>NC_000012.12:93710128-94335128 GCF_000001405.40 Homo sapiens | reverse complement strand
AAAGATTTGTATAAAGTTGGGTAAAACATGGAAGAGTGATCTTTTCTGAATTCTATTTTCTTTTTTGTTGTTGTTTTTTTCCCTATAAATTATGAAGTAGGATTCCATTTTTAGAATTCATGCTCATATGCGAGTTGGTACTGCTTTTCATGTGCAGTTATGGTTTCTAAGTCTTAACTAGATGGACATAACGTTTGATACTCAGAAGTTATTTAGTATCATTGGCATTTGGGCTTTCTGTCATGCTATGCATATGGAGAGGTATTAAGCTCTTTGAAGGTTGCTTATTCAAGCAGCTGTAATACAGATTTAATATTTGCCACTCCAGTTAAAAATAAAGAGTGAATAGTTCTACATGGATAAATTTATTCTAAAATAGAAATCTGAGACATACCGTTTAGTTTTATTCTGCTAAAAATTGCTCTGTGGACCTTCAGAATCCTATCTGAATTGTTTTGTTACCATTAGGAAGTAATGAGATTATTACCCATTTATTTTGTTTATTATATAAGAATCTTGTTTCTTTTTACCCTTGAATCTCATAATAGGTTCTTTTGATCCCTGTCTCTTGACTGTCTTTGCTTTGAAATGTCTTCAGAAAATGGCTAAGAGAGATAAAAGGAAGTGAAAGGAAAATAAGGACTTTTATTGTTTACTAATTGGTAAAATAGCTTGTGGGGGAGGTATGTGTAACTGTCCCAAATAAAGAGATTTGGATATAATTTAGAAGAGTGTGAATCTTTCTAGCCTGTTAATCTGTAACTAGACTTCTTATGAGAAAAAGTACTCCCAGATAAAGGTAAATTGGGATGGAAAAAAAAGCTGTGAGTGACATTATGTAGTTTGGTAAATGGCTGTAGAGGCCAAGGAATCTATAGCATTTATTAGATTTCCCAGAGCATCTTTCTTCTGCCCAGCACTGGACATACAGAAGGTTTGGAAACCTTTTAAAAACAATGTGAGGAGTGATCCTTCCCACATTTACACTGAACAATTTTGATTGCTCGGAGAGTAGAACTTCTGGAAGGTTGCTGATCTCAGGGTATGTGGGAAGAGGAGGATGGATTTTTTTTTTTAGCTGCTTTCCCAGCTGACTTGCTTTTAAAATCAGTTTTTTTTCCTAGGAGGTGAGGAGAAGGCTAGAGTGGTAGGAGACTCACTCTAATCACTGGATTCCCTTTTCTCATCTCACTGCTAATCCCCCTGATAACCCTTCTCTCCATTCCCAATACCTCTCCTGGCCTGCATATTTTGGAAAGAAGAGGGAGGGGACTCAGTGACTGAGGAATATAGTTCTTGATAGTCTCTGATTATAATAAGAAATGCTCCTGGGTGCTGCTATTTGTTATTTCCTTTAGGGGTCATCTCCAAGGACACACCAGCTTGAGGGAGCATTTGCAAAGGGAGATGCTTAGTATCTTCTGCTTCTCTCATACCTTACCGCATTTATTTAGTGGGCTTTAATTTATCTTCTTTCTTCTCTTTTAAGCAAATCAGTAGTTTGCAGATCCAAGTGACTTCACTTGCACAGTCAGAGAATGACTTGCTGAATTCAAACCAAATGCTGAAGGAAATGGTGGAGAGATTAAAACAAGAATGCCGAAATTTTAGAAGCCAAGCTGAAAAAGCGCAACTAGAAGCTGAAAAGTAGAGTTTGCTCTTTATGTACAAACTATTTTTTCTTTTTTCTATATAACATGTACTTATTTTAGTAATGATTCCAATGTTGATTATATTTTAGAAACTAGTTACAAATACACTTTAATAGTGTACAATGGTCTACTGAGGTAATAATGTACTTTATGTTTTTATAGAATGAACTATACTGACTCTTGAATTGTTTTTAAAAAAATTAAGACATTAAAATTCTGACAGTATAGTATTCTGAAAAACCTCAAAGAAAACTTTTTTTATTCATTGATTAAACCAAAACATTTCTTCAAAAATCTATTCTTCTGAATGCCAGAGAACAGAATGGGTTTTTTGTTTTGTTTTTGATGTGCAAAACTTAATTCCTTGAATTAGAACTATCTTGGATTTTCTTTGAAAAGCTAATTTATTTGTTTTTTTTTTTTTTTTTTTTGGTCTTAAAATTTGTTACTAGTAGACAGTATGGAGTAAAACTGGTAGGGATAAAATGATTGTGGTGATGTTCAAGATCTTATATCCTCTGGAAAAATTTGTTTAGATGTGGTAGAACACTGTACTATTTTGTATTTGCTTTGTCTTTATAACATGTTGGCCTTGTAAGTAAGTTTTTATTTTAATCTACAAAACATTATTCTTTTCAAATTTCTTCTTCTGAAGGCCACCATGCCACATAAAACTGTATTTCTTCAGTTTTTCTATTATTACATATTCAAAGGTTTGTCCATGCTTTTTTATATGGGGTTGAATTTCAAGAAAAGGAAGTAAGCAAGATAAATGTCCATAGCATGTGACATTTCAGTTGATCCAACTTATTTTTCTTTTATTTTGTAAAAAACAGAAACATGTGCTTGGATTTCTCAAGTGTTTGATTGAAATGAGCTTAATAATTCTAATGACAGTATAGCTAGCAAATTTAAGTAATTAATCATTGGTTTCTAAATAATATTCATAGAATTTCATAGAAGAAAATAGCTGAACTAAGGGTCAATGGAATGTGATTTTAGTTCCAGCTAAGATACTTAAAATCTTGTATGACCTTAGGCAAGTAATCTAACTTCTCAGGGTTTGTTATTTTCATTAGTACTGCCTATAGTAAGAATACTAAAAAAATCATATAAAGTATGCAGAATAGCTTTAAAAATATAAGTTGTTATGATGTTATTTTAAGATATCATTTATATGCATTTTACTCTAGTCAGAAGACATACTGCATTAAGATTTGATACCAGGCTTGATTTTCTTAAACCAAATTTATGAGGACAGATATTTGTAGTTTGATGGTTATTATACTTCACATCTGGTTATCAAGTGTTTGTCTTGCCATTAACTAGATGTGAGCCCTTAAGTTCGTTAACTGCTCTAATCCTCAGTTTCCTCATTTATAAAATGGACAGAAGTATAAAGGTGACAGAAATACCTAACTCAGGATTTTTGTAAAGAACACATAGTTTTCTAAGTCCAGTGCCTTATTCATAGGAAGTGCTCAGTAATGGTGGGATTTCCAAACAAGTGGCCATACAGGAGGGCCTGCAGTTGGATAATTAAGAATGTGGTCAGACAGGTAGTGAGTTTGCTTATACTTGTGATAATATCTATTTAATCCTAAGAACTTATTTAACTTCCATGTTTTACATACATTCTTCTGACAGGACATTGGAAGAGAAACAGATACAGTGGTTGGAAGAAAAGCATAAGCTTCATGAGCGTATCACAGACAGAGAAGAAAAGTACAATCAAGCTAAGGAGAAACTGCAGCGAGCTGCAATTGCCCAGAAAAAGGCAAGTGGTTCTTATTAAAGTGATCTCTGGCCAGGCATGGTGGCTCACACCTGTAATCCCAGCACTTTGGGAGGCGGAGGCAGGTGGATCACGAGGTCAGGAGATCATTGAGACCATCCTGGCTAACACAGTGAAACCCCATCTCTACTGAAAAAATACAAAAAAATTAGCCAGGCATAGTGGCGGGCGCCTGTAGCCCCAGCTACTCGGGAGGCTGAGACAGGAGAATGGCATGAACCCGGGAGGCAGAGCTTATAGTGAGCCGAGATCGTGCCACTGCACTCCAGCCTGGGTGACAGAGCAAGACTCTGTCGCAAAAAAAAAAAAAAAAAAAAAAAAAAAGGAAAAAAGGTGATTTCTATGGAGTAAAATATAATTAAATCTTTTTTTTTTTTTTTTTTTTTTTTTTTCTGAGAGTCTGACTCCCATCACCCAGGTTGGATTGCAGTGGTGCAATCTTGGCTCACTGCAACCTCCATCCCCTGGGTTCAAGCGATTCTCATACCTCAGCCTTTCGAGTAGCTGGAATTATAGGCACATGCCACCACACCCGACTAATTTTTGTATTTTTAGTAGAGACAGGGTTTCCCATGTTTGCCAGACTGGTCTCAAACTCCTGACCTCAAGTGATCCTCCCACCTCAGCCTCCCAAAGTGCTGGGATTAAGAGGTGTGAGCTACCGCGTCCATCCTAATAAACTCTTATAGGAGAATAAAGTATATAGTTGAATCTGAGATTTTAGTGATATGTTTAATTTGATATATAAGCATGACATTTTGCTGTCAACCTTGCAGAAATAAATTGGGAAAATCCAAACTGTCCAGCAGGTTTGTTTCTAAATTTTGTATGTAAGTCAGTTGTTTTGAGCTGACATGCATTTTTCCATACAGAAGGTGTTTTTCAGAGTGATAGTTTCCAGGCCATCCCATGGAAGTCATATTTAACACATTCTCCAGTTAAATTATAGTGTGATTAAGCTTGTTTCATTTATACCTAATATCTGTTTTATTGCTTTTGTGGTTAAAAGGCTTTTTTGTTTCCAATTCAGAAATACAAGAGCAAGTATTTCTTTGCTCCAGCAGGAGGAAATGGGACTCCCTTGGTTTCTGAAACTGCCACAGGAGTTCCCACAGCATTGTGATCCTTTTTAAGTTTTACCTTTGCAGGCATACTTTTCTCCAGAACCTAACTTTGTTTTCTTGGAAACAATCCAGGGCATCATGGAAATAATGTATCTAGATGGATCTTCTAAATCAGTGACTTACAACTTTTTTCTATTTCAGCAAACCCAAGAATAATATAACAGGTCCCATTAGTAACCATGACTTATGGTGGTGATTAAGGGAGGGGAAGGACATGGTAATCTTTTCAACAGGATTAGAGGAAGAGGAGGGACATGATAAAGTGTGTGTGTGTGTGTGTGCGTGTTATATGTAAAGTCCCACAAATGATTTGAGTTGTCTTCATTTGATAAATTCCCCTAATAGTAGCATTTGTTGTGGAGAGGAGAGAAGATCTGAGGTGAGAGGAAAATGCTTCTAGGTGCAGGAACCATTATCTTAATATCTGTTTATTGGAAAGGTTAACTGTTTATATTTGGATAAGAGAAAATAACTGTAGATCGTTCAGTTATTCTGAATTTGAAAACCACACAGCAGTTCCTAGACCCCTTTTTATGTAATTGGATATCACTGCCAAATGTTGCTGATGGTTGGAGTGACAACATGAGTAGTCTAAAAGTCATTCCTTCTCTACTTTCTTGGTCTCTGAATATTACTTTTATCTTCTCATAATGCTAGAAGTAGTATTATTGGAAAAACAGCATTTATTATATAGGGATCCCAGTGTTTTATACCCAAATATGCACACTTGTTTGTTTTTCTGTATATGTCACTTTTCTTCCTTTCTGTCGATGTAGGTACTGAAAAGTGTATGAATATTAATGGGATTTCAGAGGATTGTTTTATGACCTATGAACTCAGAAATCCTACTGATTTTTGTTTGCACTGTGTTTGAAGCCTAGAAACATCTGAAGCCGTGTTACAGCAAGAAATTTTAAGAGCTAAATTTTGAGGCTTTAGGAATAAGTATCTTACAGATCAAATTCTAATTATTAAGGTTAGTTTGGGTTGAATTCTTTTGAAGCAAAAGTGACACCCAGTGGTGAGATTATCAGCTAATCATAAGTATACCAGAAGGAGTGGAGGAGGTTATATTTTTAAAAATCTACAAAATATAGCCAGACCCCATCTCTATAAAACATGAAAAAACTGTGCATGGTGGCACATGCTTGTAGTCCCAGCTACTTGGAAGGCTGAGGTGGGAGGATTGCTTGAGCCCAGGAGTTCAAGATTGCAAAGAGCTGTGATGGCACCACTGCCCTCCAGCCTGGATGACACAGCAAGACCCTATCTCAAAAAAAAATAATAATTAAACAAAAAAACCCCAAAACACTACAAAGTAACATTTCATTAGTATTGTGACAGGATGAATTTTTTTTTCTACTGAAATGTCTACCAGATGATGAGTGTGAAGATAGTAGATAGTCATTTTACTTTTTAAAATGTGATCTATGGATTGTGATTTAAGTCATAGTGAAATTGTTAAGGTCAATTCAGTGAATGATTATGACCTAGAATTGTCCTACTATGTGGGACACTGCCCTAGGAGCTTACAAGTTTACATCAATTAAAATAGAAAAACATCATGTGTAACTTAGAAATACAATTAAAAAGTATATAAGTATGTATAATTTTAGGACTGGAAGGGATCTTAGCATTCAAATAGCTTTTACAAGTTAGCAACCTAAAGTAGGAGGTACCCAAGATTACTTAACTAGTAAGAATCAAAAGTTGACTAAAATCTACATGTTTCTGTTCTCAGTCTGGTGCTCTTTCCACTGCGCTGTTAGGCTTTAATTTCCTACTTTCCTTGATTCCAAATACTTTACAACTTTTCGCTTAATATAGCTATGGTCCATATGAGTCGTTTCTTATGTCAGAATAATCACTGTAAATTAATTTAACTCATACCCTTTTCCCATTCAAGTTAAAGATAATGCTTCTATTTGACCATTTTGGCTATCAGATTACATAAATATAATTCATAAGAGTGCAACAGACTTCTTAGATTCTTTAATGCCAAAAGTCATAGCATTTTTTGCCGTAAGATGTAACAAAAGTCACAAATTATGAACCCAGTGCAGAAATAATCCTTTGGAGTTGCTTTCCTGTGAAAAGTTCTTTTTTCCCTGAGGCTGGGTAAGATGGCTCGCTGCCGTCTGTGTTTACTCAGAGCTCCAAGCTCCTGAGCACAGAGATTGTCATTTCTGCTGTTTTTAAGTAGTCTTTGGTGTAAATGATGTTTTGTTGTGTTGATTTGTTTGGAAAAGCTTGAACAGGATCTTGAGTTGGGATGCCCTTCTGTGACTGATACATACAGAGAGAGTGTATTCCCCCCACCCCCATTGAAGAGAGATCTCTTGAAGTGAACACAGTGAGTTGGGTTTTTTTCTTTTTTCTTGAGGAACCTGAAATGACAACTTGTTAATTTTATTCTAAGGTATACGTCTCTGAAATAATTCTTGGTCAGATACTATTATGAATGTTTTCAAAAAAGAGATGAATCATAGTCTTGAAGTTGCAAAATATCTGATTGAATATGTTGTGTGGCCTAGATTACACTATACACTGGGGAGAAATAGAAGCCATGATTACTCCTTGGCTTTGATAACTATATAATCTTGCTGGAGAAATAAGATAACATGCAAGAAACACCTAAATAATCCCACTAGTCACTCCTGGGTGATTTATGTGGACTCTAAAGTTTGAGAACCACTGTGCTAGACAGACAAAAGTCTGAAGACAAGGAGACCAGTTAGGAAGCTGTTATAGTAAACTTAAAGTGAGGTAAGAAGTCTAGAATTGGGGCTTGGAATATAGGAATGAAGGTAAAGCGTGACTGCCAGAGGTATTCCAAAGGAAAAAATAATTGCAGAATATATTGGTAAATAAGAAAGAAAACTATGAAGTATTTTAGCTGTGAGAAGATGTAAGTGGAGTTATGATAATGGATTGAAGAATGTCAGTTGAGTAGAAAGATAAAAAACACATGTCAGATAGGAAATGATGGCAGTGCATCCATGTAGACATGACGTAGACTCTTAAGTAAAGATATTATATAGGTAACTAGAAATAATAGAATGTGAAGTACAGAGATGAATAATTCAAATTAGAGAAATATAATTAGAAACTCAGGATTTTGCAGATCACTGAAGAATACTAAGTTTACTTAGAACGAGGAGCTAGGTGTGGTGGTGAACAGAGGTAGAAGCTATATTGTGATGTTATGGGAACCAAAGGTAAAGAAAGTTATCAAAGATAAATGGTCATTAACATGATCATTGAAAAAAAGTTAATTGGATTTGACTAGAGGGTGGTAAAAGGGGAATCCCAGCCTTAATTCTTATATCTATATTGTTTTAATTGTTCTATTAGTCCTTTGTGTCATATTGTTTATAACACTAAGGCATCGATTTGACTATCCTGTGATTGTGTTGGACCACTCAAGTAAAAATTAGAATCATTCCTTTCCACTAATTTTACCTCTGGACTTTGCATTTCTTTCAGTAGAAGTTATTCTTCCAGTCACTTAGGCTTCAAACCTGTGATTCATCCTGAGGTCTGCCTTATCTCCAAATTTAGTCAGGCACTATATTAGTTTCCTAGGGCTGCTATGACAAATTACCACAAACCTTGTGGCTTAAAACAACAAAAGCTTATTCTCTCACAGTTCTGGAGCCTAGAAATCTACAGTCAGAGTGCCAGCAGGAGCATCCTTCTTCAAAAGGCTCTGGAGGAGGATCTTTTTTCATGCCCCTTGTGTAGCTTCTGGTAGTTGCTGGTAATCCTTGGAGTTCTTGGGTTTTAGACAGGCACATCACTCTGGTCTCTGCCTTGTCTTTACATGATGGTCTCCCTGTGTATCTGTAGCTCTGTGTCCAGATTTCACTCCTGTTATGTAAGGACACCAGTCATAGTGGATTTAGGGCCCACTCGAATCCAATCTAACTTCATCTTAACTTGATTACATTTGTAGACCCTATTTCCAAATAAGGTTACTCTAGGGTGTTTTCCAATACCAGCAATCATTTCTTTGTTCTCTGGATACCAACCAGGTGTCCAAAAATTCAATTCTGAAACTATCTACCTGGAGTTAGAGTCAGATCCCACAAGTTAAACGGCTCAGTCCCACAAGACTGCCCCAACTGCAGACACCAGTTGCAAGTCTGAGTCACCTATATTCTGACTGACTAACTTAGGGGTTCCCATGACCCCCTCCTCCAGTTTGATAATTTGCTAGAATGGCTCACAAAATTCAGGAAAACACTATATTTACCAGTTTATTGTAAAGGATAAAAGTCAGGAATAGCCAAATGGGAGAAATGCATTGGGCAAGGTGTTGGGGGTCGGGGATTGTGGTGCAGAGCCTCCATGCCCTCTCTGTGTGAGCCACCCTCCCAGCAAGTCAATGTGGTCACCAGCCCGGAAGCTCTCAAAATCTCATTGTTGAAGAGTTTCCAGCCCCCTCCCCTTCTTACGGGTCAGGGGAGTGAACCTGAAAGCATTCACCATCTAATCACTTGGTCTTTCTGGTGACCAGCCCCCATCCTTAGGCTATCTAGGGACCTCAACTCTAAGTTACCTCATTAACATCAACTCAGGTATGATTGAAGGGGACTTGCTAAGAATTATACAAAAACCACTCCTATCACTTATACAATTCCATAGGTCTTAGCAGCTTTGTACCAGGATCTGGGTACAAAGACCAAATATATTTCTTCTTATACCACAGTCACATTCTGGGTGCCCATGAATTTTTGGGAGACATTATTCAACCTAAAATAAGAACTCATAAAGCCTATGAATTCTTCCTTTATGATGCCTCTCAAATTTTCCCCCACCCCATATTTCTTTTCATTCCTATTACTAACATCCTTGGTCAGACTGTCTTCCCTACGAGGTTTATCTGTATTCATTTATCCAATTTACTCAACATATCTGTTAAGCATCTATTATGTATCAGGTACTTACTCATTCACTGGAATACAGAAGTAAACAAAGACCCTGCACCATGGAGTTTACATTGTAGTTTGTTAGGAGACATAGAATAAAGAAAGAAATACTATCAGGTGGAGGTGAGTACTAAGAGGAAAATTGACAGGAGTAGGCTGGGTGCGGTGACTCACGCCTGTAATCCCAGCACTTTGGGAGGCCAAGGCGGACAGATCACCTGAGGTCAGGAGTTTGAGACCAGCCTGGCCAACATGGGGAAACCCCATCTCTACTAAAACTACAAAAATTAGCCGGGCATGGTGGCGGGTGCCTGTAATCCCAGCTAGTCAGGGGGCTAAGGCAGGGAGAATTGCTTGAACCCTGGAGGCAGAGGTTGCAGTGAGCGGAGATGGTGGCAGCACATTCCAGCCTGGGCAGCACAGCAAGACTCCATCTCAAAAAAAAAAAAGGGAGAGAAAATTGACAGGAGTAGGGGGTGCTGTTTTATGTAGGTGGTCAGGCAAGGCTTCTCTGGTAAGGTAACATTTGAGCAGAGACTGAAGGAAAGGAGGGAGGATGCCATGTTGTTATATGTAAGGTAAGGGTGTTCCAGAGGGAATAGCAAGTACAAGAGAGGCAGGAATCTGCTTGGTATGTTGAGGGAACACAGGAGGCCCAGGGAGCTAGAATAGAAAGAGGTATAGTAGGAGGCCAAATTTATGCCATGACTTCAGCTTTTATTCTCAGTTAAGGTAGGAACACACTGGAGGTTTTTGAATTGAGAAGTGATATCTGAATTACATTTTTGAAGAATCTCTGGCTGTTGTGTAGAGGGGCAGAATAGGAGTCAGGGAAACCATGTTTTAGTTGTCCAGGTTACAGATCAGCACTAAAAAAGATGAGTTTAGAACTAAAAAAATACAATAACAATAATTAACTCAATGGATAGATTTAATAGCAAACAACATCACCATCATCAAGAGATGAGCACAAATCAGTGACAGAGACAGAAGATGTACAGTGAGGAAAATAGAAATGCCAAGAGTTGGTTTTAAAAAGATTACGAAATTGATAAAGCCTTGGCAAGACTGATTGTCCTCAGACTCCCCACAAAGTAGATGAGATGAGATTAGAGCCACAAATGAACAATGTAGTGAATGAAAAAAGGGATATCTATCTATAGATATTAACTATCTGCATATAGATATTAAAACAAAAGGAATAGTATAAAAACTATTATGCTAATTAATCATGCAATTTAGAATAAATGAATACATTTCTTTAAGAACATCTTAAACCTAATACAAGAAGAATTAGGTCATTTGGATAGTCCTGTATCTATTAATGAAATGAAATCTTTAGTTAAAAACCTTCCACAAAGAAATGCCTCATTTGGCTTCACTGGTAAATTATTCCAAATACTTAAGGAAGAATTAATACTAATCTTAACGCAAACTCTTCCAGATGATAGAAAAGGAGGAAACACATCTCCACTTATGAGATTAGAACCTGATAGAATCAATATAAGAAAAATTGCATTATAAACATGTAAAAATCTTAAATATTAGCAAACTGAATTTAGTGATATAGAAAAATGATAATATAGCATGAGCATTTAGGTTTTATTCTGGGAATATAGGTGGCTTAACATGCAAAATTGTTCAGTGTAATTCAACACCCTAACAGAACAAAGAAGGAAAACTATTGTGATCTCTAGTGTGAAACATAATTTGACAACATTCAGTACCCATTCATGATAAAAACTTTTGCCAAACTGGGAACAGAAGGGAATTTTCAATCTTATAAATGGTATCTATAAAAATTCTGCAGCTAACATCATACTTACTGATTAAAAATATTGACTGCTTCCCCTTACTTACCCAAGGTCAGGAACAGATGTCTACTATCACCATTTTGTTTAATATTTTATCGGAGGTTCTAGTTAGTGTAATAAGGCAAGAAAAAGAAATGGAGGGGGAGGCTGGTCAAGATGGCCAACTAGAAGCAGCTGGTGTGTGCCACTTTCATGGAGAGAAATAGAAGGAGTAAGTAAATACAGCACCTTCAACTGAAGCATCCAGGTACACGCATTGGGATTCATCAAGAAAACAACTTGACCCAGAAAGAATGGAGAAGAGCAATCAGGACAGTCATCCACTTGGGAGTGACACAGAGCCAGAGGAGCCTCCTCTTCCCAGGGAAGTGGTGAGTGAGTGAGTGACCCCAGCGACCCACGCTTCTCCCTTGGATCTTTGCAACCCACAGGTCAGGAGATCCCCTTGTGAGCCCACTCCACCAGGGTCTGCAGCCTGTTACACAGAATTATGTGGAGTCTCAGCAATGCAGCCGCTCAGATACACGTAGAGCCCTGGGAGCTTTAGATACCCAGGTTTCCCATCAAAAGCAACTGCAACTCCAGCCAAGCAGGACGTTAGACCCCTGTACATACCCCTAGGAAAGAGGCTGTATACAGGGGATAGAGCAGTGACAGTCTGCAGGCCCCACTACCATGGCACCTTGCAGGATAAGACCCACTGGCTTGGAACTCTAGCCAGCCACTGGTAGCAGTGTTACACCTCTCTGAGATGGAGCTCCCAGAGGGAGGGGTGGGCTGCCATCTTTGCTGTTTTGTAGCCTTAGCTATTGCCTTCATTGCAGCCACCCTATGGAAAAGCATCCAGACTGCTTTTTTATGCAGGTCCCAGACCCTGCTTTTCAATGGGTGGGGGACCTCCCGACCAGGGTCACTAGTCACCCTTGTTGGTGTTTTCCAGCTGGCAGTGGTTCCAAGCCACCCTGGGACAGAGTTCCCAGGGGGAGGGATGGGGCTGTCATCTTTGATGTTTCACATTCTTAGCCATTGTTGCCTTTGGGCTCTAGGGAGTCTGAGTTGGTTAGGGACTGGAGTGATCCCCTGGTACAGAGCAGCAGCTCTAAGGAGAAGTGGTCAGGCTGCTTCCTCATGTGGCTCCTGGATCTCATTTCTCCTCACTGGGTGGGATCTCCCGACTGAGGTCTACAACCATACCCCAACCAGTGTTTTCTGGCCAGCAGCAGTTTCAAACCTCCCTGGAATGGCTCTCCCAGAGAGAGGGGCAGGGTGCCAGCTTTGCTGTTTTGCAGCCTTATCTCTTTGCCTTTGGGATTTGGAGAGTCTGAAGCAACTGTTCTCGAGGTACCCCCTCACAGCACAACTGCTCTATGAAAAAGTGGCCAGACTGCTTTTTTACTTGAATCCCTAATCCCATTCCTCCTCAGTGGACAGGACCTTTTGACCAGGGTTTCCAGCCACCTGCACCAGTGTTTTTTGGCTAGCAACAGTTTCAAACCTCCCTGGAACAGAGCTCCCAAAGAGAGGGGTGGACCACCACTTCTGCTGTTTAGCAGCCTTAGCTGTTGTCTTCAGGCTTTAGAGAGTCTGAGGTGATTAGCGGCTGGAGTGGACCCCTAGCAAAGCATGGCTACCCTATGGAAAAAGCTAGACGGCTTTTGTATGTGGGTCCCTGATCCTGTTACTCCTCACTAGGTAGGATCTCCCAACCGAGGTCTCTAGCCACCTCCTGTTAGTGTGTTCTGCCAGCAACAGGTCCGTGCCTCCCTGGGACAGAGTTCCCAGAGAGAAGGCAGTCCTCCATCTTTGCTGTTTCACAGACTTCCTTGTTGATATCTTCAGGTACTGGAAAATTTAAGATGAAAAGGGATTGGAGCGGACCCCCAGCATACTGTAGCAGCCCTATGGAAAAGTGGCCAGACTGTTATTTGGGTCCTTGATTCTATATCTCCTCACTGAGCACGTCCTCCCAACCTGAATCTCCAGCCATCCCCACCAGGGCCATCCAGCCAGTAGCAGCTCTGTTACTGTCTGGGACAGAGCTCCTAGTGGGAGGGATGGGTTGCCATCTTTGCTGTCTTGTAGCCCTCACTCTTACTGTCTCCAGGTTCTGGAGAGTCTGTGGGGACCAGGGGCTGGTACGGATGCCCAACACAAAGCACCTACCTCAGAAAAGTGGCCAGACTGTTCTCTATGCAAGTCCCAGTCCTCACTTCTCCTCCCTGGGCAGGGTCACCCAACCTGGAACTGTAGCACAACTACCCTGAGCTTGCCTGACCACTTCAATCAGAGGCAGCCCAGCAGTTAAAGGAACACCCCCACGCAGAGATGGAACCATCAGACAGAAGGAATCAACGGAAGAACTCTAGCAACACAGATGGTCGGAGTGTCAAATGGCCACTAGTTCTCCAACAAGGGTTCTTAACCAGGCTGAGTTGGCTGAAGTGACACAAATAGAATTCAGAATATGAATAGGCATGAAGATAATCAAGATTCAGGAGAATGGCAAAACCCAATCCAAGGAATCTAAGAATCACAATAAAACGATACAGGCACTGACAGATGAAATAGCCAGTATAAAAAAGAACCTAACTGATCTGATAGAGCTGAAAAACACAAGAATGTCACAATGCAATCACAAGTATTAACAGCAGAAGAGAGAGACCAAGCTGAATAATTTCAGAACTTGAATACTGGCTCTTTGGAGTAAGACAGTCAGACAAAAATAAAAAAGAAGAATAGAAAAGAATGAACAAAACCTCCAAGAAATATGAGATTATGTAAAGAGACCAAATCTACAAATCACTGGCATCCCTGAAAGGGTTGGGGAGAAAGCAAACAACTTAGGAAACATATTTCAGGATATTGTCCAAGAAAACTTCCTCAGCCTCACTAGAGAGACCAACAGGAACTATAGAGAACAAAATTCTACACAGGAAGATAATCCCCAAGACACATAATCATCAGATTTTCCAAGGTCAAAATGAAAGAATATTAAAGGCACTTGGAGAAAAAGGGCAGGTCACCTACAAAGGAAACCCCCTCAGGATAACAGCTGACTTCTCAGCAGGAGCCCTTCAAGCCAGGAGAGACTGGGGACCTATAGTCAACATTCTTAAAAAAATCTTCAACCAAGAATTTCATATCCAGCCAAACTAACCTTCCTCGACAAAGGAGAAATAAGATCCTTTTTAGATAAGCAAATACTGAGGGAGTTTTAGATAAGCAAATGCTTGTTAAATGGAGACCCATCTCACAAGAGATCTTGACAGGAACACTAAATATAGAAAGATGGTTACCATGATTCTGCTGAGAGAGAGCATTAAAAAAAAAAGATGGTTACCAGCCAATACAGAAACACACTTAAGTACACAGATGAGCCACACTATAAAGCAACCACACAAGCCAGCCTAATAACCAGCTAACAACACAATGACAGGATCAAATCCACACATATTAATACTGACCTTGAATATAAATGGGCTAAGTGCCCCCATTTAAAAGGCACAGAGTGGCAAGCTGGATAAAAAAGCAAGACCCAGTGATATGCTGTCTTCAAGAGACCCATCTTATATGCAATGACACCCATAGGCTCAAAATAAATGGATGGAGGAACATCTGCCAAGCAAATGGAAATCAGAAAAATGCCAGGGTTGCAATCCTAGTTTCAGACAAAACATTTTAAACCAACAAAAATCAAAAAAGACACGGGTTTACATAATGGTAAAGGGTTCAATTCAATAAGAAGACGTAACTATCCTAAATATATATGCACCCAACATAGGAGCACCCGGATTCATAAAGCAAGTTCTTAGAGACCTACAAAGAGATTTATACTCCCACACAATAACAGTGGGAGACTTCCACATTCCACTGACAGTATTAAATCCTTGAGGAAGAAAGTTAACAAAGATATTCAGGACGTGAACTTAACATTGGACCAGATAGATCTGATAGACCTCTACAGAACTCTACATCCAAAAACAACAGGAATATACATTCTTCTCATTGCTGCATGGCACATACTCTGAAATTGACCACACAATCAGACATAAAACAATCCTCAGCAAATGCAAAAGAACTGAAATACCAAACACACAGCACAATAAAAATTGAAATCAAGACTAAAAATATAATTGCTCAAAACCATTTACATGGAAGTTAACCTGCTCCTGAATGACTTTTGAGTAAAGAATGAAATTAAGGCAGAAATCGAGAAGTTATTTGAAACTAAGAGAAAAAAGATACAACATACCAGAATCTCTGGGACACAGCTAAGGCAATGTTATGAGGGAAATTTATAGCACCAAATGCCCACATCAAACAGTTAAAAAAGATATCAGCAACCTAGCAGCACAACTAAAACAATGAGAGGACCAAGAGAAAACCAACCCAAAGCTAGCATTAGAGCTGAACAGAAGGAGATCAAAACATGAACAGCCATTCAAAAGATTAACTAATACGGGAGTTGCGTTTTTGAAAAAATTGTTAGGCCACTAGTTAGCCTAATGAAGAAAAATGAGAAGATCCAAATAAACACAATTAGAAATGACAGAGGGGATGTTACCACTGACCCCACAGAAATACAAACAACCGTCACAGACAACTATAAACACCTTTCTGCATACAAACTAACAAAGCTAGAAGAGACAGATAAATTTCTGGACACATACACCTTCCCAAGATAGAACCAGGAAGAAGTTGATTTCCTGTACAGACCAATAATGAGTTCTGAAATTGAGGCAGTAGTAAATACCTGCCAACCAAAAAAAGCCCAGGGCCAGATGGATTCACAGCCACATGCTACCAAATGTTCAAAGAAGAGCTGGTACTGCTTCTCCTGAAACTGTTAACAAAAAATAGAGGAGCAGGAAATCCTTCCCAAATCATTCTGTGAAGCCAGCATTGTCCTGATAACAAAACCTGGCAGAGACACAACAATGAAAACTTTAGGCCAATATCTTTGACGAATATTGATGCAGAAATCCTTAACAAAATGCTTACAAACCGAATCCAGTAGCACATCAAAAACCTAATCTACCATGATTATGTAGGTTTTATCTTTGGGATGCAAGGTTGATTCAACATGTGCAAATCAATAAATGTGATTCATCACATAAACAGGACTAAAGACAAAAACCACATGGTTATCTCAATAGATGTAGAAAAGGCTTTTGATAAAATTCACCATCCCTTTCTATTAAAAACTCAATAAACTAAGTATTGAAGGAACATACTACAAAATGTGAGAGCCATCTGTGACAAACCCACAGCTAACATCATACTGAATGGGCAAAATATGGAAGCATTCTCTTTGAAAACCAGCACAAGACAATTATACCCTCTCTCACCACTCCCATTCAACATAGTATTAAAAGTCCTGGCCAGAGTAGTTAGGCAAGAGAAAGAAAGAAATAAAGGGCATCCAAGTAGGAGGAGAGGAAGTGAAACTATTCATGTTTGCAGTCGACATGGTTTTATGTTTAGGAAACCCCCATAGTCTCAATCCAAAAAGCTCCTTCAGCTGATAACTTTAGCAAAGTTTCAAGATACAAACTCAATGTACAAAAATCACTAGCATTCCTGTACACCAACAGCCAAGCTGAGAGCCAAATCAGGAATGCAATCCCATTCACAATTGCACAAAATAAAATACCTAGGAATACAGCTAAATGTGGGTGAATGATCTCTACAATGATAATTATAAAACACTGCTTAGACAAATCAGAGATGATACAAATAAATGGCAAAACTTTCCATGCTCATGGATAGGAAGAATCAATATCATTAAAATGGCCATACTGTCAAAAGCAATTTATTGATTCAGTGCTATTTCTATCACACTACCAATGGCATTCTTCATGGAACTAGAAAAAAACTTTTAAAATTCATGTGGAACCAAAAAAGAGTCCAAATAGCCACAGCAATCCTATGCCAAACAACAACAACAAAAAACGTGGAGTCATCATGCTACCTGACTTAAAACTATACTATAGAGCAACAATAACCAAAACAGCATGATATTGATACAAAAACAAACACATAAATCAATGGAACAGAATAGAGTAACCAGAATTAAGGCCTCACAGCTACAATCATCTGATCTTCAACAAAGCTGACAAAAACAAGCAATGGGAAAAAGGACACCCCATTCATTAAATGGTGCTGGGATAAACAGCTAGCCATATGCAGAAGATTGAAACTAGACCTCTTCCTTACACCATATGCAAAAGTCAACTCAAGAAGGATTAAAGACTTAAATGTAAAATCCAAAACTATAAAAACACTGGAGGACAACCTAGGCAATACCATTCAGGACATAGGAACTGGCAAAGATTTCATGATGAAGATGCCAAAAGCAATCACGACAAAAGCAAAAGTTGATAAATGGGTTCTAATTAAACTTAAGAGCTTCTGCACAGCAAAAGAAACTGTCAACAGAGTAGACAGATAACCTACAGAATGGGAGAAGATATTTAGAAGCTATGCATCTGCATCTGACAAAGGTCTATCTAGCATCTATAAAGAACTTAAATTTACAGGATAAAAACAACCCCATCAAAAGTGGGCAAAGGAAATGAACAGATCATTTTCAAAAGACATACATGTGACCAACAAGCATATGAAATAAAGCTCAATGTCACTGATCATTAGAGAAATGCAAATCAAAACCACAATGAGATACCATCTTACACCAGTCAGAATGGCTATTAAAAAATAAAAAAATAGCAGATTCTGGCGAGGTTGTGGAGAAAAGGGAATACTTTGATACACTGTTGGTGGGAGTGTAAATTAGTTCAACCATTGTGGAAAGCAGTGTGGTAATTCCTCAAAGAGCTAGAAACAACTACCATTGGACCCAGCAATCCCATTACTGGGTAAATATACTCAAAGGAATATAAATCTTTCTGCCATAAAGACACATGCATATGTTCATTGCAACACTATTCACAATAGCAAAGACATGGAATCAACCTAAATGCCCATCAATGGAAGATTGGATAAAGAAAATGCGGTATATATACACCATGGAATACTATATAGCCATAAAAAAGAATGAGATAATGTCCTTTGCCAGGTACATGGATGGAGCAAGAGGCCATTATCCTTAGCAAACTAACACAAAAAAGGAAAACCGAATACTGCATGTTTTCATTGTCATAAGTGGGAGCTAAATGATGAGAACACATGGACACAAAGGGGAGCAACAGATACTGGGGCCTACTTGAGACTGGAGCATGGGAGGAAGGAGAGGATCAGAAAAAATAACTTGGGTACTAGGCTTAGTACCTGGGTGATGAAATAATCTATTTACCTATAAAACAAACCTGCACATGTACCTCTGAGCCTAAAAAAAGTTTTAAGAATAAAGAAATGGACATAAAGAGTAGACAGGAATTTAAAATTATTCACAGATGTCACTGTGCATGCATAAAAGTCAAACCTATCAAACTATTAAAATTAATATGAATTTTTAAAATTTCTAAGTACGAAGTCAAGTAACAAATACTAGTTATTTTTCTTTACACACACAATTAGAAAATATTTAAATGCCATTTACAATAGCATAAAAATACCTAAAATACCTAGGAACAAATCTAGTGAAAGATGTTTATGACTTCTACACTGAAATACAAATACTGCTAAGAAAAATGGAAAAATGCCTAAAGGGAAAACTGTACCATGTTCATGACTTGGAAGATTCAATATTAAGGTGTCAGTTCTTCCCAAATTTATCCATAAGTTGAATGCAGTTCTAATCAAAATCTCAGCAGGTTTCTTTGTAGAAATTAGAAAGTAGATTCTAAAATTCATCTGAAAGTACAAAGGACTAGAATACCCAAAGCAATCTTGAAGAACAATAAAACTAGAGGACTTAAAACTACCAGGTATCAACACTAAATATAAGCTACAGTAATTCAGTGTGGTATTGGCATAAGGATAAACAGGCAAATGGAACAGTATAGAGTCCAGAAATAGGTTTACACTAAAGGTACCACTGCATTTCGATAAAGGATGTTCCTTCAAATAGTAGTGAGTCAATAGATTAAACTCAGCCTAACCTCACAACATAGATAAAAATGAACCATACACCTAAGTGTGATAGGTAAAAAAAAAAAATAAAGCTTCTAGATGAAAACTTGGGAGAAAATTTTAGGATCTTGGGATAATAAAGATAAGCAGGATGCAAAAAGTTCCTACTATAAAATACATGATTGATGTAATTGATTTTATTTAAATTAAAATCTTTTTATTAAGGGATACTCTTAAGCAAAAGAAAATGACACCACAGGCTGGAGAAGGTCAATCTGCAATACATATATATCTGACATACGATTCATATCTTGAATATATAAAGAACTACAAATCAGTAGGAATCAGGTTACTCAAAAGTTTTAATGGACAAAAGACTAGGATGGACACGTCACAAAGAAGGGATATCCAGATGACTAACATGCATAAAAAAAGATGCTCAATACCTTTAGCTATCAGGAAAATGTAAATTAAAACTACAGTGAGATACTGTATTTCACCAAAACAGGATGCAAAAGCTAAAAGACCGACCATACCAAGTACTGGCAAAAATGTAGAACAGCTAGAACTCTCACATATTGCTGGTGGAAATGTAATTGGTAAAACTGCTTTAGAAAACTGGCAGTATCTACTAAAGCTAAAACATGTATACACTATGACCCATTCATAGGTATATACTGAAGAGAATGAGGTACTTAATCTGCGAAAAACATGTTTAGGAATGTTCGTAAAATATTTATGATATCCCCAGACTGGAAAGAATTTAAATTTTCATTAACAGGAAAATGTATAAAATGTGGTATATTTGTACAATGAATGACAACATTGCAATGAAAAAGAAGTACTGTGACAATACATAACCATGGCTTAGTCATATAGATAAAATGTTGAGAAAAAAGTCCAGATACAAAAGAGCATAAATTTATGATTTCTTTCATATGAATGGGTGGATGGATAGACAGATGGACTCCTTAACTGCCTATAAATTCATAAATAAATACTTATGGTGATAAAAACCAGAAGAGTGGTTCCTTTGCCAGGGTAGACAGGAGCATAAGGAAGCCTTCTGAGATGTTGGAGGATGTGGGACAATCAAAGCATGAGAATGAATGCTCGTAGCAGAGTTATTTGTAATAGTCCCAACTGGAAATAATGCAGATAACCCTTAACGGTGTACTGAGTGAATATACTAGGTTATGCAATAATCGTAAGTGGAATATAATATGTGGGAATGAATGAAGTATATCTGTAAGTAACATAAATCTCACTAACAATGTTGAGTGAAATAAAGTCATTAATAAAAGACTACATACTATGATTGTATGTATATGAGGTTCAAAAATAGGCAAAAGTAAACTATAGTTTTGGAAGTAAATTAGTTGGTTACCCTTTCAGAGGATGACAGGGCTAGTGATTGGAAGGGGGAAAGGTAGGGGCCCTTCTGGCATGGCAGTGCTCTTGACCTACAAGGAAATCATGCCAGCATTTGTTTTGTGGTTTTTCTTTGAGCTTTACGTTTCTATTCTATGCATTTTGCTGTAAGATTATACTTCAGTTAAAAAAGAGTTAGAAAATACCTAAAAGGTTTGTAGCGACTAAATGAGTTTTAACATTTTAGGTGTTTTTCTATTAAAAAACAAAAGGCCTGTGTATAAAAACTGAAAAAAAATACTACTTTTTTCCATACACTCCTTTTGCATTTTACCTGGACTTTTCCGTATTGTTTAATGAAACCATACAAGATTTACTTAGGAATTTCTCCCTTTGTATATTGTAAAGTTTAAATTTTTTCCTTTTAAGATTTAGAAAGGCAACTTTTAAACAGATGCATCCATATTTATCTTAGCTTTCTGATCCTTCAGTTTTATTAATTTGGTAGTACTTTATAACTTACAAACGTGCTTGTAATTTTGAATTTTACTTCAGTTCTTTTCTTTTCCTTTTTTGAGACAGAGTCTTGCTTTTTTGCCAGGCTGGAGTGCAGTGGTGCAATCTCGGCTCACTGCAACCTCCGCCTCCCAGGTTCAAGTGATTCTCCTGCCTCAGCCTCCTGAGTAGCTGGAACTACAGGCACCCGCCACCACGCCCAGCTAATTTTTATATTTTTAGTAGAGATGGGGTTTTACCATGTTGGTCAGGATGGTCTCAATCTCTTGACCTTGTGATCTGTCCGCCTCGGCCTCCCAAAGTGCTGGGATTATAGGCGTGAGCCACTGTGCCTGGCTCCCCACCCTTTTTTTTTTTTTTTTTTTTTAATGGGTTCTTGATCTGTTGTCCAGGGTGGAGTGGCACAGTCATAGCTAACTGTAGCCTTGAACTCCTAGGCTTAATCCATCCTCCTGCCTCAGCCTCCCAAAGCACTGGGATTACAGGCATGAGCCACTGTACCTGGCTCAGTTCTCTTAAACACATGCTATCTTCTGGAACAATGGAG
Organism: Homo sapiens; assembly: GCF_000001405.40. Classification (NCBI taxonomy): domain Eukaryota; kingdom Metazoa; phylum Chordata; class Mammalia; order Primates; family Hominidae; genus Homo; species Homo sapiens. The sequence goes on along the minus strand of NC_000012.12, from coordinate 94,313,347 downwards.
AGCTCATTATTTCTTACCAGATGTACAGGCAGACTCAGTAGTAAAATTTGACTCCTTCCCTTTGTAGATTTTTTTTTTGCAGCAATTATTGATAACAGTTTTTTTGTTTGGCATTCATAATTAATTGTCACATTGAGAATATTAGATAGATTTGTGGTTTATTATCTTTGCAATTTTCAGTAAGAGCCATGTCTACTAACCTTTGTTTCTAGTATTCACTGAAAACATTCATATCTAAACACAGTTTTTGGTGAGTAAAATATTTTCTATATAGTTTTGTTCAAATAAGAGATTATGTATTAACATACTTGTTCATATTTCTCTTTTTAGAGAAAATCTCTTCATGAAAACAAATTGAAAAGACTACAAGAGAAAGTAGAAGTCTTGGAGGCAAAGAAAGAAGAATTGGAAACAGAAAATCAGGTCTTAAATAGGTAATGTGTTTGTATGTGTATCTTCCCCATGTGGTTATTTTGATGTCATAGAACTTTGTCTCTAAGTATAACGTACCTTCTTTTCTTTTAAAATATACATTTTAAAGATTTCTAAAACAGCTTGATAACTCCTAATGTACTATCCTTTTTTTACCCCCTAACTGAATGTTTCTTTAAACCAAAAGGTCTCTGTCACATACCAGGTGTTTGCCTTATGATTGGGACTAACAGAAAATGTCACTGGCTTTGGTAGCAAGGAGTGGTGTTAGTTGTTGCTGCTGTACAAGACAGTTGTAGCTATTGCATAGTTCTGAAAATTGTGCCTACAACTTTGAATCAAAGGTCAGTTTTGGTTTCCTGGTGTGGAGATTTTATTGAGCTGTAGTTTCGGGTTTTGCAGTCACATTCAAGCACATCTGATAATCAGGATCATCAGCATTTTTAAAGCAGAGATTTGTCATATTAAGTTGTTGGTAGTGGCATTATATGACACATTTGATTCAAGTTAAGAAAAATCTTTTTAATTTAGTGAATTAGTGGTAGCCTTCAGCGCCTTGGCTATTCAAGTATAGATTTTTCTGTAATGGAAACTGCCTATAATATCATGCAGTGACGTTTTATGATGTGCACTGGTGTTCTTGGGTGCAATTATTACCAACAGGTGAACAATTGTTTTTTAAAGAACATTCTAGAAGTTTCTAGACTGTAGAATTAGTGCCAGCCTTACAATACTCTATTCCAAAGTAGGAGGCCGCCTTTAGTTTATTAATTTGGTAGTAATTTGTAAATTACAAACATGCTTGTAATTTTGAATTTTGTTTCAATTCTTTTTTTTTTTAAACATGGGGTCTTCGTCTATGGTTCAGGGTGGAGTGCAGTGGCACGATCATAGCTAACTGTAGCCTCGAACCCCTAGGCTTAATCTATTCTCCTGCCTCAGCCTCCCAAAGCACTGGGATTACAAGCATGAGCCACCATTCCTGGCTCAGTCCTTCTAAAACAGAATTCAACTTACTTCCTCTTCCATAAACATTAATATTGAAATGTTAGCAATTCAAGATTGGCCAGTTGTGGTGCAGATCATCTAGAATTTTGAGTGATTTTGAAATTATATTTGATTACTGGATGTCGTGTCCAAAAAGATGATGATCTGTGAAGGCCTGGAAAGTTAGCCTTTTTCTCCATGTCATTTTTTCCTAAAGTTGTGTAGCTTCACCTTTGTGATTACCTTTTATAATAGGAAAAACCAGTGTTTTTCCTATTCTCACACAGTCAACACAACATTTCTGACACCAGATGTTTGGGGTTTTTTCCTATACATGGAGTAATCAGTTTTCCAGTGGACACGAGCTAGGTGTCCTGTAATTCAGGTCTGATCCTGTCTACCTGGATTTAGCATCAGATCCCACAGGTAGAGGGCTCAGTCCCACAAGACTGCCCCCCACTTCAGAATGCAGCCATAAGCCCCAAGTTGTAACCCGTGCTTCTGACTGGCTAAAAATGGCCATAAATTGGGGTTCCCATGACCTGCTCATCATGTTCAGTTAATTTGCTAGAGCAGCTTACAGAACTCAGGGAAACTTATGTTAACCAGCTTACTAGAAAGGATATTACAAAATATATAGATGAGCAGTCAGATGAAAGAGATACATAGGAAAAGTTATGAGGAAGGGGGTGTGGAGTTTCCATGCCCTCTCTGGGCATGCCTCCCTGCAGACACCTGCACATGTTCAGCAACCCAGAAGCTCTCTGACCCCATGCTTTTGGGTTTTTATGGAGGCTTCATTACATAGGCATGATTGATTACATCATTGGCCATTGGTGATCAACTCAACCTTTAGTCCTTTACCTTCCCAGATGTCATGGGGTGGGGTTGGAGAGTGGGGCTGAAAGTTCCAACCCTCTAATCATGCCTCAGTCTTTCTGGTGACCTGCCCCATCCTGAAGCTATTCAGGGGCCCCCAGCCACCAGTTATCTTATTAATATACAAAAGATACTCTTATCACTTCAGAGTTTCCCAGAGTTTTAGGAGCTGTGTGCCAGGAACCAAGGGCAAAGACCAAATATATATTTCTTACTAAAATATTACACTGACATTTTGAAAATTAGATTGAACTATGAAAATCTCTATATTTGACCATATTTCACCTATTTAAAAATGGCAATTTTGTAAGCTTCAATCCAGCATTTTCTTTACACTTGACCCTTGACAACATGGGCTTGAACTGCATGGGTCTACTTATATACAGATTTTTATTCGGGCAAACATGGATAGAAAATATAGTATTCACAGGATGTGAAACCCACCAGTTCAGAGAACCAACTTTTCCATTATGAGGGTTCTGCAGGGCTGACTGCAGGACTTGTATGCACAGGCTTTGATATATGAGGGATGTCCTGGAACTAATCCCATGTGTATACTGAGGGATGAACTGTATTTTTATTTGATTCTTTCTGTAAGATAAGGCACTCTTTTGGTTTAGAGTCTCCCTTTAGTTTCAGGATTCATGAATGGGGGTGAGTAGGAGGGTAGGAGTGAGTACCAAAGTATCAAAAGATTTTAGATCTTTAATTAGCAAATAAAACTTTATAATGAGTTGATAGTCTGCAATGCTAATGATTGCTAATGATTAAGATGTTATGTCATGTTTCTGTTTATCTTTCTAGGTAAACAGATTTTTTATCTATATATTATATATAGATCTCATAATTTAGAAATTCCAGTTTAAAATTATATTCTGTGAATCATACTGTGCTTCAATAGGGTATAACCATGTTAAAGAAACATTTCTTTTTCTTTTTAAGACAAAATGTTCCTTTTGAAGACTATACAAGGCTTCAAAAAAGACTAAAAGATATACAGAGAAGACATAATGAATTTCGAAGTCTAATTTTGGTTCCTAACATGCCTCCAACAGCATCTATCAATCCTGTTAGCTTTCAGTCATCAGCCATGGTTCCAAGCATGGAACTACCATTTCCTCCTCATATGCAGGTATGAGCATTTATTTTAGGGGGAAAAAAAAAGTCGTACATTTTTGTAGGTTTTTATGTTTAAATATGGTGATAAAACTCAAATTATAACTTTGGTCAGTGCTCAAAATTCACCACAAAAATGGCATAAACATTTAAAACTACTTTTAACTTCTTCCCTTTCATTTAGCATAGAAATTTGCTGAATTCAGTTTGAATCATGATCCTTTAGTGTTGGTGCTGAGAGTGAAATCTCTTACTGGACGATAGAAAAGAGGAAACTTGATTGAGTCATTGAGTAACCTAGAGTTTGTAGCTTATTCATAATGTTAATAGTAATTACTACTGAGAATTTACTAACGCAGTGAACTGTGCATGTTCCGTGCAATGTCTAATACTAACGAAAAATGCTTTGAGGGCAGATATTACTATTCCTAATTCATAGATAAGGAAACTGATTCAGAGTGAAGTGACTTGCATAAGGTCATAGCTAATAAGTGACAAAGTTTCAAACCTAAACCTGTTGAATCCAAAACCCGGGCTCTTTCTATTGTATCAAGCCCCTGAGGTATTGAAGGAATCAGATTGATTCTTTTTCAGAAGATGGGAGTATTAATAAGTAATTATGTTTTATAACATAAGCACAGAAGATTTTAATCACTGAATTGAATCTCAGGCCAAGTGCTTTGTTTATAATAAACTGCTGTTAAACACCAGTGTTGTTGGAAAGTTACCATGTAAGTATACCTGGGCCCTGCATTAGTATTTTCTAATTCACTCCCTGGTGAATTTTATACCTAGAGAAGAACAGACTACGGGTTTTGCTTAAGGCTAGAGCCTGAGGCAGGAGAGAAGCAAAACTAGATGGTAGTTTAGCCCATGCTACTGTTTTTAGACTGCTACAGTGGTCAGCATTTCCTTGCCAGATGTTATAGGCATATATAAAAGAGGCAGTCCAAGGTTGCTACCTAACAGTTTTTCTAATAGTTTCTTTTGCTATGCTTTCTCTACATCATTTTAAGGAGGAACAACATCAAAGGGAACTCTCTCTACTTCGCAAAAGACTAGAAGAACTGGAAACAACACAAAGAAAACAACTAGAGGAACTTGGATCTTCCGGAGAATGATGTTCTTGGAGAACAGGCAGATCAAAAGAGGTGAAGTTGGTGACTCAGTAAAACTTGACATTTTAACCTGTGGCATTTAGATACTTTTTACTGTTTGCCAAAACACTTGAATGTGCCTCAAGAAAAGGTACCTACTACATGCTGTATTGTATGACTGTCAGGATTTTAAGATTATACAAGTGAAGCATTAAAAGAGAAATTCTCAGAGATATTTAGAATATTTGACAATGGTTTGAGAATGTAAAACAAAAAGGAACTAGTTAGAGTCAAGTTTTAAAATTTTTACTTTGTTGAATTTTTTTTTTTGGCATTTTGAGTGAAATATAACTATCATTAATTCTCTCTTCATCTTTGAGATGCTTGGCCATAACAGGGTCCATACACATCTTCTGGTTTACTATATACAAAAACTGTAGTTGAAAAAAGATGACAATTTAAAAGTCAGCCTAAAGAATGTAAAGGTATCTATATACAAAAGGCTACCTTTTCTAAAATCTGTGTGCACATAATTAAAGAGCTTAATTTTTTTTTAATCGTGTGTTTAATTTTACATCAACCATATAGCATATATTTAGCAATATGACAGTCTACTGATTTTGGCTTTGTTAGAATAGAGAATAAGTGCAAATAATTAAATCCTATGGCTGTATTAACAAGGGGGCCATTGATTATAAAACTTGAACTCAGGTCCTTTTATAAACATTGTTGGTATTTAACTTTACTTCCCATTACTGTGGATCTAACCAAATAATTATGTGTTTTGTGTCCCTAAGTATGCTCTCATTTTTTTTGGTCTACACCCATTGGAAGCCTTTTTAATGTGACATCTTTTAGAGGAATTCTGCTGGAATAATTTCATGTTAACGAGGCTAAAGCTCAAGTCTCCCAAATTAAGTGGAATGTTCATTATCCCAAGGTGTTCATAGTCAAAAGTCCCAGTTGATAGTGAAGAAGGCCAGGACTGTAATTGAGCAGTCCTTAGCACCATTTAGCAAACTAGGTTTACTTACTACATAATATAGCTGCTTATTCACAGCATATACAGTGACACCTTATCTCTGAAAAATAATTTCCACGGAGCCACTTAGAATAAAAAAACTATTATAACTAGAAAATTGAAAAAAAAAAAAGACAGTCCACAGTTACATCAAAATGTTTATTTTTTGGATATAGACATTTAAAACATTCATCTCCAAGAACAGCTTCAATCAGGTATACAATAAGAAATAGACTTTAAATCCTAATACAGAAAAGGTAACAGAATTTTTTTGAATGCTGCTGTAGACACTAGTGTTAGAAAAAAAAGTTTATAAATGGTTTTGCACCAAAAAAATATGCAAAGAAACTTGAAAATAGAAATTGTTTGCCATTTGTTGCTCTGGTTGCTGTTTAATATAGACCCAGTGACTGATTGTCTTCAGCACACATCTAATTTGGCCATTTACTGCATTTGGCTAATGTGATCCAAAATGTGATCTAGATAGTGCTTTTCACTGGAGGATTGACAAACACGCTACATACATTAGTGAATCTTCATACCACCTCAGTGAGGTAGCTTAGAAATATTATACAGAAATTGAGGCACAAAGAGGTAAGTGACTTGCCCAAAGTTCCCAACAGCACAGTCCCTGGAAGAGGAGGTAACTCTCCACACAGGACTCATGTGCCAGAAAGCTGGACAGGGACACCCTCATGTAGCATTTAGTAAATACTTAGATAAAGCTGTAGCTGATCCTTTGAGTTTTCAGTACCCTAAAGTAGTAGGGGAAGTCTTTTGGGCAACTCTCCTACCCTTGGCTCTCAACTTTCCTACTGTTGTTCTCTTATGAACTCCTTCACCTCTTTGAAGACTGTAGCAGCCTTCAATGGGGACCAGACCTCTCACCTTTATTCTGATCTGTCATCTATTTGGTAGTTTTGTTTGTTTGAGGTGTGTCCGTTGGACAGACAATGGTCAAAAGCAACAGGATTGGGAAGGTGCCTATCAGGGTAGTAACTGCTTATTTTCTCTGATCAGTTTGTTGAGGTGTCACCTCTCTCATGCTTTTCCAGATAATACAGAAGCAAAAAGGAATTGCCTTTAAGACAAATTCATATTTAAATCCTAATGCTCCATACAGTGTTGGTAAATGATTTCAAGGAATATGTGATCAATGTTATTTGACTTGAAAAAATTTTCTTTCCTAGATGGGGGATTTGGAGCACCAAGGGTAAAAGGTGCCTGCCACAAGAAAAGCTCAAGAGTTGCCAATTATGCTGTTTACTTCTTCTGGTTTAATAGAAGGAAAACACAGTGGTATTAAAACTGGTCATGAGCAGCAAAAATTCAGGAATTAAAAAATCAGCACTAAAAAGACTACAGTATAACTGGATAGAGAATTCTTTAAAAAGAAAGGCATGAATAAAATGGGTATTTTAAATTCTTTCTCCTGCGAGGAATACTTTCAAAAAGTACATAGTAAGACTAAGATACCAAGTTGTATACTAATATTTTTCAGGCCTTGGGCCTCAAATATATATATTTATATATAATACTCCAGTGTGAACAGCAATTCGATAAAATGTAAAATGTATCTTTTTTTTTTTAAATCACACACAAGTATTCATAACCACAGGGTTCACCAGAAATCTAAAGCAAGGAGACACTCACTCATATAGAAATGGAGTTACTCTTCCACAGATCGTTCTGATCAAAGGTTTTGGAACAGAAATGAATTAATGATTTTTTTGTATAATATCCAACATGTCCACTATCAAATACATTTAGTATGAAAAAACAGATGAAGAAAAGGAACATACATTAGGACAAAGTATCTGGTTAAAATGCTGTTCATTTAAATAAAGCCCACTCTCCTTACTTTAGAGCTCCTTGGTGAAATGGAGGTGAGTTTGATGGAGTGCAGTTGATGACCACTGAAAAACACGAGCCCTTTCAACAATGTTGCAACACTGTTAGTTTTTGGTTTAAACACACACACACACTCACAAATGCTAAGTGTACACTACCAAATTCTGCGGTCAGCTTTTCCAAGAACTACTGGGGAAAGTTTCAATGCTGCAAATCCTCGAGGTTGCCCTAACACCCCCACCTTGTTTCCAAATGACTCATTTCACATTTTGTTTTGAGCACTGGCAGTATCCCTTTACAATGCAGAGGTGCAGTGTAGCACAAGTGCTACATAGCTGTAGTTTTCAAACAAAACCACTTATATCATTGTGCTTAAGTGGAGACTGTAGTTACAATACTGACATTCGCTTACTGGCCTTGTATTCTCTGTAAACAAGGAGGCTGTTTGCAACAACCACTTCAACTCTATTTACAGAAGGGTTCCCACGGTATACACACAGGCACAAGGGTTGGTATGCTTTCTAAAAGCTGTGCATGTGCCTTGGTCTCTTAAAAAGACAGTGCCCAAAGTGGAACCTATGTGCAAACAACAAATTAACGACACAGAGTAGCTCAAGCAGCCATTTTGCTCCCAAGTCGTCTGAAGAACTTTGCCAGATTAAGCCAGGCCCCAGAGTGCTTACATCCACTTGCATTTCTTCTTTTCATCAAATAAGACTTTTACATGCAAGAGTTGTTTCTGAGCTTCTTCCAGCCCTCGTTCTCTTTCTAGTTTATTTAGAATCTGTTGACAATTAGAACAGTTATTTTAGATATTGTGGTTTTAGCGTTACAATTCTGTTTTTTGCATACCTGATGCTGTGAGTGGTAAAATCTGTATGAAACAGATGCCAACATTTTCTTCCATCATTTACATACTCACTTTGCAAGTTGTTTTGCTAAGTCCTTATCACAGGATCAACAATACCTTGGCTTAAAATAGAAGCTCGCAAGAAATACCAACTATTTGCTTACAAATATGGGGCCAGGCTTCCTAGGCCCTGCTTTATGCATTATGTCACAGCCATTCCAAGCACAGCAAGCATTCCTGGGCAGCCAACATGCAGGCAAGTATTTCTCCTTAAATGCAGCAGGCAGGGACATCCTGGTCAGAGACAGATCCTTCCCTTCCCTCCCATCTGGGCAGTGTAGTCCCTCCTCGTGCTTCCCTTCTCTCCCCTGACCCCTGGAACGAGGGATGCTTATCATGTTTAAGAACTCATTGCCTCTACCCTACCTTAGAGCTTCACTTCATCTTCAAGTAGCAAATGGAATTGGTGAGCTATTCTCACCATTGACATGGATAGCCTGTCCCAGCATGATTGGGGGGGAATCAGGGAAGGGGGAGTTAACATTTGTTTGGAAACAAAGCATCTGATGAATGTGTCTGTTTGAATTTCCAAAGAAAAAAACCCAGATTAAGGAGAATTAATCATAAAGGAGAATGGTTTATTGAAATAGTCGCTTAAGTTAGAAATATGTCATAATTTCATATAACGATTGAATACAGAATCTAGGCAATTTAACAAGCTTAGCTTTCATTTTTAGCAAATTACAATCAAGCATAAGCTGACCCCATTTAATAGGGCCACTACTTACTCATCAAAGTTAACTTGAGTCAGGGTGGCTGTAGGCCCCATGAACTCAAATGTAAATTCAGGCTGGTCCAAATGTGGGCAGCATGATAAAACTGTAAGGGGGGCAGCCATGTACAGGGTCTGGCTCAGTGCCAGGATCCCCCATCTCAGACAGGCTTCCTGGCTTCCCTTTCTGGCCTTTTGGGATGCCAGAGCTGTTCTGAAACTGACAGAATGCTATAACCACATCCTTGTGCCTGATTCAAAGGTTAAAAACAATGTTATTTAAAATCTTACCTCATCAAAATATTTTACGATGTATTTGTAAATTTCTGTCAAGGCCACTTCTTCATTAAATTCATTTTCATGTTTCTAAAAGAAAGACTTGTTGAGAGATTCTGAAATGACGTAAAGTAACCAAATATAAGCTTATTTCTGCTTTCTAATGATACCTTAGATTCCTGAGTTAAAAATTCTTCCATTTCTGAGGATGACAATGGAGGCAAATCCCTGATTGCTTTGTAATAAGATTTTACTTCTTCTTTGTAGGTTGGGATATCCTTGGCATAGAGAAGCTTATTAGTTGGTGCTTCCTGGGGAAAAAAAAAAAAAAAAAGCAACCATCACCAAAAGAGTAAAAAAAAAAAAAAAAAAAGATGGAGGAATTTATAATATTCCAATGTAGCTGAACCCCCACCACCAACCAGTTTTACCTCTTGCTAACAAGGCTTCATGCAGTAGGCCTTAAATGTTGTTGACTGAATGACTGACTGCTATCTAGATAGTTCTGGTGAGTCACTGTTATTTTCAGGCAGATTAAATGCTAATATATTCTGCCTTCCTCTCATAAAAGAACTAAAATTATTATTTTTGCATGATTTTGAGTTACTGTAACAATGGAACTTATTTCAATCATAGTTCATTACTAATGGTTGTAAAAAGCCTGAATTAAAACATTTGCTCTCATCCTCACCCACCAGTGAATTTGGCATTTACAAAAGACTTGATTGTAGGTCTGATTGAGCCCTTTATATAACCATGAAACTGGTAAGTAATTGGCAGAGGCAGATTTTCCAGCTTGTCCCTTTTATTTCATTAGATTATAGACATCATCCAGTTTCTTCAGGGAAGCACATGGTCATTAGTATTGGTGGCTCTGATGTGTGATTTTGCAGAGGTTCTCTGGCAATTTGAATGATTCTACGTAATTATAACAGTGATATTTAAAAATTAAATATGATTTTATTTTTAAAAATCATTATTTTTCACAAAACTTTAAAAAATTCTACTCAGGGAAGATAGGTAAGTTAATGATAGGGCTAATGTCCCAGCCCATGAGGCTGAATCAATGGCTTGATGAATCATTCTGAAGGATGCCTAGAGACTGAGATATTATTGAGATTTTCTCATTTGTCAAATTTAAGTGGAACCCAGAAATCATGCTATCATTCATTCATTCAATAAACATTATTAAGCACTGGAGCAGGCATTGAGAGTACAATGATAAAGACTAGTGGCTGCCCTTGAGAAGCTTACAATCTAGTTGCAAAGACAGATTTATGAAGTGCTTACTATGATACAAATAATTAGCAGCAGTAGTTGACAGAAAGAGTTGGACAAATCAGAAATCATAATTCTGCTACTTTGTGTGGTTTCAGGCAAGACTTGTAACCTCCCAGAACATCAATTTTCTCATCTATAAAATGAGGGTAATAATAACTACCTTATTTGGTACTTGTGAGGATTAAGTGAAGTGTGTCAAGAACATAATTCATAAACAACTGTTTTTAGTGTGAACAAACATTTAAGTGCCTTTCAGTGTGCTGCATGCTAAGATGAACTTTATTAGTCAAATGAAGAAAGTGCTGTAGGAAATATATTGGGGAAAGTTCACAAAGTAGGCATATGTAGACTGATCTGAGTCTCCTACAGTTTCTGGTCCTCATTAGGAAATCATATTTGTCGAATGAATAAAATGTTTATGATGAATGAATGGGTAGGATTTTACTAGACAGAGGGACTGTGAGACAGGAAAGATGAGCAAAGGGGTGTGAGAACAAGTTCATGGTGTGAACTTGGGAAAAGTAAAAGCTGTAGCACAGTGGGTATGTGGGGCGTGCAAGAAAATAACGAGGCCAGCAAAGAGGGCTGAAGCCCATCAGGAAGCACTATGTGGCACTGTGAAGACTTTAGCTGGTAGGTAATGGGAAATAGTTGCAATTTTTAAGAAGCAGACTGACATCATCAGATTTATGTTTTAGAAAGATTACCTGAGAGACAGTGAAAAGGAAAAGTTTAGAAGGAAAGGTGGACAGCAGGGGCAAGGACACCAATTAGGAAGCAGTTATCCCAGTAGGGACGGGATGAAGGGATAAGGCTAAGTGATAAGGCTAAGGAAGGAGGAGGGAGCGACAGACATTTGAGACAGAAGTAAGTGGTAACCAATAATTTGGGGATAGAGGTTGGAAGGAAGAGGAGTCAAAGATAACGTTGAGGATTCTACCTTGAGAGACTAGGCAATGCTAGGGAAGACAAAAGTAAAAACAGGTTTGTTTTGCAGAAATACTGCTGATAAAGAGTTTAGATTATGACTGGGAGTCTGAGGCACCTGTGGAACATCAGTCTCCATTCATTCCAGGTACTCTTAAAGTCCTGCCCAAGAACTCCTCCTCAGTGTTCAAAGATCCATTAGGCACAGATATTGCTCAGTTTAGTATATTTTGGAGCGCTCAAATAAGACCAAAACATCTCTTTCGAAGTTTGCTCTGATTTTTGTCTTTCTTTGAGTTCTTGGGACTATTGATCAGCAAAGAAAACCATAGGAAAACAGTACTCATGCTTTGATTAGAAACTGACAAACTGGTATTGTTAGAAATCTTGAGCAAGATTTTGTGTCCCATAAGCAATGTGTTATATTCAAATAGGCATTTTATGTATATTCAAATAGAATTGATTTAGGCAAATTTCAATGGTTGCATATTTTGGGTTAATAGTTTATCAGTGTCCATAGAATATTTTTCTAGGAAACAAAACGCATACTTTGTGATAAAGTTTTTCACAGGCAGAATTCTGCAGTTGGGTGGGGCTAATTATTTTGTTTTTCACTTTAAAAAAATTAGATTAAAAATAATGAGACAGATTTTAAATAACAGCAAATTGACAGTGGCCCTTGCTATCTCTTTTTAGCTGGTGTAGTTTAGACCAATTGTTTATTATTTGAATGCTTATCAGAAAGACAAGTATGTCAAACTCATAAGACTGCATACAAGAAATACTCAAGCTGGGCCTTACCTTCCCTAGTTGCTGCTCTGTGAGAGAAAATGCATCCATGAATGCCTGGGCAATCACTGACAAACAGCCGTCTATATGTGGTGTCTTCTTAATGTCAAAGACAAACTGAGGGTTCTTCAGGATGTTTACCCAGAAGCGAAGAGGAAGGCTGTTCAAAGAGAGAATAATCTCTTTTCAAATAGGGCCATTCATGAAGCCAATGGTCTGTTTATCACAGTTTGTAAACGGGTGTTTTTGTCCTTGTTATTGAAGTATACAACTCTGCTTAGCCAAACATACCAAGCAACAGACAGAAGCGTCACTTGGAGAGAAGAAGAAAGGGTTAACTGGCAGAGCTACTGTAAAAGAAGGATAGAGGAGGGTAAGTTTGAAAGTGGCCATGGGCAAGAATTTTCTCCAGATAGCTCTTGATTATAATCTCTCTCACCTGGATTATTTCCCATCTCCTGACAGTTTGTTCTCACATAACTATCAGCAGTCCTCTCAACACAGAATCAGACCATGTCTCTCCTCTGCTCCAACCCTCTGAGGCTCTCCATCTCCCTCTGGATAACACCCTGCATGACCTGGCCCTCCTATCCCACTGCTCCTCACCGCGCTCATTCCAACTCTCCTGTTCTCCTTGCTATTTTTCATATGGGCCAAGCAAGCACGTGCCTCACAACTTGTGCTCTTGGCGTCTGTCTGCCTGAAACTTTCTTGCCTCAGGTAGTCTCATGGTTTATGCCCTCTCCTCTTTCAAGACTTGGTTCAAGTGTCACCATCTCTGTGAGGCCTTCTCAGATCACCTAGTCCTGACACATACTAGCCTCCTTTCCTACTTTCTCCACTGCACTCATCATCTGCTAATGTGCTACTGTTTGCATATTGCATTTAGTGTCTGTCCCCAACTATTAGAATGGGACCTGGACTTTCATCTGTTTTGTTACTATATCTCCAGCAACTAACTGCTTGGCCCATAGTAGGTACTCAAATACCCGAACATGAACTTGGGACTGGTTCAAAGTCCTTCCATTATCTCCTTTTCAACTCTGGCCTAGCTCATTACCTCCCCCATATGCTGCTAGGTCTCCCAACAGCTCTACTGTCCTGGCTGCTGCCCCTGCTCAGATGCCATAATCTTCAAGGTGGAATGGTGGCCCTCAGCTCCCAGTCTTGATGTGGGAGTGGCAGGGACTGGAGATAAGAGGCTAGAACAGGCCAGGGGCAGTGGCTCACACCTGTAATCTCACTACTTTGGTAGGCTGAAGCAGGAGGATGGCTTGAGTCCAGGAGTTTGAGACCAGCCTGGGCAGTGTAGTGAGACCTCATCTCACAAAAAGTTTTAAAAGTTAGCTGAGTGCGGTGGCATGCTCGTGTAATTCCAGCTACTTGGGAAGCTGAGGTGGGAGAATTGCTTGAGCCCAGTAGGCAGAGGTTGCAGTGAACCGAGATCCCACCACTGCACTGCAGCCTGGGCAACAAGAGTGAGACCCTGTCTCAAAAAAAAAGAGGCTAGAACACAGGAAGAGAAGGGAGCAAGCCAGCGTAGAGAATTGGGATAGGCCTGGATTAAATGGGAGATTAGACCTAGAGGAACTTCAGCTTTTGATACTCATTTAAAGTGACCTGGCTGCCCTCAGTGCCTGGAAAGCCTTGAGCTTGCACTGAGAAGTTCTACTTCATCATAACTCTGAGTCTTATCCAGCCCATGCACACAGCATTTCAAAGAGAGCTCATGAGCTACATTTCTTTACTGAGGAGGCAAAATTTGGATGCCTTGCCTGTCCTTAAGGTAAAATATTAAAATATAAAACAAAACACAAACTTTTGGCTAATTCTCATAGTATCTGAGTACTGCACTTGATAAATTTCTGTACAGAATCAGAGTATAGACAGCTTGGAGACTGCAAAGTAACCGATTAGGAACAAAAAATGGTTTATCATAAAATTTTCTCTAATGCAAAAATGATATAAAACCACAAATGTTAATTTCTCATTCTTTACTGGTCAACTTAAATTTCTTTTAACATTCTAGACAAAGTATCATGCACCAAAGATAACAGTTTATCTTCAAGAACAGGATTCTTGGCATAGGAATGGTTTCCTTTATTGTTTAAAAATAGTAACAGAATAAGAAACTACTTTGACATGATAGCTTACCAAGCCCAAAGATTCTGATATAGAGATAAATGAATCCTTCTATAACTATCTATGTCTTTCTTTTAGTTAATATTCTGTCCCAGATTCTTGAAAACAGTCACTAATCACCTACATTCCCACCTGTTTGTTTTCCAAATATGTACGACGTCAGGATCTGTGATTTTTTTGTTTTCAGCCTGGGCGTCCAAAAAGTCAAAAAAGTATTTTATAGCAAATGGAGCTCTGCTGTTGGGTAAACTCCAAATGCTTCTAAAAAGTTTTTCAAGCACAGAATGAATTGCCACCTGAAAGATAGACAACATCAGATTTGGGAGATTAAAAACTGTGGTAGTGGTTTTGAAAACATAATAGCAAAAGCAAATCCACATTCAGAGAAAATAATGTTCAAAACAGGGAAAAACAAACTGAAGAGAAAAATGTAAAATTGTCAAATGTGGCCAGTGCTCACAGTATAGGTCAAAAGTCTTGAAAATCCATGCCCAGGTTTAGATTTGGTTCATAAGCTTCTTGCTGATAACATTGTTTAGTCAACTGGGAGGATATCAGAAATCTCTAGCAGTTGAAATGTCAGTTGTAGGGCTGTTTACATAAACCAGGAAGCCATGGATATTTGGCTTTTATTAGTTATGTTCAGCCTGGAAAAGCTCAAGTGATGCTGCTCTGTTCCCAGAATTTTTCCTGTTGCATATATTTCTATCATAAAGTTTTATTGTGTACTTTCCAAAGCATTTGAGTATTTCACAAAAGCCAAATAGGCTGGGCTCTATGGGACAGCTGAGAAAATCAAGAGGCTTGGGCTGTCCTCTGCCCACTAAACAAATCTCCTAAGCTCTAAGCAGATTCTTTGTTATAATCTGAAGAAGCATGCCCATCAAGTTCCTGGGGCCAAGTGTAGATCATAGCATTTATAGTGCTCATCATTCCAGAGGGGGAGGAAAAAAAAGATCACCACAGACTTCTGTTAATTCCACTAAAAGCCAGATAAAGTAAAATTTGCTCTCGGTTTGGTATTCCACCGGCTTTCACATCTGACACTTTTATGTGTGAGCAGAATTCTTAATTTTAAAATGAAAAACAAAAATTAAGATTTACTAGGTTTATAGTCATTGACCCTTCCCATCCCCTTCATTTTATTCGCAATTCAAAAAGGGAGTTTTATTGCTCATCTATAATAACAAGTAAACCAAAAGGAATAATTATGCTGTCAACCTAAAAAATAACAATAATAGTGAAATGGTGGAGAAAGAGACTGGGAACAATATTAAATCCCTGACTGAAGATACTACAGTACAAATCTGTAAAGTGCTGTTATCTTTGTAGTGTATAAAAAGAAGAGGAACTGGGTAGGAAGTGTTTACAATTTAAACTTTCATTTTGCTTTGCTAGAAGGCACAAGGGATTTGTAACATTTTCACACTTCAGTGGAAATTAAGTCAAACATATCATACACCCCCTAGGTAGCCATAAAGTGCTCCCAGAACAGTAAGTGTACCTTGGTCGACAGCAGCTTTGTCAGATACATTTCTTTTACTTTGAACTTGTGCTTCCCTCGATGTCTCTTTCCTTGCACATCTTGGAATGCTTCCGAATCTGGTAAAATCTGAAGGGAAGACAGCAGAAGCGTTACCCAAGGAGACCACTCTTGCTACAGAAGGCATGCAGTTCAGTGGTGAGCACAAGAAAGCCTGAACTCACCAAATGGCAGTGGTCATCCGAGTACTCCACATCTGAATGCCAGAGAAAGAGGGAGAGAAAGCAGTCCATTAAAAAAAGCAACCATGGGCTAATCGGCCTTCTCTTAAAAGGCCCCATTTGTGCTGTATACTGAAGTTACTTGAGCTTTTTGACTTGAGCTCTCCATAGCTACATTTTTCCCCCTGCTGCATCTTAAGATCTTAAGAACAGCGTGAAGATGGGACGGGTGAGGGATTGGAGGAGGAAGTAGATTCCCTAGTGATCTCTGATCTCTTGCTGGTAGGAGAGGCTCAAGCCTCATTCATTTAACAAATGTACCTAGAACACCTCCTATGTGCCAGGGACTACTGGGCATATAGCAATGAATAAGACCCAGTTCCCACCCTGATGGAATTTGCATTCTGGCCAATGAGAGACATCAAACTTCTAGGTACACAATTATTATAACTGTGATAAAGGTTATGAAGGAGAATTATATGCTAAAGAATTAACAAGAGACCAAATCTAGTCCAGGAGTTTTTGAGGAAGGGATGCTTGAGCTGAATCTAATGAAGAGATAGAGTCAGCTAGGCAAATTGCAGGAAGGTCCAAAGGTAGGAAGGAGCTGACCCTTTCTAGGATCTCAAAGGACAATGAGGTGGTGCTCACAGAGCAAGTCAAGAGTAGCGCAGAGTGAGGAAATGTGGCTGTAAAGGGTAAGGGAGTGGTAAATGGAGGGAAGAGAGGAAGTAAGGCATTTGGTTTGTTTGTTTTAAAGTTGAGAGAGGCTCAGTGGCTCACATCTGTAATCCCAGCACTTTGGGAAGCCAAGGCAGGAGGACTGCCTGAGTCCAGATTTCAAGACCAGCCTGGACAATGTAGCGAGACCTCATTTCTACAAAAAATTTTAAAGAGTATCTGAGCATGGTAGCACACTCCTGTAATCCCAGCTACTTGGGAGGCTGAGGTGGGAGGATCATTTGAGCCCAGCAGGTTGAGGCTTCAGTGAGCCATGATTGTACCACTGCACTACAGCCTGGGTGACAGCGAGACACTGTCTTAAAAATAAAGATGAGAGAGACGAGCACATCTTGAAATGCTAATGGAAAATGGGGAGTAGATGGAGAGGAAAAGAAAGTACAGGTGAGAAAAGAGATTACTGGTGGTGTAAGGATACCAAGAAGGTTGGAAAGGATGGTGGACCCAAAGCACAGGTGAGAGACTGGCCTTGAATGGAAGAAGGTCAGCCTACAAGCATCAAGGAAGAAGGCAGGTGCAGGTAGGTTGGTAGGTTTGCTACTGGCTGTTGAAGGACTTCTGATTAGTTTTCTCTGTAAAGAGTGCAGGGTGAAGTCATCTGCTGAGAGGAGAGCTGTGTGGGTCAAAGCTTTGAGGAGAGAAGGCAGACATTATGGACAACACAGAGTTGAATTGCCCAGAGGAACCCAATGAGAGCAGGCTGTGTGGAGGGCCCTGGTCAAGTTGGGTACCATGAACTTATAGTGACCCACTGTGTGCCATTATGTGCCTTTCTTCTGTGGCTCCCTAGCTGTAGGGTCAGGAAAGGATAATCGTTGGGTTCATCCAGCGTTGGGATTTTGACAGAGGGGCTGATGATAGGACAGAGGTACAGGAGGTTTAGAGTATTAGCAGGGTGTAAGACGGTGGCTCTCAGTTGCAGTGAATGGAAACTAGCAGCAGTGTTGACTGACTGGAGGGCCCACGAAGAGATCCAAACCTAAGATTCTACTATTCAATCCCCAAATAATAGGCTCTTCAAAAGGCCCAATCTTTGAAACCTAAAAACCATGCTCTTCCACTTTTCAACACAAAGACACCATCCCCCTTAAGCTGGAATGATCTCTGCAAGATGGCTTCACCACAGCCCCATATAGTGATGGAAGGTGGGTTTCCCCAAAGGAGTCCTACCCAATTATCCTGTCTGTATAATCAAGAACCCCACATTCCCTGTTTGCACTGGCCAGATGCTCCCTGCTCCTTCTAATAGTGAATCCAGAAGTCAGGAAGCCCTACCTCTGGCTGTGTGTGTGAAAGGAGCCTGTTTGGGAGGAGCTCAGAACCTTTCCAAGGGCTGAGAGCTGATTGTCTTGACTGGGGTATAATTTCTCTGGAGACAAACCTGGAACAGGAATTTCCTGCCCCAGGGCTATCAGGGAAGCAGAAGATCACTTTAGAGACCAGCCTATTGACTTTCCCATAAAAGTTCCCCCTTTAGTTTGTCTCTCTCCAATTTCTGGGAATTTTGCAAGTGCTATCACAGGAGACTTGGACCTTCTAAGTGGATTATCTTGTTTGTTCAGCGCTTGCTTCGGGGCTCTGTGATGATTGTCTGTACTCTTCCCTCTCAGTTTGCCAGGGGGATCTCCTCTGTTAGGCCCCATCCTTCTAAAGGGTTGAAAAAAAGCTATGAGATTCTGCCCTGAGTTTAGGGCTATAAAGAGGCAGCCACTTCCTCAGTGCTGGGCAGTCCAGGCCAACCACCATCTATAGTTTCCTTTCCTTCTTGCAGGGATCACATTCTTAGGACTGCAAAGAGATCAAAATGACTTTTCTCAACTTTCAGAGAATTACATAGCAACAACTCAATCTCACCTTTGTGACAATACAGCTGAGAGAGGCAAAAAGCAATACTTTATGAAGCTGGGTGAGAACAAAAGGTTAACAATATTATATTGGTTACCTGAAGTAAAATTTGCTATCTTCTTAAAGACTTTTATAGTGGATCCATTTGATATCTGAAACCAAAGATAAAAGATATATGAGTGTTCAAAATTTAATGGATTTCTCAACTTCACCCAGGAATTAGATGGCTGGATGGATCTTACATGCTGTCACTTATTAAATCAAATATTTATCAAGAATTACTATGTTCTGGGCACTGTGCTGGAGGCTGGGACTAAATGACAAGCAAGGCAGTGTCTCTGTCCTCAAGGGGCTCATGGTCCTGTGGAGGAGGCTGATGAGGCCATGGGAGGCAGTGGGGTAGTACGCAGAAGGTGGAGGCCAGGACCCTGTGGGACAGATGGGAGGTGGGAAGCCCTGGAAGAGGGGAAGACTGAGCTGTGTTAGGACATTCCCCCCAATTCGCAGAGGTCAGGCAAGACCTAGGCCAGTTTCATTTTTTGAGGTTAAAAAATTGTTACTTGCTATGGACTGAATGTTTGTGTCTCCTCCAGATTCCTATGTTTAAATCCTAATCCCAGTGTGATGGTATTAGGAGGTAGGGCCTTTGGGAGGTGACTAAGTCATGAGGTTGGAGCCCTCATGATGGGAATAGTGCCCTTATAAGAAGAGACACCAGGGCTGGGCGTGGTGCCTCACTCCTGCGATCCCAGCACTTTGGGAGGAAGAAGAGGAGGATCCTTGAGTCCAGGAGTTTTGAGACCAGCCTGGGCAACATAGGGAGATCCCTCTGTATAAAAAAAATTTTTTTAATTATCTGGGCGCATTGGTGCACACCTGTAGTCCCAGCTACCTGGGAGGCTGAGGTGAGAGGATCACTTGAGCCCAGACATCCAAGGCTGCAGTGAGCCCTGACTGTGCCACTCTACTCCAGCCTGGGCGACAGAGTGAGACCTTGTCTCTAAACAGAGGAGGAAAAGGAAGAGACAGCAGAGCTTGCTGGTCCCCTCTGCTTTCCACTACACAAGGATACAAGAAGACGGCTCTCAGCAAACCAGGAGGAGGGTCCTCACCGAGCTACTAGTACTTTGCCCAGACAGTGAACTTCCAGTCTCTGGAACTATAAGGAACAAATGTTTAAGCCACCCAGTCAATGGTATTCTGTTATAGCAGCCCGAACTGACTATGACACTACTCTATTAAGAAATGCTGAAATGGGTTTTCAGAAATTGTGGTATATAAAGTTGGTATCTACCCTATGACAGAGCCATTTCACATGTAGGTCCTTAGTCCACAGAAATAAGTATAAATCCTGATAGGGAGCGATTTGTAATTGTCCCATACTGGAAACAACTCAAACATCCATCATCAGAATGAATAATTTGGGGCATATTTATACAACAGTTTATAAAACAATGAAAATGAGCAAACTACTGTTACACGCCACATGGGTAAATCTTACAATCATAATGTTGAGCAGAAGAAGCTCGACAGAAAAGAAAGTATACTGACTGATTCCATTTACATAGAGCTTGAAAAAAGAAAAAGCCCAAACAGTCAAAACTATCATGTTAGATATTTGGAGAAGAGAGCAGCGGTAGTGATTAGGAAAGGCCAGGAGAGGGCTTCTATTTTTTGACATGGGTGGTAGTTTCAGGATATGCTCACTTGATGATAATTCATCCAGCAGTACGCTTATAATTTATTTGTTTTTCTGTAGGTATATACAGGTTGAGCATCCCTAATCCGAAAATTCAAAATGCTCCAAAATCTGAAACGTTGTGGGTGCTAACGTGGTGCCACAAGTGGAAAATTCGGCACCTGAACTCATGATAGCATGAGTGACAGTCAAAACCCAATAAAAACTTTGATTTGTGCACAAATTATATAAAATTACCTTCAGGCTCTGTGTACAAGGTGTATATGAAACATAAATAAATTCTGTGTTTAAACATGGGTCCTGTCACTAAAATATTTCATTATGTGTATGCAAATATTCTAGAATCCAAGCAAATTCCAAAATCTGAAATACTTGTGGTTCCAAGCATTTTGGATAAGGGATATTCAACCTGTGACATTTTTTCAAAAGCTTGTAAAATCACAAAATTTGCATATACTTTTTAATAAAAGCTTTGAAATGTAAGCATAATGTGGGACATGCTTAACTTTTGCTAATATTAAGTGTGCAGCTCAATGACTATTCACATTAAATATATACTGGCATAACCACCACCTTTATCAAGATATAAAATATTGCAAGGTCCTGAAAAGTGCTCCCATTGTCCCTTCCGAGACAATGACCACCCCATCTTCATCCAGAGGTAATTACTTTTCTGTCTTCCATCACCATTTATGAATTTTGCCTGTTCTTGGGTATCATATAAATAGAATCATACAGTATGTACTGTGTCTAGATTTTGAGGGTCAGTATAAGGTCTGTGACATGTATTCATGTTGCAACTACAAGTAGTTCATTATTACTATGTGTTAGTTCATGTAGTATGAATATACTACCAAAAATTGCCATACAATAAAAGGAAAGAATTACCGATACATGCTACAGCATGGATGAACTGCAAAAACACGCGAAGAAGCCAGTCACAAAAGACCACATATTGTATGGTCCTATTGATATGAAGTGTCTATAAAGATGGGAGCAGTAGACATGAGGGACTCCAAAAGCGGGGATGGGTCTGGGGCAAGGGCTGAAAAAGTTCCTGTTGGGTACTACGTTCACTGGGTGATGGGATCAATAGAAGCCCACACCTCAGCATCATGCAGTATACCCTTGTAGCAAACCTGCACATGTACCCACGAATCTAAAAAGAATATACGAAATGTCCAAAATGGGCAAATTTATATAGACAGATCGTAGATTACTAGTTGGCTAAAGCAGGGCTGGGGGAAATAAGGAGTGACTGTTAATGAATTCAAGGTTTCTTCGGGAGGGATGAAAATGTTCTAAAATTAGATTGTGGCAATGGTTGCTCAATTCTATAAGTATACCTAAAACCACTGTATTGTATACTTTAAACGAATTAGCTTTATGGTAATATGAATTATATTTTGGCTGGACACAGTGGTTCATGACTGTAATCCCAGCTCTTTGGGAAGCCAAGGCAGTAGGATTGCTTGATCCTAGGAGTTCAAGACCAGCCCGGAGAACTCAGATCCCCATCTCTCCTCAAAACAAACAAACAAACAAAAAAGCGCTGAGCATTGTGGCACACGCCTGTAGTCCCAGCTGAGGCAGGAGGATGGCTTGAGCGTGGGAGGTCAAGGGTGCAGTGAGCCACGATTGTGCCACTGCACTCCAGCCTGGGCAACAGAGCAAGACCCTGTCTCAAAAATTATGCTTCAATAGAACTGATAAGAATTGCCACAGATTTTAAATGTATACATTTGACAAAGGCAGGCCTCTGTATATATTGCCTCTTTTGGAGTTAAAATCAAGCGTTCTCACCTAAGACCTTTTGGTACCATGGAAACCAGGGTCAAGTGGCCCTACAGTGCCCCTCCCCCACACCCTGATGGGCACTCGCAAATCCCCAAGCAAGGAAGTGCCCTTCGGGCAAAGGGGGACAAAGATGCCAAGATGCTGGGGGCAGGCCTGGCTCTGTGGGAGGAGGGGCTCATTCACAAAATTACAAGACAAACGGGTGGCAAGAAGGAGGCAGGTCAGAGATCCACAAATCTCCTTCATTCTGGAACTGTTTCTGGAGGACTGACCCTGTCACTTCTGAACCTTATCAGCTAAGTGACTTTTCCCTCCATTCTGAAGCTCCAAAGCTATTCTCAATTCTAATATTAATTTGGACCTTGCCTTCCCAGTTTGGAAAGAGTGGAAACCTAGAATTTCTCTTCTGGCCTGCTGCACATTGGTTATCAGAATGTACTAGCCCACCTAGCAAGCACCAAAGGATTAAAACCTAATCTCCTTCAGGTTACACCCACAGGGAGGAACACAGAGCAAGAGCCAGCCCTCAAGAGGTCCTCAAACACAGCTGTCCAGCCAGCCGCTAAGTTTAGGCCAGAGGCCTCCAACTGCTGGTGTGCATGATATCTTGGTGGTGGGGTGGGGGCAGCACTGGGCAGGGGCCGGCTGGGGCCATCAGGCCTCTGCAAAGTGACTCCAGCAGGGATTCTTAACTCTTACTGAGCTCTTCGACTCTGCTCCTATTAACGAGCATCCTCTCCTTTTCCCCTTGAGCTATTCATTGTTTGCTGGCTGATTTTTCAATTCTCCTCCATATTTGATGCAATTAAACTAAATGCTCTGTGCAGGCACCCCCTTAGCAATACTCAGACACCGAGTTTATGAGAAGCTTTGAACATAGTTACAAAATTCCTCCCCACGAAGAGCTGGATATGCTCTGTTTCTAAGCCAATAAATATCTTTTTATAAAAGGAAGCTGATGATTCATTCTGGGTAATTGTCAAAGAATGAATCCCAAATGTCTCCCATTGAGTGTTGAGCCAGTACTTCACTACTGTCAGACGCTTTGTTTTGCCAAAAGCGAGCACCCTTACTCTATAATCACAAATACCTCGGATGGGCCTTCTGATAAGGAACGCTGCCAAAAGTTCAAATGTCTCCTCAAGAGCTGGCAACAGCCCGCTGCTAGTGCTGTGCTCAGGCATTAAGATAGCATAGACACAGCTTGTACCAAGGAAATTTTACTCTGAAATTATCTCCCAAGAGCAAGTGTAGAAACATTTTATTAGTGGATGAGTTGTGTGTGTGTGTGAGCGCGTATGTGTGAGTGCATTTCTAACTTTCACAGCTGCTCTAGAGCTGGAACATTTCCCCCATGTGACACTTTAACACGATTATAAAGACAGAAAAATAGTTTATTTACAGATGTTTGTGGGGGAAAGGTTTCCGTTTTCTTTTTAGCACAAGTCAGCTGCTGCTGAGGTAAGGACAGAAATGCCTTTTTGAAAAGTGCCCTGGAATGCAGAGTGTTAAAAAGATGCCATTTGTTCCATCTGAGGAGCTCCAAATGCTCTTCTAAGAGTGACTCATTAATCGTCCCCTAGTCCTGTGAGGCAGGGAGCGTCCTCTGGGCCCCTACTTTAGGGATGAAAACCAAATTAAGTCAAAGAAAGATTAATGTCACTAGATGGATCTGCAGCAGGATTGTTTCTCCAGCCCAGAGCAGAACTGGTACGCACGGCAATTTCAAATTAAATTCCTTCCAGTCTCACAGGGTTCTAGGATTCGATGTGACAACAAGCGATTCCCCTCCAATCATCAATGGAGGGGAATTGGGGCCACCCCACGTTAGAAGTGGCAGAGATGACTGTAGACTTTCCCATCATTAGAATGAGAAGTTGTAATCACTCAGGGAGAAAAAGACCCATATCAACAACTTTAAGTCATTTCCAAAATAAACAGGAGCTACACATCCTCCAAACCACTTGCAAGTGAAGGTAAGATTTCTTTATAAGATACCATGTTTATGGCACAGCTTAGAATTCCATGAAAAGAGATTTTCTAGAAATGTAAGGTTGAACTTATGTTTAACCTTATGAAACTACCACTTTTGTAGGTAAAAATGGTCACCTATTGACAATTTCATATGGCTCCACCTAAGAGAAATGCTGGCATTGTAGCTATAAATTTTATGAAAAATTATGAATATGTTCTGAATATTGTGATAATTTAAAGAAAAAAATCTGAAAACATGAGAATCAAATCACTACACAGAAACTCTGATTGAAATCTCTCATTCCTGAAATCACCTTTTCTGCTGAAACAATATTACGTGAAAACAGAATTCTATTCCACATGCTGTCCCAGCAGCCACGTGCCAATATTGCTCTCCCTCCGTCAGTATCGTCTTCTCCCTCAGCTCTTCTCACTGATGCCCCAAGGCTGGAAACTGATGAAAACAAAATCTTGTTTCTCAGGGCTTGAGGGATAACCTTGCTGAGTCCTTCAGCACAGGGGTTCACCAGTGCATTGGAAGGGGCCGTCAGAACATCCTCCACAGGCTGGTCAAATCACACAGAAGGTTCTGGACATCCAGGGGAGGGCTTACAGGATGCTGGAAACCAGAGAAAATGCCACAGGGCTCCTGCTTCTCTCTTGTTTACTTGAAATTAACCTCCAGGCCACTAGCCAGCTCCTTCTGCGGCCTATTAGTGATAGCCCTGAGACTGTCTTCCTCCTGAGGGAGTTGGGCCACCAAGAATGTGTGGGAAACTGCGAAGACCTGAACACTTAAGACTCAAGAGTGATCCTGTTGGGTTGGAGTTGTCAGAGCCCAGATGCCTGAGAGAGGCCCCCTTTGGATGAAGGTAACTGTCATCTTCACGGACTGCTGGCCAAAAAGAGGGTTAAAGTAGAAGTAGGGAAGCATTTTGATAAACTCACAGACACGAGATTCACCCTGGGATTTTAAGAGAAGTTACCCTTTATGAATTTGACATCAGAGAATGTAACTACCAGGATTTCTCCTCAATCAGGCCCAGCTCTCTAGCCAGGCTGCCTCGGAGGTTAGGAGCATGGGCTGAAAGCCTGGATCTGGGGGAAGGTATCCCTCAGGCCCTGCGCAGAGCCACAGTCTCTAGAGTGGTTATTTCGCCTGCTTTCAAGCCTTGAGGCATCAGTGAAGGAACTCTGTGACTCTGGCCAAGTTTCTTAGCCTCCCTGGGCCTCAGAATGGGGCTGATAGTATTCACCTCATGGAGCGGTAAAGAAGACGGAAAGAGCTGCTGTTGGTCAAAGCCCTAGAACAGTACCCAGTACACAAGAAGCATTATACGTGTTTGTTAAATGAATATCTAAAGACATTCACACTGCAACAGACCTTTAGCGATTGTCCAGTCCCTTTTAGTGTCACAGATGATGGACTTGACCAGAAGCATTGCTGACCTTACTTAACAGACCCTTTGGGGCATTCCTATGAGCTTTAAATATCTTTTGAATTACAAATTTGTTAGCAGTGACCACTTCTGCATTAGTACACATCTGTTAATGAAAGCGGTTAAACAACATTTCTGCCTCTCAAAACCTTGCAGCTCAGAACTCGAAGTGTAATCTTTAGAGAAAATTTCCTGCCCAACACCTGTCCTGCACACTCGCCACTACTCCATAGCAGGGTGCGGGTGCAATAACTCGGCCCAGCCAAAGGTCACAGCAGGGTGCGAGTGAGAGGAAGAAGGCTGGACTCCAGAGAAACCACCCTGCCACAGTCCTAGGGGACGAGTGTGCCCCACTCCCTGAACATGCAGGTGCACATGCCCCAGACCCTGTTGGCACCAGAGCAAAGCACAGTCCCCTTCATAGTCAACGCACACAGAATGACATCCAGTTAAGGAAGCGCACCGGGAGGGTTTAATTATAGGGGAGAAAGACTCCTCTGGCTTCATGTGTAAAGACACGCTTAACCCTTTGTCTGCACAGGACAGAATGACACTGGAACAGAAATGCACCCTCCTCTGTGTTCATCAGATGGAAAATGGGAGTAAGGAAAGCACCTGCCTCCCAGGGTTTTTGTGGACATTAATTGAACTAATGCATGTGAGCAGTGCCAGGCACTGGCTGCCATGGTTATTGTCATGGAAAGCAATTCCCCGGTGCTGGGGGTTGCCAAGGGTGTCAGCCAGTAGGTGACAGGGCCCTGCCAGCAATGTGGGGCTCTGGGGGCTGCATCTAGTCCATGAGATGCTATATTTTTGTCATGCCCTCAAATCCCCTCTAGAAACCTGTTCTTCAAATGTGCTGAGAGTAAATCATTCAGACGAGACCAGCTACACTCTGTTTGCCCTAAGGACAGACAAGGAAAGAAGAAACAGGCTGGCTCTCCAACAGCAGGGACTTTGTTTAGATAGTAGGAGGAACTGGCCGTCACTACAGATTAACTTTAAAACCTAACTAATGTGGACTAATTGGAGGGAGGTGAGTCTGATTCACTTAAAACTCTGAATTAGACCCTATTTTTAAATGAATTTTTTTTTTTTTTTTTTTTTTTTTTGCTTTTAAGCACATACAGTGACTCAAACTAGGGTGCTTTAGTAAATGAATAAGAGTGATAATTAGCATCTTGTCTCTTTGGAGGGAAATGCTAGTGCTCAAGAGAAAATTTTTTCTTTAACAAAAGGGTAAAAGCAAACTTCAGCCCAGCCCTGTCAAATTACTCCCAAATGTTGAGTCTGCGGAGGCGCTGCTTAATCAAATATAGATGTAGGTGGCTGAGGGTGGTGGGGGATGATTTTCTCCAAGCAGCCTTTAAAAAACAGGGCTTTTGAGATGGTCCAGGCATAGAGAACATGGAGCCCAATGACCTCCCGTTTCCTTCAGGCTCTCTGGTTTATTTGCCTTATGGCTTAGCTTTTTAAACATAAGGAGAATCCTTTAAGCCTTCATGTCCTAGGCTTGTCATTTATTACCACCATGCAGCAACACTGGGGTATGAGGCCAATAAATCATTTGGACGGGAAGTGACTACAGGCCGGATTAATTTCATTATCATCCTTAAGCAGATAGGTGTCTAGCACGGCCGATGTCTGCAGTGAAGACTGATGTTCTATCTCTCCCGACAGGCCTTCACCTTGCCTTGCAGACAGCTGTGGTGGTTCTTCATTCTCCCTGCTGGAGAGACTTGCCCTGCCTCCTCCTATTAATGGCAGTGGGTAGCCCCATCCCCTGCCTCTGCGGCCCACCCCATGCCCCACAGTGGCCAAGGGATGCTGAGAAGCCTGGCAGGGGAGGCACAGCTGAGCAAGACAAGAACTCCAGTCAACAGCACCAGAGGAGGGCCTTGGAGTCTGTGTCCCCTCCTAACTCATCAAGACAAGCCTGCCACCCAGACACAGGGAGAGGTGCTGGCTTGCAGGTCTAGAACCCTGAACTGATGCCATGATAAGCACTTCCACCCAGCAGGGCAGCATCTCTGACTCCGATCTCCTCCTGGCCATTACCTTCCCTCTGGGGCCGTGTTTTTCCAAATACAGCCAAAGATGCCCCTTATTCCTGAGCCCAAGAATGCACACTTTTAGAAAACTCCCTGGGGATTTTTACAAACTCCAAAAGCTAAGAACGACTGCTCTTGGCAAGATGATTCCAGGGTTGGCAAGTCTGAGCTATAGGAGAGTGAGCACGGGGCAAGTTGCTAGCCTGCAGCTTTCTCTGCTAGACTCCCTACAGCAATGCCACAGGGGCAGCACCTCAGTCATCACCCAACGCAACCACTTTCAAACTGGGTGACCCACTCAGCCAAAAAGCCCAAGGATGGGTGTTCTCTGTCCCTGGCCATTGTCTAAGAAGCTCTGCTCGGGAACAGTCTCACTTCTTCCTGGGCAAGGGGAGAATCTGGCAGAGTCCTAGGTCCTTCCTGGTGCAGACCTGTCACCCTGGGACTGTACAGCCATGAAAAACAGGGGGTCCCTACCCTCCCGGTGTGCTGGGAAGCTGCTCCTCCTCCTGTCTTCTCTAGGAAAGCACCTGCCTCCAGGCATCTGCACAGTCATCCCCAACTGATATCTTTGACCCCACCCTCATCTTACTATCCCTCCCATCCACGTGACTTGTGGTGTCCTCCTCCTGAGCATCTGATTCCATTTGTGTGTCTCTGTGTCTGTCCAGAGCCACTGCATTATTGCTGGACAGCACCAATCCTCACCAGAAATCCACAGCTTCTAATGGGGCTATTTCCAGGTTTGCACCCCTTCTATCTACATCTCACACACAGCCCCACTCATTTTCTGAAATACTAACCTCCCTGCTTCAGGACCTCCCATGGCTTCCCACTGTTCTTGGGATAAGACTCAGAACTCCTGAAGAGGCTGCCCCCATCTGTGTGATCTGCATCTTCCCTGCTTGCCTCCCTACCCCTACATCTTGTAAGAGGCCACAGCATGGACTGGTTCAGCCACAGACCCTACAGCCAACTATCCAGGTCCGAATCTGGCCCTGCCACTGACTAGCTGTTACCAGACCTCCCAGAGCCTCATCGTACCCATCTATAAAGTGGGGTTAATAATAGTACCTATCTCGTAGGACTGCTATAGGATAGAATGGGGCGAAATACTGAAATCGCCATTGCAAAACTATAACAGTGAAAGACATCTGAAAGGTGAACAGTGAAAAACATCTGAAACAAACCTTTCAGATGCCTTTCACTGTTATAAGACGGTGAAGCAGATGTGTTAGAAGACAGTGAAGAGATCTGACCTAACCAACTCCATCTTGCTTCTAACCTCCAAGCTGCTCTTGCTCATTTCTGGATGTAGACTGAACTAACTTTGGGAGGAACTTACAGTTTAAAACAAAGACAACAACAGCCCTTTCCCAAAACCACCTTCTTGCCTGGGGACTAGATTGCCTTCATAGGACTAACAAATTAGCCACAAGATTGGGATTGTGGTTTAGGAATCATGCAGCTGGAGGCTACAAGATTCTGACTCTCCCCAAATTGCTCCTGGGGATAAAATCACTATTGTAAAACCTAAGACCAGTGCTTGAGATATTTTGCAAACCCTGCTTTTTTTTTTTTTTTTTTTTTCCCCTGACATGGAGTCTTGCTCTGTCGCACAGGCTGGAGTGCCATGGCACCATCTCAGCTCACTGCAACCTCCGCCTCCCGGGTTCAAGCAATTCTCCTGCCTCAGCCTCCCAAGTAGCTGGGATTACAGATGTGCACCACCATGCCCGGCTAATTTTTTTGTATTTTTAGAGACAGCGTTTTACCGTGTTGGCCAGGCTGGTGTTGGACTCCTGACCTCAGGTGATCCACCCACCTCAGCCTCCCGAAGTGCTGGGATTACAGGCGTGAGCCACCACGCCTGGCCCAGACCCTGCTCTTGATGGATCAGCTGGTACCACCCAGATTAATAAACTGGCTCATCTGATCTTGTGGCCCCCACCCCAGGAACTGACTCAGTGCAAGAAGACAGCTTTGACTTCCTATGATTTCATCTCTGACCTGACCAATCAGCACTCCTGGCTCACTGGCTTCCCCCAACCCACCAAGTTGTCCTTAAAAACTCTCATCCCTGAACGCTCAGGGAGACTGATTTGAGTAATAATAAAACTCCCGTCTCCCGTACAGCCAAATTACTTTATCTCAATTCCTGTCTTGATAAATCAGCTCTGTCTAGGCAATGGGGAAGGTGAACCTGTTGGGCAGTTACATTACAGGGACATGCTGGAAATAGTACCTGGTGTGGTGTAAGTACTTCATAAGCACTGACTATAATCAGCTGTCACTGCCCTCCTTCCCCCTCTCCATTGCCCCTCTCAAGTTTTGACTAGTCTAACACGCATGCTCTCCCTTCCCTGCTGGATGTGCCTGCACCCTAGCCCAGTCTGGCTAAATTCTCATTGTTTAGCTCTCAGTTCAGTCATAACCTCCTCCAGGAAGCCTCTTGGATTCTCCAAGCCACACAGCACTACTACACGCAAGGTGTTGACTCTACTTGTCTCTCCGTCCTTTTTTGCACTCCTTCCCCAGGGCTGCAGGCTCTGTGAGGGCAGGGACCTGGTCTTTGCTCCTCTCCCATGCAGCCCCAGCTCTTATCAGAGTGGATATTCAACAAAGATTCAGATAATACTGCTAAACAAGTGAACCCCAGTATCCCAGTGTGTTCAGGAACCTTCACTGCCTCCTCTGTCTTGTTATGTGCAGGTTTCTCTGGCACTCAGATCTCTGAGAAGTCACGTGCACCCCTCACCGCCCTCGGCACTCACCCAGTATGTGGGTTAAGAGGCCAAAGGAAGTATCGCTCAATATTGCAAACAAACAGGAAATTTAGAACTTCTTCAGGAAGCAAGGACCTACACAAAAGGTTACAAGGTCTACTGTGAATGTTGTGGAGGGAGGCGAGGCTTGGGACTTCCCGGGCTTTGTTTAGCATCAGCACGCTTGTCACCCAGTGAAGGCTAAAGGATAACTCTTCTCTGGCTTTCCTAGACTTTTTTCCTGGGTTCTTTTCTGCTGAACCTCAGGGTGGAGAGAGTTCAGGAGATAGAAAATCATAGCCTTCTGAGAAGGGAATACGTGACAAGTACACTGTGAGAGCCCTTCATGGGCTTGTCTGCACAAGCAACGAAAGAAAACTTCAGCCCCAGACACGATCGATCTGCAAGTCATTCCAGGAAATGGGTGGGAGTCCTGGATGTTTTAAAAGAATGTCCATGGGACTAGGATTGGGGATGAGGAAGGAGACACGGGGTCAAGTCTTGCTCTTACCTCATAGTGGCCAATGGTGTTTAGCTTGGTGATTCCATCTTCAAGAATCACGGAGGAACTGTCGATGTCCAGAAGTTCTTTCTGTCGTGTGCCCATTTGAAGCTCTGAAAAAGAGCATTTTGTTCCTTTTTAGAGAGTTTTAAAATGCCACCACTTTACTTTCACAAATTTATGGATAACTAAAACTTGAATAAAGTGGTAAATCTTTGTTTGAAGGTGTAGAGATGCATCAGCCAGACTGGTAGCCTGAATTCTGAGTTCTGTTTTACTTTGTTTGTTTGTTTAGGGCTCTGATGTTTCAAACCACTTCTTCCCTGATAAGCCTGGAAGTAAAGCCACTGAAGACAAAATAATGCATTCTATGAGGGACGACTAAGCTCTTCAACAAAAATTCCAGAAGCAAATTTGTATATGCTCACACTTGTGTGCCCATGTTCACAAAGAGAGGCATGATATGAACCATCTCTGTAGGCTCCTGTTCGGGGTGGAGGGGGAGGCATCAGTGTGCGAAGGTCCCAGCACCACAGTGGGCAGACTCTCTGGCCAAGGCTGCTAACCTATGCCTAGGTGAGCATGTGGTGCACAAATGTGATTTTTCTTTTTTTGGAACCTGCATGGTGTTTAATTATTATTTTAGTGTCAACTCAGTGCCAACATTTAAAGATTAAAAGATTGCACATAGGCTGGACATAGGAGCTCAGACCTATAATCCCAATACTTTGGGAGGCGGAGGCAGGGGGATTACTTGAGGCTAGGAGTTCAAGACCAGCCTGGGCAACATAGTGAGACTTGTCTCTATAAAATTTTTTTTAAAAGTTTTTAAGTTGCATATAAAAAACTGGATATCTGATTTCTTTAAAAAAAGAAAATCGAACAGTCTAGTAATACAATCTGTAGTCCACATGGCAACCACTGAAGCAAATGGCACTGTCCCCTTGGATGGCGAGTCCTTTCCCATTAAGTCAAGCTCCACTGCTTTCTGTAGTCCCAGGCGGCTGACACCCCTTATGTATTTTCTGCCCCTTTGGGCATCTGCGTTTTTGAGTCTCTGCTGTAAGAGCTCCAAGCATAGCTGCTTCTGGTGTTGGATTTCTTTTTTTTGGTTTTGTTTTTGTTTTTTTTGGAGACAGGGTCTCCCTCCATTGCCCAGGCTGGAGTACAGTGGCGCAATCTGGGCTCACTGCAACCTCTGCCTCCCGGGTTCAAGCAGTTCTTCTGCCTCAGCCTCCCAAGTAGCTGGGACCACAGGTGTGCACCACCATGCCTGGCTAATTTTTGTATTTGTAGTAGAGACAGAGTTTCACCATGTTGGCCAGGCTGGTCTCAAACTCCTGACTTCAGGTGATCCACCAGCCTTGGCCTCTCAAAGTGCTGGGATTACAGGCGTGAGCCACCACGTCCAGCCTGGTGTTGGATTTCAGTACAGTTGATGGCTGGTTTCTGGAGGTAGTCTGGGAAATCAGCAGGCACACAGAAGCCTGACATAGCTGATAGGCTGTGTCCCCAGGCCCCCTCCTTGCTCTGCTCCTTGCCTTCCTACTTTAGGAGGCAAGGGACACCCAAACTCAGGAAAAGAGTAAGGATGCTACTACCTACTCATCAGCGGCAGGACCAAGACTGTCGGGCGGGGTATGCCCATGTCCTTTGTAGTGACAGCCACATATTTGCAAGATGTATGCTCAGAGCAAGGAAGCTGGGGGTCTGGGGTCAGGGTCATGGTGTCCTGGCTGGGGCTCCCCCTTTGATCCTGTATCTAACCAAATGAGCTAAAATGGTCCTCAAGTGACTCAACGGTCACCCAAGGAAGGAAGCAGAAGAGGGGTGCCTTAGCAGCCCTGCTTTCTTTAAAGCCACATCACCAAGTTGCCCCACATTTGCATGGTCTCAAACTTCCAAGACCCTGCCTCAAGGCTTTATCAATGGCCTTTTAGCAGGGGGCTGGACTGGGAGGGCCGAGTGGGAGGATTTTAATTGCCTGCTTAGTCAAGGCCTATAACTGTACATCAAGGGGAAGTGAACCTCGTTACACTGTCTGTCACCACCATGATTCTATTCTTCATTTCTGTCCCATTATCTGCTATAAAATCCCACGACAGTCTCCTGGGAGGACTGCACGGAGCTCAACTTTAAAATGTTGATGAACATTTGAGGGAAGTGGGGCCCTGTTAGCTTGCTCACGCATATGCTCTCCTTTGCAGTATACCAGTAGAGCCCGAAAATGAATTCATAGCAGATGCTGCTGCACACTGAGGGAGGACGGAGCATATACTTAATACAGGATGTGATTAGCAGAGGAAGATGACCTTTCTAGCAGGCTAGAGTTAACACCCAGAGTCTGAGCCACCCAGTAATGACACGCTCAGTATCACAACAAACAAATCAAATGCCAATGTGAAATGCAACACACGCAGAGGGCACTGTGTTGACACCTTTCTGTATTTCATGATGCAAGGTGATTCCGTGCAGTCTCAGGGCCTGCAATCTCATCAATCTGATTTACAGACGTAATATTTAAAGACAACAACAACAAACGCCATCTTTGAAGGACCGTGCTTCCTTCGAAGAATCAGGATGCCCATGAGAGACCAAAGCAGTCTCTTGGCCCCTAGACATGCCCTCCAGGAACAACCTGGCTGTGTAAGTGTCACTGAATGGAAGCTGGTGGGGGCAGGGAGGGGGGACAGGGAGGGAGGGCAGGCAGGGAGGGACACTCATCAGGGCCTGGGACCACATAGCTCCCGCACCGCCTTACCAAGACCAATTTCATTAAGCTGAAGTCCATAAGGAGAGCCATTTTTGCTTAAGAATGCTTGGAAAATCTTTTCTTTGGCTTGGCCAATGGTGTCACAGTCGAGAACATTGACTGAAATATTCCGACAGACATCTGCACTCTCGTTTTCCGGGATTTTTTCAAAGACGACGTTTAATGCCTGCAAGAGTACAAACAGGTTTCCAAGTCTATTAGATAATTGCAATCTGAAAGGCATTTCATAAAAGACACAAACCTTAGCAAGTCCCACTAATACCTCTGACAGCACATTAGCAAACACTGTATTGCATTAGACTACTTTCATCTTTTCTCCATAATCCATTCTTTTCAGGGATAATGGAAGGGAAAACAGAAAGTTAAAACTCTCATTATAGAGCAAGCATTGAATAAATATATCTGAGAGTAAAATATACATATACACATAAATAGTCTAAAAATGGTAATTTGGTGATTTCTAATTTCTCCTCAAAAGAAAAAGAAAAAAAAGAATTGGAAGGGTTCCACAGTAGATGAGGCAGACTGGTGATTATCTTTTTTATTAATAGGACCACAGAGTCCCAGAAGTGCAGTTCTAGGTGACAGGGAAGGTTACGAGGTCCCCATATTGACCATGCCAGAGGTCACTTTTTTTTTTGAGATGGAGTCTTGCTCTGTCACCCAGGCTGGAGTTCAATGGTGCTATCTTGGCTCACTGCAACCTCCGCCTCCTGGGTTCAAGCAATTCTCCTGCCTCAGCCTCCCAAGTAGCTGGGATTACAGGCACATGCCACCATGCCTGGCTAATTTTTGTATTTTTTTAGTAGAGACGGGGTTTCACCATGTTGGCCAGGCTGGTCTCAAAGTCCTGACCTTGTGATCTGCCCACCTCAGCCTCCCAAAGTGCTAGGATTACAGGCGTGAGCCACTGTGCCCGGCCCAAAGAGGTCACTTTTTTAATATGCAGCATTAATTACAGGAACATTCATCTACCCCTCCGCTTTCAACATCCTCAGTCAGATGGTTTCCCCAGCCCTCATTAAAGCACTGAGATCCCCACCCCATACTATGATTCTTGCATTAATTACTTTACATTTCAGCACCATTACTTAACATTTTGTCAGTGAACATTCTCCTAGTGCAGCAAAACTTCAGAATCAGACTAATGGGGGAAGTAAGGCCTTTGTGCACGTGTGAAAACACAGAACTAGGGAATATTTCAAAACAAACTGAAAAGCAATTCCAAGTTTACTTTGTCTAAGAACAAATAGATCTAAAACAACAAAGTTTTACCTGATACGTACCCTCACGGGAATTGATTCAGGGAAGAGCCAAGAGTATTTTGCAAATAGCATAACATAGCAGTTTAGATTCTAATGCACCTTGGTAATCACAAAGTCAGAAAGGCTTGGGTATGGTGTGAAATGCACAATTATTTAATGTTTTGAGCCTGGCTTAACGAGGGAATGTAAAATGATCAAGTAATGGGAATTTTGTTTTGTTTTTTTTGGTTTTAAGGAGCGGAGAGTCTAACAGGCAAGAAGGAAGGGAGAAGACAGAAGGAAGATGCTCGCCCATACAGAGACAGAGGGAGGGGGGGCTCCAAAGCCGAAAGAGGAGGTCCCCAAGTACTGTGGACACTAGCCAGGTATATATGCAGAGGCTGCAGGAGGCAATGTCTGATTTGCCTAGGGCTCAGGGGAGAGATGAAAACACAAATCATATGGAAGATGGGAACCCTCAGGCCTACCTCAACTTAAAAATGGGTGTAATAACAGTACCGGCCTTCTAGCATTGTTAGGGAGATTAAATGTGATCATGCATTCAAGGGCTTAGCACGGGGCCAGGCTGCTGGGAAAGGCTTGATGATAGTATCGGCAATAAAACCTGTACAATTACTATTGTTGGCATTAGTATCCACTCATTTGCAAACAGATTCAGCCCACATTGGACAGCTAGGACGCCCACTCCATGCTCAGTATCTCTGAATAAGGAGGAGGCTGCCAGCAATGAACCCAGTGGAAGCCAGTAGACTCCTGGCTTTCATCCCAGTCCACCGCAAGCCAGCTGGGTGACCTCTGAACCCATCCCTAACCAGCTGTGTAACCTCTGTGTATGTCGCTTTCTCATCTGCAAAGAGGGCATAACAACAGTAACCGCACAGTTCTTAGAACAGCATCTGGCATGTGAGCCCGTGACTTATGGACCACTGACGTGGATGTGGGGCTTCTGAAATTTCGGGAGGTTCTCAGGGGTGTTTCTTGTCTTTAATGCTGCTATGATCTGAATATTGATGTCCCCCTAACTCCAGGTATTGAAATCCTAACCCCCAAGGTGATGGTACTTGGAGGTGGGGCCTTTGGAGGGGATTAGATCATGAGGGCAGAGTCCTCATAAATGGGATTAGTGCCCTTATAAAAGAGGCCTCAGAGAGCTGCCCTGCCCTTTCCACCATGTGAGGACCCAGCAGGAAGGCGCCATCATGAGAAAGGGGGCTCTCACAGGACACCAACTCTTGATCTTGGACTTCTCATCCTCCAGAACTGTGAGAAATAAGTTTCTATTATTTATAAGCCACCCAGTTTATGGTGTTTATAAAGAGCTGAGACAAACACCACTAAATCTTGCCCTTATAATCCTGTTGATAATTACGCAAGAGTAAATTTTGTTCTGGTCTCAACCAAATGATTAAAACTCCGAATCAGTGGAATCTGAACTCTGAGGTAAGCCGGTGATCTCCGTCTGGCCTGTACGAGTTTCCCTCCTACAACAGAGTCACTCCCTTGCCTGCTCTCAGAGAACCTTTATGTTCTGGGCCAGCCACCGACTAGGAAGGGGTTCAAAGGCCTGTCTGCTCACAAACAAGAAACAAAAAATACCAGACAGGAGAGAAGGCAGGGAGCTGGTGGGCAGAGTGCCTAGAAGGAACCAACATGTGAAGCCTCACACCCGAGCCCTCTCCTCACCTCCCTTTTCTAGAAATGTTTCCTGGATTATTATTCCCATCCCTGTTGTAGAGTGAGGGAACTGAGGCACAGAGGGGCTGAGTAACTTGCTCCAGGAACAGCTCACCAGTGGCAGAACCAGGAATTGAAGCCAGATTTGCCTAACTGCACAATTGGTGCCACAAACCCCTCGGCTATGCCATCCCCGCTTTACCACCCGCCCTCCCTCCCTCCTTCTGGTTCCACCTATAGCCCAGGAGCCCTCCTGACCCTCCAGAAACCCTGGCTTAGCTCAGGCTGTAAGCAATGTCCTAAGCTAAATTCCCCACACCAGTGGGAGGGGTGGGTGTGAAGGGGTCAATGCTGGTGCCACCACCTACGATCTTGTTGGGGTCTTGCCTTATTTCTCTGCAAGGTGATCTTCTCATGGTGGCGGGTAATTGCAGTTAAGCTACTTCAGTTTCTAAAGGGAAAGATGAATGGGAGGCACCTTTTAATCGGAGCTTCAGCAATCTCAGCTTGTTTAATAGTTTTATAAATATTTGTGAAACAGCATTCTATTACTACCTAAAGGCACTATTGTCTTTAACAAAAACACTTTTTTATGGGCAATAAATGTTCTTTTTAAAAACATAACCAAAAGAAAAAACACCCTTAACTGGATGTAAAATAATGTAAATCTGCCACTGCCTCCACAGCTGGATGGGTGGAAAAGAGGTAAAATGGCATTTTACAGAGTCCACAGGGAATTCTGAGAGTAAATTCAGACATAAATTGATATGTGTTCATTTTTCATGCTGCTAACACTTAGTGCTCAAACAGCAGTTTCTTTTTTTTTTTTTTTTTTTTTTTTTTTGAGACGGAGTCTCGCTCTGTCGCCCAGGCTGGAGTGCAGTGGCGGGATCTCGGCTCACTGCAAGCTCCGCCTCCCGGGTTCACGCCATTCTCCTGCCTCAGCCTCCCAAGTAGCTGGGACTACAGGCGCCCGCCACTACGCCCGGCTAATTTTTTGTATTTTTTTAGTAGAGACGGGGTTTCACCGTTTTAGCCGGGATGGTCTCGATCTCCTGACCTCGTGATCCGCCCGCCTCGGCCTCCCAAAGTGCTGGGATTACAGGCGTGAGCCACCGCGCCCGGCCAAACAGCAGTTTCTTAAGGCGTAAGTACAGTCAAGGCCCTTGGGGTCAGCCTCTTAACACCTCCACCCCCAGGCTGGGAAAGTGCACGCGGGCCTCTGCTCTGTGATGGGGAGCAGATGCCTGTGCCATGTCAGACAGCGTGACATCACAGCGTCTGCCCTCAGCCACTGTACCCCATCGGGGGAGACACCTCGATGGAAGCGCCATCTCTCCGGCTCCCACACTCCCACCAAAGCCCATTTAACCAGCATGTTCTCCTGCCCTATTTAGTATTAGGGCTGGGATGTCAGAGAGATGTTATGACATAGTCCTTGTTCTCAGATAATTCATGATAAATTTCAGAGACAAAAGCATCATCTGTGGGACAACAGTCACCCATCAGTGACTATCACCCTCAGCAAGTGTCCACAGAGGATTCTGAGTAGGGAGGACAGTGGGGGTCAGGGCCCTGAGTTCCAGGCCCAGCACCGGGCCACCTGGACCCTCCCATTCTCTGCTGCTCACCAGCTGAGGGAATGTAGGGAAGTCGTCTAACTTCGCTGAGCCTTAAAATCCTCACTGTTCCTATCTCAAAGGAGTGACAGGATCACTAAATAATGACACATAATAATAGCAAATTAAGGAGTGCTTTATAGGTGCCAGACACTGTTTTAAATGACGTGTGTGTATTTGTATATGTAAATCTCAGAAACAACCCTGTGAGGTAGATTCTTTTACTCATCCCCTTGTGGCAGATGAGAAACTGAGGCACAGAGAGGTTAAATAAATGGCACAAGGTCAGCCAGCAAGAAGATGGTAGAACCGGGTACTCAAGCTCCGTGTTCTTAAACACTCGGTGATCCTGCCTTTGGAAGTACAAGAATGTTTTGTAAAGTAAGCATGGTCCAAATCGATGGGATGGCATAATACCCAGAAAATACCCATGAAAGGCTAAAGA
Source organism: Homo sapiens (assembly GCF_000001405.40). Lineage (NCBI taxonomy): Eukaryota > Metazoa > Chordata > Mammalia > Primates > Hominidae > Homo > Homo sapiens. The sequence goes on along the minus strand of NC_000012.12, from coordinate 94,274,634 downwards.
GCTGTGAAATGTACACTGGTCCCTTCCCCAGAAATCTGCCCTCTGTTTAGAGGGACTGCCCTGCCTCTTCCTATTTCCTTGGCAGGAAAGTGTCAGTAAGCTGCGGTGGCAGATCTGGTTTGTCGTCCAACCAGCAGCCATCCCTCCTCTGCTAACAAAGGCCAGGTCTGCACAGCAGTGGGTCCAGCCTGGGTTGGGAGGCATGATCAGCAGCAACTCCCTTCTCTTTCACCAGGGACTGGTCATGTAACCCAGCTCTGGCCAACACATAAAACCAAGGGTTTTCTTTCTTTCTTTTTTAATAGACAGGGTCTCACTCTGTTGCCCAGGCTGAAGTGCAGTGATCATGGCTTACTGCAGCCTCGACCTCCCAGGCTCAGGCAATCCTCCCACCTCAGCCTCCCACATAGCAGAGACTACAGGTGCACACTGCCATGCTTGGCTAAATTTTTTTTTTTTTTTTTTTTTTTTTTTTTTTTAGAGACAGGGTCTTGCTGTGTTGCCCAGGCTAGTCTTGAACTCCTGAGCTCAAGTGATCCTCCCACCTTGGCTTCCCAAAGTGCTGGGATTACAGGTGTGAGCCACCACACCCTGTTGGAAGTCTTCTATCCAAACAAAAGGGGGAGTAGCGCTTGGAGCGGTGGCAGCCATCTTGTGACTAGGATGGCAGGGCCAGGAGGTACTGGGAGATGGTGACGCAGAGCTCTGACACCACGGAATGTAGGGACCGGCTTGGAGCTCCTTCCCTCCAGACTTTCTGCTCTAAGAGGCAAGTCATGCTCTTACTATTTCAGGCATCCTTAGTTCAATTTTCTCTTACTTATAGCTGCATGTGCCAAACTGCCAGAGCTCATTTTGTGGATGCTGAGGTAGATTCGTCTATTGATGACCATTTACTTTGCACCTATTGTGTGCAGGGCACTGTAGGTGATACAAATCAGAACCTGTACTCATCCTGCTTGGGAAGTACTAGCAGACTAGTAGAAGAACTGTGGGGCATATACAACACATTCTAATGCCAGGTAGAATGTGGGAGGTACAGACGGAGCATTTTAGGGATTTAGAGAGGTACCTCTTTTAGGTCGGCAGGGGGTTTTCAAACAGAGAAATCAAGGAAGGCTGCATGGAGGAGGCAGCATTTGAATTGGGTCGCAAAGAGCTGTAGTTCATGAGGGAGGCCCCTAGACCATGGAGACACTTGGCTTCCAGTCTCTAATTAGACTGGTGAGCAGGAAGCTTCAATCACTCACTCAGGCTATCAGGTCAGGAAGTCTACAGAAAAAAATCCCACCTTCTTTGGGTGGAAGTATGGGTGGAGGACTTGTAGCCCAGGCCTGCCTCCCAAAACCACCTCCTGCCACCTGAAAGAGAGTCCCTGTACTATTCATAGGAAAAAAATATGGTAAAGAAAAGAATATGGTTCTAGATTTGTAATAATAAGGACCAGCATTTATTGAGTGCTTATCACGTACTGGGAATGCAATTATAGGTTCATTCAATCCTCACAACTGCTCTATGAAGTAGGTGCCATTATTAGCCTCATTTAATGGATGAGGAAACCGAGACCAGAGAGATTTAGAAGCATGTCCAAAATCATGGAGCCGGTGGGAGTCATAACTAGGACGTGTCCTGACTCTGGGCTGCGAAGCGAAGAGGCCAGCCAAGGTGATGAGCCTCCCAAGGGCAGTTCCCCTCTGCTTGAAGGCCTCAATGAATGCCCTCCCAGGAGACAGGCTGGACATAGGCGATCTGGTAGAGGAGGCTTGACCTCCTCACCCCAGCTTGATATTGAACCCCACAGAACCCACTGAATCTGGAGCACCCTGTGCCTCCGGTGCCACCCAAGGACATTTTTACAGAGCTTCTGTTCACCCAGAATAAAGGTGACATTTCCCAGCCTCTGCTGCTGCCAGGTGTGGCCAGTATGCTCCAGATTCAGTGGGCTCAAATGATCCTCCCACCTTGGCCTCCAAAGTGCTGGGATTACAGGTGTGAGCCACCATGCCCAGTGGGAAGTCTTCGATCCGAACAAAAGGGAGAGTAGTGCTTGGAGCGGTGGCAGCCATCTTGTGACTAGGATGGCAGGGCCAGGAGGCACTGGGAGATGGTGACCCAGAGCTGGCCTCTTGGCTTCGCAGCTCAGAGTCAGGACATGTTCTGGTTATGACTAAGTCCTGGCCGATGACATTAAGTGGATATGTTATGTGGCACTTCCTTAAAAGATGGCTGGTGACCATCTGCCCTCCTTTCTACAGCCCTGCTTACATCCTGCTGGCTGGGATGGGGAATGAGGCTGGGGTGAGCAGACACTTAGAATATGAGGACAAGAGAGGAGCAGCTGCTCTACCAGCCCTGCACTGCCCACCCAGAATGCCACCAGGGAGAGAACTCAGCTTCTCTGTTGCTGAAGCCACAGACATCTTGGGTCTCTGTTCTGTACAACTGAACTGCATCCTGATTGATTTGGGAATGATGCCTATTACCAAGGAGGGTTATGAGAAAGAAAAGACTATTGGAAAATGTATGGTCCAGAAGGCCCGGGAAGAGGGCCAGGCTGGAAAGGCCTGGCCCCTTTGTAGCATGTCAGCCATCAGCCTCTCACAGGTTATCACGGTCGTCTCCTGTTCACATCTGCCCAATGGGATACTGTCTGCCACAGGTTGTAAACACCCCATCACAGCGGTCATATGTAACATTTTTAACAAGAACATAAGCACACAGGCACCCAAGAAATGCTTTTCATGATGATGGAATCAGCTAATCAACTCCCCCACATCCCACATCATCAATAAATAACCAACCAAAAAGAATACTGACGGGACACTTTCTGCTTAGTGAAGCTTACAGGAGACAAGAGAAAAGCACACCTCAGACAAGGAAAACTGAATCAAAAAAGAATGAGCACCTACTTCACACCAGGAAAGATGGCTAGACGTGGTACATGTATTATTTTCTGACCTCACCACAAATATGCGAGGGCAGGTTTTGGTCATTGCCTGTTTACAGAAGAGGAAACAGGTTTTGAGAGGTTGAGAGACTTGCCCAGAGTAAAGTGGCTGAGCCCAGATTCAAACCCAAGACTATCAGACTCCAAACCCCACCTCTTCTGCACACGGCCTGGGAACATGTAACTGCATTCCCCTTTCACTACCGGTTTTACCCATCGTCCCGTCACATGATTTGGTGGTTTTGGGTATTGAGGAGGCAGAGAGGATAAGGCTGCAGGGGGCTGGCAGGATGAATCAAGGGCAGGGGAACAGGTCTTTTCCCACATGGGAAGATGATCTGGCTACCTCACTGTCTCCTCAACCATATTCTTGGCTAATAAAAGCAGGAACGTTGCTGCCTCCTTTCTGTGATACCTTATAATGCCTAGAAAGTAACTGTAAGATAATTTATTACAAACTGGCAACTTTATCATAAAAGGCCTTGGAGCAATAATTGCTTTCATTAAATAAAACCTATAAAATATATTTCTAATTTTATTTCAGGGCCGAATGAAAGTCAAGAGAAAAGCCTAGTTCTTATACCAACCTGAATTAAAGAGAGAAGAAACAAGAAAGAAAATTCAGTTTCAGAAGTTCCGTAGAAGCAGCATGAGGCCAGTTAGAAGTGCAAGTCTGAGGGAAACTTCTGATCTAAGCTTCTTTCCAAGCCAGAGTCAGCAGCCCTGGGACATTCTGCCTGACGTTCCCCTTTGAGCTGCGCTTGCCCATCCAGCCTCCCCTCTTCACTCTGCTCCCCTTTTCCTTTCCCCACAAAGATCCATAAATCACAGCTTCCTGGATCAAGGGATCTGCTACTCTAACAGAAGAGTAAGGGGTGGAGGACAGGGTAACGAGAGCCTTTTTCCATTTAAAAAAAAAAAAAAGTAATGGAGATAATTTTCTCAAATTTAGGTTTCTCTCACCAATTTTTCTATACTTGCTAGCATTTGCTAACGTTTTGTCCATCCTAGAATCAAGTATGAAGAGCTGTCTGATTTAGCCCAAGATAACTGATTTTAGTATTCACAGTATTTGCGGGTGCAGGGTTGGGGGTGGGGGTGGGTGTTGTGTGTTGGCAAAGAGCCCCATGAGTTTCAGACTTGTAAATAGTGGCAAGGCATTTCCATTGCTGTGTCCCAGAAGGGGAGGAAAGAGGCCAACCTGTTTGTGGGTTTGTGGGAGGGAGGATTCTGGTTCCTATTCTCTACTATGTCAAGCTCTAGATTAAAGGCCAACAAACTTTCTGCAAAGGGCCAGAAAGTATTTAAGACTTAAAACTCATATGATCTCTGTGACAACTACTCCACTCTGCACTGTAGCAGGAAAGCAGCTATAGACAATAAGGAAATGAACAGGTGTTCCAATAGAACTTTATAAAAATAGGCAGAGGGGCCACATTTGGCCCACAGGCTGTTGTTTGCTGGTCCCTGCTCTAGATAACAGTACCTTCAAATGGAATGCTAACTTTGACAATAGCAACAAGACAAATCTGGAAAATGCTTTCTATCTCCGCCATGACTTGTGATAAAATTTACCATTCTCTGAGGGGTACAAATATAAATAATGATCCTAACAATAACATAATAGAGTCACATTTGAGCTATAAAGAAAAAAAGTAAATACTTTTATATTTAGATAACTAAATTATTTTCTAATTCCAAGATTACAGGCATGAGAAGAAAGTGTATGAAGAGGAAAGTCATTTAAAGCACCCATTACATGTTAATTTTTCATTTTCCATGACTTGCCATCAACGAGGGAATGACTTACCTAAAATGATTGTAAAAAGTGGTTTCACTCTTTGATCAGGAAGCTCAGAACACTAACTATGAAGTTAGTAATGGTTTCAGTACTATTGCAAGTCATAATGGAAATGATTTGCACTATGGTAGAGAGAAAAATAAAAAGCTCAAGAATTGTTAATTAACTTCACTGTTTCTCCACAAATGGTAGGAGTATTAAAAACAAGATTGCTGAAGTGCAAACATCAGGATTTAATGAACAATGGAATGTAATTGAAGTAACAGAGAATGACTTAATCGGGACAGTGGGTTGTTTAATTACGGGGCTAATGGATCTTCTGCAAGGACAAACTAAATGGAACAGAAGCAGCCAGCACTGGTAGGCAGAGCACTGTTAAAGGAAGTATACTAGTAAGAAACTCCTGGTGGAGACACCTAGGGCTCTGTTGTATATGAGATATTTTATTAAACGTAATTGTCCCAAAATGGTAACTGCTAGAGAAAGAGACAGACTGGGGTAGGCTGGCATAAACCTTCAATAAATCAAATTGGAGGCATTAATATTTCTGCAGGCATGTACTTGTGCTTTTTCAAGAATTTCTAATAATCTTGAAAACTTTCTTATAGATAGGAGAATGAAGGCAATAATATTTTTGTCGGAACAGTTTTCCAGGGTGCCAAGATGCTCTCTCTCAGATACAGCAGATTGGCAAGCTCGTTTTCTAAGAGTTCAAAAAACCATTTCACACTTAACTTTGATTACAAGTCAACCTTCTCTTGCTAATTCAGCACGCTTGCTACGAGTTATTGGTTTTTCTCATCTCTTCCTGAAAGTGAAGCAAATGTCCCTTCTCCCATGTGAAATCCTCAAACTTTCACTAACTCCTCCAAAGTTCCACTCTTGACAAAACGTAAGCTGAGTGAGTCTGAGATACTCCATCAACAAAATCAAACATGTTCAAAATTTTGCAAAGGGGAAAAAAACCCAGCAGAGCAATAGGTCTTATTATCGGCCGGATGCAGTTGCTCACACCTGTAATCCCAGCACTTCGGGAGGACAAGGCAGGTGGATCACTTGAGGCCAGGAGTTCAAGACCAGGCTAGCCAACACGGCGAAAACCCGTTTCTACTAAAAATACAAGCATTAGCCTGGCATGATGGCAGGTGCCTATAATCCCAGGTATTTGGGAGGCTGAGGCAGGAGAATCGCTTGAACCCCAGAGGCGGAGGTTGCAGTGAGCCAAGACTGCGCCACTGCACTCCAGCCTGCACTAGAGTGGTATTCCTTAAATTAAAAAAAAAAAAAAAAAAAAAAAAGGTCTTATTCTCTTCCAGCTGTCTGATCTGAATTCCTAGATATTAAGGAAAGACTAAAGTCCTGTGTGTGCACAGCCCTACCCCTGGTGCTGACATTAGGGAGGATGCAGATATCAGGGCATTCTGTCTCACTGTTGCCTCATTAAACACCAGCCTGGAATGCTTGATAGAGAAGGATGGTTTCTTATGGTCCTGGAGGAAGTATGGCTCTAGGGGACTTTGCTTGGATTTTTGGCAAGACAGAGGAATTTTCTTCTCAATATGCAAGAAGAGAACATTACTTCCCAGGGCCTCTTTGTTAGTGTCATGATTTCATGTATAAGAAATTGGCAAGATGCCTTTATGTTCTAGAAAATCCCCCACACCTCAGGGAGAACACATCCTCATCTGAGAGGTGTGAAAGCTAACTTTTAGATTGCTATATGAGGTGCTGTGCTTCTGAGCATTTAGCTGAACACGAGTGTGGGGGCCTTTTTTCCAAACGTGTCCCTGCCTTGGCACCAGGTTCTGTCATTTCAAGTGGTTCGTGAGGATGCTCTTGATTTCCGACTTTCCTTTCCTTGAAAGAATCTGCCCCCAACCTCCCACCTCCCCAGCACACAAGGACACACAGAATCAGTTTGTTCACCGCACCTTGGTTTTCAATTACATAAACCACCTCAGGCAAATTTGGGAAATCAAGTCCTAAAATGGCTGGGTGTACATGCTTGGGAGGGGTAGGTGGGGGAAGTGAAAAAGAAGGGGAGGAGGGAAGGGAGGAAGAAAGAAAATTAGAAATATGGTGGTTCAGGCTGGGGGAAATGCCTGAAAGGAAATGAAAAACTTAAATTTTTTATATTGACCTTCTGCTAACAGTTTGTCACACAAGCATAGAACGGATCATGTGCCTTCTCTGCAGCTTCTCGTACAACTGCCAACCATGAAAGGGGGGCTGGGCCAGGCCCCATAAGAGGCACTAACAATCATTTTTAAAGGCAAGGCCCCTAAAAACAAGTGGCCCATTCCTTTTCAAGGCTCAAATCTTATGTACCGGCAAATCTGAATTTGAAAAGGAAGATTTATGTGGATTTCTGAAATCATGATTTTCCATTACCCTTTTCCCCAGGGGCTATAAAGAAAAAAAAATTTCAAGAGTCGACATGAATTCCTTCAGCATCAAGTAACATTATGATGATGAGTCGAGTGTTAACAAATCAGAAACACATGGTCTTAATTGACTGTGAAATAAATAATGTTTCGAAATGAAAGGGAGAAAACACGTTCAGATGTAAAGCATTAAAAAGGCTTCAAAACCTCAAAAGTTGCCTCAGACATCTGACCTCTTCCTGATTCCAACCCATCTTCTCCTTTCCTGTCTTTCCTGTTTGGGTCCGGTGTTGTCTCATGACTGAAATGCTGGAGGATTCCCGACTATAATCATTTGCAAATATTTCTCTTTGGAGACCTTTGGGGCTTCTAAAACGTCTTAAAGTAAAGGCATGAACATCTTCTAGGTTAGGAATAACAAGCCCAGGATCAGCGAAAGGTGAGTCAACAGGCCCTGTGCAAAGTTTGTCTCTTGTTCTCCAAGATACCCAGTGGTGTCCAGGCTGAACACACATCAGAGATATCTGGAAGGTTTACAAAATACATCCACGCCTGGGCTCCCTCCCCAGAGATTCTGATTCAGTCAGTCCCGAGGGAAAGCCCGGGCACTGGTATATTTGCACCTGCATTTTAAACAAGGGTTCAATGAGATCTGGATCAAATGGAATAAAGTTTTAGGTAGCACTCACATGCCTGGCAATGTTCTAAGTGCTTTTTATAATACTGACTCTTAATCCTCAAAACACCTCATGAGATGGGTAGGAACCATGACCATCATTTCCATTTCACATGTGAGGAGAATGAGGCATAGAGAGGTTTAGAAACTTGCCCAACATTACACAGCTAACCAGTGGCAGAGGCAGGATTCCAAAATGTCTGGCCCCAGAGTCCATGCTGTTAACCACTCTACCAACAGTTGTTAAGCAGCACCCGCAGCATCAGGAAGCTGGTTAGGGAAGTGAATTCTCAGGCCACAGCCTGGATTTACTGCATCGGAAACTCCAGCATGCTGCCTAGCGACTGGTGTTTAGTGAGCTTTCTGGGCGATTCTGCTAGATGCTCAAGTTTGAGAACCAATGCAGCCCACTCTCCGGCCTCTCAGATGTGGATGGGTGTATTGATACAATTCAGAACGCTGAGAAGTGTTGACTTTCAGCTCAGCTTCCCGCTCTCGGATGGCAGCTGTGCATGGTGCCATCTTTGATGGAGAAGTGAGCCGCATCTGGCAGTGGCAGAAAACTTGAAACAGCTGACCTACGGACTATTCTCCCACCAGAGGACATAACCATAACACGCTCCACGGCAAAGTGGTGCCTTCTCCAATTAGGGAATGAATTCTTCCCAGATGACACTGCAGTCCCCACCATCCAGAGCAAAGCCACAGAAGACTCAGCTCTCTTAATGAGCAATTCCCAAACCCCACTGTAATCTTTTCCTCCTCCACTAACGAGATCGTGAAGAAGCCCAGAATCTTCATAAAGCTAAAGATCAAACCAAAACACAGCAATCTCTTCTCCAAGTCTCTACTAACAGAAAAGCATAGAAAATTCCTAATTCTAAAGTTACCTTCCCTGCTTGGCTCCCTCTCTGAAATTCCCAAATGTGCCCCAAACTGGGCTTTCTTTCTTTCTTTAGGAAGAGCATGGGGTGGGTGCGGTGGGGATGAATTAGAAAGAAGTTCTCAAGCGGGTGAAACCCTCCAGCAGCTAGGCAATCATCTTCCTGTAGTGATTTACAGCGTTCCTCTAAAAATATCTATGAGATCACAGTACATTAAGTGCATGACACCAAACATTTGTAACTAATCCATGAAAATAAAGGGCGTCACGTTGCATGGGGAACGTGGTGGAATTTGTCTTGTGTTATCATTCTAAAATAAGACGGCCTCAATTTGATTGAAATATATCTTCACACATTGTCTTCCCAGAGCAGAGCCATTTGAGAAATTCTGATTGCAATTATAAGTGCTGAATAGGGAGTACTTTGCATTTCCTTTGACGACACTGAAAGTTATAAGCAATCCTGATATTAAAATCTTTGGAAATTGATGAGTACCCCAGGCATCATTACAATATTTTCTCCCCCAATCTCAGTAATTAAAATCTATTATGTGAACACGTGTTAACAGTTTTATCAACTACTGTTTTTAATTAACTAAACACACAGGGCCTCCCGCAGTAGAGATGATACCGTTTCATTGTAAATGACCCACCTCACCCTCTAATTCCCCGCCAGATTTATTTGGGAGTCTGGCTGGGAGCTTTATTGAAAACATACCACAGTACTGAATTCCGGAACCTGCCACAACAGCCAGTCTTCATTAAGTGTGTACAGGGCTTTGCAAGTGATTACATCCACGGGACCCTTGTTAATTTTCTGGTTCAGAGTCGTCACCAGCAAATAGAAGGGCTCTCCGACAGTCTCCTTGGAAAAGACACAAAAGTGACAGTTAGCTTTCTGTGGAATCCACTGTACTTTCCAAAGAATTAAAGTTTCTGTTTACAGCAGTAAGGCAGGAGACAGGGTTTTCTAACACTCAACATGAAACGCCCAAGAAAATACACGTTGCTCCACTTGGGATTGGATGCAAAACTCAGAAAACCGCCTCCTCTCTCCATCGCGAATGCACATCTGCACACGCGCACGCGTGCACATTCACAGCGACGTGCAGTACCCACAGTATACCTTGTTATTTTATGTTTAAACTTACATATGGCAGACTAATGCTCATCAGTGGGTTAATGCCTAGGAACAGTTAGATGTGGAGAGTGTACCTTTGTTTACATTCGTATTTAATCACCCTTTAGCAAGCCAGAAATAAACGACATTTAAAAAAATGCACAAGTATCCTTAGTAACAAGGATAAATGTAAGAACATTTTATACATTTGCCAAATACAATGTTTTTTGGTGTTAACAGCACTTCTCGAAGGAAGCAGCCTGCCGTTCAACAGTTTGCAGCCTTATCTCCTCTCCATGGGCCAGGCCAGGCCCGGCCCGGGCAGTTCCCAGACACACACTGCACAGTCCCACCTGGACATGTTTTCCGGTGCTGGGCCAGAGGGACTCCATCTTCTTCCCTGAACCAGAGCCAATTCCATTTCCTCTAAGGTTTTTCTCCAAACACTCGGCCCATCCCGATTGGCTCTTTCTACAAATTTAAGCCACATGCATTTTTCCTGGCTGGGGGTGGGGCTGCCTCCCCTGCTGTGATGGAAATGGCTCACATTCGCAGACACGGATGTCTGCATTCCAAAGGACTCTGAGCACCTCAAGTGGGAGGCGGTGTGTTCTGTTTCCACGGCATCCTCCCAAGGCACTTAGCCCTGGGTCAGCTGTAGAGTATTTGCTAAATAACGAACCTTCCGTAATCAATGGACATTAGGCCTCTGTGGTGGAGGAAGAACCGTGGCTGGGAAGTCAAAGTGCCTTAGTGATGACGAAAGGCCAGCCACGTGGCTGGGGCTCGAAGCGCCAGTTAAGAGTCAAGCTTGACAAGCGATACGTCCAGCTGGGAAAGGAGGATTCCACTGGGTCTCACCTGCTTTCCCTTGCGCAGGCAAGTTACCTAAGACATCTTAAGTCTCTCAGCATCCCACCCCAACCCTGTCCCTTCCTTTATACTTGCTGCAGGAATATCTGCCCTCCCCAGTCCCCGGGCTTCCTCTTGCCACCTCCTGCCACCCTGCAGCTTCTATCCCTGCTGTGATACCTCCTTGAGTCTCCTCTTCAGTGCAGGGCAGAAGTGGAAGTTCAGAAATTTCCAAGGTAGGGAGGGCAGCAGGACTAGTGCATGACATTTAATTCTCATGAGAAACTTCCTTTATTTAGTGGTTTACAACCTCACCCTTCTCTTCTCTTTCCCTCCACCGCCCACCTCCCCCACCCCAAGTAATGCCCTGACCACAAAACTTAGAACCTCTTTTCCTCCAGCACAGATCAGAAGGGAGGCTGAGAACCCTTGGATAGGGGCTGTGTACTCCCGCAGGGGTTGGAGTCAGGGGGCCAGGTGGGCTCTCGGGGGCTGTGTGAAGGGACAGGTCTTGACTCAGGAGGCCTGTGGTCAGGAATTCTCCAGAACTTTCTGGAGAGTAGCTAGACTGAGCTAAGTAACATCTGGCCCTACACTCTGCCCATGCTCCTGGGTCTAACCCTGGCTAATCACCAGAATCCCTTGCGGGCTCTTGTTAAGCATTCAGATGCCTGAGCTCCACTCTAGACCTACAGAGCTGCCATCTCTCTGAAGAATGAGGCCTGGGTATCTGTAGTTTTCATTACCTTCCCGGGGCCGGGGGCGGGGAGGCGGTGGGGGAGGAGGATTCTGATGTGTGGCTGATTTGGGGAATCACAGGGCCATGAGGTTTCTCTGTCACCACTAAACACAACTTTTAGGCGAGCCACAGCCGCTGCGTACGTGATTCCCCTCCCCCAGGGGCCAGGCTTCGACACTTTAACAGACCAGGGCAGATTCCATCTTTTCAGGGCACAGGGCGGTGGCTAAGAGCTCTCGGACCCTGGTGCTGTCCCACAGTAGCAGTGAGATCTGGGGAGAGTCACAGCTCTTCTGTGTTCCAGTTCCCCCATATACAAAATGGTCATGAAGACACTTAGCTCACAGGACCCTTAAGGGGATGAAATGAGAAAAGATAGGTAAAGCTCTTAGCATGCTGTCTGGCACATTCAATAAATGGTATTATTATTTTACCCACAAATCCTTGGTGTCTTGGAAGGGAAAGTTACCTGGCGGTCACGGAGCTACTGTCACCCACTAAACGTCTGTGGGGTAGGACAGGAGGACTAGGGCTGTCGGTGTCCCAGACCCCCTTGAGCACCTGGTGGAGGGACATCAGACCCCTGCACCAGCGGGAATTATTCCACTGAAAGTGAAAGTATCGCCGACTGGCTGGATGCCACTTCCTCCTGGCGAGCCGAGCCGCCCCCTCACCACTCAGAGTGCTCGAGACGCTCTTGAATCAGCACTGTGAAGTCTTGACCCAGAATGCTTTGCTCAAGGAGGCTGTTTGGGCTCGCAGCCCAGATTTTCTGAACATCTCACCCCTCTAATGCCCAAGAGCAGCCCTTGAAAGCTCAGAGTTAAGAATCACAAGATCCAGTAGAAAGAGCTGGAAAGGGATTTAAAGGCAACGCCCACACACGCCTGTCATTTGGTGGATTGAAAACAGATGCCCAGATGGAAAAAGCCATGCCCAGGGACACACAGCTGACCGGGGCTGAGATGGTTCCAGAGCCCAGACCTGCTGCTTCTAACCAAGACCCCTAGTGTGGTGCTCTCTCTACTATCCCAGGGACTTGTGAAAATCATGGATTACTGGGCTCCACTTCCGGAGCTTCTGATCCAGTGAGACTGTGGTGGGGCAGGAGTTGGCCTTTGAAGACCAAGACCAGGGAACTGGGTGAGAGTCCTGGTGCCTCCATCTAGCAGCTGTTGTGGCTAAAGCAAAGACAGTGGGAAACAAAAAAATATTCGTCCCAGAAATAACTGGCTCAACATCTCCCCAAAGCCTCCGATGATTTATACCAAGTAAACAGAAAAGAAGGCAGATTTCATTAATCTTAATAAATGGGTATTGCCTTAGGGAGAGGGAGGGGTTGGTGAGAAATTAAAAAAAAAATTGTTGTGCATCTACTTGTAAGATTGCATTAAACATTAAACTAAGCACAGTCTATTTAAAGCACTGCTGTTGGATCTAAACTTAAGTAGCACTGTTAAAACCTGTGGCATAGCAGTGTATCTTATTCAAAGTTTAATTAGATTTCGGAACTAGCTACAAATACACAATTATGCAGTTTTGCTGAAATCTGGATGGCTGGTAAAATTAAAGGATAAGAATCTTCTGTACCAGGGGCCTCAGAGGGCTGGGTGAAGATCGAGTTCAACAGGACACCCTTATTTTCACATTAATATTTTATAATCGTAACGGCCAACATTTATGGAGGCTTCCTTAGGGCTAAGCAATTGCCTATGTTTTCTCATCTGTACTTCAAAATAGTCCTAAAATCTTCTTCCAATTCTCTAGTTTATAAAACCAAGTAAGTGGTGAAGTCTAGATTCAGATCAAGTAGCAGACTTTAGGGCCCACCCTCTTCTCCACTGGAATCTATAGAAAGTTTGCATTTGAAAAGATTTTAAAGTTCAATTAGTGACAACCACATGCACACAGTAACTCCAACAAAGCAAACTCCAGGGGGAGGCAGCTCTTTGGAGAGCTGCTTTAATGCGGAATGACTGGTAGGAATTGACTGCAATTAGCTTACAGCATATTGGTAGGCAACGGGTATTTCTACAATGCTTCAGAGGGCCTGAAACAGTTTGTTCTCTGGTGTTTGAAATATTCCCTTTTCTCAGTACATTTTCTTAAATGGGCTGACTGGGCTCTGGGTGTGAATTGACGTGAGAAGGTAAACTCACCTGAAAAGTCTCACCTGACGAAATTCTAAATGAATTACATTTGCATAGGCCAGTTGCAGCAAAAACAATGTTTACTTTCCCTCTCTCTGTTCTGGGTCAGGACCAAGACGAAACATGGTTAAGTGCTGACACCATCGAGCATTCAGGATTTATCCTGGCAAAGGCATCAGAGTCCGCTAAAAATAACTGCCTATTGTCTTACCTCTGACATTGCTGAGGGATGTGACACTTACCCGGAGAAATCCAGAAAGGCAGACGGACATCCAGTTTGTGAGGAGTTTTTCGACGACGGACTCCGTGCGTCTCAGCATGAGTTTCGGCTGCATGTTACTACACTGTTCCATCAAGTCCCTGGTCAGCACCTCTAGGATGCTGGTCAGGTAGACCAGCTTGGTTTGCAGTGCAATGGTTAGGAAGGAGGCAAACAGACACCTGTTGAAAAAGAGAGCTGGGTGAACCATTGGCTGCAGGCCTAGCTGGACACCCATGGGAGTTTCCATGGAAGCTCACTGGCAGGGCAGGGAGCTGGCCTGTTGGGTTGGGAGCTTTTTTTTTTTTTTTTTTAATGTTTAGATTCTAACCACTTCTATCTCTAGAACATTTTCTGTGTTTTCAGCATTTAAACTAGAGTGGTAACAAGATGTGAGTCTTCCAAAGTTTCGGGATGTTTTAAAAATAAAAATTAACACTTCTGCTTTTTTTATTAAGAATTTATGGGCCGGGCATGGTGGTTCACGCCTATAATCCCAGCACTTTAGGAGTCTAAAGCAGGCAGATCACCTGAGGTCAGGAGTTTGAGACCAGCCTGGGCAATATAGCAAGACCCCATCTCTACTACAACAACAACAAAACATTAGCTGGGTGTGGTGGCATGCACCTGTAGTTCCAGCTACTTGGGGAGGCTGAGGCAGGAGGGTAGCTTGAGCCCAGGAGGATGAGGCTGCAGTGACCTATGATCACACACTTCAGCCTGGGCCACAGAGTGAGACTCCAACAACAACAACAAAAAAATTGTGTTGGGGTGGTATGATCTAAAATGGAGAGAAGGCTGCATAAACTCCCAATCAAATAGCCTTTGGAAAAGTGCATGTTCTCAAGATACCAAGTTCAGATAGTGGTTTGGAAATAAAATATGGGACTCAGGTTTGATTTCTCTCTCTTTTTTTTTTTTTTTGTAGAGACAAGGTTTTGCTGTGTTGGTCAGGCTGGTCTTGAACTCCTGGCCTCAAGTGATTGCCTGCCTTGGCCTCCCAAAATGCTGGGATTACAGCCATGAGCCACCATGCCCGGCCTGATTTTTTCTTAAAGGCTTTTAAAACATCAAAGAATGGACTAATACCTGTCCTTCACAGAAAAGTTCTTCTGCTTTTCAAGGGTGTGGATGACAGTAACAAGAAAGCTTTTATTACAGATTAGGGCATCCAAAGCTGTGAGACTTTCATTCTTGTCGTTGGCGTCTCTGTTCTGATAAAAAGAAAAAAATATATAGTATAATACAAAATCATATATAAGTTTAAAGTTAGAAAGTAGACCCACAATGGGTTTTCCAAGACAATGAATTATTCAATATTGAATTCATGATCCAAAAAAAACCCACAATAAAAATTCAAAGTAATAATAATAGAGATGATAGTGATGATGATAACACTATGAACATCAGGCAGTCACTGGGCTAAAAATGAAAACGTAGAGACTTACATGCATATCTTCAGTGAAGATGTGGGTGAAGCCACCTGACTGAGAGGAAGGAGACACTTTTATTATTCATAACATCCAAAGGAAATGAAGAGTGTATTTTTGTTATAATACCCAAGTCCGTTTTAATAAAGTAGAGACACTATTTGCTAATCTGAAGCGCCCCTGGGTTTATGGTGGCTGCGTATTCTCTAATACATAATAAATAATTATTCAGCTTTCAAGAAACGCCACTGAATTCCGAAAGCCTCTAAGAATAATAATTATCATGGCATTAGTTCCAGGTTTGGTAGATGAAGGTATCATCCCACGTTTTAGAAGAAGTGATTTAAGAGTTAAAGAAGGGGTCATTGATGAAGATTATGCAAATATCAGACCCCTCTTCAAGCAATTTACCTTCTAAAGATAAAGACTAAATTACGTTGTTAAGTTTTACAAGTCTTACCTAAGTAGCATCTACTGTTTCAATACACAATGATATTGAAAGACAGGGGGTAGTTAAAAGCATAGAATCTGGACCAAACTACTTGGGTTCCAGTCCTGGTTTTAATCACATACTGGTCACATGACGTGGGATGTGTTACCTAACCTCTCTGTGTCTGACTTGCCTCATCTCTGAAATGGGGACAGTAATGGTTCCCACCTCAGAGGTTTAGTGTGAAAATAAAATGGGTGCAGAGTAAGTGCCCTGTGTCAGTTATCATTACTGGTTTTATTCCTAATTTATAGCAAACTAGACCACAATGCTATCACCCCACTGGTTTCTAAATGCTAGGTAGCTCTGGAATATAAAAAGGGTTTATAGTGTATCATCAATCTTATTAAAAATCAATGGTTAAACTTTAAAAGTATGTTAAGCAATACTTTAAGTCCACAGAATGAGACTCTAAACTCAAAACATTCAAGTTTTTCTTCTTTTTTGATAATAATAGAAACTTTGAGCTAATTTTATATCTTGTGAAGTAAATTTCTTCTGTAGAGAATTTTGCTTCATAGTTTCAAATCTGCAAGCCCAAGCAAAAGACCTGAAACTATTTTGGCCATATCCTCCCCTAGTAAAAAGCAAAAAAGCCCCAAAAAAACAAACCAAAAAAACCCCCAGACCCTAGGTTTGCATTTTCTGGTTCTTAATATTTTTCTGCTGAACCAACTTCATGTAAATAGACAGGAGAAACAGGTTGATTCTTAATCGTAAATACGGAAGTGCCGCCCTGGTTCTCTCTGTGTGTTTTTTTGTTTGTTTTGTTTTTTTGAGACGGAGTCTTGCTCTGTCGCCCGGGCAGGAGTGCAGTGGCGCGATCTCGGCTCACGGCAACCTCTGCCTCCCGGGTTCAAGCAATTCTTTATTTTTTTTTGAGACGGAATCTCCCTCTGTCGCCCAGGCTGGAGTGCAGTGGCGTGATCTCGGCTCACTGCAACCTCCGCCTCCCAGGTTCAAGCAATTCTTTTTATTTATTTATTATTTTTTTTGAGACAGAGTCTCGCTCTGTCGCCCAGGCTGGAGTGCAGTGTGGCGCTATCTCGGCTCACTGCAAGCTCCGCCTCCCAGGTTCACACCATTCTCCTGCCTCAGCCTCCCGAGTAGCTGGGACTACAGGCGCCCGCCACCATGCCTGGCTAATTTTTTTGTATTTTTAGTAGAGACGGGGTTTCACTGTGTTAGCCAGGATGGTCTTGATCTCGGGTTCAAGCAATTCTCTGCCTCAGCCTCCCGAGTAGCTGGGATTACAGGTGCACGCCACCATGCCTGGCTAATTGTGTATTTTTAGTACAGACGGGGTTTCACCATGTTGGCCAGGCTGGTCCCTAACTCCTGACCTCAAGTGATCCACCCGCCTCGGCCTCCCAAAGTGCTGGGATTACAGGCTTGAGCCACCGCGCCTGGACCCGTGGCTCTCTGAGTTTTAAGGCTGCTTCCTCCTTTCATTCAAATTTCCCTTTTCTTCAGCTTAGATCCTCTGCCTACCCTTATTTCTTCTCCTACTTTATGCAAAGCAAAGAAGAGTCAATAAAATAAAAAGCAAGGCTTTAAAAGCCAAAACCGACAGGCAGAGCAAAGAACCCTGGCCTCCTTTGAGAACCTACAATCTCCTCTGGATTTTGCCTGTTGCTTTTTTGTAGGTGCTGAACACCCAAATCCTACCCCCACAGCCCCCAACCTCCAGGCCTAGAGGATTCGGCTTCTGATCAATCCATAAAGAGCCTAATTAATACCAGGACTTATCTGCAGCCTGGAATGCATTTAAGTGGCATTGTCTTCTTACGATCTGTTTCCCTGTTCTATCTTTTCTTAATTATTATAAAATCAGTTTTGACTTAGGTCTTCTTGAAAGGGTTCTGACAAATTTATGCATGTTTTTTCCTGGGTTCTCTCCTTTAAACAACTTCTGACTTCAATTTTTATGACTTTCCCAGTTGTTTTTCAAGATTATACACAACACTGAGTTAAATCAGTTTGCCTCCTTTGCAACTATCTCTCTTCTCCTAAAATAAGGTAGCATTGTTCCTGGGATCTTTTTTTTTTTTTTTTTTTTGGAAACACTCAACTTGCAACAGTGTTCCTTTACATTCATTACTCTATCTTGTTCTTGATTACCAAATTTAGAAGATAAGAACATTTCTTTTTTCAGGCCACAGATTATTCAGCACTCAAGGGCAATCATTAACTGTAAAAGCCCACACAGCATTCATGTTGATAGTCAAAAATCTCCGTTATTTTATTGCTTTTAAATTCTTAATGGGGATCTCAGATAGCTCAGAAATAGGACTCGTGATGCAACCTTTGCAGAAGCCCCACACAGTCATCCTGATTCGGGGAATCGAATTCCTTTCCCCAGGCGGTGTTCTGCCATAGAAATGGATGAGGTGGCAAATGGTAGATCTCGGTGCCTCGGTACTCTTGGAGGATAAGTTAAAGGAAACAAACTTCACCAGCACAAAAAGCTGAAGTCTTATTTACAGCCTTCTTGATTTATAACACTAAGGCTTGGACCAAAAAATATGGCAGGTGTTTTATGGAGGCATTCCAACCTCCAGACCCCGCATTACATATCATGGTGTCCTCTTCTAAATTATAGAGAAACTGGAAATTGCTTACTGCATGTGTCTGGGTTTCTGAACTCTAGGCTTCTGGCCAATTGTTCCGGAGAAGCTTCTGGTAAGGTGATACAAACTCTCCTTTGGCCTGGAGAGATTTCAGCCGTTGCTTAGAAGTCTAGATTGAAATGTGATCATTGGTATTGATGTGTTTAAGAGGTTGGGCCTCTATGTGGTCATCATACCGCAAAAAAGAAGGGCAATATGGCAGAGCTGGGGTATCAGGACATGGCAGTGATGATACGCAGGATGAGTGTACCTCGCCAAAGACTTGGGAGGGTAAATGGAGAAGGCTGAGTGAGTGGGTGAGAAAATGGAGGCGTGAGAACATAGGTAAGACCAGCAACCCAAAAGGTTAAGTAGACGACTCCTCAGAGCCCTAGAACAAATGAATTAATCAGTTCGTGCATCTACGTCTACTAAATGAGGACAATACAAACTGACCAGCTAAAGAAAAACTACCAAAGAGAACCATAAGAACTCTACATGGCTAAAAATGCCTGTTTTCAACTCCAATTCCATCCATGTCTACTTTCCTCCCTTTTGACCAGTAGTATTTTTCCTTTCCAATTGAGAAGTAATAGTGAATAATCTAGTCACTGCAATGTAAGTCATGCAGATAAACACAACAAATTGGCTAGCTCACAATTTATTGATTTTTAAATAAACTAGCTCACTTCCCAGCTACACATTCAGTTCTACATTGAGAGTAAAAGAAAGCAAAAATCATCACTCTGAGCTTCTGTCCCTCCTAGGTTTTTGTTACTGGGCAAAGAATAATCACCAGTGACCCATCACTGTTTTATACCCTAATCAATGCAATTAATAATTACCCTCCTCCCTGCTCTGCTCAAACTTAAGCCATTATTTTTGTACCAAGCACATTATAGCTGCCTTGGAAGCAAACACTCGTTTTGACAACAGCAACAAGCACCTTCATTATTATTCAAGACTCAACCTTCGGAATATGATCAATGCTCTTTTACCTCAGGGAAGAAAGTTCTCAGAGCAAAATGTTTGTAGTCAAGGAAGGGAACAGTTCCAAAACTATCAACCACATCCAATTTATCCATCTGCAGCTCAGCAAAGCCTGCAAAACAGAATCCCAAGAGCAATATTTTAACTCAACAAACAATGGATAGGATCTTCTGCTGTTTTGTCTAACACAGAGTATGACCTTGGTTTTCATTAAAGAAGAAACAATAGATAATGACTTGGTTGGCTGCAGAGAAGAGCTGAAATAAAACACAAAGCCAGGCCCAGGCCCTGCCCTTCCGTTGCCTTCTATTATACAAACAGTTCTCATTACTGTGGCCATCTCTATGTAAGGGTAAAAAAATAAAAGTATAAATATAAAAGGCTTGTTTTTCTACAAACACAATTTTGGAGCCTACCGTCACGTATCTCTTTCCGGAGCTCGCTTTCCAGCAATTCTAGTTGTTGACTCTGTTTGCGACTCAGCTCCTTCGATTTGTGCCTGGTCACCCCCACGGCCGCTAAGAGACAGAGATGCTGCATCAGAGGGACATGGTAACTCAAAAACCAAAAATGAAAACAAATAGCAATCTTTACAGTTCTTAAAAACAAAAACAAAAACAAAACAGATAGGGACAGAGAGCAGGAGCTAGAATGAAACTAGAAAATAGCATTAAAAAGCTGGATCTTATAAGAAAATTTCCCAGTGAGGGGTCACTCTGAAGAGGAAGATGCCAAAATGCAGCAGAAAAAAACCAAAACCTTACTCATTTTACAAGTGAAAGCTAAATCAAATAACCTTCACTTGTAACCAAAGATCCCAGTTGGCTGAAACGTAATGAAACAAGCCAAGTTTCTTCCCCACAGCTGCAGCCACTTGCATTGTTCCATTGTTTTTGAATGTTTGTAAGCATCCCTGGAGAAATAAAGTTGTGCTGCAAACGTAGAAAGGAACCGCAGATCCACAGTTGGCTACATGGGCCAAACCTGCATAGAGCTAATGGGGTGACATGATGAGCGAGCCACAAGGAACTCCCATACCTCCATATTGCTTCTAACTGTGCTGCAGAGGCCATAAACCAACCCAGTTTGGTGCTTGGGTTCATGTCCTTGCTCTGCCATTTACTAGCTATGTGACCTGGGTTAAGTTCCTCAGCATCTCTGTGCCTGGCTGCCTTCTCTGTAAGAGTGCCTATCTCACTGTGATGCTGGGAGGATTATAAGAAGTAACTCACAAAAAGCATTAAGAATGTATTGTTTAAAAAAGTATAGGTATTCAACAATCAACCACTGTTATTCTAGGAAGCTTCTCCTCCTTATAGAAATTACAGCCAGGTGCGGGGGCTTACGTCTGTAATTCCAGCTCTTTGAGAGGCTGAGGTGGGAGCATGCCTTGAGGCTAGGGGTTTGAGATCAGCCTGGGCAACAGAGAAAGATATTTTTCTGTCTCTACAAAAAAATAGAAAATTAGATGGGTGCGATGGTGCATGCCTGGAGTCCCAGCTACTTGGGAGGCCGAGGTGGGAGGACCACTTGAGCCCAGGAGGTCAAGGCTGCAGTGAGCCGTGATCGTGCCACTGCACTCAGCCTGGGCAAAAAAGTGAGACCCTTTCTCAAAAAAAAAAAAGAAATTACATAATAGACGGGCTCTGCTACCAATAATGCTGGAGGAAACAAATATGGCTCTTCACTGGACTACTTCATAAAGTCAACAGTCTTAATAACATGCATTGTGCATGTCTAAGAAAGGGTGGAGTATGATGTAGTGATTCCCAAACTTACTTGACCATGGAACCCCTTTTTCCAGGACAGTCACTTGGGACCACTGTTCCTCAGGCCTCAGTTTGAGCAACACTGGCTCATGCACGCAAAGGCTCATTTTTTTCTAGCTCCAGAGACTTGCACAGTTATCAGCAACATAACAGGTGCTCAATGAACATAAGGTAAATAGATGCAGGGATGAATGAGTGAATAAATGAGTGTATAGAAGGAGACACTGGCAACTGCCTGTACTAGCTGTCAAATTTCAGAAAGTCAATACCTATGTTAAATCAGGAAATACAAAGTGCTTTTTTTTTTTTTTTTTTTTTTTTTTTCTGAGACGGAGTCTTGTTCTGTGGCCAGGCGGGAGTGCAGTGGCACGATCTCGGCTCACTGCAACCTCCAGCTCCCGGGTTCAAATGATTTTCCTGCCTCAGCCTCCTGAGTAGCTGGGATTACAGGCACGTGCCACCACACTCAGCTAATTTTTGTATTTTTAGTAGAGACAGGGTTTCACCATGTTGGTCAGGATGGTCTCGATCTGCTGACCTCGTGATCCACCCGCCTCAGCCTCCCAAAGTGCTGGGATTACAGGCATGAGCCACCGGGCCCAGCCAAAGTGCTATTTGTTGGTGGATAAGAGTTCCTTTTTCAAAGAAGGATGAGAGAAAATAGACTTCAAATGACAAGCAGCTCAGAACCAGAGTCACAAACGAAATGGCTACAGATATCAGGTACATAGATGAGTTAAATGGCCTAGGTGGAGACAATATGGAGTGGTGGCGACTGTGGTCAAAACCTAGGGAGCACATTCCCTCTCTCTAGGGCGTAGCTGCTACTCAGCTCTAATAAACTGATGCTATGGAAATTTGGGATCCAATGATCCAAATCTTTCACATTTTCAAGAGACGTTTCCAAATGTGAATCACTAATTTTTAAATGTTATAAGCTACTTAATAGTTTTAGACAATGCTACACGGCAAAACAAAATATATTGGTGGACCAGATTTGGCCAATGAGCAACCACCATGGGCTCACTGTGTGTGGATGGGCCCGGGACCACTTTAAGAGATGACATAGATCACACTTCTATTAAAAAAAATCATTTACTTTTTAGACACAGGGCCTCATTCTGTTGTCCAGGCTGGCATGCAGTGGCACGATCATAACTCACTGTAACCTCAAACTCCTGGACTTATGCCGTCCTCCCTCCTTGGCCTCCCAAAGTGTTGGAACTACAGGTGTGTGCCACTGTGCCCAGGCATGACCACACTTCTAAAGTGTGGTTCTGCCCAGAAAATCAAGACTGAAATGAGGCTGGGGTGATGGGTGGTGGGGGGTGGTCAAGATGAAATAACCAAGTCCTGGGAGCCCAAAATCCCAGAGAAGTTCTTGGGGAATTACATAAATGAACATTTGTCACCACAATTTGAAGGAATGGAGAAGCAAAGTAGATTATATCCCTCAAATCCCAAGATACCATCTGTGTAATCCAGCCTTCTATTAATGAAGCATCCTTTAAAAAAAAATTTTGTTTTTTGTTTGTTTGTTTTTGAGATGGAGTCTTGCTCTGTCACCCAGGCTGGAGTGCAGTGGTGTGATCTCGGCTCACTGCAACCTCCGCCTCCCGGGTTCAAGCAATTCTTCCTACCTCAGTCTCCTGAGTAGCTGGGATTACAGGCACCTGCCATCACGCCCGGCTAATTTTTGTATTTTTAGTAGAGACGGGGTTTTGCCATGTTGGCCAGGCTGGTCTTGAACTCCTGACCTCAAGGCGATCCGCCCGCCTCAGTGTCCCAAAGTGCTGGGATTATAGGCATCAGCCACCACGCCTGGCCAAAAGAAATGTTTAGAAAGCCCTCAGCGTGTACCTATTATTCGTTTCTCAAAGTTTTGATTTGGGCTTTCACCCATTTATACTTAATTGAAGCAAACAGCCCCTGAAAGCTGAAAGTCTGCCTGCCCGGCGAGAGGCCCCAGGGAATAATTTCTCTGACAAAATTAAACAGGGCACTTACCAAAAATGACAATCACTAGCAAGACAGGGAGCACAATCAGAAAATACCATGTGGAAGGAACTGACTCCTGCTCGACGTAGAGCTCCAGGTTTCCCAGCTTGACCTGATGGGACAAAGAATGTCATTAGACCCAATTGAGTTGGGGACTGTATTTATTTACATAATTTCCCCCCTAAAATGGCTTCACAATACAAAAAGAAGCAGTGAGCTGGGTAGGATATCTGAGTTCAACTCTCATTTCTGTGGCAGATTAGCTATGTGTCCTTGGGCAAATCCAGAATATTCACTGTGCCTCAGTTTCCTGAAATGTCAGTTGACACATGCTGGACTAGACCCTCAGAGTCTTAATTTTGGCCCTCTTTGCTCTGGGGGTTTTAAGTTGCAGGAGTGAGGGCAATAAAGAGGCAGTAGTAACCTGTAGGCAAGAAGCCCCTGCCTGCCCTTTATTCTAAGGAAGAAACTCAATTTTTATCATTTTTACAGGCAGGCTTATTTTGTTTTTGTTTTAGAGACAAAGTCTTGCTCTGTTGCCCAGGTTGGAGTGCAGTGGTGTGATCATAGCCCACTGTAGCCTTGAACTCATCATGGGCTCAAGTGATCCTCCCACCTCAGCCTCCCAAGTAGCTGGGGCTACGGTACACACCACCACACCTGGCTAATTTTTAAATTTTTTGTAGAGACGGGGTCTCACTATGTTGCCCAGTCTGGTCTCGAACTCCTGAACTCAAGCGATCCTCCCACCTCAGCCTCTCAAACTGCTGGGATTACAGGTGTGAGCCACTGTACCTGGCATCCTATTTTGAATAAAACATTCTGTGGCAAAAACCAGATTGGCAGTGCTGATCAGATCATCCCTGAGGGATTTTTCCAGTTTTAGCATTTTTTTGGGTTATATTTTGTGAAACTTGTCAAGGGAAAAACTCTACATGAAGCTTAATTATTTCACTGATGTACATACAAGTATTAAGGCGTGTTTCCATCCTTGGACTCATGCTGCCCCCGTGGAGGCATCTGAGCACAGTAGCTGGAGGATGGATTTGGACCCGGATAGCTGAAGCTCTCCATACCAGCTCTGCCACCTGCTCTGTTTCTCAGCTATGGAACCCTGAATTAGGTATGCACATCCAGTCCTCTTTTTCCTCATCTCTGAAATGGGATGTTGGGAGTGCCTCTTGGTAGGCTGTCCTGACTAAATTCATGACGTCATCTGAATAAGTCAGCTCATGGCGCCCTCCTCAAAACTCTCCCATGCCTTCTGCAGCCCACAAGCCAAGCCCTTGCCATGGTCCACAAGGTTCTAATCATCTCCTGTTGTCTCCATGAACTCTCTAACCTCAGAAGCCTCTGCTCTGCTCCCTCCACTCCAGTCACACTGGCCTCCTTGCTGCTCTTCAAACATGCCAGGCAGCCTCCTGCCTCAGGACCTCTGCTCCCTCTGCTCCCTCTGCCTAGAACGTTCTACCCCAGATAGCCCATGGCTTGTTCCCACTCCTCCTTATACAGATGTCACTTTCACAAGCAGGCCTCTTCTGCCCACCGTTGCAAAACCTGCAGCATGGCCCCCCTACCTGCTCCTGTTCCCACCCCCCCACCCCCCCACACTGGTGCTTTTTTTCTCCATAGCAACTGCCACCAAGTAACACAATTTTTATTTATATTCTTCACGCTGTGTCTCTTTAGGGAACCTCCATAAAGGCAGATGTTTTTGTCTGTTTTATTCTCTGTCTGTCCCCATCACAGCGTAGGCTCTCAGGAGCTATGTCATGAATGATGAAGAATGTTAGCATTTGCTCTTCTCAACTAACAGGAAAGGTGGGAACACTGGTGAGTTGAGTTGTTGTTCCTTATTTTTTTTTGAGACAGGGTCTTACTGTGTTGCCCAGACTTCTAGAGGCTCAAGTGATCCTCCTGCTTTGGCTTCCCAAAGTGCTGGCATTATAGGCTTGAGTTGTCTCTCCCAGCCTAGTTGTTATTCCTGACTTAAAACTTACTATTGGCTGGGCGCGGTAGCTCACACCTGTAATGCCAGCACTTTGGGAGGCCGAGGCAGGCAGATCACTTGAGGCAAGGAGTTTGGGACCAGCCAGCCCAACACAGTGAAACTCCGTCTCTACTAAAAATAGAAAAAACTAGCCAGGTGTGGTGGTGCGCACCTGTAATCCCAGCTACTTGGGTGACTGAGGCATGAGAATTGCTTAAAACTGGGAAGCGGAGGTTGCTGTAAGCCAAGATCGTGCCACTGTACTCCTGCCTGGGTAACAAAGTGAGACTCTGTCTAAAAAAACAAATAAAACTTATTATTAACCCCATTTATCATACAGATGGACTAAGAGAGGCTCAGGAAACTCAAGTGATTTACCTAAGGCCACAGAGCTATTAACTGGTGCCAGTGGGACATGAACACATTTTTGTTGTTGCCTTCCAGTCTGAAGTTCTTTTGCATTGTCTTTTATCCAATTATTTATGATGATAGATCAAGAAGAATTTATATAGGCTGTACAGAGCCTCATACGGCATGAATACTATAAAGGGTGACTTCTAATGTGTTTCCCTTCTCAGTGGTCTCACATCTTTATTATGGGATATAAATATAGCAGTGATCCGTCCCCCAAACATATCTGGGAAAAGATTAATCGCAGAAAGTATGACTTCATGGTGAAGGAAGCAGCCCATGACCCAGAGATTATCTGGTCTCCATCTGATTCTAATGCTACCCAGAGTGTGCTGAAGAGGCCCTTGTTTGTTTTGGGTTTCTGCTAAGACATGTCACCTCCGCATTTGAGAAAAGAGTGACAGCTCATTTGTCAATGGGTCTAGAGATTTTGCTTGCCGATCCTACTGTATAAATGTGTGGCTAGAACAAAAGCTATCAAGACTCATTAGGATTATAGACAATGGTGTGTCCAACGCTTTGACGTTCGAACAGGCACAGGGATGGATTCAGCCAGCTATTTTGGAGCTATTTTGCTTGGGCTCGCAGTACCAGCTTTGTTTATCTTCTATTTAAAGTGAGGATCTGAAGATCCATGAAAGATTCCATTCTGGCCTCTGGTTTAGCCAAGGAATTATCACAAAAATCAGGTAAAGACAGCAGGTGGGACTGCCAGGTCACTTACCCGAACTTTCTTAGAAGAGTTGGCAATGGTGCTTGCAGT
This sequence comes from Homo sapiens, assembly GCF_000001405.40. Lineage (NCBI taxonomy): Eukaryota > Metazoa > Chordata > Mammalia > Primates > Hominidae > Homo > Homo sapiens. The sequence continues at coordinate 94,248,373 of NC_000012.12, read as the reverse complement.
CTTGATGCCTTTAATTTTGCAAAGGATGGTGGTAAGATCTTGATTTCTAGTAATATTTTCAAAACTGCAATTTAATTGCCCATTTTCCCCATGGAAGAGAGTAATTTCAATGTCTTTTTTGGAAATGTTGAAGTTGTCATTTTCTTTCTGTAAAGAACAAAATGAAGATGGAGAAATCAGAGCACATGTAGAAACTCACGAGCATAAACACACCTTTCCAGTCAAGGGGTCGGGGTGACATCCCACCCAGAAAGAAAAGAAACATACTTGAATTTTCACTTCCAGTTCTGTGTCCACCTCGGATTCCACCCGATACCCCGTGAATCTGGGGTCCTCCCGATACTGCAGGGTTCCACAATCCAAGTAGGTGTCTTGTACTCTCAGCTTCACAGTGACATTCGTGCGCACTTTTGAACTCTTTAAACTGGGGGCTAAAAACCCGCAGTAAGTCGCCACACAATATTCAGAGACCTGGACAAAAAGAAAAGAATGTTTTAGTAACTTTGTTAACGAATCCCAGCTGTGATCTCTAAGAGCTAAGTGACCTGAGCAACTTAACTTCTTGGTGCTTCTGTTTTCTCATGTGTAATATGGAGACAGCAAAACTACCTCCCTCACAGGATTGACTTCACCCTACATTACATTAAATGAGGGCTACGTTAACTGAGATTATACATGCTTAGATCAGGGCCCGGCACACAGTAAGCACTCAAAACATGCTAGTTAATATTATGATTAATATCATGAGTGACAATGAAAGCAGCTGGAAGGTTATGCCATGGGAAAAGAGACTAGGCTGAAAGCAGTAGGCTAGGGAAAGGGGAAGATTCTGACCCAAGGGGCTTAGGTGTCCTTGGGGTCAGCCTGTCTGAGCCCTGGGAAACCACGAGAAAAGAAAAGTGTCCAACTCTCAGCAAGGGCCAGCTCCTGAAGCGCTTGTTGCAGCTGAATCACCCTTTGTTGGGGGAACCTCCTGCAGGGCCTTAGCAGAAGTCACTAGACACAAGGAGGACAAGGGTTTTCAGGCATAACAGAAAACAGGAGAAAACAAAAGTAAAAGGAACAATGCATCTCCCATGAAATGAAGAGCATGAAAACTGAAAACAATGCAAAAAAGGTGGCCTGATTTACAGGATTAAAAAAAAACAACAACACATAAATAGGCTGGGCGTAGTGGCTCACGCCTGTAATCCCAGCGCTGTGGGAAACGGAGGGAGGAGGGTTACGTGAGCCCGGGAGTTGGAGATCAGCCTGGGTAACACAGTGAGACCCTGTCTCTCTCTATATATATAAAAAATAAAATTTAAAAAGTTAGTAAATACATAACATAAATATATTGTCCTGTTTAGGTGTACAGAAGGACAGGCAGAGGAGGCTGGTGGGTTAGGGGAGGATGGCAAACATTCTACAGAAAAGCAATTATAACTCATAAAAAGAAATTTATCAGGTGGGAAAAACTATTTTTCCCCCACCCCCGCCACCCCCTGATACTAGAGCATAAAAAAGACAATAGGAAGAGGCAATTGGTGGGAAAATATGATGTAAAGAGCTGAGATTTGGACAAGCACAACCTTCCTTTCCCTTCACATCTTTCCAAACTATAGCCCTGAATCTCCTGCTCACATTTCTGTCCTCAGGATGAAAACCACTGTCTCTACTGCCTCAGCAGCCTTAACTCCTAGCAGGCTGGCTTTTTACTGAAGATGCCTTCTAGAAGGATTGCAGGTGAGAGGATCACCCAACCCTATTATCCTCAAGACTCTACAGTTCCATACTCGTGACAAACTCGCGCCATGCGATTTACTCTTTTTCACTGGTTTCTGAGCACCTTCTCGGCCACCTTCACGGCCCATCCTACTGTCTGTCATTCCTTAAAATGAAGCTTTGCCACCAGTCCTAGGTGCTCTTTTCTTCCTCCTCTGTGCTCTCACTCCCATGATGTCACCCCCACTCTCCCTTCAACGATACTGCTATAAAGACAAGCTGGTCATCTCTAGCTTCACGATGCCCCAGCACTTGAGACCTGCTCTGCTAACCACAGCCCAAAGGGAGCTACTGTCAGCCCAGAGAGACTGTGGACGTCTCAGACACACCTGCACTGGCATGAGCATCCTCACTGGGCTCCCAGCCTTTCTTCAGTTCCTGCCTCTCCAAACTCAGCTGTGCACCATTGCCAAAATAATAACCGCCCTGCAGGAGGTTCCCCAACAAAGAGTGATTCAGCGGCAACAAGCACTTCAGGAGCTGGCCCCTGCTGGGGGTTGGACACTCTCTTCTTTTCTCGTGGTTTCCCAGGACTCAAGACAGGACACCGAAGCCTTTTGGGTCAGAATCCTCCCCTTTCCCTAGTCTACTGCTTTCTGCATAGTCTCTTTTCCCATTGGTAACCTTCTGACTGCTTTCATTGTCACTAATTGTCTCGGTCCAGTGTGAGTCCAGTGTACCTAGACCTATGTCACTTCCTGCTCAGAGATCTTCAGTGGCTCCCTGCTGCCTACAGAATTAAGGGCAAAGTTTTCAGTCTGACGCTGCTTTTTGTGGCCCCAGCTCAGTTTTACAGCTATCGCTCTTGGTCATTCCAGACCCACCCTCTAGGTTCCCACTAAGCAGGATTGAGTGATGTTCCCAGCACGGGCCTGCGAGGACTCTGTCCTCTGTACCTGAACTCACCTCCCTGCTTCCACCCACCCCACTCCATACTGCAGGCGTACTTAATCCCATGCATGTTTAATTTCTCTTTAATGTGAAAAGAAATGGTGTCTTCTTGGACTCACAGGGTTTCTGAACAGTTAGGGAACCAGAGGACCTAGAACCTGATGATACTCTGTGCTGTCAACTTTTTTAATTTTTATTTTATAGAGATGGGGGTCTCACTATGTTGCCTAGGCTGGTCTCGAACTCCTGGCCTCAAGCAGTCTTCCCGCCTTGGCCTCCCAAAGTGCTGGGATTATAATCGTGAGCCACCACACCCAGCCTCAACTTTCAATCCCAATGTAGATTTGCTGCCTGCCTCCATGAAGGCAATATGACTATCTCACTTATCTTTTGTCCCTGCACCCAGCAAAATGTTTTGCCTGCAGTAGGTGCTCAAAAAATTCAACTTGATTTGGGAACAGCAAGTAGGAGGGAGAGCAAGTCCGTGACAAACTCAGGTAATGCCTCTGCTCAGAGGGTCAAACTATACGAGCCATTCAACTGGAGGTGTTCACACCATGGAGATGAGGCCTGGAGTCAGATACAGTGTGAGGCTTGGAAGTGGCTCTGAACTGTGTCAGCAGGTGAATGTGTGCACCACAAGGCTGTAAGGACGGCCTATCAGGCGGCCCCCGGAATTTGGGTCTGAACCCACACTGCTCCTGAGGAGGGAGTGTGTCAGCCTTGGCAGGAAGTGGTCAGGCAGGGCCCCAGAGAGGCAGCCACCTCACATATCTCATCAAGGAGAGGGAAAAAGGGGAAGAAAGAATGGGGAAGGATATTTAGAAGTGTGTGCAAGTACACTTGGAGGCCTGACTTGTATGTGAAATCCCTCATCTCCCCTCTTGGCATCAGAAGCTTCCATCTAGAGCAGCCGTGTCCAGCCTTTTGAATGTGAGGACTTTTTTGCTTATCTGTGGTGGTGGATATCACGGAAATTATGCACAAACCATTTTTTAGCTCATTAGCTATCGTTAGTGTTGGTGTATCTTATGTGTGGCCCAAGACAATTCTTCTTCCAATGTGGCCACAGGAAGCCAAAAGGTTGACACCCCTGCTCTAGAGGATCCCCATCTGGAGGCACCAGTGGGAGAATCGGGCAAAGGTGGAAACCAGACCCCTCCTACCATTTCTCCTGTGGGGAGACGAAAGGTAAGAGAAGGTGACATCAGATGGTAGGGAACAAATTGGGTCGAAGAGAAGGAGAAGCACATGACAAGATTTCTGGGACCTTGGCAAGTCATCTAACCTCTGTGAACCCAACTCTCTCTGTGCAATGGGAACAATACCACCTACTCTTCACAGAAATGCAATTCTTTATATCACACCTTAACCATTCACGGAGCATTTTCACACATATTCATAAGCATTGCCTCATTAGGGTGACTTGCCACAAATCACATAAAAAGAAAATGTCAGGTCTTATCGTACCAAGTTCATTTCTCTTTCCTCATTGCTGCAACTAGAAATACTCAGCTACAAGGATAAGGTCTTATTATTTCCATTCTAGCATGGATAGAATATATGATAGCATAGGTAAAAGTTTATAACACCAAAGTCACAGAAACAAAAAATACCCCCAACATAGCATAGTGTGATGAAAATAGAACCATCCTTGAAAACAACTATTATTACAAAGCAGCTGGAGACTTACATTTATGTTTCCTTTTAATTCATGTGAAATGATTAAGTTGTCAATTACATCAAAATTTCTGCCCATCATGGTTATATTTTGACCACCACTGCAAGGAATAAAAGCAACAATAAGGGTTTCATAGCTAACACACAGGCATTTTGCATTTATGAACAAAGCTATCAATTTATTCATGTTTAATATTAAACCCAATTATGTTTGAGAGCAAATTAATGAATTTTAATTTCAAATACAGGACAATTTTGGGAATCTTTTCAGGATACCAGCCACAAATTCATGGGTTTCAAGATGCATAAATATAAAAATTCAGGTCAGATCCTATTTTAATTCTAGGAAAATGCCCAGATTCTTTGATGGAATTTGAATTTTGTTTGTGTCATATCGCCACATATAATCAGATCAGGAGCTGTACCTTGAAAAGGTTTCACTAAACAGAATTTTGTTTGATTACTGTTTAATCTATATAAAGAGACTTCAATCTAAGAATTTTCAAAATCAAACTCCTAACCTACCAATGGTATGTTATTTAGAGAGACAGGAAACACTTTGGGCAAGGTAGAATTACAGATGACATGCAAAGTGTAAATTCCTATTTGGTACGCCGTATAAATAACAGCTGCATTCCATCTCTCTAAAACCAGGCCAAATAACTTCACGTTTCTCAGTGCATATAAGCAAAGCGGTCACTGGGTGTGAAAGAAACAGCTGTCCACAGCTCTGTCTGCCCTTGCACCCCTGTTCACGTAGGTCACCAGACACTCATTCTAGGGGACAAGAGCCTGGGTACGTCAGGTCCAACAGCCAGCTGAGCCCCTGATGACAAGACCAGGAGGTGGGCCTGAGCAACCCAATTTGTGTAGGGCAGAGAGAAGACACTGATCTCTGAATCCTCCAGCCACAATGGGGAAGGGCTGAGTTGGCCTCATGCCAGTCTGTAGCCATTACCAGAAAACCGAGCCAAGCGTGATCTCCCGATGGCCAGCATTTAGAGCCACATTCTTGCTCAAGGCACAGTGACCAAGGAGCAGCCAAGACACACAGGCTCAGAATGTCGCAGGTGACAGAACAGTAGGGAGCCTCTTACTTTATAGCAAAGCAGGATACTGCTGTGGCTCAGAGCCCAACCTCCTAGTACCAGCTGTCTGGGAGGCTGGGGTGAGTTGTTTGAACCCTTTTCCTCCCCCAGTTCCCTCATTTGCAAAAGGGACAAGCCATAGCAGATCTCATAAATTTGTTGTGAGGATTAACCTAGTCAATAGATGAACACACCAGGCACATGGGGCATGCCACATCAATGTCTCCTTTTATATGGAGAATGGAATTGGTCCTAGAGTGGGGGATGTCATGCTAGAGCCTTGGTTTTGAAATTTCAGTTCTCCTTATCTTACTATTATGGACTGAACTGTGTCCCCAAAAAATGTGTCCCCATAAAATGTATGTTGAAGCCCTAACTCCCAGTGCCTCAGAATGGGACTGTATTTAGAGACGTGGGTGGTTAAAGAGGTAAGGAAGGTTAAACGAAGTCATTGGGGTGGGCCCTAATCCAACATGACCGATGTCCTTATAAAAAGGGGAGATTATCCCAGCTACTAGAGAGGCTGAGGCAGGAGAATCACTTGAATCTGGGAGGCGGAGGTTGCAGTGAGCCAAGATTGCGCCACTGCACTCCAGCCTGGGTGACAGAGTGAGACTGTCACAAAAAAAAAAAAAAAAAAAAAAAAAATTGGGGAGATTAGGACAGAGATACAGAGGGAAGACCACGTGAAGACATAGAGAGAAGATGACCATCTACAAGCCAAGGTGTAAGGGCCTCAGGAGAAACCAATCTTACCAACACCATGATTTCAGCCTCCAGAACCGGGGAGAAAGAAATTTCTGTTGTTTAAGCCACAAACGCTGTGGCACTTTATGTCCACCCTAGCAAACTAATATAGCCACCTCTCACTTGATCTTAAATAAGAATATTAAAAGTGATTTTTTTCTTCTCTACTTTTTTTCCTCTTTCTCTTCCCCTCCTTTTCTTCTTCTTCTTCTTCTTTTTTTTTTTTAACAAAGCTTTTTGTCTGTAGGTTTACCTAGAGAGTACTTTGAAAATTAGCTTCGTACTGTGTCAGGCAAAGAAAATATCGTTAGGATTTTAGTCCTAAAGAGATTTAGGAATAAAAATATTATGAAAGTGAATTTAAATTCAACTAGGAGGAATCTTTATTACAGCATTCTTCACAATAACCAAGATAGGGACTCAACCTAAGTGTCCATCAACAGATTAGAGGATAAAGAAAATGTGGTACCTATACACAATGGAGTATTATTCAGCATACAAAAAAGAATGAGATCCTGTCATTTGCAACAACACAGATGGAACTGCAGGACATTATGTTAAGTGAAATAAGCCAGGCACAGAAAGACAAATATTGCAGGTTCTCACCCATATGTGGGAGCTGAGAAAGTTGGTCTAATGGAGATAGAGAGTAGAATTATGGGTATCAGAGGCTGGGAAGGGTGGTGTGGCGGGGCCAGAGAGGGATAAAGAGGGTTTGGTTAATGGCTACAAAAATACAATGAGATAGAATAAGATCTAGTGTTCAGTAGCATAGTAGGGTGTCTATAACTCACAATAATTTATTGCATATTTAAAAATAGCTAGAAGAGTGGAATTGGAATGTTCCTAACAGAAAGAAATGATAAGTGCTTGAGGTGATGGATACTCCAATTACCCTGATTTGATGATTACATATTCACTGTATGATCATAGAAAAAACATCACGTGTCCCATAAACATGTACAAGTATTATGTACCCATGAAAATGCAAAAAATACATAATAGTAATAAATTTAAAAATTCAACTAGGGAGATAAATGTTTTTCTTAACATATTGGATTTATCTGGGAGAGTTTATTTTGGGGTTTCCATCTCCCCCTTAGGGAACATCTTGAAAAGGTTGATTCTGCTTTTCATTTTGATAGCTCCCAATATTTCCCCCAAAGAATTCAAAACAGCTTAAAGTATCTAAAGTCTATAAAATGAAAGAGGTAAGAAAGAAGCCTTTTATCACAAGCAGGAGGGACACATAGTAAAGAGTGTCATATATCTATATCAAAAACCTAGGCAAACATTTCAGCTGTGAGTTTCTCAGCAGCCATGGTGAAGGGAAAAAGGTGTGCTCATAGCATTCACGATGAGCATGGGAAGCAAATGTCTTGTCAGGTATGCATTTTTCTAGGAGTAAATCCTAAGGAGAACTCGGTGAGAGGAATTTGGAATGACCACTGTTTCTGAATTTACTTGAATAAAATCAATGATCTTTGGGCATATGACCTTTAACCACAATGAGAAAAAGATTATGAATCTAGAAAGTACCTGATCCAGGTGGTAGCAGGAAATATAAGGGAACAATGTGGCAGAGCAATGTAGGATAAGGATCCCACAGAAGAGCAGTTCCCACCATCAAACTGGATACACACATCCTTCATTTCTTTCCGGCTTGATGGAAGAGAGAATTTCATGTGGGTGTCATTTAGCACATGGCTAACCTGTATCCTAGAAAAGAGTAGAAAAAGAACTCTCACATGACACAGACACTTAGCACAGTTGATTACCCAAGGTGACAGCAAATGAATTTCACTTGAACTACAACACTTCATGAAGGAGCAGAACAGCTGCAGGCAACTACTGACTCATGAGGGGCCAGTGACCCAAGTTGGTATTATTAGGGGTTGGGTTCCTCTTTCTTTAGTACATTTTTATCTTTCTTATTTGCATTGCCCTTAGAAGTGGGAAAGGAAGGAGGTGTAACCATTGCCCTGAAGAAGTACTAATAGAAAGCAGAACATGAACTGGGGGTTACATTATGTTAAGAATTGTGGATAATTCTGTTGAGTATCATAATGGCACTATGGCTTATCTGTTAGAGAGGTACTGAAGTATTTAGCAGTGAAGGATATGGTGTTTGGTTCTTATCATGCCCCCCCAAAAATCCCAGATAAGATAGATGAAGCAAGATTGGCAAAATGTTGATAGGCTTTGAAACCGGGAATGGCTACAGAGAGGTTCATTACACTCATCTCTCTTGTATTATGTTTGAGTTTCCATAATAAAAAGCTTAAGAAAAAAAGCCCTAGTCAAGCACTGAGAGGGTAAAACACAGCACCAGACAGAGATGGAAATTCTGCTGTTCAAAGGGGGCCTAAACCAAGAGCCCAGGCATCTCAGAATCAATCAGCATTGGGGCCAACATGCTCCCTAAGGAGTATCCAGGCTGGGACTTAGCTGGGGCTGTCCAGGGTGCTCCTGATGTCCAACAGCTGATGCTTGGCGCCCTTTCAGAGTCAGAGCGAAGCTTTCTCCGACATTCCCGCTGTCACCTGCAGCTTCCTCTGTGTGTCTACAATGATCCTCTAAAGCACAAATCATTAAGCCTGGGTTGTGTCTGAATAATGCTCAGTATAACCGTGCTACATGAGAATCTGTTATTACTACTTAAAGGCCATGTGCATGATGATTAACTTTAATGCTATCACTAACCCTTTAGGATAAGGCAAATTCAAAAACATCTGAGTCAGTTTGTACTTACGCCACCTCAGACGCACATTTTCAGGTTTATATTCAGAGCAAAGCTCTAGGAAATTTATCATAAAGTGGTTGAACATTAAAATTCAAACTTGTTTATAAATTTCAGAAGAAGAGAGGTGAAAATGTAGGTCATTCCACTACTAGTATTTTTCTCTTTAAAATAATTACCCATTTTAAAAGTACCATATTAAAAGAGCTTGGGATTACAGCCTGGGCTCAGGTATAGGATTAACTGAGTATTATGTTGACTGCTTGTGAACTTGGCTTCACCACACAGATGTGGTTACTGAAATGCGACATGCAGAAAGGTCTCCTAGTCATTTAATTTAATAACTGCAGTATCTCAAGACACATTCGGAATTAAAATGAGAACATAAAGAGTCAGAAACAGGGTAATGCTCCGAAAAACTACTTATTTTCCATGAAGTTGATTGCCTTTCAGTGAATACACAGGTGTCTAACTTCACAGATTTCGCTACATAAAATGAAAGATTTTTGCAATAAGGTATTTAGCCAGGATAAACAGCACAAAAAAACCTATGTTGCATAGATACAGCCTCTAATGTGTGCTTGATAATTCTGGCAAATAGCAGAACACAGGCAAGCCACCAATGAGCAGCTTTTCTCATCAAGATCACAGATATTCCAAATTTACTGCTATGAGGGGAAGGGCATGGCAGTGATGTGCAGAAAATGAATTAAAGAAGAAAATTCAGTAAATAAGCATAGCAGATTAGAATGCTGTACAAATCTGTTTTAGTAGTTAAAAATCAAAACATCACGCTTCAGCAGATTGTCTTAAATGCATTTCCATGATGAAAATAAGCTTAGTATTATACTCTATGTAGACTGTAACATCTTTTACTTCAAATTAGCCCAAACTTATATGAGTTAACAAGCAGAAAACTCAAATAATCTGTTGTGTTATTTAATAACTGCAGTTATCACATCACTTTTTTTTTTTCGAAGGGGGAGTAACCATTTGCACAAGGACATCGGTAGAAATTGAAAAGTCTTTCTCCAAGTTTCACCGATGTGATGAGTTTGGGAAAGAAGTGACAGAAATAATAATGTTCAAGAGATACATTGACCAGATATTTATGTTGGGGTGTTCTTTTTTACTACCATTATATGTAGTAGTAATTTAATTTTTGGAGGCTGAAACCAAACCAGTAAAGAGAAGGCTACAAAGAATAAAATGTCCACATAAAATGGATCCAAGAGGTTTTGTTTTTTCAACTTTGGGTGGCACACTGGAAGAGCTGCTCCAAAAAATTCCTCATCAAATTTCAAGGTACTCAACTATTTTTCCAAGTGCATCACCTAAAGAATGATGTTTGCTACTCCATATACTTGATTTTGTTACTGAAAATGAATCAAGACCCCAAACAGGCAACATCCTGAAATGACTATATACTGAGATTTTTGGGGAATAACACAGAACAGATTCTCTCACAATGAACTTCAGATCTGTTGTGAAAATTATTTTACGTGTTGGAATTATATTATGTCAAATACTCTGACTAATTGGCCTGCTTTGGGGCATGGCAATAATTTGACTATATTAAGGTTATAATCACACTGATATTCCTTTGGCACAGGTTTGAGCGTTACGTTACCGAGGATAAATTATTAGTATTTCGACTCACACATCCTTATCACAGGTACTGGTTCCTTTCAGGATCATTGTGATGTTCGATGCCCGGGTAAAGTTTGCTCCCGTTACTATCACGTTGCTTTTCCCTAATGTCGATACTTTCTGTGGCTCAATGGACTTAATGTAGAAGACCTATTGGAAAGAAAAGATTAAAACAGGAGATCAAAGCTAAGAAATGGCATCGCTCCAAAAAAATCTGTTTATACGCTGCAGTTCGAAGAAATCACTGGGAAATTACAACATTTTGCGAACACAAGCAGACAGTGTTTAATGAAATCAATGAATTCAAGGAAGAGGGCTGCAGATTCATGTCTCTCAACATGTGACAGCATGAGGTCAAACCAATTAGTCTTTGTCTCACAAGACAGTTGAAAATACAGTTGAAAAGTCTGATATTCTGTCTGAAGAGTGAGGTATCACTAGAGTTTTGAAAATGTTTACTGCCTTACAGCCTCTGGAGGCTCACAATGTAAGCAAAATCAAGGAAAAGAAAGAGAGTCCATTGACCGTAGGCCAATGACAGACTCATCGTTAAGTTGAAATAAATGTCATTCCAGATAAATTCAGTTCCCAAGAAAGCAGTCATATTTTTGTTACAGTGAGGCTATTTGAATCCAGGAGGATACTGCAGGGGGAAAAACCTCAAGAAATCAACCTGTTCAGTCACCTACTATCAAGTAGTTGGATGTCTAAACCACTGTGGCCAACCAAGGTTTGTAGATACCACAACCTCCTTCTTGCTACCCAGTTTCAATAGACTTTATCAGGCCTAAGGTCAAGAACATGTCCCTTGGAGTCCCTTGCTACCTAGCTTCATACCATATAGGTGAATGCCACCTTACTTCTCCATTTGTGATATCTAATCAAATTCTCCCTTTAAAAAAAAAGCCCTTTATTTGATAGCAAGAATCATTTTCCCTTTTCAAGATAAAACAATCCTGAGTTCTTTCACTTTTATGTTACAGATGCTACTGTCTATCATTCTGATAATTTCACTGTTCTTTTGTAGACCATTTTCAGCAAGTCTGTATTCTTCTATAATACGGTGACCAAAACAGGACATAAGATTCTAAGATTCTACCCAATATAAAGTCCAGCAGAACTTCAGCAAGAGTGAACATCATACTCACACTCTTTTTTCCCCTATATCCTCTACCATCGCAGAATATACTCAGTCTTGATATTTGAAAATGACCCCAAAGTCCAGAGATGCTTAATCACATGACGTTTGGTGAAATTCTAAATGCTGAGTGCATCCACTTGGAGGACCGAGTCCAGGAAGAAGCCCCTGAGCCACTGGGAGAACTCCGTGATGTCCAACACCTGCCTAACACCTGCTTCTTGAAGCAATTGAGTATCCTCTGCTCCTTTGTACATGGAACACTCATTGGGGTGGCATTGCTGGGCTACAGGGGCTGCCCATCCTGCTCAAACAGACATTTTCTCATTCTGCTCCCCAGCACACACAGGTGCTACACGGCACAGTCGTCCCCATCACTCATCAGCGCTTTGGACTGGTTTTGCAGATTGAGGTAAATTCATTGTTAATGTCATCACAGCAATGATGTAACATGACACAGAATTGATTTTGGTAGCAGAATTTATTTTAATCACTTTGTGAAGGACGTTAGCCCTGTATTAATAGAATCACTAAGGGCCTGAAAGGGTCACTTTAATTATTCTGTTATACTTGACTGCATTTTATGGGGGAAATTATCTGCTAGAGTGGTACTTGGAATGGGGGGATTAGCAAAGCCTTCAAGATAAATCTCTTGCAAATGTCAAGTGTGTGTTATATAGCAAAAGGCTTACTCTTCGCTCTTACGTGGTGACAGCTAAGAGAACAAGTGTTTATTGAGCACCTACAGGGTCCTTAGGCCAGATATTGTGGGGGACACATGATCTATGTGTGCACTAGATCAGGAGTTGGCAAACTATAGTCTGTGGGCCAGATCCTGCCCGCTACCTGCTTTTGTATGGGCCATGACAAAATGTCAAAAGAAGAATAATATTTCATGACATATAAAAACACATGAAATTCAAATTTCAGCACCCATAAATATTCGTCTGGGTAGTGTCTCTGGCTGCTGTTGCACTGCAGCAGTCGAGTGGAGTAGCTGCAGCAGAGACCATACGGCCCGCAAAGCCTAAAATATTTACTGTCTTGGCTCTTTGTAGAAAACATTTGCCGACCTCTGCTCTAGAGGAGTCCACTGTCTTCTTAGGGGAGCAAGATAGAATTTTTTTTCTTTTTTTATGTAAACCTCATTGCAGACTCACGTTTACATCCAAGTCAACTATGATTCCCAGGTTTCTTTTCTTTCTAGATAGTCCTTCCTGCTTCTTATATTTATACTGTTGATGTCTGCTCAAGCAAAATTTTCAAACATGCCAAGTAAATGCTTCTTCTCCATTCTCTGCAGAGGATAAAGAGAGCCTTACAACTAATGTAAAAAAGATTTTTTAAGGAAGTTATATTTTGCTCCTTAAATGGCTCTACGAACACCATCAGAGGACTTGCCACATCATCTTATTAACTTTTTATTTCCCTGAGTGGAGACCGCCTTGCTACTTCAAAAACATTTTAAACCCCTATTGTTTAGAGAGGGTTCTCTTGGCCATCTAGGATGGAATCCAGCCCTGGCCTGTCTTGTGAAAGTGGGTGCTTCAGTCTGCTTTTAAACAGACTCAGATTAGTTGTCTTTTGTTTGCTGGTGGAACCTCTTCTAATCTTAATAAATGGGTTAAAGAGCTACCAAGAGGACCCTCCTAAATAAATAGTGCAGGTATAAAACAACATTTTTAAAACAAAATGTAGAGTCAGCTCCATGGCTGCCCTGTATGGTTGCAACAATTCTTAGAAATACATTCTTTCTTTTTACCAATAAAGATTTTGAAAAATCCAGTACAGACAAAAGAGCAAAGAATCATTTCCCCATAAAGGTTCTACACATTCAATATTTTAGATCAATTTTTGTATTTTCATCAAGAGTTAATTCATAAAACCTGGCATATAGTAGCCAGCCCTATAAGCTTATGCATTTTAGAGGGAGTTAATTGTAAAACATAATTGAGCTCAATACAAAGAGACAAATTCTTAGAGCCCTATCGTGGGATTCCTCCCTCACTCTATGTCCAAGGATTTCTATGTATTCAAATCAAAATACCGTTGACTATAACCGTCACAGCCCTATGTTGTCCAGCAATTAACCTCAGAATAGTGTGCTTCCTGTAGGTTACGTTTTAAAGACTTCAGGGTTATTTTTAAATGGCTGCACAATTTGAACTTATTTAATAAACTACTATGAGCTCTGGCTTTCAGTCCCTGTTTTGTATAAGAAAGCACATTAGAAGCTGGTTAATTAGGAGATTTATAGAATACCCGATCCTTTTTATTTTTTATTTTTAACTAAGTCATTATAGGATATTGGAAATAGCACAACCACTAAGAAATAGTTATCTTTCAAAAGGTCTAAGAGGATTACTTCTGACAGTAAGAGTACCTTTTGTGAAGTCTGACGTCAACACAATTCAAATTACCATGACATTAATGGAGAAAATACTGCTATGATTGAAAAGAATATTGGAAAGAGGTGCATTAGGAGGGCTCAGTTTATTAAGGCCAAATTGTACTCTATTAATCTGTTAAAAAAAAATCTGAATATAGCAAACTCTCTGTAGGCCTGGACCTGAATCAACACTCAGTAAAACATCTCTCGGATTTTCACTCATGAAATTAGTTCAAACAGGACTAGATAAAAAGTCACATGGATTCAAAACCAGCTGGAAATCTGAAACCGAAGGACATTAGATAGATGAAAGGTAGCACAACTAATTAAAGGAAAGAGTCCTGTAGGGCCCTACAGGAGTGAGTATTCGGTTCAGGATTATTTAACATCTTTATTAATGACTGAGAAGAGGATAGAACTAATATATTAATGAAATGTATAAATTGGTAAGAGTGGTAACCAGCCGTGGAAATGGGAAAGAGTAAAAGGAGGTGAGATATGGAAAGAAAATAGCAAAATACAGGTCCACTCAAGAAAAATTAGAGTGTGAAATGGAACAAAATGGTTATCCATTTGATGCTTAGCCCCTGGGACAAATGCCTTTTCACGGGGGCCCCTCGGTACAGGCTCCAGGGAACTTGAGATGTGATTTCAGTTGGCCCTGGAAATGCCAATAGTGAGCAGTGCCTCTGGACACAGAGCTTGAGACTTCCAGATAGAAGGTGACAGACCAATGCCCTGTGCGAAGAGATCAAGACTCACTTCTCTGAGCTGCAGACTCTAAAAGGAGGCTGACTTGGCTGCCAAGCCCACCCTCCGAACAACCTGCTATTCCTCTTGGCATTTGAGCCTTCTGAGTGTGGCTCCCCAGACCTGGACTGGGTGACCAAAACTCCAGGGCCAGGGAGGGCAGCTCTTCCCAGCCAGTGGAGGGCCCTGATTCTAATTTAAACCCAGCCCCTCAAAGTCCACCCTTTGGCCAAGATTCGACTCATGCATGAGATTCTTGCTGCTCCCCTCTCCCCAGGGCCTCAGTTGCCTCACTAAGCCTATTCTGCTCTCCCTGTCTTGGAGCAGATGCCCAGCCGTGTCTGGGTCTGACTCCTTCCCTCGGACCACACCCTGCCCCACCCCTTTCTCCCATGTCTTTGAGGTTAATACACTCCTCCCACATCCTGGCCAGGTTGGAGGTCTTGCTCCCACCCTACATGTGTGGCATGGATCGGGGGCAGGCTTTGACAGTCTAATGCCAAGAGAAGCCAATATTAGAGTCCTTTCCAGACTGACTTTTATTAATATCATCAGTAGTATGGTTTAACCAATGTTTATATTCAATTTAGGGCATACAATGTAGGGTAATGGTTAAAACTCTGTTGAGTCAGATTGCCTGGATTCATATTTCTTACCTACCATTTGCTCTCTCTGAGCTAAAATTTCCTTATCTATAAAATGGGGAAAATAGGTCCATTGTGAGGCTTAGATACTCTGAGCTCAGGGCATGGCACAGGCTCAGCGAATCTTAGCTACCACTGTTCATTTGAGTACATTCTGGCATTCTCTCTTGTATCTTTTTCTCTTGTGCACATGCAACTGCTTCATGAAAATGAATCTTATTTCCTCCAAAATATTATAAGTTCTACCATGTAAGCTCCATGCAGTCACACACTTTGCCTGCCTGTCTAGCACATAGTAGTTGCTCAGCAAACAAATTTTGAATGAATGAATAAATGAATGATTGTAAGTTAATTCTACAGTACCCGGCTCTATGCTAGGCCCATAGAAGCTACTCAGCAAGGTATATGTGAAATTTAATTTCACTCTTGAAGGCAAGGTCCCCAAAAGCATTCATCTGGATTGCCTGTGAGAGATCAAAAATGCATATTCAAAAGTGATGGAGGGGCCGGGTGCGGTGGCTCATGCCTGTAATCCCAGCACTTTGGGAGGCTGAAGCAGGCAGATCACTTGAGGTCAGGAGTTCGAGACCATCCTGGCCAACATGGTGAAACCCTGTCTCTACTAAAAATTGGAAAAAATTAGCTGGGCATGGTGGCGGGTGCCTGTAATCCCAGCTACTTGGGAGGCCAAGGCAGGAGAATCACTTGAACTGGGGAGGCAGAGGTTGCAGTGAGCCGAGATTGTGCCACTGCACTCCACCCTGGGCAACAAGAGTGAAACTCCATCTCGGAGGGGGGAAGAAGTGATGGAGGAAGAGAAGAGGAGGTGCAAGGAAGAGAAAGAACCATTTGAATGTAAATTGCCAGGGGATATGACTTTGTATGCTTTATTTCTGCCCTATAGTGATAAGCATATTGAGGGTAATAACAAATATTAGAATGACATCATATCATAAATCTTCACAATCTCTCCTTGAATGCACAAAAGAGAGGGGAACTATCTCTGGTCTCAGTGAGTGAAGGCACCAGATATGAGAATGTTAAGAAATGGAAGGAGAAGTGGTCAGGGCAGGGTAAAAGGGCCAACGGTCCCTGACAAGGTTTCAACTACTAGATATGTGGAAAGAAACAGACAGACGGTCAGACACTGGCCTTTATAGCTTGAAATACTCCTCCTCCAAGGTCATACATAGATTTTTGAGCTCATTTCTCTATTGTGGTCACACTTTTCTGTAACTCAGCCCCCTTGGCAGATGACGCTATACGTTTCAGGGTCAGGATACAGGAGTAGGTCTTGGGGTCATGAAACAGTGTGAGGGCTACTGGCCTAGTAGGGACTGAACCAGGACCCTACCTCATAAGTACCAGATCCTTGGATTAGCAAACTCATACACTAAAAAAATAAAATAAGATACCTTGAATGGCATTCCATTGCCACTGAAGAATAAAGCGAGCACTCACAGGACTGGTATGTGAGGCCCTATATATGCAGGCTCCAGGGTCATTTCAACCTTGTGTCTCATAATTTCCTGCATCCTCTGTGCCTACTTAGGGTTTCCTCTAGCGTGTGTCCTGGAATCTTCTGGCTCCTACCCCTACACTGTGCATATGCTGGTTCCTCTGCTTCAAATACCCGCATTCATGTGTCTGGATGCTTCTCGTCCTCAAAGGTGGGCTGAAATGCCATCTCCAGCAATCAATCCATCCATCAATCAAAGACTTAACCAACCACACTGATTAAGTGTTTTCAACTTCAAGGCACTGGGTTTAAGCAAACAGGAAGGACTAAGACAAAGCCCCGGGCACAGAGAGGCTCTCTGTGTACTTTCTTGTACCTTCATATTAATATTTTTAAAATCTTGTATTTTTACTCATGTACTCATGGATAAGATTCTTGAGACTGATGGCCAGAGATGTGCCTGATTCATCTGAATCCTCCTCATGGAATCTGTGGAGGTCGGTATACTTGCATCTAATAGGTGTGCAATAAATGCCTCTAGAAAGAATCAACTCAAGTTCAGGATCCTAGACGCCTAGGACAGTACCTGCTCCATTCCTAGTGCCTAGCACACAGGAAGTACTCAGTACATATGTGGTGTGGGCAGATGCATTGAAGCAAAGCTGTGAGTGACTTCTCTGGTAGAAACAGAATCACAAAGACATTGGGTGCTTTGTTCAAGGCCAACATGAAGGCCCAAAGTGGAAACCAGAATGTTACACATTCCACCTGATAATGAAAGACAGCAGTGTTTGACAGAGCACGAGAAATCCCTCCTGTGACAAATAACACTCCATTCCCTATCAAACAAAAGAGAGATTCTGCTCTGAGTCACATATTTAAAGAAAACATGTCAGTATCAACAAAATGTCTTTCTCCACACTTAGAGGGGTAATCCACAGAGAAGCACTAAAAACAGATCTGGGCTTTTGTTTATTTTCAGCCTTCTTCTTCTCTTGTGGTGACCCCAGTCCTTTTAACCACACAGTTCAAAGGGTGCAGAGAGATACACTGCAGGAAACCAGGAGGTAGTGACTTTATGATATTTATCTTTAAAATTAAAGAAGTTTAAAAAGCCGCTGCCTGGACCACGACTCAGCGATAAAAAGGAATGAATTATTGATACATAAAAGAACTTGGAAGAATTTCCAGAGAATTATGTTGAGTTAAAAGAGCCAGTCCCCCAAAGGGTACATCTGGATGATTCCGTTTATATAAAATTATTGAAATGATAAAATTATAGAAATGGAGCTGAGGTCAGTGGTTGCCAGGCATCAGAGATGGAGAATGGGAGGGAGGAGGGAAATGGATGCGACTGTGAAAGGGCAACCTGGGGAGCCTTGTGATGATAGAGCTGTTCTGTGTCTTGACTGCTGTCAACGTCAATATCCTGACTGTGATGTTTTGCTATAGTTTTGCAGGATAGTACTATTGAAGGAAACTGGGTAAAAGATATTAAGTATTATTGTCTCACAAGTACATGTGAATCTACAATTATCTCAAAATTAAAAGTTTATTATTTTCTAAAACAATCTTGAAAAAGAAGAACAAAGTTGAAGAATTCACATTTCCTGATTTCAAAATTTACTTTACAAAGCTACAGTAATCAAACAGTGCGTTACTGCCATAAAGACAGGCATAGACCAATAGAATAGAAAAGAACACCCAGAAATACACTCTCACAAATATGGTGAAATGATTTTCAACGAGGGTGCCAAGACCATTCAATGGGGGAAAGGACATTTTTTTCAACAAATGATGTTGGGAAAACTGGATATCCACATGCAAAAGAATGAAGTTAGACCCATTTCTTATGCCATATATAAAAATGAACTGAGAATGAATCAGAGGCCAAAATATAAGTGCTACAGACCTTTACAAATAAATGCAGAAAGAAAGTTTCATGACATTGAATTTGGCAATGATTTATTGGATCTGACACCAAAAGCATGGGCAATAAAAGAAAAAATAAATGAACTGGACTTCATCAAAATTAAAAACTCTGTGTATTACAGGACACAGTCAACGGAATGAAAAGGAAACCTATGGAATGGTAGAAAATATTTGCAAATGATATATCTGATAGGGGGTTGATACCCAGAATACATAAAGAACTCCTACAACTCAACAACAACAAAAATAACCCAATTTTAAAAATGGGCAAAGGACTTGATTAGACATTTCTCCAGAGAAGATATACAAATGGCCAGCAAGCATACACAAAGATGCTCAACATCATTAATCATCAAGGAAATGCAAATCAAAACCACAATGAGATACCACCTGACCCATATTAGGATGGCTACTATCAAACAAAATCGAAAATAACAAGTATTGGTGAGGATGGGGTGAAACTGGAACCCTTGTGCACTGTTGGTGGGAATGCAAAATGGTATCGTTGCTATGGAAAACGGTACAATGGTTCTTCAAAAAACCAAAAAGAGAATTACAATACAATCCAGTAATTCTGCTTCTGGGCATATACCGAAAAGAACTGAGAGCAGGGTCTCGAAGAAATAGCAGCACACCCACGTTCCTAGTAGCATTATTCATCATAGCTAAAATGTGGAAGCGACCCAAGCGTTAATCCATGGATGAATGGATAAACAAAATATGGTATATACATACACTGGAATATTAGTCAACCTTAGAAAAGAAGGGAATTCTGACCCATGCGACCACACAGATGAACCTTGAGGACATCATGCTAAGTGAAAGACGCCAGCACAAATAGACAAATTCAATTACATGAGGTACCTAGAGTAGTCAAATTCATAGAGACAAAAAATTAGAATGGCGGTTTCCAAGGGCTGGGGGGAAGGAGAGATGAAGAGTTATTATTTAACGAGCATAGAGTTTCAGTTTTGCAAGATGAAAAGAGTTCTGGAGATAGGTTGTGCAATGATGTGAATGTACTTACCTCAACTAACTGTACACTTAAAAGCAATAAAAATGGTAAATTTTGTTTGTGTATTTTATCAAAACGAAAAAACAAACAAACAAACCCTGGAACAACAACAAAGTTTAATTAAAAAGAAAAAGCCACAAAGCCACTGTCTTCCTGATCCAAGTCCTTGTCGCTGTGTCTTAGTTTTCCAAACCAATGGGATGAGAAAAGGAGCCCATTACTTAACAAGACCTCAGAGACTGCTAAAGTCTGGAGATACCTGAGCATCAAGCTTTTCTAATGCCTTTAATTAACTTCATATCCATTTGATTCATATTCCCTCTGCCTGGTTGTTAATTCACCTGAAGTTACTATAAACTTTTCAGTAATGATTCAAAATATGCTACTTATTTACCTTTGCACTTGACCTTAGGTAAGCAGCAAGTGGAGAAGTCAAAACCACAGATTAGAGAAATGGAAAATGGAGCCCTTTTCTCCCCAGAGCTGTCATTTTTAATTTGTCTATTTCTGCTAGACTCCAAGGTTAGCGAGGGCAGGACTTATCCTCTTTTTGTGTTTTACCACATATAGATGCTCAATGAACTTTTGTTGACTGAGTGAAGTTGTAAGCACAGCCACATGTGTTCCGCCCAGAAATGTTTACGTTGACATGTCCCCTCTTTTCAAACATGACTGACGTGGGGGCTTATGTAATTTACTATGAAGAAAATAACGGGCATTTCCAAGGAAAGTTCATGGATTAATAACTGCTTGTGAGAAGGCGAGAGAAATACACATTCTATAACAATTCTGGTTTAGCAGTGTTCACTACTGGTTAGACGTCCCTACAAAGTTGAAAAAAAACAACGGAATCGAGGTTAGTTTGCACACTTTGCACAGACCCCCATCCACACACATAACCCCCAGAAACGCAATTATATAAAGTGCAAGTTGAAATCCCTCAGATGGAATGCTAAACTTCCTTCCAGCTCTTCACCAGTGAGCCGCAAAGTCACCTTTACAATTTTATTTCGACCAGAGCAACATCATTTTTCATAATTACAGAGTTTTAATTTATTTTATGTGAGTGTCCAGCCATTGATGTATTGCGCTAATTAAGTGAAACTTGGTTAAAAAACCAAAGACACAAAAGGGAATTTTGGTAGAAAGTAAAATAGAGAATTTTTTTAAGGAACCCAAAGTAGTATGAGTTGTGGTCATGGTCATTCAAAGACAGGTTTTCCCCTCAACCACACAAAAATAGGGTCTGACCTGTAAAGCCTGGTTGGTTCTGTTCCCCTTGTTCTCCTTGGGTCTTCCTCCTCCTGATGTCTTCTCGACAGCCACTGGACACTGTTCCTGGAATGGAGAACATCCCTTCAACATCCAGATGGGTGGTAAATTCAAAGTGTGCAACAAACATAAAAGAGAAGGTAGGACCAGGCAGTCACAAACATTTATTTTTGGTTAAACCTTTTTTTTTTGAGACGGAGTCTCACTCTGTCACCCAGGCTGGGAGTGCAGTGGCGCGATCTCGGCTCACTGCAACCTCCGCCTCCCGGGTTCAAGTGATTCTCCTGCCTCAGCCTCCCGAGTAGCTGGGATTACAGGCATGCGCCACCACACCCCACTAACTTTGTATTTTTAGTAGAGGCAGGGTTTTGCCATGTTGGTCAGGCTGGTCTCGAACTCCTGACCTCAATTGATCCACCCGCCTCGACCTCCCAAAATGCTGGGATTGCAGGCGTGAGCCACCATGCCCGGCGGTTAAGACTTACAATACCAAAAATGTCACTTTACCTGGTTTCTCTCATAATCAGAAGGGTCGCAAGCTGTGAAGGGGTGGATACACCTTCTTGCACTTTTACACCACGCGCAGCCAGTTTCTACGCATGCTGGGCATCTAGCAACACAGAAAACTGACTTAATTCCTGCGTTTTAGGACAATGTTCACATCCTAGAATTTCCCTCTGTGATGTGGCATGCAAGCATTTAAAAGAAGGCAAAAAAAAAAAAAAATCCCTGGACAGACATTCCTGTGAGGCTTTGTGCCCTGCTCTTGGAAGCCCTCAGGTTGATGGGCCGGAATGGCACCTGCAGGGGTGTTGCCATGGAAACCTGAAGCTGGGTCACCTGCTGGTCTGTAGATAATAGGAACCCAATGAATCTGTTTCTGAATCCAGTTCTGCTATTTGTCTACCCTCAGGTAAGTCCCTCTGGAGATGGATCTCTCTCTCTCCCCGCCTCTACCCACTCTGCCTTCCAAAATCAGGAAGCCCTCACTCACTCCAGCAGTCACACTGCCAACTGCCTGGAAGATGTGAGACAGAAAGTGTTAGCTGGCAAGCAGAGGCAACGAGGTGCCTGTGTTTGCTTTATAATCAAATTAAGGAAGAATTGTGTTTCTACTAATCAAATCACCTATCATGATTGGGTAAACTGTGGAGGACTTGAAAAGCACTTATGAGAAGGAATGTTAAAAAGGGAAATCAGGGTTGATCTGGAAACAGGGCCAAGGGAGGCCAGAGGAAGCCTTAGCTCTAGCAAGGGGTGCTAGCACAGGGCCGGGGGACCCAGTTTGTTTTATACCTTCTCCAAGAAATGAGGAAACATTCTGAGATTCTGATCTACAGAAACTGCAGTTTCCGTGGAAGGAGAGGACACACTGGCTTTTGCGTGGATCCGGCCACCTAAGTGAGCTAGACACGGGTTTGTGATTTGCTCGCTTCTTCTACCCCCAGGGTGTGATTACTGTACTAAGTGCTTTCCTAACAGGAAGCAGTTACCTATGGAAAGGGCGCTCACCCTCCCTGGGGGACCTAGGTCTGAGGTCTGGTTCTTAATTACCAAGTTGTGGGACCTGGGGCTAGTCGGTTCCTTTCATCTGGCCTTAAAGTGGGCATCGGGGGAGCTACGTTCTTTCAACTGTCTTTGAGCTATATAATTCTATTTAATTCACACCCTTTTTTCCTATTTTCATGAACTTCTGAGGCTTTCTGTAGCAATTTTTGTATTTTTTTCTCCTTAAATCCATTCTGTTTCTTAGCAATAATTGAACTGGGCCTTGTGTCATCTTTTTCAAAGTGCCTCAGTGGAAGAGATGAGGCCCAGGGGCTCCTGTTCTAATCATTCAAGAGCAGCCTCCTAGCTCAGCTTCAAGTTCAAATTCATTTTCCCCATAGAAACCATGGTTCCCAGGCCAGGACAAAAGAAACTCCCATTTGGTGCTCACATAACTGGTCAATCAAACTATGCAGTGATCTACAGCACTGCTACTCATGCAGCCTCCCAAGGTGCCCTGCAGGCCTCCATCCCAACTTCCAATTGGCAAGTCAGGCATCTGAGAAACATATTTCCTCTGTCCTCTTGCTGCTTTAGAAGCAAGGAGTGAGGTTTGGCACTAACTCAGGGGCCTATGTAGCTCAAAGAGGCCAAAGATGGTGAAAAGGGGGGCAGCAGGAACATGT
The DNA here is from genome assembly GCF_000001405.40 of Homo sapiens. Lineage (NCBI taxonomy): Eukaryota > Metazoa > Chordata > Mammalia > Primates > Hominidae > Homo > Homo sapiens. Next base: position 94,225,040 of record NC_000012.12, on the reverse strand, counting down.
TCTTTTGGTGAAAGGGACTTCACCTTGTCCTTCTCAAGTAAGACTTTTTACCCCTACACTCAAGGCTTCTCGTTCCGCCCAAATTCCCGAAGCCATTCCAATCAGAAGAGAACCTAGCAGCGCTCCTTCTTTTTGTTGAGACAATCTCACTCTGTCACTCAGACTGGAATGCGGGGCGCCATCCCGGCTCACTGCAACCTCCATCTCCTAGGCTCAGGTGATCCTCCCACCTCAGCCTCCCAAGTAGCTGGGACTACAGGCACATACCACCATGCTTGGCTAACTTTTGTGTTTTTTTGTAGCGATGGCGTCTCACTATATTGCCCAGGCTGGTCTCAAACTCTCCTGGGCTCAAGCGATCTGCCCACCTCAGCCTCCTAAAGTGCTGGGATTCCAGATGTGAGCCACCACACCTGGCTTGTCCCTTCTTCTTTACTTACTTCAAGGCTGCCTCTCGGTCCTGGGAAGACATATTTCCCTGTGGGTATGAACACTTAAGCACAGGGGATTTCTCTCCCTCGCAGCGCCAGCTTACTAGTCAGGGCTAGAATGTGCGAGCGGAGCTTATTAGCTCGGTGGCTCTCCTATCTCCCATTACACCATGCTTCAAAAGGCATTTTGGAAAGTTCTGTCTCACAAAAGAGTTCTTTAGGAAATCGAGGAGTCAAACAAATAAGTAAATTAAGATCAACGAGAGAATATTCAAATTTCAAATAAAATCTTACTCTTTTAATGATGAGCAGTTGGTAAAGTTGAATCTGTCTGATAAATTCCAAGAACCGAAGGAGAACATCACGTTGACAACTGAAACATCTGGAGGGAAGGGGGGAAAATGTCATTTACGGTGGAGTCCTGCTATAGTCAAGCATAGCTGTAAATGCAAAAAAAGATAAATATTTTTGCTTCCTCTGCATAGTGGGCAGGAGCGTGCCAGCTGTTTGCTAACATTTCAATCAGTATGTGGTTCCTTCCCCATAGGCCATTCGCATCAGGCAGCCGAAGTGCACAGCTCAAGCCTCCAAACAGACTGAACCCACCTCGAGTTCCAAGCCTCCCATGAATAATCACTAGGAAGAAGCCATTTTACAGCTCATTTACATCTCATACTCTCCTAGGGATCACTATCTCAGCTTTTAATTGGCCAAGGCATAAGAACAAAACAAGTCACCGAGCAAGAAGTGCCTAGAACATGAAAACCGGAGCATTAGAAATCCTGCACCTTCAGAAAAATCCACGCTGCAAATATTTACCTAACATACTCTAAAGTGTAGTTTCCATGGGCTGGGTTCCACGATCTTCTTGGGGTCAACTGTCACCAAATCTGTGATAAAGGTTTTCTTATTTGCCTTTGAAAACCTACTCATTGGTTAGAAAACCCCAAAAGAACAAAATAACAAGGATTTCAAAACTACTAAATCAGCATTAGAGAAATGTAGTATTTCCTGTATCTCTTTAAACATATATGCTCTATCCAAGGTAGTGATTCCCAAACCCAGTTCTCTATCAGAATCACCTGAGAAATTTACAAAGCTATAGATCCCAGGGCCATGCCCCTAAATATTCTGATTTAGCAAGCCTGGGGTGGACCCAGGAACCTGTGGTTGCATTGCTCCCCATGGAACAATTGTATAGAGCCCAGGTTTGGGGCCACAACACAGAATAGCACCTTTCAAATCCCCTTCTGTCCACGGACCAGTGCTAATAACAAGGTATTAATATCTTTTTCCTTTGGTGAATTAATAGGAATAGGAGGTGGTACTATTTATTTGTTTGTTTATTTATTTATTTTAGTTGAGACGGGGTTTCACCATGTTGGCTAGGCTGGTCTTGAACTCCTGACCTCAAGTGATCTGCCCGCCTCAGCCTCCCAAAGTGCTGGGATTACAGGCGTGTGCCACCATGCCTGGCCGAGAGGGTGCTTTTTAAATCTAAGTCTTGACAAAATAAGAAGCTGGCTTGACTCCGTTGGCAACCCTAATTTTCTCATTGAAATTTTATTAGTGTGTGGTTCCCAAAGTCTAAAAACCCTTACTTTAAGGTCCTTCTCCACAGCAATAACACTCCCTCTGAAAGTCAGAATTCCACATAAAATTCGGTTCACGTACAGAGGGTGTGTGTGAAATGATCATCTTCTGTTCTCAAGACAAAGAGGCTTGGAGGGCTGGCATGACCTCTCTGCAAAAGCCTCTGAACAGACACTTGATACATGTGAGTAGAATGAACACAGGGACAGTCAGCTCAGAGGGACTCCCAGTGAAAATACACTCCAGTGGAATCTATAAGTGTCCGGTGATGAAGACTGCAAAAGTCATACTTTTTTTCAAGCACCAAATAGGCACAAAACTCTATTTGGAAATATCACAAGGAAATGAATATTCATGATTTCTTCTAGGAAAGCATTTACAGTTATTCTGGAAGAGGTAAAATAATTTAGGTGATGACAGCACAGTCAAGGAAACAACCATATGAGTGGTTTCAGTTCCCTCTGGTAACCTGGGTGCCAAGATAGGGGTGTGCATGGAGGACCAAAGGGGTGTTAGAATGGCTGAGAAAGTCAGAGCAGAATCTGGCAAGGGCATGTGGAAGAGGTGACTTTTCTCCAATGTTTCAAAGCAGAAAGGGAGACAGGATTTTGTGAAAGGGGGAAGCCATTCTAGGTTTAAAGAAGGCCATGGATAAAGGCTTGGCAATGGTCACCGGCTGGCTGAGTACAAGAGGCTGGGAAGCAAATTTGTTTGCCCGTTCAGAATATGTAAGATATTCAGAAAACGGCAGGTGAAGGGTTGGGTGCAACGGATGGAGGCGCTAAAAGCAACCAACTAGCTTTACAAGGTGATCTCAAATACTTTAGAGGCATATTTTATAGGTGAGCAAGGTCTGCGTTTTAATGAACAAAATTAACCAGAAATGCATCACAAAGGCTGCACAGTGTGGACAAAGTAAAGTGGAAAATTGAGGTGATTTTCCAAGCAATCAGACCCAAACAGCCACCACCCAGTGGCTGAGAGCATTTTTAAGCTCACTTCTCTGGCCTGGTGCATTAAATTGCCTTTTGAAGGATTTAGGATCAATTGGGTGCTATGGTCAGAATATTTATGTCTCCCCTAAATTCATAAGTTGGAATCTAATACCCAATGTGATAGTATTAAGCCACGGGGCCTTTGTGAAGTGATTAAATCATGAGGGCTGCACCCTCATGAATGTGATTAGTGTCCTTATAGAAGAGGCTTAAGAGAGCTCCCCTGCCCCTTCTGTATGTGAGAATACAGCAACAAGGCACCATCTGCGAAGTCAGAGGCCAAGCCATTACCAGACACTGAATCTGCTGGAGCCTTGACCTTGGACTCCCCAGTCACCAGGGCTGTAAGCAATACATTTCTATTGTTTATAAATTATCCAGTCTAAGGTATTTTGTTATAGCAGCCAGAATGGACTAAGATATTGGGTAACTCCAGCTCTCACCATAAAACCCACTCAGCTCCATTAATGATCATCACTCAGTCCTGGAGACCTACTCCATGAACTCAACTCTACTTCTAGTCTTTCTCATTCGAAGAGACTCAGGAGTCCTCAGTCTGCCCACCGTACCTACTGACCATCTATTGAATCCACTTCTCTCCATCCCCCTTGGCTTCTCCTCCAGCTCTCACTTTCCCTCTCACCTGGACCCTCCAGTAGCTTTCCGCTTTCACTTTCTCTCTCACTTGGACCCCTCCAAGTGATCTGTTGGAACTCAGTCTTTCAGTCTTTCCCTTCTTTGGTCCATTCTCCACCTTCAAGCCATTCATTCATTCAAGAAACATTTATTGATTGTGAATGCCTACGTTGTGCCAGATACTGTTCTAAGCACAGCAGTGAAGATGTCTTCTCCAAGTCCCTGCCTCCATGGGGCTTACATTCCAGCAGGAAAGACAGACAATGCACAATGGAACCTTTCTGTAATAAAAATCTGATTGTGCTGCCAGCCTCCGGCTTAAACCTTTCAGTGTTTCATCACAGCTCGCAGGATTCACGGTTCACAAGGCCCTTCATGGTCCCCTGGCTGCCTCCTTTGGTATCTATCTTCCCTCCGTCTCCCCTTTCCACCTTCCCCTACCCCATGTGCCTTGGCCATGTAGAAGCTCTTCTGGTTCTTCAAATAAAGCTTTTTGTCTCCTGGCCATCATGCAGGTTGGTCTCTGTCTGAAATACCCATCCCCATCGTCTTTGTCTGGCTCAACTCTACCCTCACCTTGTCTGGACATCACTTCCTCCAGGAAGCTTTCCTTACCCCTTCCCCCTCCACCATGTCTGGTAAGGTACATTTTTCATGTGCTTCTCATGGTACTCTATGTTCCCTGTATTTACACACTGCATTGTAATGAGCTACTTACTTCTCTCTATCCCAGTGTACAGTCTTTTTTTTAGGGGCAAGGGGGAGTCACTGTATCCCTAGTACCTAGCATAGTGCCTCACATATAGTAGATGTTCAGTAAATACTTCCTGGATGGATGTATGAATGCAATGAACTCAAACTGATGGAACATTGGTTGTTAAAATTTCTCATCTCACCCAGGGCATTTCTTGCTTTTCAGATCTCTGAATTATCTAAACCATTTGGGTAGTCGGCCCAGTGCTATCTGGCTTTTCTGCACTCTCCTATCCAACTTGCCCTTCTCTTGTCATTGTCCAGGCATATCTGATAGTGGGGTCTTGGAGTAAATGAATGAGGTAAACCAGAGGTGAGGAGGACCCAGAGCAAAAGTGGGAACCAGGGGGTAGTGAGGGAGTGAGTCTACAGAGGGGGAACTATTCATATTCCTTGGGCAAACTAAACTCAGGAGGTTCCCTTGTTTTTTTGATTTTATAACAAAAATAACCCAGAAGAATCCACATACCTTTGTAGGTTGCTCTGGTTGGGATGCTACAGGTGCAGGTCCGGTTGGGCTGACTTTTATTCTGGCAGAGCTCCCTGCTAGAGTCCACATTCTTCACCATGCACTTTGAGTGTCTTGGAGAGAAGCTTCCCACCATAGTCACTGTAGTCTGTGCGGGGAAGATATGGGGAAAAAATGATGATTTTTGCCTCATTTCCATCCATCATAGAGCCTCATATGATCTCACCCTTTGACCTGCCACAGGAGGGAGAATTTCTCAGAAGAGCTGATGTAAAGAATAGATGTTTCTGGGTGACAGAGCAAGACACTGCCTCCATAAATAAATAAATAAATAAATAAATAAATAAATAAATAAATAAAAATATAAAAGAATAGATGTTTTGTTGGCTATTTGGTTTGCTCTTCTGTAAAGAGCATATTCTTATTCTTTGACCATTTTTCTGCTTTGTGTGTATATTTTTCTTATCAATTTTCAAGAGCTCTCTGTATGGTGTAGATATTAATCTTTATCTGTCATATTTCTGACACATATTTTTCTCCTAATCTATTGTTTGTCTTGTAACTTTTGCTTGTGGCATCTTTTACCCTTACACAATGTGCTTTTGAGTAATCAAATACAGGGTTTCTTGTCTCGGCTATAAAGTGCTTCCCAAACTCTAGCTTATGGACAAATATAAAATTGTTCCAACATCTTTATTGCTTTATTTTTTAAGCTTATATCTTTAATCCATCTGGAATTTATTTTTATATACAGTGTGAGATAAGGGTCCAACTTTATCCAGATGGTTAATCAATTATGTCACAGCCATTTATTAAACAAAAACAAACCTCCTTTTCCCACTGAACTGAAATATCATTTTGTCCTATATTAAATTTCCATTTATCTGGAATCTATTTCTGAACTCTGCTCTGCTCTAATAATCTATTGATCTACTTCTATTCCAATGCCATTAAGTTTTTACTCCTGTAATTTTAAATATATTTAGCATCTGATAAGGCAAATCTCTCCTGCTTTATCTCTATTTTCATAATTTTCTTACCATTTCCTGAGCATTATTCATCTATATTCATTTTATCCAAAGGGGTTGAGGGGACTGAGTCTAAATGAAATTGTATTAAATATATGCCTTAATGTTAGAAAAATTTCTGTCTTTATGATATTAATTATTCCCATCCAAACACATGACTTTTTTCATCTGTTTCTCTTTGATCTGGGGTTCATTTAAGACAGCGTGCCTTGATGATCCTAGGTGTGAAGATACATTTGTCAACTATTCCTTATTGCTAATATTGTTAGATAATGATTAAAGAAGGTGGCCTGTGAAATGTGCTTTAGAATTAGTTAAGGTTTTGCTTGTGGTCAAACATATGATCAAAATTGGGTGGAGGGAGTGTTTTTGTGTGTGTATGTTTGTATGTGTACAGGGATACATCTGTGTGCCTGTACGTGTGTGTGTGTGTGTGTATAGTAGGGACACAAAAAGACAATCTTGAAATGTCCCCAAAGTAACTTTTTCCCAAGGAAATGGTCCAAAGGAACAAGGCAGCCAGGTGTCCTGTTCAGAAGGGAAATTATAGGAATTAACATGCCAACAGTGGACTCCTTTTGCATCAGGCGCATGATGGGATCTGATGGGAATGAGCGCTAAGTAAAAGGAACCTGGGAGTGCAGGAAGTGGTAACCTTATCACCCCCTATGAAGAGCCATAGTCTAGACAACCTGGCAGCTCTCTGTCTTCTGTTATACTTCTCACTTCCTCCCAGACTTAGGCACTGCCACCTAAGACTCTGCTGTCTCCCTGGTTCTTTGATAAGCTTGCTAAGTCTAATCTAGTCCCCGGAGGTCACCCCTATCTTCCCATTTTCAAAAAGTTCTGGCCATATTATCATGCTGGAAGAAGGCAAGTTCTTTCAGTCCACTTCACCTGGACTGGAGTTCAATTATCTTTAGGGAATTCTGAGCACAGTGAAAGATCCCAAACCATTCCCACTAACTCATCTTCAACAAATGCCTGAACTCTCATTCATGCTCAATCTTCAACGCAGCATTTATATCCGCACCACACATCTTATCTTGTATACATATATGTCTTAAATTGAATTCACACTCAAACGTTATAACAAGAGTATCAGAATTTTTAAAAATCACATTTTCACCAACTCTTTTAAAGTTTCCACATTTCCTTCTAGTTCTCACATATGTAGCTTTTACATAACTATAATTATTCCATTTATTTATTCCATAAATGTTCATCAAGCTTGCAACATGTGCCAAGTGCTGCACAATGTACTGAATATACCAGTGAACCAAACAGCTATGGTCCTTGCCCTCAAAGAGCTTATAGACTAGTAGAAGTATAGAACATTCCACCAGAATAAAACTGGAAGGTCACATGGTATCAAGGAATCATCAAGAAATGACTGAGCTAAGATGGTACAATGAAAAGGGAAAGAACGAGGCAGTCAAGGTACCCCTTAGAAGTGGCATGGGGCAGGACTGGAAGTGGGGGATGTGGATATGGAGGATGCTGGTGAGCAAATGGGATGGATGGAGGTACCATACATGGAGATGGGGCATACTGATGGAGAGGCAGATGGGTAGAAGATTCAAGACTTCAGCTTTAGGTGTATGTAGTTCAAGATACTTGTGTGATACTCAAGCAAATGTGTCAAGTTGGGTATGGGCCTGGAGCTCAGAGGATCAATCTGGGGTGGGGATAAAGGAGACATGAACATACAGATGATTTATAAAGCCATGGAAGTGAATAAGATTGTCTACAGACGAAATGTAGAGTAAGAAGAGAGGAAGAGCCAAAACTGGGCCTTAAATGGCTCCAATATTTAGAGACAGGGAGGGAAGGGACCAGCAAGGCCCAGCAAGGGAATTGAGGCCTGGCCACAGAGAAGGAGGAGAGCATGGAGTGGGCGTGCCATGGAAAGCAATGGAAAAGACAGTTTCAAGAATGCTGGCTAACAGCCAAGTTAGATGAGGACCTTACAGTGTCCGCTGGAATGGCTGCATGGAGTTCACTAGTGACCTTAGCAAGAACAGGTTCAGGGGAACACTGGGGCAGAAACCAGGTTGGAGTGGACCTGAAAAGAGGAGACAGCATGTTTTTTTCAGGTGCAGTGGAAGGAGAGAGGAGCCAGTGAGGTGAAGGTATTTTTGCGTAACTTGGGGTCCAGGCGAGTACAGTTAAAAAGCTGAAGCTTCGTCCTAAGAAACCCAGTATAGGACTCCTTACCAGGCTGATGGCTTTTTCGTGAATCAAGCTGGATAAAGAGGGAGTGAAGACTTAAAGGGCAGGTGGGATGCAGAGGGAGCTGGGGTGTCAATTAGCCCGCAACATTCACAAGGCCAAAGAATTGCTTGCTGCACAACACTCTTATCAGATCGACATATCTTATTTTACTGAATCATTCGTTATTGCTAAACAGTTTCATTATTTCCAGGTTTCTAATTCTATAAATGCTACGGCAAGAGCATCTTCATGCCTAGGGATTTTCTTCTTTCAAGTTATTTCCTCAGGATTCTAAGGCTGAAATTAATGCTTCAAACGGAATGAATATATTTATGACTTTTGAAACATGCTGCCAAATTGCTTTCCAAAAAGGTTGTGCTAATTGGCATCACCAACACTGGGTGTTAGCATAGCTTATTATCGCTTTAATTTGTATTTATTTGAAAACTAGTGAGGTTGAACATATTTCCATATTTATATCTACTTTCTGAATCTCCTCTTGTGAGAATATATGTGTTTTGGCCCACTTACTTTTTGGTGTATTGATGTTTTTCTTTTTAATTTTTCTTAGTGTTATTACATTATGATGAATATTTTGTTAGTGGCAAATATTTTCCTGAAGTGTGTGCTTTAGTTAACTCTTTTTTTTTTTTGAGACACAGTTTTGCTCTTGTCAGCCAGGCTAGAGCGCAATGGCACGATCTTGGTTCACTGCAACCTTCACCTCCCAGATTTAAGCGATTCTCCTGCCTCAGCCTCCCGAGTAGCTGGGATTACAGACACCTGCCACCACGCCTGGCTAATTTTTTTGTATTTGTAGTAGAGACAGTGTTTCACCAGGTTGGCCAGGCTGGTCTCAAACTCCTGACCTTCAGGTGATCTGCCCGCCTCAGTCCCCAAACTGCTGGGATTACAGGCATGAGCCACCATGCCTGGCCAAGTTAACTCTTATTTTTTGTAAAAGGAAATCATGTATATGAATATTTTTCTTTTGTTATTACATACTATATTGCTTCAGAGGTAAAATAAATGATCATACTTTCAAATTATGTTCAACTTCATTTTCTGTTGGTTCTTCTGTGACTTTGCTTTACATATCAATTTCTTAATTAGTCTAAATTTTATTTTTATATTTAATGTAAAATATGAAATTACGTTTCCATAGTATAAGCCAGTTATCTCACACATTTTATGAAATAATTTTTGTTTCCTCTTATTTTATGATATCTGTTCTTTAAAATTTTTACATCTATTTCTGAGCTTTCCACTATATTCTATGAATCTATATTCCTATTTTTAAACCAGAATCATGGATTAAATTATTTTTGATATCTATCTATCTATCTATCTATCTATCTATCTATCATCTATGTTTGCAATCTAATGGGAGTGGTCTTGCCTAAATTGACTTCTTTTTTTTTTCCAAAATATGTTTTGGATATTCTTGATCAGCTCATGATATTCCAGATGAATTTTATATTAATTTTAAATAAACACTAACTCAAAAATCATTGGAATTACATGAAATCAAGAAAAATAGGTGAGGAAGAAGTGACATTTTTATGATATCTTCTCACCAAGAAATGTAGAACATGCCTGAATATGTTCAAGATGTTTTCCATATATTCTAAGAAAATACTTGGTGTATTTTTGTTTTTATTTTTCTTTATGCTTATGTTTTTAATTAATAAGGTTTTGCTATGATAAATTATAAATAGCCTTAAGGCTGGGCACGGTGGCTCACGCCTGTAATCCCAGCACTTTGGGAGGCCGAGGCGGGCAGATCACCTGAGTTCAGGAGTTCAAGACCAGCCTGGCCAACATGGTGAAACTCCGTCTCTACTTAAAATATAAAAAATTAGCCAGGCTTGGTGGTGGGCACCTGTAATCCCAGCTACTCGGGAGGCTGAGGCAGGAGAATCGCTTGAACCCGGGAGGCAGAGGTTGCAGTGAACCATGATCGCGCCACAGCACTCCAGCCTGGGCAACAAGAGTGAAACTTTGTCTCAAAAAAAAAAAATAGCCTTAATACACCACTGCTCTGCTATCTAACTACTATTACAAAGAACGGCTTAAGCTAAGTTGTTCAAAGCAAAATTACTATTTTTGGTAGCTGACTCCAACACATATCTCTTAGTAAAAATGGTTTTAATGCAGGATATGTACCTTGCTCTTTAAGTTTATGGCTGAGTAGTTCTGTTGTTTTTATGAATAGGACTTTTTATTCATGAAGTTAAAAGTTTGTTTTATTTAACATGTAGTAAGGTTATTGATATTTAAATATTTATTGAACATTCAGCACTTCATTTAACGTTAATTCATTTGAATAATTTTTAAAGCTAACATATTTAGATTCTGCAGATATGCAGCCACTTAAGATGAGTAAGTAATGTTTTTTATATTTAATTCAAATAATAATTTGTATTACTTGTTTCTTGAATTACTGCAGTGGACAGGGCTTTACAAATAATGTCAACAGTATTAGCGATGGTGGAATTCCTTGTTTTAGTTCTGATTTGTAAAAGAATGTTTCTAGGATGGGCATGGTCACTTATGCCTATAATGCCAGCACTTTGAGAGGCTGAGGTGGGAGGATCACTTGAGCCCAGGGGTTTGAGACCAGCCTGGGCAACATAGGGAGACCTTATCTCTATAAAAAATTTTTAAAAATTAGCTGGGTGTGGTGGTTCACACCTGTAGTCCCAGCTACTTGGGAGGCTGAGGTGGGAGGATCCTTTGAGCCCAGGGGTTCGAGGCTGCAGTAAATTATGATCACGTCTCTGCACTCCAGCCTAGATGACAGAGGGAGACCCTGTCAAAAAAAAAAAAAAAGTTTCTAGTGTCTCTCCTCTAGGAACCATATTGTTTAAGGAATACTTTTATTCCAATTAGCCGGGCGTGGTGGCATGTGCCTGTAATCCTAGCTATTTGGGAGGCTGAGGCAGGAGAATCGCTTGAACCTGGGAGGTGGAGGTTGCAGTGAGCCTAGAACGTGCCACTGCACTCCAGCCTGGGTGACAGAGCAAGACTCCATCTCAAAAAAAAAAAAAAAATGTAGAAAGCGGAAACTGGATCCCTTCCTTACACCTGATACAAAAAATTAATTCAAGATGGATTAAAGACTTAAATGTTAGACCTAAAACCATAAAAACCCTAGAAGAAAACCTAGGCAATACCATTCAGGACATAGGCATGGGCAAAGACTTCATGTCTAAAACACCAAAAGCAATGGCAACAAAAGCCAAAACAGACAAATGGGATCTAATTAAACTAAAGAGCTTCTGCACGGCAAAAGAAACTACCATCAGAGTGAACAGGCAACCTACAGAACGGGAGAAAATTTTTGCAATCTACCCAGCTGACAAAGGGCTAATATCCAGAATCTACAAAGAACTCAAACACATTTACAAGAAAAAGCAAACGACCCCATCAAAAAGTAGGCAAAGGATATGAACAGGCACTTCTCAAAAGAAGACATTTATGCAGCCAACAGACATAAGCAAAAATGCTCATCATCACTGGTCATTAAAGAAATGCAAATCAAAACCACAATGAGATACCATCTCACACCAGTTAGAATGGCGATCATTAAAAAGTCAGGAAAAAACAGATGCTGAAGAGGATGTGGAGAAACAGGAACACTTTTACACTGTTGGTGGGAGTGTAAACTAGTTCAACCATTGTGGAAGACAGTGTGGCAATCCCTCAAGGATCTAGAACTAGAAATATCATTTGACCCAGCAAATCCCATTACTGGATATATACCCAAAGGATTATAAATCATGCTACTATAAAGACACATGCACATGTAAGTATATTGCAGCACTATTCACCATAGCAAAGACTTGGAACCAACCCAAATGTCCATCCATGATAGACTGGATTAAGGAAATGTGGCACGTAGGCCGGGCACGGTGGCTCACGCCTGTAATCCCAGCACTTTGGGAGGCCAAGGCGGGCAGATCACGAGGTCAGGAGATTGAGACCATCTTGGCCAACACGGTGAAACCCCATCTCTACTAAAAATACAAAAAATTAGCCGGGTGTAGTGGTGGGCGCCTGTAGTCCCAGCTACTTGGGAGGCTGAGGCAGGAGAATGGCATGAACCTGGGAGGCGGAGCTTGCAGTGAGCCAAGATCGTGCCACTGCACTCCAGCCTGGGCGACAGAGCGAGACTCCATCTCAAAAAAAAAAAAAAAGAAAAGAAAAGAAAAGAAAATGTGGCACCTATACACCATGGAATACTATGCAGCCATAAAAAAGATGAGTTCATGTCCTTTGCAGGGACATGGATGAAACTGGAAACCATCATTCTCAGCAAACTATCACAAAGACAGAAAACCAAACACCACATGTTCTCACTCACAGGTGGGAACTGAACAATGAGATCACTTGGTCACAGGGCGGGGAACATCACACACCGGGGCCTGCCGGGGGGTGGGGGGCTGGGGGAGGGATAACATTAGGAGAAATACCTAATGTAAATGACGAGCTGATGGGTGCAGCAAACCAACATGGCACATGTATACCTATGTAACAAAACTGCACGTTGTGCACATGTACCCTAGAACTTAAAGTATAATAAATAATAACAATAATAATTTTATTTCTGTGTCTTTTCTATTTTTTTTTTTTTTTTTTTTTTTTTGAGACGGAGTCTCGCTCTGTCGCCCAGGCTGGAGAGCAGTGGCGGGATCTCGGCTCACTGCAAGCTCCGCCTCCCGGGTTCACGCCATTCTCCTGCCTCAGCCTCCCAAGTAGCTGGGACTACAGGCGCCCGCCACCACGCCCGGCTAATTTTTTGTATTTTTAGTAGAGACGGGGTTTCACCGTTTTAGCCGGGGTGGTCTCGATCTCCTGACCTCGTGATCCGCCCGCCTCGGCCTCCCAACGTGCTGGGATTACAGGCGTGAGCCACCGCGCCCGGCCGTCTTTTCTATTTTTATTACATATCTCTGCTTTCCTTCTCCACCACATCAGTCATTCCACCAGGGGAGCCCATGTTTACAACCTTGTTTGAATTCTTCTATATTTTTGCCCATGCTCAAATAATCATATAGAGACATATATACATAAACATATACAGGGGCATTTTTTGATCAATATAAGATCATGCTAGGAACACTTTTATGCATCTTGCTGTTTTTACTCAACAAAACCTCACAGAAATCCCTCCAGGACAACTGGAATTGCTCTGATTATTTCTTTTTAATGCTGATCCCATAGTGAGTATGAGGATGTACTATCTTTTAATTGTTTTGTGGAAAGAAATAAAGCTTCTGTGAACAGAGGTTCTTATTATATGGAGGTTTTTCTCTGCCTACAAAGTGACTAGAATGTTACTAGGCATATGATAGGCAGGTAGCAAATAGCCTTTGAATAGAGCTAATAGGTGGAACTGAACACAACCCTAGACTGCCGTCTCCATAGGTCAGGGTCAGGTTTATTTAAACAAAGACCTGAGATTTTCAGGTAAGCCAAAGGTGGCAATAGGGTAGGAAATATTTTGAAATAATGTGATCAAGAGATAGAATCAGATGGCTTATCAACACTATTAAAATAATTAGTCCGAAGTTGGTTTCAAAGGATAGCTTTAGTCAAATTACGAACTTCTTATCTTCTTTGAGAGTGGTGGTGAGCTGGAGAGAGTGAGGCAGTGGCTGTGTGGGAAGTCTCTGGGAAGATTAGGGTAAACCACAGTGGGACTTAGGGCGAGGAAGAAAACACCAGTGGTCGTTTGGGTGGTAAGCAGTTTTGAAATGTACCAGACCAGATATAAACAGTGATTAATTTGTAATAGTGAGCCCCTAGCTAGGTACGGAAGTTGTATAAGCAGCACTTTTAATTTAATGAACAAGCTACTTCCTCCCACTACATTTAGCTGAAGTATTATCCTTAAATTTTTATAAATAACATAAGAAAAAAAATCTTCCAGAATTTTAACCACTTATCAGAGTCCTGGGTATATTCAAGGATTATGGTATTCTACTTTCTACTATTCTCTATTAGCGCCAAATTTGGCTATTTTTCAGACTGATGAGAGAAATTAGAATTTGGATATACCTATGTTTAGATGCCTAAGAATCTTTTCCACCAAATCTATTCACTCTGATTCAGGACTGGTAGAAGTTTGTATGAAAGTTATTATTATTATTTTTTTTCTCCAGGAAGACAACAGAAAGTGACAACAGCCAAATAACTTTAAATCTGTTCGTTCTGATCAGTTACAACTTAGAAGCTTGATTATTTTATTATTTATCACTCATTAAATACTTTGGCTCTCCTTTATTAAATGTTAAATCATCGTAAGTGGTAAAGTTCTTGCTATTTCTCTGAAATGGCAAAGTGTAAGGGAAAAGAGAAAGTGGCCCATTTCCTTGTTAATATGGCATTCAAACAGAACACAGTGAGCTCAACAGACAGGTCAGCTGGCTGCTGTACAGTTATTCATAACAGAGGACTCTGTACAATTATTCATAACACAAGAGCCGTCATTAGGGAGAAAATGCCTCCTTATAGCACCACTGAGACTGCAAGGCAGGAATTCCCTTTTTCCGTAGGGCACGGTTGGCGTGTGCATTTGAAAATGCTTAAATATGCTCCTTGCTCCCTTCTCTCATCCAATGACAGGACTGATGTGTTGTCAAGAGTGGTGCTGCCATAGCAAGGGTCCACTGGCTTTCCAAAGGACCTCACTTGCAATGGTCACTGCCCATGTTGGTCTTCTCTCCATCGCTACCAAGACTGTTGGAAGCTATGTTCATAAGATGGTTACTGGGGAAGCCTCAACACATTAGGATAAGGGACCATTACACTAAACAAAATTCTGCAATTAAGCCACCTTTAAGGTATCTCGTTGACCATGAATCTGAACCTCTTTTTTCTTTATTTTCAAAAGCAATATGTATTTCTACAACATTAGAAGTCCAACTTTTCTTCCAGTTCAACCATTGAGGGTCATCTTCAGCTCCACAAGACGACAAACTCCATGAGAGCAGGCCCATGATGTGACTTGGTTACCGCTGTATCCCCAGCACCTTGCAGAGTGGATGGCATCTGGTGGGCACTCAATATTCGTTAATGAGTGCTAAATGAATGGAGTGCTATCACTAAGCATGTTTGATTGCTAATGGATATTTTACACACAGAAGAAATTTAGCATCCGCTGTGCAAAATGAGACAATACAACGAGGACAAATTAAAATCTTTCCTCTTACCTTTTCTTTACTGCTTCGAATTATCTGAATTTTAGGGCACTTTTTTGCTCCAGACGAAATATCCAGCCAGTTTTCTAAGTTCTCTGAATGTACACAATCTCCTTGAAAAGTGCACCTAAAAAAACGAGGCAACAAAACAGCGACCCCATACGTGTGTTAGTTAAAACAGCGACCCCATACGTGCATTAGTTAAAACTTTCTTATACTTGGCTTCAGTACAAAATGCCAGACCTTGTACAGTGGATTATTGATTTGAGCGAGAATAGGAACATGATGCTAAAACCATGAAAAGCAACAAGAAAACAGCAGAGCATTTTTTTCCATCATGTCTAGGAGCAAAGAACAAATGTAGACAACATGGTGAACTTCGACTCCTGAGCCATCTCTCAAGATGACATCGCCAAATATATCTGAAACACATCCTCCCATGGATTCTGAAATAGGGAGCTCCCTTTTAGAAATGCCTAGCAAAGAACAGCTCAAGGAAGAGTTCACATATTGTATAAATTTTAGGTTTGCTATTCATTCTCAGAATATCAACCTATTGTGTAACTTGATTTTGTTTAAAAATAATAACAAAGTTACTATTTTGTGCTTTGCAGTATGATAATTAAATAGAAAAATTTCAAGGGCAGAGTCTGCCTAAGAATTTGATAAGACATTCCATAACCATCTGCTACATACCATTTATTTAGACAGATACCAAATTATATCAAAAGATATAGGTGAAACATTTTTCCAGGGCCATTTTCCCAAGTCAGCCAGCTCAGAGGCTGACCCAGATAAGTCTTAAGCTGTGGCCAGGGCCAACTACTTTGATAAAGAGATGCTCAGAAGCTGAGTGGTGAGATCACTGGCTTGCTTGATGTGTCAGTCACTCTAGGTCACACTAACTTGGGAACCCTTGCCTCACCAGACGGGGCACCAACCTGGCAAGAAGAACAAATACCAACAGCACGTTATCGCCAAAGGGTGTTGGACTCCACAGATATTCCATTGAATAGCATCAAGGAAAGAACGAAATATTTCTAGTACTACACCTCCTCAAGGCTGAAGATTAAAATGCAGGGGTGGTAAACCAGTGATGGTGAATTTTTAAAAGAAACTGAAAACACATGAATCATGAGATTGAAAAGCAACCAAATGATGACCACATTCAGCTACGGGGAGTCCCGGAGGGGATCCGAGCGGAATGAGGAATGGATGGGCCCAAACAGTGTATTTGGCTTCCTAAAGGTTTTATTTTTTCTCCTTTCTCTACTCTCTCTCTCTTTCAATTCTTAAGAATTTAGGCCTCATGGCTTCATCTTTGAGCTCTGTGTTAATTTGAATATGGCAAAAATAGAACAGGAAGTCAGTGAGTTTCACTAAACGTCATCCCCAAGCACAATACCTTTAGCATGTCACCGGCTTCTGACATTTGGGGAACCCTGCTCCCAATAAGCACATCTGTGTTCCACCTCCCACTACATCTGTGTCAGTTTCTTCTCCAACATTATAACCATGGGGATTTTCATCGGCAATTCTCCAAAGCCATAAATTTATCTGACCCTTGATGGCTAGCTCATCCGTCAAAGACATTAAGTTCAAATTAAACCGCCTGTCAATGTCAGAGAGAGTTTGCAACGGAGAGACAAGCACTGCTGGATTGAAAAACAGAATGACGAAGCTGGTTCTTTCGGTTGTATCTGAAATAGATCATGACTGTCAAAAACTCCCTGCCTCTCATGGGCACTCCGGTTTGTGTAAGGCACTTCCTCTGCCTATAAGAAAAAAAAAAATAAGCCAATTCCGAAGAGACTGGAGTACAAATATTTTTGTTGGCTCTTAATGCTGCCTGGGAGTCAAAGCCTAAGGCTGCCAAAAAAACAAGTGTAAAATATTTCATACAAATAGTGCTACAATTTGCCAATTTGTAGGCAGAAAACAGTAGTGCCACTGAGTTATCACTCCCTTTTCTGAACTCCTATAGCATTTCTTGTCAGAAGTACATATTTCGGTATTTAATCATATGCTGCCTCGAATTACAACTTAACTATTTCATAAGTCTATCTCAGTTCTCCCCAAGTAAGCTCTAAGCTCCTCAAAGAAGGGAGAAGGTCTTTAATATTTCTTTAGCAAATCCCTCAGTGTCTGGCAGCATGATATGCAAATACTAGGGTTTCAATAAATATTTTTGAATGAAAGGATGAAATATGAAATCTCTATAGGTCTTTTCTGTTGCTGATTTTTCTTTCTAGAGTTTTAATTCATGTCTGACTCCTCCTCATGCCAAAGAGACTATTTTTAAAACAAGCAAAAAGTTTAAATCTGGGGACAAATTGGGGGTGAGGTTTCCATTTTACTTTTTGAAAAAAAAAGGGAAAAGAAAGTATAAAATGAACCTTTCATTTTTTATTCTGCATAAGGCAAAAACAAAATCTAACCATGTTAAGCAACTAAACATAAATTCCTTGTTTTTATATATATATAAAAAAACAACCCACCACCTCTGAACTCCTATTCTTTGCCTCTCACCAGTACAAATAAAAAATGAAAAAATAAAAAGCAAACCATGACACCAAGTATGTATAACCAGATGGCCAGCCAACAACAGTATCTTATTACTTCTCAAATACTGCAGATTATAAAATCTTCATGACAGCATATTACTCATACATTTACATTTCTTACAGAGCAGATCTTATAGCTCCCATATTTTAGTAAACAAAGCTAGTTACTCTGAAATAATTCCTTTTGAAAGCTATCACTCTAATTCCTGCGTATCAACAAGAGCAACGGTCAAGTGCATAAACACTTGAGCCACTGCCCTAATTAAATTAAAATCTCATTGTCACACAGGACTCTTAGTGAGGCTGATTCTTCAGTGATGCACTCTCAGATAGGCTGATATCTTAATGGCTTCATTTCAATTTCTTCAGGCCAAGAATAGGAGGAAAATTGGATTTGGATAAGAATGGACATATTCTAGGGAAACTGGTAGAGATATATTTGCTTTCTTGACTTACTATTACTTTTGCTCCATCCTCTACTGAGGATCTATCCCAAAGTCCTCAGACTCCCAGTCAGTATTTTATTTTTCTAGTCCTTATTTCCACTTAGAGCTAATACTTTCATGATAAAGCCTGCAGGCAGACACAAGCCTATTTGCAAATTAGAATACAGAACCTGCCCAAATGCAAAGAAAAGATTGCCTGAAGGAAAAAAAAAAAAATCCCCCAAACCAAAAAGTTAATTTAAAAAGACTTCCCTTATGTGAAAAACACTGTATGTAGAAACAATTCAGTCAATGAAACTATTTAAGAAAGCTGTTCTTGTTAGTTTGCTATAAAATCTGCTGTAGAGCTTAATGTATTCGAGATAATACTAGAGTTTGATATTGGCATTCAACTATATAAGTATGTAACCGCCCCCTCCCTCACCCCCAACAGATTTAAAAAAAAAAAAAGTTCCAAACCTACTCCGGCCCCAAGTCATAAACAGGAAGGTCCCAGACACTTGTTTCTAAGTTCACTGTTTGAAAACTTAGAAAGTCTTTATATACAGTGGGTTTGCTTCCTGGGTTCATAGAAATATGTGTAACCCATAATATCCCTGAATAATTACCCCACCACAGACTGGCATGGAGGAAACATTACTGTGTGCCAGGCACTGATGGGAGTGTTTGCAGTTAGTTCTCACAACAACCTCACTCTTTACGGATGAAACAGAAGCTCAGAGAAGTACAGTAACATATCAAGGCCACATAGCTGCCAAGTGGCAGAAGTCTGATTTCAGAGCCCACAAACTTGGCCCCCTGGCTTCATGCCTTCCTATAGATCCTAACCACCACTTAATAGAGGACATTCATAGTTCCTCCTGGCTTCCTGGGACCTCAACCAGTGGTTGCAGGGTGGAGCTGGGCCAGGATGAGGACACAGGGATGGGGACCCCAGAAACAGAGAAGACAGAAGGTAAGGCAGAGACTGTAGGATGAAGCGGTTAGCAAGGATTTGGGGGAGAACACAGAAGTGGGCATTCTGAGAGGCCTCTAATTTTCCTCTATCACTAGCTGTGAATACAACACAACCACACAACTAGCAAGAGGTTAAAATTTCAGGCGGCCCTGGACTTAGAAATCCATTCTACTCCCAAAAAGGTTTTCTTGCAAACCATCTGTTTCTAATATAAAATGCATTTTTCCCCCATAGAAATAATGTTATAAACAGTGATTAGGTTTCCAGGTTAGCCCACAAAACCTACTTATCCATAATGTAACTTTACTACTATATATTTGCAATAAACAATAGCAGAAAACAATGAGATTGCAGCCATTTGCATTATATAGCAGTTTTCTTCTTTACTTATTTGTGTTTCTGCTCAGCTGGTAGTGTGGGAACAGCGCCCAGCTGGATCGACTTTTAAATTTATTATTACAGTATTGTATTTATACAGCATTTCTATTTTTTTAATGGGCATGGCTTAAATTATTAATTGTTTTCATGCCAACATAAAGAACAGGGAGGCCCACCTCTGAAAAGGAGCTGAAGTTTCCAAGCAGGTGAAATACCCATGGGCCGGGCTGGGGGACCTTGAGAAGCCAACTCTGTTAGGCTAGAATCTTGCAGTAAAAATTTACCACTTACTCAACCTTGAAATAGAAACTCTGAACTCAGAAATGTAACTTCTACTTCCTGCCACTCAAATTTCATCAGCATCCTCTAATCTAATTGTTCACCAAGAGCAGACAGTCCCTGAAGGAATCTGATAACTACATATCAGGTAAGTGGCTTGAATGTGGGGGTTAGTGTGAACTGTTCCAAAGATTCTACACTGATATAATATCAGAAAACTTTTAACAAGGAAACAATCCAGCTTCTCTCTCTCCCAGGAAACAAGAGACTGCATCCATGCTGGGGGAGGGCTTTGCTATAAGAGCAACCCAAGGTCTTTTGCTAAGTGATTTGAAACAGATGTCTGCATTTTTAGGGAAGGCACAGAGCCCAGTGGAGGGGCGAGGTGGTCTCCAGAATCGGGGGACTTTCTTTACAATTGCCAGTCCATGAGATGAGGAAACCAAAGTCTACTGAATGGACGAGAATAGGAAGTCTGTGACAAACTAAACTTCAAATGAAAGGCCTCCAGACTCTTTAAGAGGGGAATGCCAAAACATAAGACCAAAATAACTTGCTGGGAAAGCTCAAAAATTGGATCTTCATCACTGAAGCTGAAAGTCAGTCTACATGATAAAATTATGCTAATAACAGAGACAATTAAAAGATTTTTTTTAAGCAAAAACATCTAACATGCCAGGCGATGTCTTTTCACATGATTTGATTCATTTATTATTCACAACAAACCTCTAAGTAGCTGCAATAATTGTCCCTGCTTCACAGATGTGGGAAACTGAGGCATAGCTGGTTCCATATTGCTTTCCTAAGGTCACAGGGATAGTAAGCAGAGGAGCTGACCTACTAAGTCAGGCAGTGTAGCCTCAAAGCCTGTGGTCTCATCAGCTACCTATATTGCCTCTCAGAATAGCTAATAGTGACTGAGCCCATCTGTCTTAGTCTGTTTTGTGTTGCTATAATAGAATACCACAGACTGGGTAATTTATAAAGACAAGAAATTTATTTTTTACAGTTCTGGAGGCTGGAGAGTCCAAGGTCGAGGGGCCTGCATCTGGCGAGGGCCTTATTGCTGAATCATCCCATGGCAGGAGGTGGAAGAGCAAGAGAGAGCGAGGGCATGCGCATGTGAACAAGAGAAAGAGACTGAATTTGCAGCCTGAAGCCCTTCTATGATTGGCATTAATCCATTCACAAAGGCAGAGCCCTCATGACCTAAACACCTCTCACTAGGTCCCACCTTTCAACAGAGTTGCATTGGGGATTAAATTCCCAACACACGCTTTTTAGGTGACATTTTCAAACCATCGCACCTTCCTAGTGCCCATAGGCCAGGCACTGTTTCTGGGGACTTCTGGGAATTAACACAGTAATCCTCACAACCAGCCCATGAAGTAGGTGTTATTGTTACCACCTCCATGTCAGAGGTTGAGAAACGGAGGTGCAGAGAGGTTAGT
Organism: Homo sapiens; assembly: GCF_000001405.40. Lineage (NCBI taxonomy): Eukaryota > Metazoa > Chordata > Mammalia > Primates > Hominidae > Homo > Homo sapiens. Next base: position 94,203,640 of record NC_000012.12, on the reverse strand, counting down.
TAGCATGGTGTCTGGCACTGGCATCTATCTCTTACTACTACACCTAATTGCTCAAAAATTTTGAAGGCTTCCAGGGCAGCGACATCACAAATGCCAGCATAATAGCAAGTAGATTCTTCCAAGACATGAACATATAGGAAAATACAAGTTTTACTCAATTTCTCAGCATTTTTCAAACTGTGTTCCTGGATTTGTTTTGGTGTTAATATTAAAGTAGGGTTCTATTGCCAAGAAGCTTGGGAAACACTAGTTAAATAAAATTAAACAAGTCTCTCTGCTGCAGGACTTCTCAGAGCCTTGTAGATGCCACTGTGCTTTGTAACTTTCTGAGACAAGAATGAATGATGTACCATCTTCCAGCTTTTTTGTTGAAGGATGTTCTGAGGGATGAGAAATTCTAGTCACACATGTTGGGAACCACTACCTGGTCTGGTTTAATGAGCAATAATCCTCACGGCGGATCAAATTACAAAACTTTGTGCCTACTTTGGCTAGTTTGGGTAACTCTTGTACCCAAACGAATTCTAAGCATCCTCTACAACCCATGCTTACCCCCCACCTCTCACCTGGGTTCCTGCAGCAGCCAAATGAGGTCTCCCGCTTCCCACTTCCTGTTCCTCTCATCAACCTCCACATCAACATCTGGGTTACTCTTACGCACAGAGCTGATGATGTTACTCCCTGCTTAAAAATCTCTCATGACACCCTTTCTCCCATACCAGACTCTCCTGTCTACATGCCTTTCAGCACCTCAGTCTGCAATACATGTTTCCATGCCCATCTCTGACCCCAACACTGTGATCTGGCCCCTGCCTTCCTCTTCAAACTCATCCCCAGGTAAGTTTGGTTGATGAGTCTATCTCTCTAGACTGCAAGCTCCTAAAAACACCCATCCCTGGTATCTATTCCATAGTGCCTCGTGGAGAGCAGGCATTTGATAAACACATACAGGGCAAACAGGCCAGGCCCTCCCGAGCGTGTGCCATCCTCACTGCCCTGAACGTGCCTGGGCCTGCAACACTTGGTGAAATCACATTCCTTGTTCAAGGGCTATTTCAGTGTCTTCCTCTATGATGTTTGCTCAGACTCCAGGCAAAGCAGTCACTCCCTCCTCTGTGTCTCCATGACATTTACACATGCTCCTACTCTACACAGCATACTGCATTAGTTGCTGATTGCCTGCCTGTCTCTCCAGCTACACTGTAAATCCCCCAAAGGGAAAGGCCCACCTTATTCACCTTTGCACCCTCAGGGCCTAAGACCATACCTGGCATTCATTCTACAAATATTAACTGAGAGCCCATCAGATGCCAAACACTCCACTAGGAACTGCAGACACTTCCATGGATAAGCCAGTTAAGTTCCTTCTCTTATTGAGCTTACAGTCCAGAGAAGCACATAGACAAAAACCAAATAAACAGACAATCATTTAAAATAATTTCAAATTGAGGTACGTCTTCTGCAGAAACCAAAGATATAGTAGAAAGGAACCCACTTTAGACAGGCTAGTGAAGAAAGATGGCATTTCAGCTAAGCATTCAAGGGTGAGAACCATGTAGTCGGGTCAAGAGTAGTAGGAAGAGGCCAGTGCTAGTGGCTTATGCCTGTAATCCCAGCACTTTGGGAGGCCAGATCACTTGAGGCCAGGAGCTCAAGACCATCCTGGCCAACCTGGTGAAACCCTGTCTCTAATAAAAATACAAAAAATTAGCTGGGCGAGGTGGTGCATTCCTGTAATCCCAGCTACTCGGGAAGCTGAGGCACGAGAATTGCTTGAACTGGAGGCAGAGCCTGCAGTGAGTCGAGATCATGCCACTGCACTCCAGCCTGGGTGACAGAGCAAGACTCTGTCTCAAAAAAAAAAAAAAAAAAAAAAAAAAAAAAAAAAAAAAGTAGTGGGAAGAGCAGTCCAGGCAGAAGGAACAGCATGTGCAAAGTATCTGAGTGCACTTAAAGCATGGTCTCTGCAAGGAACTGATGAAATAGACCAGCTTGGCTAGAACTTAGTGAAGGAAGGAGGATAGTGGTTGTGCCATTTGCAAGCTGGTGACCTCAAGCAAGACATGTGCCCTCTCTGTGTTTCAGGCTCTCCATCTGCAGAAATGCAAATAATAGTTTTCACCTGATGAAGTTGGGAGAAAAATGTACATCTGTTCTAAGAGTTTACAATTATGCCTCAATAAATATTCATTATTATTATTATATTATATGGGAAAATGGAACAGAAAATTTAGGCAAAAAAATGGATGACATAAGCCAAAGACAAAATGGTAGTGATGAGAAAGGGATTTGGGCAATGAGGTTGACCAGATGCCCTTTGGCATTGCTCACACACCAGCTCAATGCCCAACATGCCTTTTCTATGTAAGGAGGCAGACACAATTCGAGGCTTCTTGGGGGATTCTTAATCACAGCTCTGTTTCCTCCTAAATATTAAAGGGTTCTTTGGAGTCCTTTCATACCTTGAGTACCAGCTATTAGAGCATTTTACACAGTGTATTGAAATTATTCCCACACTCACCTGTGAACTTCATCAGAGTAGACCCTCATTCATCTTTGTTTCCCCCAGGGCCTAGTACAGGACTTGGCCCATGGCTGGGATTCAACAAAAGGTAGCTGAATTGGATTAACAAGGAAATTTTAAAATGGCTAAATTCTTGTCTGTGTTTCAGTGATACCAGCAGAAGTCATTTCATTGATTTTTGTTCACTAGGTTGGCCTGTTCACTGGCGTGGTGGAAAAACAGCCTTTGTCTTGAAACTTTGAGCTATTTAGCACATAAAAAACACATTTGCAGACTGAAACACTCACACAAAATGGGTTTGTGGCCTTTGCTCCATGTGGTTCTTTTGTGGGCAATGAGTGTACTAAAAGTTGGTGTTTATTTCCAAATGCAAACCATGAACTAAATAATTTAGGGGAGCCATTTAAAAAAACAGCAGCATGGAAATAAAAATGGGAAAATGACACCTCTTGAGTCAGAAGGGTCTGGGTTCAAAGCTGCTCTCCCATATACTCCCTGTGTAACTGGGGGCCACATTCCTTAGCCTCTGTGGGCCTCAGTTTCTCCACCACTAAACAGGTGGCAATGATATTAAAACCCGATCCTCCTGAAAGCAATATCAAATCCCACATTTGGCCTATCAGAAACAGTGCACCCTCCATATAGCAGAATAAAAGCATCAAAATGTTTAAAAAGCAAAAAACAAAAGACTGGCAGGAAGGCTTCGAATGAAGACCTGAACATTGTGTTTGGATATGGAGGAGATGCTGGGAACAGGACAAATATTAGGTCACAGAGACAAGTGAAAACATTTGAGGAATATTTAAAGGCCAATCAATACATTCTTATGAAAGTGCATGCTGCCTGAGATAAGGTCATTTCAAAAAAATCTATTCCATTACAACATATATTTACTAAAAGGGATGTTCTTAATGGTGCTTGTTGGAAGTCAGAGAGCATCCATTAGAGATGGTGCAGGTAAGTAGCACGGAGGCTGAGGTCCGAGAACGTCAGTTACTAGCTCCACTAAACAAAAAACAAACCTGGCTGGGCATGGTGGCTCACGCCTGTAATCCCAGCAGTTTGGGAGGCCAAGGTAGGGGGATCACGAGGTCAAGAGATAGAGACCATACTGGCCAACATGGTGAAACCCCATCTCTACTAAAAATACAAAAATTAGGCGAGCATGGTGGCACGCGCCTGTAGTCAGTCCCAGCTTCTCAGGAGGCTGAGGCAGAAGAATCATTTGGACCTGGGAGGTGGAGGTTGCAGTGAGCCGAGATTGTGCCATTGCACTCCAGCCTGACAACAGAATGAGACTCCATCTAAAAAAACCAACCAACCAAACAAACAAACAAACAAAAAAGCCTGGCTTCTGAGCATGGCGAGCACTTTCCCAGTGCCAACTGTCTGGGACACCAAGGGTGGAGAGGTGCCCCTTAGCACTGCTATCCCCTTTGCCTTCTGCTTTGAAATACATAGAACTCATAGCTCCTCTCACAGCTGAAAAAGGAGGTAGAGAACCCACAGGACACAGGTTGACCCCCAGACCCCTTCTGGTGTTGGAAAGCCCCCCAAATCCCTTCCAGCATTCACAGTAACCCAGATGCATGGACTCAGCCCACACAACGGTAATTCAGTAATTCCCTGAGGCCCAAAGGACATATTCCTCTTTGCTCCCCACCGCTTCCACCCCACAGACAGTTGTCCTACTTGCTTCTACACAATTAGTCGGCACAATGGGGTCCTCACACGAGAAGGAGGGGCCATCCCCAATTCCATTATCATTATTGCTGTCATTAGAGCCTCACTGGACCATAAAGAAGTGTCACCGCACAGACGTCAAGCTTGAGATCTGCACAAGGACACATCCCGGATTGGAAGGAAAGGAGGAAGGCTCTTCTGTCTCAAATTGTCGGCCATTCCACTCAATAGTGCAATAGCCCATGAAGGCGGATAGCCCCAAAACTGAGTGGGTCCCTTTGGGTCTTGGCTCAGATGCCCCTTCTCACTGAGGCCTTCCAGGGCTCCCGTTTAAATTTAGCGCCCCCTGCCTCCAACTAGCGCTCCCCATTTCCTTTTTCTGCTTTATTTTCCTTCACAGCCCTGTTTACTCTGTGACATGTTCTCTCTTTCCTCATTTATTTTCACACTGTCCATCTTCCCTCATGTTGTGCGTTAAAGAGTGTTCCCCCAAATTCGTGCCCATCAGAACCTCAGAACGTGACCTTATGTAGAAATAGGGTCTTTGTAGATGTAAAGAGTTAAGGACGTCGAGATGAAATCATCCTGGATTTAGGGTGTCCCAGTGAATGGGAATTTTCTAGGAGAAAGGAGAGGGAGATTTGGACACACAGAAGAAGGTCATGTGAAGACCAAGGCAGAGATGGTTATCCTACCCCAAGCCAAGAAACACCAGGAGTCACCCGGAGCTGGGAGAGGTGAGGAAGGATTTGCCCCTATAGCCTCCAGAGGGAGCCCGGCTCTGCTGACACCTTGATTTCAGACTTCTGGCCTCCAGAACTGGGAGACGATAAATTTGTGTTGGTAGTAATTTGTTATGGCAGCCTTGGGAAACTAAAACACCTCACTAGAGGGAACTCCATGAGGGCAGGGATTTTTTTTTCAATTTTTATTTTCATTTTAAGTTCCAGGGTACATGTGCAGGATGTGTAGGTTTGTTACATAGGCAAATGTGTGCCAGGGTGGTTTGCTGCACCTATCAACTCATCAACTAGGTATTAAGCTCAGCTTGCATTAGCTGAGCCTATGTGTGTTGTCCCCTCCCTGTGTCCATGTGTTCTCATTGTTCACCTCCCACCTATAAGTGAGAACATGCGGTATTTGGTTTTCTGTTCCTGCGTTAGTTTGCTGAGGATAATGGCTTCCAGCTCCATCCACATCCCCAAAAGGACATGATCTCATTCCTTTTCATGGCTGCTCATTCCTTTTCATTCCATGGCACATATGTACCACATTTTCTTTATCCAGTCTATCATGGATGGGCATTTGGGTTGATTCCATGTCTTTGCTAATGTGAATAGTGCTGCAATGAACATACGTGTGGAGGGATTTTGACCTGTGTTACTCACTGCTAGTGCTTAGAATCCCAGTGCTTAGGACAGTGACTGACACATATCAGGTACTCAGTAAATACCTGTTAAATGAATGCATGGTTGCCTAAGCTTTCAAGATGGAGGGTTTTCTCTGACTCAGGTGGGCCCTGAGTGCCGTGTCTTTCTTATACATAGCAGTTATCACAAATGCTCCATTAGGGCCATTTGCTCCAGGCTCTCCCCTCTCCACCCACTGCCATGAGGGATAATGTCCCTTGCCTGTGTCTCTTTGTTTTGCTCTAATGGCTTAGGAGCTAGAGCTAAGCCCAGAGTTGAATCCATTACTTGTACAACCAGTAGTAGGCAGAATAATGGCCCCCAAAGATGTCCAGGTCCTAATCCCTGGAATGTGTGACTGTGTCACCTTACATGGTGTCTCAGTCCATTTTGTGTTGCTATTACAGAATACTACTAACTGGGAAATTTATAAAGAAAATAAATTTATTTTTTACAGTTCTAGAGACTGGGCAGTCCAGGGTCAAGGGGCCTGCATCTGGTGAGGGCCTTCTTGCTGCATCATTCCATGGTGGAAGGGCAAGAAAGCACGAGGGAGAGAGAGACAGAGAGAGAGAGAGAGAGAGAGAAAGGGGCCTAATGTATCATTTTATCAGGAACCTACTCCTGTGATAAGTAACCCACTCCTGCAATAACTAACCCACTCCTGTGATAATGTCATTAATCCATTCATGAGGACAGAGTCCTCATGACCTAATCACGTCCGAAAGGTTCCACCTCTCAAAACTGTTGCACTGGGGATTAAGTGTCCAATACATGAACTTTGGGGGATACATTCAAACCATAGGACATGGCAAAGGGGACTCTGCAGATGTGAGTAAGTGGAGGATCTTAAAATGGGCAGATTATTTTGGATTATCTGGGTGGGCCCAATGTAATCTGATGATGCCACACTGTTGGTTTTGAAGATGCAGGAAGGGACCATGAGCCAAGGAATGCTGGCTGCTTCCAAAAGCTGGAAAAGGCAAAGAAGGGCCTCCAGAAGGAGCACAGCCCTGTCAATGCTTTGGTTTCAGCCCAGTGAAACCCACTGCAGGCTTGTGACCTCCAGAACTGTAAGATCACAAGTGCATGTTGTTTTAAGCTGCCAAGTTTGTGGGAATTTGTTTCTGCAGCTGTGGGAAACTATACATAAGCTAAGGCTGTTCTCTAAGAAGTGGGGATTGTAATAGTGCTTTCTTCATGGGGTACCAGGAGGACTAAATGGAACATGGCACAGAACGTGCAAGGTAGTGTCTAATGTATGATAAGCATATTCTTCTCTACCCATGCACACTGTCTCCTGGCCAGGCCTGGACTCGAGGCAGGCTCCCTGTGGAAGGGGCACTGCAGCCGCCTTCTGAATGAGGAACAGTCACATCCATCTGGACTTTTCTACTGCAAAGCCTTCTGTGACCCTGTGTTAGTCCATTTTTTGCATAGCTATGAAGAAATACCTGAGACTGGATAATTTATAAAGAAAAGGGGTTTAATTGGCTCATGATTTTACAGGCTGTACAGGAAGCATGGGTAGTGTCTGCTCCTGGTGAGGGGCTCAGGAAGCTTCCAATCATGCTGGAAGCGAAGGGAGAACAGGTGTGTCACACGGCTAGGGTGGGAGCAAGACTGTGAGGGGGCAGGTGCCACACTCTCTTAAACAACCAGATCTCCTGTGAACTCAGAGTGAGAACTCGCTCACTATTGCCAAGGACAGCACCAAGCCATTCATGAGGGATCCGTTCCCATGACCCGACCCCTCCCAGCAGGCCCACCTCCAGTACTGGAGGTCACATTTCAACACGAGATTTGGAGGAGACAAAACATCTAAGCCCTATCGGGCCCTCTCTGCTGTATGTAGCTCACCTCTCATGATGACAGAACAGACTAACTCAGGCTACTGAAGAATATGGCCATAAATTACTGTGCACCATGGATTATACTGGTCAAGTTTCAGGGCAATCACAGTCCTGGTGGGAAGGATCCCAGCAGGTTAATGATAGGCCTGGGGGGCTTGAGGAAGGAGTGTCACTTGGAGAAGAACCCTCAAGACAGGAGAGCAAGATAAAAAAAGGAGCTGGGACGTGTCCACAAGCAACTCATGTAATTCTTTTCATTTGTTACTCTGGGGTGTTGGGGACAAATATGTTTAGCATTCAGATGGCAGTTTTCTCTCATGTGTTAAAAATACCCTTCTGTTATTCCCAACCCTTCAGAAAGTCTGATAGGAAGACTGACCACAGGGCCCTGCTGTTAGACCGAGCGAGAAATGATCTCTTTCACGATCTCATGCGTGGAACAGCCTAACTGCAGCTGAAGACCTAAAAACAGCCACCAGGGGCTGCTTGAAGGTCTTCCAACTGTCAACATGGAAGAAACATGTAGAAAAATATGGAGTGAATGTGAAATTTGTACAGATAATTGAAGGACGCATACAGATACCTTATAAGCAGCATGCCTGGGGGCCTTGCCTCCACCTGTGTGTACCCAGTGCAGGGTGGAGCACGAAGTGTTGGGAGGGTGAATGCAAGTGTGCTCTTTCCTGTAGGGCCCATTTTCTGAAGAGGACCCAGCCCTGATTCCATCATGGCACTAAAACCAGAGCAAGTGGGGCCCCATGGATGCACTGGGAGACGTACTACCTCTCCCAGTGGGGAGGTACATGAATTCGGAGAATAGCCACCAAGTAACTGACTCAGGACGAGATGTGACATAAACTCTCTCTTTACAAAACACACCAGAGGAAAGTGACCCAGGAAGGGTGGGGTGGGAGGCCGGGAGAGACTTGGATTAACGTGGTTCATCTTCCACACTGCCAGTGGGATAATCTTTTTAAAACACAAATATGGCGCTGGAAGGCCTCTGCTTAAAACCCTGTCATGAGTTCCCAGCACCCGCTAGTAAGGTCCACCCTGAGAGCCCACCCAGCATCTCCACCCACTTCCTTCCTTCTACAGCCAGTGCATAGAACTCCATCTGCCAGTCTCTCCACAGACCTCTCACTGCGCTGATTCTTCTGCCTGAAATGCCTCCCGACCACTCTTCCCCTGGTGAAGGTCTACCCAGGCTTCAAGGCCAATTTTAAGGCCACCTCCTCGTTGAAGCCTTTCCCAACCTCAGGGACAAGTAATGACTGCCTCCTTGGGCTTCCACCAAATGACAGTTGACACAACTTCGTTGCCTACCAGGAGCCAGGCACTGGGCCTACAATGATGTACGTTATGGAATTTAATTCTCTCAGCAAACCTCTGAGGCAGGTACTATTACTATTATTATTGAGACAAGGTCTCGTTCTGTCACCAAGGCTGGAGTGCAGTGGTACAATCACGGCTCACTGAAGCCTCAACCTCCTATGTTCAAATGATCCTTCCACCTCAGCCTCCAGAGTAGCTGGGACCACAGGCATGCGCCACCACACCCAGCTAATTTTTGTATTTTTTGTAGAGACAGGGTTTCACCATGTTGCCCAGGCTGGTCTTGAACTCCTGGGCTCAAGTGATTCACCCAACTCGGCCTCCCAAAGTGCCTGTAATCCCAGGATTATGTGCCTGTAATCCCAGCACTTTTTTGCAATACCTGGCCAATTATAAATGCCACTTTATAGAAGAGGAGAAGTGGCAGAGATAAGAAACTGGCAGGTCACACAAAGCCCAGATTCTATCCAAAGCAAAATGCATTTGGGACCTGATATCGTTTGGATCTGTGTCTCCACCCAAATCTCATGTTCAATTGTAATCCTCAGTGTTGGAGGTGGGGCCTGGTGAAAGGTGATTGGATCATGGGGGTGGGTCCTTCATGAATGGTTTAGCACCATTTCCTCAGTGCTGTTTTCGTGATGGTGAGTTCTCTTGAGATCTGGTTGTTTAAAAGTGTGTGGCACCTCCCCAACCCCCCTTTCCTCCTGTTCCAGCCATGTAAGACGTGCCCTGCTTTCCCTTCACCTTCTGCCATGATTGTAAGTTTCCTGAGGCCTCCCCAGAAGCTGAGCAGATGCCAGTATCGTGCTTCCTGTACAGCCAGCAGAACCATGAGCCAACTAACCTCTTTTCTTTATAAATTACCCAGTCTCAGGTATTTCATTATAGCAGTGCAAAAACAGACAAACACAGGACCTTTCCTCTGTCCTCATAGGCTGTCCTGCCCATGTTGCCAGTGTGGAAGTCCACCCCCCGCGTTTCCCATGCAGCCCAAACAGGCCACTCCTTCTACACTCCCTACTCAGTAACCGACACCTCTGTCCATCTGGTCACCCCAGCCAGATGCCTGCACTCCTTCCGCTGTAATCTCAACACCAGCTTCAATGCAATAACTCACCCCACTGCACACTCTGAGACTCAGCGCTGGTGTCTCTCAGAAGCCCTCCCACATTTGACTCAGGTGCCCATCTTTTGGGGTCTAACCTGGTGCCTAGCCCAGTGCCTGGGACACAGGAAGAATCAAGTGTACATGTGGGTATCACTTGTTTGTTTTCTTCATGAAGACTGAGATCAAAGGAGAAAGGATACATCTTCCAGAAAAACAGTGGCCACCTTGAGATTTTATTTTTCATTTTATGGCCCTATTTTTAGTGTGTCAGACTCAAAGGGGAATCTAATTAATCACTAAGCCCTGTCAATTCTATCTTCTAAATAGCTCTCTAATCCACCCACTTCCTTCCCTCACCACTACTATCATTCTAATTCAGTCCCTGGTCTCTTACTGGTTTACAGCCACCTGCTAACTGATCTGCCAGCTCTTCTCAGTCCCCTCCGGTCCACCTTGCACCCCAGAGTTCTCGTTCTAAAACACTCACCTGATCTGGTCGCACTTTTAATTAAAGCCCTGCAATGGCTCCCCAAGGTCCTTCCAACAAAATTCAAATTCTTTAATGTGAAGCTCGTCCACACTGAGCTTCAGGCCAAGCTCTCCTGGCCTTTGTACAGCCTGGTCCCTACACCAGCTTCCCCTGCCTCATCTTTACCTAGCTGATATCCCCCTACCCTTCAGGTTCAGATTAGATATCCCTTCCTCCAGGAAGCCTTCCTTGACCTGTTAAGTTTGGGTTAGATAATTTTATGTGCCCCCATGAAACCCTAAACTTCCCCCATGCTAGCTCTTATGACACTCTATTCATTTATCTCCTTTACTTATTGATAAGAGTGGATTATTGCTCCCAATTCTTCAATCCATCCTGTACTAGAATGACACACCCACACTACATTTTTGCCAGGTCACTTTGCAGAATCTTCCACTAGAGTAGGTGGAATATATTTCCCTACTCCATGGATATTGGGCTTGGCCATGCAGCTTGCTTTATCAATGGAATATTAGTCAGCATGATGTCAGCCAGGGCTTAGAACATGTTGTCTAGTTTAGCTTGGTCTCTCATGCTACTTCTATGTGCCTTAAGAAGAGCATGTACAGAATGAGAAACATGGGAAACAGACCTGAACTCAACCTTCAGCTTGACATTGACCCCACCCTTCTTCCCATAGCTGACAGGCTGACCCATGAGCATGAAAAACAAATGTAAATAAATGTTTGCTCTTTTAGACCACTAAGGATTTGGGGGTTGTTTGTTATACAGCATTACTAGATCAGAAACCTAACTGATACACATTATATCCCCCATTAGATTGCAAGCTCTATAGAGACAAGAAAGAACTGTATCCTGAGCACTGAGCATAGGACTTAGCACATTGTTGTGCTTAAAAAATATTTGTGATTGGATGTAGGATTGAATGAATGAATGTTGGCCATTGATAAGTCTGCCTTCCCAGCTAGCATGCGAGTTCCTTAAAGCCAAGAATGGCATCCGATTTCTCTCAATACTACCTAGCTATCTCATGCCCCAGATTAGGCTCTCACTAGGTGTTCAATAAATATTTGTTGAAATTAAATAATTTTGGATTTTATGGGCTGGCTTGGGAATCAATCCTTAATTTATGACATTGTTTCTATGGGAAAATGCATTCTGCATGCCAAACAAACTTGCAAATGAACTTTTGGAACCTCACCCATTCATTGGTTCGGGATTGCCAGTTTTGTGGAAATCCATAACTGAACACATGTGCTATGCTTTGCAATATGGGAGAAACTGAGAAACTGCTTCCAAACCCAAGATATTCAGCCTGCAAAAATTCACTTTCCACCCACACAGACAAATTCAGCACAGGTTGGATCTGAGGTTCCAACAATAAAATACTAGACTTTTTAGAGCTCATTGTTTATCTAATTGCTTTTTATCTACTTATACTAGATGCCTATTCCCTTTTTTTTTTTGAGATGGAGTTTCACTCTGTCACCCAGGCTGGATCTTGGCTCACTGCAACCTCCGTCTCCTGGGTTCAAGTGATTCTACTGCCTCAGCCTCCCGTGTTGCTGGGATTACAGGCATGCACCACCACACCTGGCTAATTTTTGTATTTTTAGTAGAGACAGGGTTTCACCATGTTGGCCAGGCTGGTGTTGAACTCTTGATCTCAGGTGATCCACCTACCTCAGCCTCCCAAAGTGCTGGGATTACAGGCGTGAGCCACCATGCCCAGTCTGGATGCCTATTCTTAACATCTGATCAAAAGGAAGTGAAGATAGTTTTCTTGCCTCTCCCCACCATTCCACTTTCTAGACATGTATGCAAGAAAACTCAACCTTCTCAACAGAGAAAATAAATTATTTTTCTAAATAAATCCATGACATTTAAAATAAACACAGTGGGATGCTCTACCATTATAAGAAAACATCCCCCTTTAGAATTCCTAATTTTGAATGGTACTGGGAGCTTCATATGAGTCACAGATATGAGACTTAGTTTCATTTCATTGTAGGCCAGAACCCAGGCTGTCTGAAACCAAGTGGTTTCTGACATGGCTGTGAAGGGCCATCGCTCCATGACTTCAGAATGTCTTATAAGATTTAAGGCACAAGTCTTAACCTGCTATTGGCAGAGTCGACCAATCACTCAGCCTATCTCATTCATTTAACTTATGTTTTTCTGAGCACATTTCAATAAAGAGAGGTAGAGAAGTAAGGTCATTCCTAATAGTGATGGGCCATGAAGAAAATAAAACAGTAATGTCACTGTGAGTAAGGGGAGGCTACTGAAGACTGGGTAGGCAGGTGCAGAGAGATGTGTGCTCTAGGACCAGACCGTCAAGAAAGAGTCTGCCATAGAAAGATGTGGGGAAGAATGTACTAGACTGAGGAAACAGCACATGCAAAGGCCCTGGGGCAGGAACATGCTTAGCATAGTCTTAAATCAGGATGTCTGGGGTTAAGTAAACAAAGGAGAGAATGGCATGAGAGGTCAGAGAAGTGGTGAAAGGCCAGATCACGGAAAGCCTGGTATGCAGGCCCTGGCAGCAAGGGAGTCAGACTGAGTTCTAAGATGGAAAGCCAGGGGAGGGTATTAAGCTGGGGAGTGACATAATCTGATTTGGATTTTAAATGAATCACTCTTCTTGGAGCGCACTGGGATAGGGGTGAGGGAGCAAGAGCAGAAGCAGGCTTTTGGCCAGGTGTGGTGGCCCACGTCTCTAATTCTAACACTTTGGGAGGCCCAGGAAGGAGGATTGCTTGAGCCCAGGAGTTCAAGACCAGCCTGGGCAACATGGTGAAACCCCGTCTCTACAAAATACAAAAAAAACCTGGGCATGGTGGTGCACACCTGTGGTCCCCACTACTTGGGAGACTGCAGTGGAAGGATCACCTGAGCCTGGGGAGGTCTAGGCTTTAGTGAGCTGTAATTGCACCACTGCACTCCAGCCTGGGTGACAGGATGAGACCCTGTCTCAAAACAAACAAAAGACTATAACTCACAGCCAGTTATCAACAGAAGCCCCCATGTCTTCAACCTCTTCTCTGATTGTTCCTTTCCCCTTCTCAATATTACTGAAACCAGCTCTCCTTCGAGGCCACAGCTTCCCCAGGCCCCTCTCAAGGCCTGGCTGCTTCCTCTCCCTCATCTAGCTGTCCTATTTGTGTCTTGCAGCCTCTTCTGGAAGATCCTTCTTCTCTCTTTCCAACACTTCCTCCCCAGCTTCAAAGCCCATGCTGTCAGCTCAAACCACCCCAGGTCCCTCCTCATTGTGATCATTACAGACCACCCCAGCCCTGGCCACTTCCCTTCGTTCCTTGAATATGTAGCTCCTCACTCTCTTGGTGACTGCGATTTCCACACAGATGATGGAGCCATTTAGTACTCTGGTAACCACCTCAGTTCCTTGACACCTCTCTGCCAATGATCTTGACAATCATATGGCAGACCCTGTCATTGCCAATAACTCCATCCCTCCATGACCTCAATATCAAGCCCCCACAGTCCAATAATTCCCCTTTCCAATTCTCTAGTTCCAACAATTTTTTTTTTTTTTGAGACAGGGTCTCACTTTGTCATCCAAGCTGGAAAGTAGAGGTGTGATCTCAGCTCACTGCAACTTCTACCTCTGGGACTCAAGCAAGCCTCCCACCTTAACCTCCCGAGTAGCTGGGACCAGAAGCACATACCACCACACTCAGCTAATGTTCATATTTTTTGTAGAGATGGGGTCTTTGCCATGTTGCCCAGGCTGGTCTCAAACTCTTGGGCTCAAGTGATCCACCCACTTTGGCCTCCCAAAAAGCTGGGAATATAGGTGTGAGTCACCGCGCCTGCCCCTAACAATCTTTAAACTCAACTTGAACTTCCAACACAGACCCTGCCACCTTTTCACATCCCTACCCCTATCAGGTCCTTATTTCCCTCCTTAGAGCCCAAGTGCCATCATTATATGAATCAACATCCATATCGATATCATCATCCATTCCTTACATGCTCCCTCAGCTCCCTGGCCACTCTCTCCTTTCTTGATGTATTTTCCGGCAAAGCCCCCAAACTGGCTAAAGCTAACTTTTTCTGAGTCTACAGCTATACCACCAAAGCTGAACGCAGCTTGAGAAAGACAAAACCATGCTTACAGCTCTCACTTCAAACACAGGACCATCAACCTCAAGTGGGCCCTAATGCTTCCTGGCAACCGCTCGATATTTCCCTATTCTATTCTCCCTCCTAGTCTTCCAGTCCACTCCTTCTCTCTCTTTTCTCCTCAAACCTCCAGTGCTTCCTCCCTCACCTCATTCTCAATGGCCGTAGGCCACTGAAAATAATGTGAGCAATAGGAGAAGACACCACACAGGCCTCTGCCACCTCCCCATGCTTGGGCCCAGAGTCCCTACCTTCCCTCCTACCACTGAGGGTGAGGGGCCAGTGCTCCTGTCTGAGGCTGGCCTCCCTACTGGCACACCAAGTCATATTTTCTTCCACCTGCTGAAAGACTGAACACTCCACAACCCTTCTCTCTCCTGTATCATCCATTTCTCCTTCTCTTCTGGAATTTTCCCAACAGTGCAGACATGCACTGTTATTTCATGCATCTTAAAAAGACAAAACTGGCTGGGCGTGGTGGCTCACGGCTGTAATCCTGGCAATTTGGGAGGCTGAGGCAGGCGGATCACCTGAGGTCAGGAGTTCGAGACCAACCTGGCCAACATGGTGAAACCCCATCTCTACTAAAAATACAAAAATTAGTCGGGCATGGTGGCACGTACCGGTAATCCCAGCTACTCGGGAGGCTGCGGCAGGAGAATCGGCTTGAACCTGGGAGGTGGAGGTTGCAGTGAGCCAAGATCATGCCACTGCACCCCAGCCTGGGAGACAAAGCCAGAGTCCATCTCAAAAAAAAAAAAAAAAAGGACAAAAAGACAAAATTCTTTGGACTCTACTTTCGCTTTCAGTGTCTGCTTCATTTTTTTCAGCTGCCTTTCTCAGTAAAGCTTCTCTAAGCTGTCCCTTCTTAAGGTCTTATTTTCCCATTGTCTCTTGTGGATTTAGCGCCACTCCTAACCATGGCATTCCCAGCAGTCACCCATTGTCACCTGCTAAGTGCAAAGGATCCATTCTTTTCTTCTCCTGCTTGACCTCTCAGCTGAATCTGACCCAGTGGATCACTTCCTCCTCCTTTCTTTCCTTGGCTTCCAGGAGACCACCCTCTCCAGTTTTTCCTCTTCCCCTTCTGACTGCTCCCTCCTTATTTCTTGTTCTGTTTCCCCTCCTTCTCCCCAACCCCTAAACACCACAGCCCCTCAAGGCCCAGTTCTCAAACTTCTCTCCTCAATCAACACTCACTCCTTCGTCTGGTCTTAAGGCTTCTCTAAGTACCATCTAAAATACTACCAACTCCCAAATTCATATCACCAGCTTGGAGATCTCCCAAAAGCTCCAGAGCTGAGCTTGTTAATACGTTAGCCGCTAGCTCCATGTGGCTATTTAATCACCACCATCATCGCCACCATTATCGAATTGACTCCTGTACACAGCTCTACAAATACAGACAGGGATGCTACATAAATGAATGGATCTAAAAGATTATGGCAAGACTGCTCACTGAGTGTGCAACAAACAAATCCCGTTCGTGATCAGTGAATTATTCATGAGCATTTTTCTGGCCCTTGCTTCGTTTGTCTGCCAGTGACTCTGACGGAAACAGCCCGGTAAGGAAGCGTAGCAAATGGCAGGGGCAATTATTCCTCTTGCTGCAGCTCGGATTGCGCCTTCCCCCGTGAACTCTTAATTAATTCCATCCCCGTATTTTTGATTTGTTTCCTAAACCTCTTGCTTGTATTGCATTTCCCCCTCTCCCTTCATTTCTCTTGGCTGTCTCCCCCTTCAGTCACCAATTCTCTTCCTCCTGCTCTTTTCTAAACCCAAACTGTCCCCTGGTTCAGCCTTCAGCATCTCTCCACCTGCTCTGCTCTTTCTTATCCTTTTCACCTTTAAAAACTGAAAGCACCAAACTGACAGACACTGTTATGGGTTTTTTTTTCTCTCTCTCTCTCTCTCTTTCCTGCCTGAGCTGCAGCGAAGGCTCTCTCCTCCTTTGCTTCTCCAGCAAGAGCCCCAGTACTGGGTTGCCATGGCGACGGCGAATCCAACCAGGCCGGGCCCAGCGACGCTAGGAAACTGCCATGGCGGGGAAGCCGCTCCGAGTCGCCCCTGAGCCTAGATGGGTCGTGAGCATCGTCATTCCAGACCAGGCTGGGCAGATTCTGCCCGGAGACTGAGATTGTACATCAGGCCCACAGCTGCGCGGCGCATTAGGAGACGGCGCCATCAATAACGAGGCTTCTGCGGAGCGAACAGAATACATGACATACATGATGGGGATTCAGCTGAAAAATTTTCAGACATCTCTATTCTTTTATCTTCTCGGAGGGGGGGCCCTTTTGCCTCTCTCTTGAGTCTTGGCGAACTCTGGAGAAAGTAAAAGCCAAACCTGCCTGCTCTCTCCCGTTCTCCTGAAGGCTGCACACCTGCCCCTCCCGCCCCGAGACTGGGGAGCTCCCGGGTCCAGTGATTGCATAGCACGGACGCCGCTGGAAACACCTTCGAGAATTCATTAGGATTGCACAACAAGATTTTAGTCGAGGAAGAGATCAGTTCCCTCAGGTCACTGGAATGGATCGTTAAAGTAGGGCAACAAGTGTTCTGCCGCATGACACTTTTTCAAAAATGCGAGTTGGTGAGAAAGAATTCAGGAGATACCTTTGTAGCGAATGGCACCAACCGCAGTGAGGGTCTGTGGCTGTTAAACACTCCGAACAGGATTTATGTTTATTGCAGTTTGCAACACGAATTCTCCTCACCTAAAAGGAAAGAGGACAATGGTTCAGATGGAATTATAAGCAACAGCAGGAAAACTACAACACCTTATCTAATGAAGGGCCAAAAAGAGCCTATTTATCAACTTGAACTCAACACCTCCATACTGGCACTGGGCAGTGGGTCTCAAGATCTAGGACATGAAGTCATTGTATCACAATCACCTGGGGAGCTTTTGACAGTGCGTATTCCCAGGCCTCTGCCGCAGAGACTCTCGCTAAGTCTGGGGGCAGAGCCTAGGAAGTTGTATTTTTTCATTTAAAAGATTTTTTTCTTAAAGACACAGGGTCTCACTACGTTGCCCAGGCTGGTTTTGAACTTCTGGGCTCAAAGCACTCCTCCCAAAAGTGCTGAGGTTGCAGGCGTGCACCACTGTGTCTGGCCAGGAATCTGTATTTTAAGAGCTCTCTCTCAGGTGAGTCTGACACCCAGTTGGGTTTCCGATCTGCTAATGATGATTTCCATACGGATCATGGAATCAGGTTGCCTGGTTTTCATACAGAGACAGTCCATATGTGGCCAATGGCATTTTGGAAATGAGTATTAGGGAATAACAAAGGCTCTGCCCCAGGAGTGTCAGCAGGAGTTTGGCACTCAATGTGGAAACGAGGAGGACCAGGGACGAGGCCCTCCCACACCCCTGCCAGGGGCAGCGCCGTCACCTCAGCTCCTGGCTTGTTTTGCTCACACCCCTCCAGTGGAGTTGAAAATAAAAGAAACAGGGGGAGTAGTCAAATCATTTCCCCATCCCTAGAGCTGCCTCTTGCCATTGTCAGGAAACAGCAGCCCACAAAGAGGGCACCCCAGCTGGGCAGACCCAGACATCTAGGCAGCCAGTCAGAGCCTGCAAGTAGGGCGGTGAGAGGCAGGGAGTAACTGAGCATCACACAGAGCACTTTCTGCAGGCAAAACCACACAGCAGGTAGTAAGGGAACTTGTGGAACTCATTATGCCAGGAAGTTGTACATGCTAGATAGTATAAATAACTTCTTTAGCAGGTTAGAGAAATAAGGAGTTCTAGAAGGGACCTCTCTATTTTTCTCTATTTTGTGAGGAAAACAAGGACTATCCTGAGCTGGATCCTTCAGTTCCAAGTTGACTTCATGGAGGATAACCACGCCCTTCCATTTCATAGTCCCCAACACTGCTGACAGATGCAGCTGGCAGCCCGTGATCCTGAGCCGGAATTAACCAGAATAGAGGTATTTCCTTGTAGTTCACAAATGCCTCTGTAACACTGATGGATTTTAATAAGTGTCATGCAATCTCTCTAACCTTGTTTCCTCATCTGTAAAATGGATCACGACTTCATGGGGTTATTATGAACTATTGTCTGACAGGTACTAAATGTTCAATAAGTATTGGTTACTGCTATTATGCAAGAAAAGGGCTCCATGATCCAGCAAACATAAAACCTCAGACTGAAAAAGCAAAACGGGTTTCCTTAGCACAGGGCTTCTCGGAGCCTTTGACTATGCTGAGCCTCACAGTATTCCAGGAGGGGTATAGTAAGTAACAGCTGGTTCTGGGACCACTTTTGCTCAGAGCATTCTGTGGAATATGGGTCTCCAGAACATTCTCTGAGAACTATTACTCAGTCTATTTAAACACACAAATATAACTCTGTATAAGAGGGAGGACACTGGCTGGCCGTGGTGGCTCACACCTGTAATCCCAGCACTTTGGGAGGCTGAGGTGGACAGATCACTTCAGGCCTGGAGTTGGAGACCAGTCTGGCCAACTCTGTCTCTACTAAAAATACAAAATTTAGCTGGGCATAGTGGTGGGCGTCTGTAATCCCAGCTAGTCAGGAGGCTGAGGCAGGAGAATCTCTTGAACTCAGGAGGTGGAGGTTGCAGTGAGCCAAGATCACACCACTGCACTCCAGCCTGGGCGACAGTGAGACTCTGTTTCAAAAAAAAATGAGAGAGGGCCAGGCGAGGTGGCTCACGCCTATAATCCCAGCACTTTGGGAGGCTGAGGTGGGTGGATCACCTGAGGTCAGGAGTTTGAGACCAGCCTGACCAGTATGGTGAAACCCCGTCTCTATTAAAAAAAAAAAAATACAAAAATTAGCCGGGCATGGTAGCGTGTGACTGTAGTCCCAGCTACTAGGGAGGCTGAGACAGGAGAACTGCTTGAACCTGTGGAGGCGGAGGTTGCAGTGAGCTGAGATTGCGCCACTGCACTCCAGGCTGGGTGACAGAGCAAGACTCCATAAAAAAAAAAAAGAGAGAGAGAGAGAGGACACTAAAAATACTACATTAGACCTGCCCTCTAATTTAATAACAGACCGTAGTGACTATTCCATATCAATGCCTACATCTCCATATGATTATTTTTAGCGGCCCCGTATCATACCATTTTATGGATATCCCATAGCTTATTAGTTTGGCTGTTCTTATCTCCCCAAGAGCCTTCCTTGGACTTTGTCTCTTTAGGCGTTATATTTGCTCAGCCAGAGTTCAAACAGTAGGATCTCTAGCAGTAATCCTCAGTGAAGAATGCAGGGCTAACCAGCTTTGATGCCCAGTCAAAAACTCTTCCCAGGACTTCAGGCTTTGAATGATCAGAGGCTAGAACTTTTTGCTTTCTAGAAAGTGGGAACCCATCAACTACTGGTGGCTTTTCATAATGGTTCCCAGCCTGGGGTCCTGAGTTCTGGGGTTCCATTACTATCCATGAAGGAAGTAATGGGGGCTTATGAGCTATTTGCAATATTTCAGACAGCTGAATGGAAAAACACGCATGGATTAAGGAAGATATCAAGTTTCTTTGCTTTGGGTTGGAATTTTATCAGCTCCATGTGGGAACACAGTCAGTACTCTGACCGGCAGTTTTGAGACGCCCTTGATAAATAAACCCTGGGAATGGGAACTGTTACTTAATATGTGCAGTTTGTTGGGTAGACAAAAGTCTTTCAAAGATGGGATCCCCAGGGAAGAAACATAATACAAAGTGTCTGCATGGTGAAGCAAATTGGCATAGGAGATTCTATATGGTGAAGGACTGGTTTACAAGCTCTGTGGGAAGATGTGGCCATCTCAGTGTGGTCATTTTGATATAACTGACTTTTCAATGTGCAAAGAACAGTATCGTCTTTATAAGAATACCAGAAACTACAAATTGCTTGCACATCTTATCTGTGACTCAAAAAGCACATGTAGATTGCTGTCATTGCTATTTTCCTTAGAATGACTGAAAGGAAAAGAATGGAAAACCAGGGTTGGGCTGAGAGTATCTGTTACATCCATTATATAATTATGTAAGTCTCAATTATCTTCTTTGCACTTTCCATGTTCAAACGGTCATAGGTCAAAACCACTGAGCCAGGGAATGTCCAGTTTTCACAAATTTTGGATTTAATATCATTTATCAGAGGCTTTAGAATCAGGGTTGAGTTTTTGTCACAGCCCTGCAAAGGCTAACCTATAGATAGATAGATAGATGATAGATAGATAGATAGATAGATAGATAGATAGATAGATAGATAGATACAGATATTCTTGAACAAGTTATTTAACCTCTCCAAGTCTTAGATTCTTCACATAAAATAAATTAATAACACATTTATTTTTATTAAATTAATAACACATTTCTTTTTCTTCTTCTTTCTTTTTTTTTTCTTTTTTGAGACAGAGTCTCACTCTGTTGCCCAGGCTGGGGTGCAGTGGTGTGATGTCAGCTCACTGCAAACTCCACCTCCTGGTTTCAAGCGATTCTTGTTCTTCAGCCTCCCAAGTAGCTGGGATTACAGGCATGCACCACCACGCCCAGCTAATTGTTTGTATTTTTAGTGGAGATGGGGTTTCATCATGTTGCCCAGGCTGGTCTTGAACGTCTGAACTCAGGTGATCCCTGCCTTGGCTTCCCAGAGTGCTAGGATTATAGGTGTGAGCCACCATGCCCAGCCTTTTTTTTTTTTTTTTTTTTTTTTTTGAGACAGGGTCTTGCTCCATCACCCAGGCTAGGGTACAGTGGTTTGATCATGGCTCACTGCAGCCTTAAACTCCTGGCCTCAAGTGATCCTCCTGCCTCAGCCTCCCAAAGTGCTGGGGTGACAGGCATGAGCCACTATGCCCGGTCAGTAACACATTTCATTAACACTGTTTTCTACACTTGTGTGTATGTATATGTACACAATTCTATGCACCTAGACAGAGATCATGCAAAGAATAGTGACTAATGCATAGTAGAGACTCATTAACAATTAGTTTCTTTTCCCCTTCCCTTGGTGACAGCACTTGGTAAAGATGAAGAAAATATAAAAATATATTACTTTTATTTCAGTAAGCAGAAGCAAAAGAAAAGCCAAAACAGCAAGATAAATGAAGAGGGGGAGGGGGAGTACCATATATTTCCTGGTTCATGAATGTGTATGAGACTGTGGCCTGATATTAACCCCAAATTCCAAAGCCAGTCCCATTGGGTATATTCATAAATGCATCTAACCGTTCAGTGCCCACACAATAAATGTGTAAATTCAGTTACCTTGCTGATTATGCGCCCATTTCCAAGCACACCCTCCTCTGAAAAACTTGGCACTGGAAATATAGCCAATAATAAAATTGTCTAAATAGATAATATTTCTTGCTTACTTACTGACAGTCAGTAAGGTTTTTAATTCCGTGCCTGTGAACCACTGCGGGTCTCCTCAAAGCCTGGGGCACTGCTTAAACTCTGTAGTTCAAAGTAAAAGCTTTGCTACTAGATAATGACATCAATTAAACCATTTTTATTCATAAATCAGAAGCAATAACTAGTATTTCTACCTACCTCTTTCCCAGCTGTTAGATAAATGTAGATATTCTTCACAGGATCAGGAACGAGTTTGTAGAAAACAGGTGTCTCTTCTTTAATTTCATAGATAACCTCTGGACAATTTGAAGTCAAATTCTCACCAAGAATAACCTATTTTTTTTTTTCAAAAAGAGAAACATGATTTCTATTTAATACTTTTTTTTTTTTTTGAGACGGAATCTCGCTCTGTCGCCAGGCTGGAATGCATTGGCATGATCTTGGCTCACTGCAACCTCCGCCTCCCAGGTTCAAGCAATTCCACTGCCTCAGCCTCCCAAGTAGCTGGGACTATAGATGCACCACACCCAGCTAATTTTTTTTAGTAGAGATGGGGTTTCACTACGTTGGCCAGGATGGTTTTGATCTCCTGACCTCGTGATCCACCCGCCTCAGCCTCCCAAAGTGCTGGGGTAACAGGTGTGAGCCACCACTTCCGGCCTCTATTCAACACTTTGAATAGCAGGGTGGCAAAAATTGTAGCTTAATCATAAAGCTACATCCTTTTTCACTCACTACAAATACTGCCTAAGGTACCATGCTCCTTAATCATCCTCCCACATCTCAGTCCTCAACAAGGCTGGTAATAACAAGCATAATATTTCTTCTTTTGTAAAGGCAAAGTTACCAAAAATGAACAAACAAAAAAAGCCGCTCTTCAGGGCTGGGGTAGTATCCTCATATGTGGAAGCTGGCTGACCACAATTTCTGACCATGTCTGGCCCTATAGGAAGCCACAAGTGACAGCTTCATTAGTGCTGTCTCAAGAGAGACTGGAAATTAAAGGAAGTAGCTCCCACATGTATTTGCACAGGATACTCTGATCATCATACAGTTAGAAGTGACCCAGATTAACTTGGCAGATACAGACAAGTAGGTTTGTGTTCACATATAAAATATACGCAAGTGTGACTCAGTACTCAGTGGTTTTGAAATTGGACACACCTGAGCTTCATCCATCTTCAGTCAACAAACATCTACCCAACACCCATTATGTACCCAGCACTGTTCTGGGTGTTTGAAAAATGGCAGTGAACAAAATGGGGAAGGGAGAGCTCCTGACCTCATAGAACTTACATTCCTGTGTGTGTATGGTGGGGTGAGTAACAGCAGACTATTAATAAGAAAAAAGTAAATTATAAAATATAGTGGGGTCAGGGGTTAAGAGAATATATGTTCAGGGTAGGTGTCACTGAAAAGGTGATATTTATTTAGACTTGCAGGAGATGAGTTATTTTCATACTTGAATGAAACATGTTCTTAAAAGCAGCCCTGTCAGTGCAAAGAAACTAAAATGGGAGGAGGCCAGGGTGGCTTCAGTGGAGAGAGGTAGAGGAGTGAACAGTAAGATAGTAAGATAACAGGGGAATGATAATCAAGGGTCTTGTGGGCCTGTGTAAACAGCCTGCCTTTTACTGTAGATGAGAGAGAGGAGGCCATGGCAGGGCTTTGGGTCAAGGAGCAAGAGGAGATGGTAAGAAGGCAGGGTTTGAAGTGTGGGTATGAAGAGCCATCGGGAGACTCGAATCCTATAGTGCTAGAGAAGTATAATGGTGGCTTAAGCTTGAGTTTGCATCCTGCCTCCATCCTTTAAGTAGCTGCACTACTTTGAACTGGTAACTTAATCTCCCTAGGCCTCAATTTCCTCATCTCTAAAATGGGGCTAATAGTGCCTTCCTTATTACAGTTTTGTAAGGATCAAATAAGAACTATGAAAGATGCTTAGCACATAATCAATAGTCAATAGATAATAATCTGTTACTAGATTGCAAGCTCCTTTTGCGCAGGGACCATGTCATTTTTTTTTTTTTTTTTTTTTGAGATGGAGTCTTACTCAGTCGCCCAGACTGGAGTGCAGTGGTGCGATCTTGGCTCACTGCAACCTCTGCTTCCCAGGTTCAAGCCATTCTCTTGCCTCAGCCTCCTGAATAGCTGGGACTACAGACATGCGCCACCACACCCAGCTAATTTTTGTATTTTTAGTAGAGACGGGGTTT
Source organism: Homo sapiens (assembly GCF_000001405.40). Taxonomy (NCBI): domain Eukaryota; kingdom Metazoa; phylum Chordata; class Mammalia; order Primates; family Hominidae; genus Homo; species Homo sapiens. Next base: position 94,179,562 of record NC_000012.12, on the reverse strand, counting down.
CACCATGTTGGCCAGGCTGGTCTTGAACTCCTGACCTGAGGTGATCCGCTCGCCTCTGCCTCCCAAAGTGGTGGGATTACAGGCGTGAGCCACCGTGCCTGGCCTGGGACCATGTCTTAATCACCTTTGTACCTAACCTTTAATCTTCTTTGTACCTAACACAATTTGTACCCACTACTTTGAAAAGTGAAGGTGTTCAACATTTTGTCAGTTTGAACACATCCAGATAGATTATCTGTATTCATATCTCTACCACTGTAGACATCAGCCACATTGGGCGCATGGTTTCAAAAGAAAAATTTGGCACCTGAGATTCTTTTTGGACAAAGTCTACTTCACACATCTACTAATCAATAATATGCCTGTTCCCACATATCCTGATGGCAGTTAGGGATTTGCTGTTTAGCCAAAGGCTTCTTATCAATTTTGCACAGAGCAACTTCCCGCATTCACTTCTCCTTTCCAGGACCTGGGCCCGAGTCTAGCTTTGCCCTGCGATCAGTGACTTCCTTCCATCATCTGCTTGGGCCAAGCCCAGGTGGATTTGGTGCAAATAGTGGCTCACTTGAAGCCCTTGGACTGCTCATCAAATTCAGCAGCAGCTTTGTAAAAGTCAATCTCACTAACCAAACATATGAAATATGACTTCTTAAAAGCTCTTTTTAAAACAGAAGCAGTTAGGTCCTAAGGGAGGTGGGAAAGGTGTGTGTCTCAAGTCATTTTAAAACGACTTTATAGCTGCACTATCAAATATGACAGCCGCTAGCCACATAATGGCTATTTAAATTTAATTAAAAATTTACATTTAATTAAAAACACTAGCAACATTTCAAGTGTTCACTAGCTACCTAAGGTGACTGGCTACCATACTGGAGAGTACAGATGTAGAACATTTCTATCACTACAGAAAGTTCTCTTGGCCAACACTGCTCTACAGAATCCTGTAAGTGGAGCCAAGGGACAGGCACTGACCAAGGTATGGGCTTGCCAGGATTTGCCGTCTCTAATTCATTAGCTGTATTAATCAGCTCAGATTCAGTTGATCTGGTTCTGGAAAGCAGTTGTATAGGGAAAGAGAAACAGGAAGCCAGTTTTTGTTTTTTTTAAACAAACACTGATAGAAATATTATCAAGGAAGGGTCAAGAGAAGAGAAGCTGCTGCCCTGGTATCTCTTCAGGAATTCATCATGGCAAAAGCATCATTGGGCAGCACCACCCATAATGTATTCTTGCCAATAAAGTTGAAACTGAATCTAGTCAAGTCTTTAGCACTAACTTCCATTTAGCACTAGGAAGCAGGAGTAGAGGAACAAGCTAAATGACACCACAAGGAAGCAAAAAGCCAAACACATGATAAGAGACATTCTATAGGGCAAAATACCTGGTTTTTTCAGTTAAGTCAGTGGCAGGGAATAAAAGTAAGGGAGGAGACTGCTCTAGATAATAGAACAACCAAATTTGGTTTGAGGACTTTGTGCAGATACCAATTTGAACAAAACCATTTAAAATACCTTTTTGAATCAATTGGGAATACTTAGTTACACAGACTGGATAGTAAGTGATCCTAAAGAATGACTGATAATTTTATTAGCTGTGATCATGGCATTATGGTTACTATTATTTAAGAAAACAACTGTAGGTTTTGAGAGATGCATAACGAAATATGTTGAGGTGAAACGACATCATGTCTGTGGGGTTTGCTTTAAAATAACAAAGTAAAAACATACTTTACACCACCACTCATCCATTTTACGTAAATTAGGAGCTGCACTGCAGTTTTTATTGGGGGCTTATTTTATTTACTCTTGGAGCATCATTGATACAGATGGTCAGCAAGATCTAGTTGGGTGCAACATTGATTTATTTACTTGGTACCTTGGAAATGAAGCATCAATATTCTCTCTAGAACTCTGAATTGTGGCAAGGAAGCTTTTCCTTTCCTTTCTCCTCTCCTCTCCTCTCCCTTCCTTTCTCCTTTCCTTTCCTTCCTTACCTCTCTCTCTTTCTTTTTCTTTCTCTCTCTTTCTTTCTTTCTCCCTCTCTCTCTCTTTCTTTCTTTGTTTTTCTTTCTTTCTTTTTTTACAAGTTATCAAAAAGTTCTGTGGCCCAGGATTTACCAATCAGTTTCCTGAAAAAGCTACTTAGCGTGGCTTGCACTGAAGCTTGTCCTGATAGCCATAGATGCTGGGTTTAAATTAGTATGTTTCCTCAGTGGTGGAAGCCAGACCTCTCTAGAAGGTAATTTGGCATCATCTATCAAAATTACAAAGGACATACCCTTGGACCCTGCAGCCCCTCATATATATATACATATATATATATATATATATATGTATATATATACACACACATATATATATACGTATATATATATACATATATATACGTATATATATATATACATATATATATACACACACACACATATATATACACACACACACATATATACACACACACATATATATATACACATATATATATACACACACACACACACACACACACATATATATGAAATGACATATATTCATTGTAGCATTGTATGTTATAAAGAAAAGATTAAAACAACTTAAATCTCCAGCAATAGGGAACTGGTTAAGTAAACTATAGTACAAACAAGGAAATACTATTTAGCTATAAAAATAATTAGAAAGCTCTTTGTGTTATATTTAAAGTTATATGAAATATGTACATATATCTATAAATATAGACATATTTACATATACAGGTATTTTTACATATATAACATATATGTTTACTGTGTTTTATGTTTCAACAAAAGGGAGGAAGAATATCTTCACTCTTTTGCCTGTAGACAGATATAAACTATCTCTGGAAAGATACCCATGAAACTACTATCATTGGTTGCCTTGGAAGTCAAGACCAGGTGCCTTTCACGGAATATTTTCTTGGTTCTTTTGAGTTTTAAACAATATCATTGTATTACCTTAAAAATAAATATATAACATTTAAATTTAAAAATCCTTGAGGGTGAGTGAGTCAAATTGTTTTTCTTTTTGCTAGATTATGCAAACAATGCTCTCCATAATCCTGAGGACAGGACAAGAGGAAGTTTTAGTTTTCACCACAAAGGTCCCAAATGTGCTACACAGAGGGGTGAGGGATTTCTGCTTCCGTGGCCCCTGGAGTCTCATCTCTCTCAGATGACTAAAGGACAGGTCAGTGTTCATATCATCTCTCACCTAGCCCGAGCCCCAGCCCACAGGCACTAATGGAACACTTGGACTTTCTAATTGCAAACTTCAGGAGAATATCAACACACAGACAAAAGCCAGCAAGACTGGAGCAAGGGAAACGTTCCTTCCTCAGCTCAGTTTAGGTGGGCAGCCTCGGAAAAAGAACATGATCAGTGAAGCAATGCAGGAAGTAACAATGAGTCACAAAAACCCAAAACGGGTTGAATTTTGCATAAGAGAAATCTCATCCAATTCACACACACAATCCTTGGGCACGATGTGGATTTTTATCTTCCAGGATACGACCTTAATATAGATCTAATCTGAAGTCAATCTGAACCTTCTCCATGTGTATGCTTGTATACTCCTTTATCTTTCAAGTCTCCAACATCACCTCCTCTGAGAAGCCTTCCCTGATCACTTCTCCGCTGAACACCTCTGTCACTCTCTACCCATCACTGTATTTTCTTCATAGCACTATCTGAAGTGTCTTTATCGCTGATTAATCCATTTACTTGTTTTCTGTCTTTTTCTTCCCACCAGCAGAGCAAGGGCATTGTCTGTTTTGTTCACCTTTGTATATTCAGCACCCAGAACAGTGCCTGGCACATACAAGGTGCCCAGTAGATATTTATTAAATGAAAAACGACGCTATTAGCATTCAAGATTTTATAGGGCTCTTCAGCTTTTTCCAGCTGAAGCCTGTGTAGAAAACAAATTTTCTCTGATGGAGAATTTCAGTTCGTGTCAACATATTGTTTCTGTTGATGTCTTCCTGAAGCCTCATGGTAGACTATTAACGAGCCTTGGGATTTTTGTTGCATATAAAACTCCCAACTACACTGCTGAAATTAACTGAGTGGAGATTTCAACACCATACAATTGTAAGACAGGTTCAAGATCACCCACAGGAAGGATATCATGGTGAGGAAAATGAGGGGGGAGAAAAATTAAACAAAAAACTATTTTTTTTTCTTTACGATTACCATGAGATGGAAAAGCCACGGGTGTTCAAAAAGCTATAATATTTTATGCCAAATTTAATTTCCTATGCCTCACTCTGTGGGGCTAACCAGTTGAAGGGCAAACAAGCCAACCCTTTCATTTATTATTATTTTTTTCCATAAGCAGTTTCTGAGAAATGCTGGGAAGGAGACTTAAACCACACATACACACACACAAGCTCACACACACATATGCACGTGCATGCCTGCATACATATACACACACGTGCATGCCTGTGCATGCGTGCACACACACACACATGCACACACAGGAGAAAGCAAGGTAAGTATTTAATGTGCCTCAGTAGTTAGGAGTAACAAAGATGAAATATAAAGATCAAGGCAAATTTCTCTTTTGTTTCCAATCTACTTATTGCAGTGTAGGTAGTAAGAGAAGCATACAGTCTGAACCACAGGTTCTAGATTTGTGGATTATATGGGACTAAAAGTTTCAAACTGGGGAGTCCCTGCAAACTCATAAATTGCAATTAATGAGGTGGGGAGAACTTGAAGCAGGCTTCACATGACATCCTAAACAGCCAACCAATGAACCCACTTCCAAGTTTTGACACTTCCTCCTGTTTTAACTTTTTGGTCTGTTAGCTCAGTCATCCCCACCACCACCACCACTTCCGGTCCCAGGTCCTGTTCTAGGTTCCCCAAGTTCTCCTATTCCTTATTTGAACATCTTCTGGGTATATAGTACAGCTTGCCTTTACAAAAGATTTTTTTCTCTGACATTCATTCAAAAACTTCAATAACCAGAGTCAAGGCAGACTCTTTAGGCAGTACAGAGTTTTTGCTTCTGTTTGAATTCAGACAGAACTTTTTGGAACCGGTTTAATTTTGCTGTGATTTGAATAAACGAAATCCCTGAGTGGCGCCGTGTGCAGTGGCTCATGCCTGTAATCCCAGCTCTTTGGAAGGCCGAGGTGGGAGGATCTCTTGAGCCTAGGAGTTTGAGACCAGCCTGGGCAACATGGCAAAACCCTGTCCATACAAAAAAATTAGCCAGGTGTGGGGGCACAGGTCTGTAGTCCCAGCTACTCAAGAGGCTGAGGTGGGAGGATCGCTTAAGCCTGGGAGACAGAGGTTGTAGTGAGCCGAGACTGCACCACTGCACTCCAGCCTGGGCAACAGAGCCAGACCTTGGCTCAAAAAAGAAAAAAAAATAAACAAAAGAAAGCCATTAAGTGGGAGTAGAGGGCCACATAGGTAACCAGTCTGAGCCCAAGCACATAGGAAATACCTCAAGACTGGATATGGGGACAGGATAGAGCTATGTGATATAGCTTCCTGTATCCTGAACCCTACTGCAGTCCCTGGGAGGTCGGGGAGACACTAGTCTTTACTGCTGACACCATTCAAAACAGCAACTTGAATACAGAATTCCTACCTTTCCTACAAAGGAGCCCACTGGGGTAAAGCTGGGGCCCCAAAGGAGATTCAGAGACCCCCGTGGACTACGCGCAGCTCAGAGAGGAGCGGGCTCTGCACTCAGCTGGGTTGCCAGGAAGCCATCCCCAAATAGGAACAAACTAAACCACAGGGTTCTCGGCCCCTTCTTATGAAACCTCAAACATCTGCATCTTGGTATCAACCCTTATACCCCAGTATTAGAAAGAAATATAACAAAAACCAGCTCTCAAACTCTACTAAGCTCTGTAAGAGTTAATGCAGTTTAGTTGGGGGATAGAAGCTCGGGCTCTGGGACAGATTATTTTGGTTCAGAGCACCTTGAAAAAGATACCTAACCTCTCGAGGCCTCAGGTTTTTTCATTTATAAAGTGGGGATGGTGAGAGTATTGACTGGTAAGGATTAAACCAGTTAACCCGTGCAGATGCTGGTTCTAATGCCCAGCACACAGGAAGAGCTCAGAAATGTTAGCGATTATTCTTCCTTGCCCATTGCCTTCTTATCTTTTATGCTTACACGAAGGTTAATGGGCATGCATAAAGTTACAAATTTCAAATTTCATGCATATTCTGTTATTACTTACTTTACCACCTGGAAAAGCTCAAAATATGCAATTCTGCCTTTGAAATAAGGACAATTTTCTATGGGCAACAGAGTCAGCTCAAAGGAATCCAAACCACATGATAGGCTGTACTATAATCTGGAGAAAGACTCGGTGTGTGTTTACAGAAATGCATACATTGTGCAACACGTGCAGTGTGAATTCCCCAAAGCTGAGTTCAGTGTGACCATACTTTTCAGCTGATCTCAGTGGAGATGCTGACGACTGAAAAAAACCCGGCATGCAATCATGTTCCGAAAAGAAGCAGGATGGGGAAATAACTGCGGGGGTGACTAGACATAACTCACCTCACGACCATGGGACGGTACACCGATAAAATAAAAGAGCAGATTAGATGCTCTCAAAGGACCCTTTGAGCTCTAAATTCCTTCTATTTCCCCAAAATCTTATAAAGGGACTTAGGTCTATAGGCAAGAGAAGGAGGACAGTAAAGGTACTGGCATACTGTAGCCTTTAGTTTCTTCACAGATTATCAGTGAAATCTTACCTTTGGAGGTAATGCCGTCTTCCTTGGAAAATGCATGTCTTTAAAGATACTTTAAAAGTGATCCAGTATCTTAGCTTAAGTTCAAAATAATGTACCCAAATAATAGAATATGATATAGTTATTTAAAAATACTTTTTACAAAGGGTTTGCAATAACATTTTAATGTAAGCATTTTCCCTCACTAACTGAAGAAAAGGATGCAAAACCTGACCTCAACTACATAAATAGAGAATCCAAAATGCTGACAGCAGTTGCTTCTGCATGACATGATTAGGGGTAATTTTTTCTTTGTTGTCCTCTCACCCCCGACGACTCTGCAACTTTTTACATGAGCATATATTACCTTTACAATAAGGAAAAATTATTTAAATAACATGAGGCTTAAAATTGCACCAAATTATATTAAAACTCACAGGATTTGCAGAGATTTAAGAAGTCAGGTTTTTACTGGTGGTGGTAAAAAACAGCAGTTGGGCCCCAATTGCTGTTTCCTGACTCTCATTCAACAAGGTATACACAACAGTGCCTGGCACATGTCAAAATGCCGTCAACTCATGATCACTCAGAAACTGATGAGTCAGGCTGTGGCTGATCCAAGCCCTCTTTCTTCTCCTCCTCCTACTGTCTGCGTTGGGTTGAGTTTTGTTTTTTGCCGCTCATTAGTTCCCCCACGCTGTGGCTTAAGGAGCCAAGCTTGTGTCTATCAGTGTTCATCCTTTCTAACAGTTCTGGTGACAAGCCTTGGCAAGGGAGAAGCTGAAAGCTTCTGAATAAAGGGATTTGAGGATTATCGGTAGTTTCCAAATCATCCACACGATCCTGGGTCTTCAGGATTCTGGGTAAATTCAGGGGCTACATCCAAGAATCTGTACACAGGATACAGGGGAGAGGCTTGGGCATTACTGAGCTGCCCTAGGGAGCCTGGTGGGGCAAGTCAGCTCAAGTTCATCCCTCACACCCTTCTCCTGAGTGAGAGAACTTCTCTCTTATTGGGGGCTTGGGGGGTGGGTGTTAATTCCCAAGAAGTTACCACGCCAGTGAGGTATTTCCTCAGTCAGATGGTCCGCCTTATTCTCAAGCTGGGACTCTTTCCTGAGCCTCTAGGAAGGCTGACTCACCCCAGGAGCATGTGTCCCCAGCCACGGCATGGAACCCTATCTGCATGTCTCCCATGTGCCCCCGGAATCCTCAGAGAGTAGTACCAATGTGTGCGGCAGAGGTTGCAAAGTCAGTGCAGCATAGGGGATCTTAGTGCAGTCTCTGAAGTCATTCCAGGTTCAAATCCCTGCTCTGCCCCTGTGTGACCTTGAACAACAATCATCCCATTTCTCTGGGCCTCGATTCCCTCATCTGTAAAATGGGAATAGTAGGCCTGCCCCATTGTGTCATGGAGAGGACTGAATTCGGTAGAAGATATAGAGTCCCTTGGCATCTAGGAAGCACTGTGTAAATGTTAGCAGTCACAAAACAAACAACAAAAAGCTGCCTTTGTTATTCAAACCTTGAAAAAAACAACGAGGCCACACAGGTGGCTTCTGAATGGGTACCCCATACAGATCCTGAGGAGAGCGAGACTTCGGTCGGCTGCGGCCTCCTCAGCAGCATGAAGCTGCAGCTTGGTCCACTCCCTGGTTGCCACAACATCGCTAAAAGCTGGCCAGCGGCATGCAGGCTGCTGGGTGAACACACAGGACAGGCAAAACCAGGCCATCCCATGGGGAACTATTTATAGACGAGTGTTCCTTCACCTCCAATTCACCATGTAGCGGTTTGGTTGGCTCGGCTTTGGGGAAACAGTGTTCTTGTCAAAACACTCATCAAAAACATCCCAAATCTGAAGAGATAATTGGTGAGGAGGCCCAGAAAGGCTTGATGGAAACTCCCGCCAGGCAAATGGGTCCAATAAGCCTGACCAGGTTGGTGGAGCTACAGACGTCACCCAGTGACTTGTGTAGAATGATGGATGGGTATTTACCCTTCCCCAGGAAATAAAGCTAACACAACAGGAAAGATGATCAATGTATATTTTAAAAGAATGTGTATACAAACAAACTCCCTCCCATATGTTACTGGGTTTCCTCCAAAGAAAACAGATTAAATCAAATGCCTACCAGGCACTCAGCACTGTATTAGGCTGTGGGAATTCATGGCCCCCTTCTCATGAGGCTTAAAATCAAGTTGGGAAGGCAAGACAGACACCAGTGAAAAGGTGAGGTCTCCAGGCAAGACATTTGGAATGAGCCACAAGAATGACATAGATCATGAGTATTTCAGGAAATGAGAGGAGAGCAAGGTCACTCCAGGCCTAGATGTCATCAAAGAGGAGGTGGGGTTTGAGCTGAGCCACAGCATAGACACATAAGGTGCCGTAAATAAGAGAAAAAAGAAAAAAGCATTTCAGGCTGGAGGTACAGTGTGAGCAAGTGTGGAAACAGGATCATATTTGGAAACAGGATCAAACAGGAGCAAGTAAATAGGTTTGGCTTGGGGATGGGGATGGTGGGGAATACGTGTGCAGAAGACAGAATTAGAGACTTTCAGAAGAGGAAAGCGTTTTTCTGGGTTGTCTAGTAGAACTGTATTTTACTGGTAAGGAAATGAAGGCTCAGAGAGGTTAAGCAATTCACCTAAAGTCACACAGCGAGTTATCTGTGGGAGATCAGTTGAGGGAAACAGATCTACCATTACTCGATTAAAAATCTGAGCTGAGAGTAAATGGATGGCTGCAGAGAAGCCAAGGAATCTCAGTCTTTAGTCATAGAAATGGTGCAGTTCCTGACCAGGAATGTTGTTGGAGACCACAGAAGGTCTTCAATAAATGCTTGCTGATGACATTGATAAGATGAACGCTAGATAACTTCAGACAAGTCATTTGGTATCTCTGATTTTATTTTCTCCTCCTCCCCTCTTCCCCTCTCCTAAGTGAATAAAAACCTGCACTTGACCGGGGTGTGTCCACACAGTGGAGAAGAAATAGTCCTCTGAGATAAAAGTCAAGAGGAGTCTCAAAGGATTTTAGATCTCTAACCTCTCTGTGGTGTGTGTGGGTACAAAGGGCAAAAAACAAACCCCCTCTGTGGGTGGTAAGTGGGCTGGAGGGAAAGAACACCTGTTTTTTCTTCTTTTCAAGCCCTATAATCTCTCATCTCTTTCAAGTTGTGAGAAATCAGGTGCTTTGTACATTTCCATGATAAAGGAGCTAGAACTAAAAGGTTACATGTCTTGGGAAGGTGAGTCAGGGTTGGGGTAGGGACCAGACCTCCATTTACCTCACCCAGCTGGCTTATGAGTAAGGAAGGAAAAACATCTTGGTGCACTCCTGGGCAGCAAGGTAGCTGATACTTCATTACATGGCTACGGGGCATTCTTACATACAGAATTCCAGATTTTCTTCCAGGCCATTTCTGGGGGTCTTTAAGGAGTTCATGAAGTTCTTGGTTTGGTCTCATGTATAACCCAGAAGCATTAAAAAAATGTTTTTTTAAAGTACAAAATATCACCATTAAAATAGACATTTGAAGAAGGCACAGAAAACCAACCTTAAGTAACTGGCCATCTCCAGTCCCCAAGAATAAAACAGTCCTGTTCATTACCACGGTGCCATAAACGGATGTCAGGTCGGAATGGATCAAGGTAGATGATGCGATTGGTTGGACTCTTTCAGGTTGATCCCCTTCTTTCTGAACATGCACACAAACGCACAAAAAAATAATAATAATTTTTAACAACAATAGTTCTCATTATACTGATGAAATGTCACTCATGCCCTCCTAGGCAGGATCTCACTTCTGGGCCCCACATATATTCTCTTAGACTAGATTCCCCGGGAGCAACCTTTCATTACCTTGCAAAATCACCATACCTGCCCAACCAAAGAAAACCCCTGTTTACTATGTATGAACAGGTATTGAGTGCCAAAGCGAGCTGGCCATCTATCTAACACCCCTCAGCTGATATAAGAAGCTGAATTCCACTTTAGTGCCAAGAGACAGCCCACCGCTGAATTGGGAGGCAGACTATCTTATACTTGGCTGTTTTCAAAATCCTGCCGCCAATTCATTTTAGCTAGGCGTTGGCTTCTGTGAGGTTAAACACAAACATTTCCCAAGATGTGACACGGACGATCCTGTTGGGTGTGATGGCAGAAAGGAGGGATTCTAGATTTACCAAAAGGGACCACAGGAAGCCTAAAGACAGGGTAGCTAGTTGAGGGGGTGAAAAGGTAAAGATACAGTTGTGGACGATGGGTAGGATCGAGCCACAGAGCTAAGGAGGAACCAAGTTGAAGGGCTGGCCCTGGTGCTGATGCTTTTAAAGGGGAAAACAAAAAGTCTAACTCCCAACCTGAAGGCATTTAAATTGTCTGAGGCTCTGAGCACATGTAATCACACGCTTGGTCCTGATCATTAAATAAAGCCCCTCTTTAAACCCAGAGCAGAGAGAGTGTCGACCAAAATGTCTTTTTCTTTTTTGTTTAAAAGGAATGAAGTGCTTCGTGCTGCATCCTGCCTTCAACGACAGGAAACTGAGTTTGTTACACAAATCTCTGGAAGATATGGAGCTAGGAAGAGCCGTTGCCGTCTGCAGCTACTGAACACAGTGTGATAGCACACTTTATCTGCCAGAGCTCAGTTCCCAACTGTACTAAGGTTTTTAAAGGCACATTGAAGTTGCAGCCAGCAAACTTCAGTAAGCAACACAGCAACTCCTAAAATCGCCCTATTTGGGGAGGGGGAGGCTAAGACTTATTAACTTCATTATATTATCGCCAACAGTGTTTATGTCTTTCAATTTATGTCTTATTAAATATTCATTATTTTTAAACCCACCAAGTTTCATTAACATCTAAACTAAATGGATTATGGGACTAAATTGATTTCTGAAGCCTTTAAAGTGCCATCTATATTTCTTTGTTGAGGTTGCGCTGCAAGGACAAGATAAGCTAGCCAGGATTTGTCCAATGCCCTGATCACTTTTCAAGGAAAAGATGTCATAACCTAAGAGAAGGCAATGTTTTTGCATAAAATATTCTATAGTGAACTCGGTTTAAGAAGATTTAGGGAAAGCTCATTAGAGTTTCTTTTTCCCTTGTTGAAAGATACTTTTCATGCAATATGGGAAGATGAGGAGCTGTCCTGTGAAAATTGAAGTTAAGGAAAAAAATTCTCTGTGGGTCTAAGGTTGGAACAATAGATCACTGTTTAGATAAGGAAGCCTCATGACTATGAGCAGAAAAAGAAAAGTCGGATGACCTTTAGGATTAAAAAAATAAGTAAAACCATGCCACACATCTTGCTTTAAAATAAATCCAGAATTGTTCAAACGTAAGATCAGCTGACCATGCCTGTTATTTTTATTAAATATTTGAACACTGCAGAGAGGCTAACGCGGAGAATAGGGCATCGTCTCTGCCTGGGTATCCAGAATGTTCTAATACCACTATCTCTGGCTAGAGGACTCCATTCCCTTCATCTCACAACACAGAAAAAGTAATGGATGTGGACTGTAGATTATCCACAAGGACCAGGTGGGACAGTGTACAGCCAGGTCTGGTATACAGTAGGTGCTTAATACTGTACCTGTTCTAATTCACCAAGAACCATGGGTAGCCTTTCCTGAGGTGGGATGAGAGATCCTGTTTGCAAAAGACTGGATCCAAGAAAACAGAGGCAGCTCAAAAGCTAAAACGGAACAAGGAAAAATCCGTCCCAAATTACCATCTCACCTTTCCCGGTGTCCTTCTCTGATTTCTGGCTGTCCTCAACAATTGTAGTTTTTTTTTCAAAGTAAGTCCGGGATCAGTAGTATAGGTAACTGAGGCGAGAGGATCGCTTGAGGCCAAGAGTTGGAGACCAGCCTGGGCAACATAGCAAGACCCCCATCTCTACAGAGATAAAAAATCAGCCAGATGTGTGGCACACACCTGTTGTCCCACCTATTTAGGAGGCTGAGACAGGTGGATCACTTGAGTCCAGGAGTTCCAGGTTACAGTGAGCTATGATTGAGCCACTGCACTCCAGCCTGGACAACAAAGTGAGACCTTACCTTAAAAAAAAAAAAGTAGCATGGGTAAGTGGTGCAGCCATTAAATCAACATTCTCAAACTTGAGAGAACACCCAGCACTCGTTTACATTTGAGCTTGGTTCTCACTCACTGTGTGACCTGGGCAATTAATTTAATGCTGTTAGGGGTTAGCTTTCTAGTATCTAATAAGGCTGATGTGTCTGATTGGCAGGGTGGTTACAAAAAAGAGATGATGATAGTAATAATAATAATAATAATAATAATAATAATAATAATAATAATACCAGCTAACATGTACTAATACTTACTGTGTGCTACCTGAAGTATTTTATCATCTTACCTAATGAAGGCAGTATAGCATAGAGAGCCAGCCAGACCACCTAAGTTTGACTCCTGGCTCTGTCACTTTCTAGCTAAGTAATTTTGTAAATGTGATTTAATCTCTCTGTGACTCAGTTTTCTCCTCCATATGATGGAAATGATGATAAGAGCACAGACTTTTTATGCCACAGACTTTTTATGAGGACTGGGTGAGTTTGTGCGTAAGCCTCAGTAAAGCTTAGAACAGGTTTGGCACATAGCAACACATAACCCATGCTTGCTATCATTACTTCATTTAAAAACACAAGTTACTGCCACACCCATGGCAGTTATTTTCTCTTTGCCAAGAAGAACCCTAATTTTGTTCAGACAGCAATGAACCCAAGCCTGGTGGAAGCTATCGTTGGGCCAAGCCAAATGGCAGCTCCATTCCCTATTGCCAGACACTGGCTTTCCTAACCCTTAGAGCTGAGGGTGGTCATGTGGCCCAGTCCTGGGCAGGGAGATGTGAGAAGTCCACTGGAAGGATTTCTGGGAATAAGTTTCCTCATTGATAACAGAAGCCTCTTGAGGAGAACCCGTTTGCCCTCTTCCCTCACTTCCTCCTCTGGAATACAGTTGTGTGATCTCATCATGCATAGACTCGTGGCAACCGTTCTGTTTCCATGAGATTCAAGATGAAGGATACAAAGCAACATGCTAAGATTGGTGCAGGGGAAAGAAAAGAGATTCTATGTTCCTGGAGACACCACTGAGCCGCAGACCTTCAACTTTTAAACATTTTACTAAGTTAACAATAGTTGTCATGGTTTAAGCCACTGTTGGTTGCGTTTTCTGCTACTTGGAACCAAAAGGAAGTCACTGTTTAAGAAATGACAATCACAACTTGTTGGAGCGGACACTAAACTGCAGTTCTTCCCCAGCTGCAGGGACCAGGACGTGGACAAATGCTTGTTCCTCTCACCAGCCTGGAGGACCCTGGCCACAGTCAGGATTTTGCAGCCTATTACAACAGCGAGCCTGGAAGAAAACAGGAGAGGAGGCTTGGACCTCATGAAAACTCTAGGGGCTGCTCTGGCTGAATGGAAATGGATTCTTTTGTGCTGGAAACACACAGAAATGGACAGGTCCCTGTGAATGGGAAAAGGAACCCTTTGAATGGCTTTCTTATGCTTATTGCAGCAAATGAAAACAAAAGAAAGACAGGCTCCGGAGAAACGTCCTCACAAAAGTGAGGTTAATACCCAGGGAGCCAGGCAGAAGAAGGGGGAAACAGTGCAGTCAGCCCCCTGTGTCCAGAGATTATTCTTTCTCTCTTTTTTTCGGGCCTATTTTCTATCTTGCCCTTCTCTCCCCTTAGGGCATAATCGCTAATGTTGCTCTCAGCCTATTCTGTCTAGTTTATTATGTGTAATTTATTTCTGAATCCCAGCCTCTGCTTGTTCGTCTGTGTGTAACAAGGTTAATGCCTTGTAATGATGCTTTTGCCAGTTCTGCCTTTCATGACAAAATCCGATCTTGATTTCGCTCTAAACCTTGTCTCCCCTTTGGGCTTTCTTGGTTCCCTCAGAGTTGTCACTCTGCTTCTCCTTCCTGCCGTGTCTAAGCATAACGTCACGCCTACACGTTTGCCGGCTCTAAGAGGGAAACTTTTCTCAGTTGGAGGAGAAAGCTACCTTGGCTCAAGCGATGTTTGGGCTGAAAGAGAGAAAGAGCTTTGGGCCTGATATAGCAAACTGGGACCAAAGCTCCTGAGGTGTGTGTGTGTTTGTGTGTGTACGTGTGTGTGTGTGTGTGTGTGTGTGTGTGTGTGTGTGTGTGTGTGCAGGGAGTCATGGGCATATCATGAGGAAAACAATTAGACTTCTTTGCAGCTGCTTCATATGATTTTTCATGGACAATAAATACTCTCCCATTGTGCCCTGCACAACTGCAGGGGGTGCCAGTCATGCATTCCAGGGTGTGAAAGGCACCCTCTAGAGCTGAGCCACAGCTTGGCCCTGCCCCTACCATGTGAAAGATGGCCCGGCTCATCGAGGCAGGGTGCTCACAGCCATGCTCCAGCTTTTGCGGCATCATCGGGAGGGAATGGGCACAAAACTGGGGCCTCCAATGTTGAGCACCAAGCAAGAGTCAAGTGTTTTACCCCCAAGGTGCTAAAAGGATTCCTGTATGTTGATTTTACCTTACCAGGTGGGAGGAAATACCAACTGGGTACCTATCAATTTCTTGTACATGACAAAATGCCTTTCTTGGGCAGTTAATTTTATATTCTGTTCCCTTTGGGATCCCTTTGTTTTGAAGCAGTTTCATCATTTTCTGTTACTTCCCAAGGGGCCCACTTGCCATTAGGAAACCCCTGAAGGAGCCCTGCACCCAAGTTCTGGCCCCTGCTCTGTGCCTTATAGACTGCTTGATTCCAGCAAGTTAAGTCTCCTGAACCTCAGTGACTGTATCTGTAAAATGGACCTAATAATACCACATGCCCTGCCTCTCAGTGTTGTTGTGAGGTCCAGATGAAATCATGTGTTTGAAAATAATTAGATTACTTTTATTCAGCTAAGGAGATGGAAAGGACAACTATTTGCCCAAGTCGGACAGTGATTTTATTAGCTAGGAAGGCTCGGGTTGCTTTTCTCCATTCTAGTGTATACAGTGTTGACCGGGATCTGACTAAGTTATGGCAGCTCTCTGATCGTCTGAAGGAAGAATTTACACTGGGGACTCAAATGACCAAAAGGAGAGGTTCAAAGTGTGCTTAGGGACACAGCTGGGCAGCCTCTAGACCAGAAAACATCACTGGTGTGCAGCACAGCCGTGGGAAGCATGCAAGGTGGTGAAGCTTGTATTTCACCTCCTTCTACCCTCTCCCCTCCCTCGACGGGCCCCAGTGTTCCCAGCCACCCAGGCCAACCCACCAGCAAAGTCCCACTCTCCAAGATTCATCCTTCCTTCTTCCCGCTTTATGTCCCTTCCCCACCCCCACAACCTCCTTCTCCTCCCTATGGCTAATTTCAGTCAATTACTTATAAAAAGACGACCTGACTCAAATAATTTACAAAAGTATATGAATGGCAGATAGCGTGAAACTGCATTTTCCTAGATTCTTTTTTTTATTATTATTATTTTGAGACAGAGTCTCACTGTGTCGCCCAGGCTGGAGTGTAGTGGCACGATCTCGGCTCACGGCAACCTCTGACTCCCGGGTTCAAGCGATTCTCCTGCCTCAGCCTCCGGAGTAGCTACAGGTGCCTGCCACCATGCCTGGCTAATTATTGTATTTTTAGTAGAGATGGGGTTTCACTATGTTGGCTAGGCTGGTCTTGAACTCCTGACCTCATGATCCGCCCACCTTAGCTTCCCAAAGTGCTGGCATTACAGGTGTGAGCCACCGCACCTGGCCCTAGGTTCTCAGAATTGAAAGAGACTCAGTCCACCAGTGCTTGTCCAGGAGGAAACAACTGGCATTCTACATGGGATGGCTCCTCATTATGGGAGCTGTCCTGTGTGATGCGGGACTTCTAGCATTCCTGACTCCTGTCCACAAAGCAGTGCCCTCTATTATGTTGACTACTGTGAAAGTCTCTCCCCAACATTTCTCAACATCCCCTAAGTAAATGTCATTATCCCCTGTTAAGAACCACTGAAATCTGTGACATGGTTTCAGAGGTGCTGACAAATGGTTATCTAGACTTTTCTTCCCTCTGGTCCTGCTACCCATCATGGTCAACAGCACCACTAATCACCCTCAACTCTTCTCTTTCTGTCACTCCCCACATCCAATACATTAAAAATCTCAGTCGAATTTCCCAATAATCTCAAATTCACCTTCTCTATCTCTACAGGCTCTATTCAGCCCAAGTGCCCATTCATTCCCCTCCCGATCTAGTGCAAGAGTCTCTTGGTGTCTCCCTTTTAACTTTCAATTTATTCTCTGTCCAGTAGCCAAAGTGATCTTTTAAAACATGAAACAGGTCCTGTTACTCCCTTGACTAAAATTCTCCAATGGCTTCCCATCACAATGCTGAGAATTGAATCCATATGCCTCCCCAGACTCTCCCTGAGCTGATCCCTGATGACGTCTTCACACCCATTCCTTGCCATTCTTCTCCTCCTGCACTCTGCTTCTGCTCCCCAAGTCCAGTCACTTTCTTTCAGACTCTGGACACATTACCATCTTTCTGCCTCAGGGCCTTTGCACTTGCTACTTCTTCTAGCCCCACCCCCCTTCACTCCCTTGTAGGCTGGCTCTTTTCAATCTGTCAGGTTTCAAGTTGAATGTCACCTACTCGTGGACACATGACCATAGCTCTTCCCGTTCCTACCTCAGTTTTTATTCTGAATCACAGCACTCCATTTATTTCCTTCAAAATACTTATTATAACTATTGTTTTTAAAAACTTACTGTCTCCCAGTAGACTCCATCTTTATAAGACTGACTATCTCCAATAGTATTGTATTCTACACTTCGAATGCAGCATCCACCTCAGCATCTGGCATGGAGTAGGTTGTCAATAAATGCTTATCAAAGGGATAAATAAATACATGGGTCAATGTTTGAATACTTTCAGTCAATATCTCATCAGGCAATTATGATACATTGATAAGTAGGCCTAATCATTACTGAGTTCTTTAATTGAGCCAAGATTCGTCCCTTGTAAATACTGGGCCTTGGTTCTGCCTTGGGGAGCAATAGAAAACCACCCCAGACCTCCCATTACCATGTAAACTGGCCTTCTCTGAATTTCACATCCATAGCTCATTGATAGCTTGTAAGAGACAATTTCTAAGTCTCTCGCCATCTCAGTCCATGAACAGTCAACAGATTCAGTGTACTTAAAATGTGCTTCTAAGAAGTAAACACAGTACTTTAGGTGTGCTCTGACCAAAGCAAATAATAATAGGATTGTCCTTTCCCATGATTCAAATGCATATTTTTAAGAACATGCCCTATCATTGTGTCCTTTCAAATAAAAGTAGCTGATGGTAGCATGGAAGAATAGAAAGAACAAGTGATTTAGAGTAAAAAATATGTGGTTTCAAGTTCAAACTCTATTACTTATGAGCTGTAAGTGTTTAGACAGTCATTTATCCTTTCTGAGCTTTCTCTACCCACCCATCCACTCATCCACCCACCCATCCACTCATCCACCTATTATTTATGGAGCACTTGCTGTTGACCAAGTACTTGATCTGTAAAATACAGATGGGAACAAACTCCCTATTGTCAAAATAAACCAGTCAAATGAGTTTTGAAATAAAATGCTAAACTTTGCATTTCATGTCATTGGTTTCTGAAACACTTGGTAACTGAAATGAATGGTTAGAGTGGGGCTCCACTGATATCCACAGTTCATGAACAGAATTCAGGGAATCCATGAAACTGGATGAAAAAAAAAAATCTTTATTCCAGGGAGCTCTAACTGGAACTTAGCATTTCCTTTAATCATGGATTCAGGCCACAGCAGTATTTACTGAACCTGTGACTTTGTCACCAAAAGAAATCAGATATTTTCATATTATTTGATAGTTGTTGCAGATATCTCAAAGTATCATTTATGCTCATCTCTACTTTGAAATTATGGTAGTTACTGCCTCTATATCTTGCTATTGAATGTGTTAAGATACATTACTATACCTTTAATTGAAAAAACATTTTGATAGATCGATATATTAATATATTACATCTATTTTGCAATCCAATGTTTTCATTTCATGCATTAAAAAACATTATTCTGTCAGGGGGTCTACAGGCTGCATTAGAGGTCTACAGCACAAGAGCTCTGCAGGGTTATGAAGAAACATATTGCTAAGTGCGGGGGCTGACACTAGGTTACACCTACAGCCACCAGCTGCTCTAGGCTATTCCCCCCTCTATTGCCTCAGAGAAGCAAGGCTTTGCACTCGGAATCCAATTTTTAAAAGGGGTCAATGATAGAGAAAGGAGCCTCAGGAGAAGACCAAGGGGCGATGATCAGGAACAGCTGGTGTGTTAGGTAACACGCTTCCTCAGTCAGGTTGCGGGGAGACAGGGGATGACAAGGAATCCTGGCTAATTGGGAAGGGAGTCAAAAGGAAATACACTTCCCTGTTGCTGCCCAGCTTTTACTTTTCCTCAAAACAGAGCCCCAGTGTCAACTCCTCTTGGACGCACTCATCTCACCATGCTATAATCACTATCTTCTCCACCAGATGAAGAGTACCTTTTTTCCAGTTCTAGAAACACTTACTGAGGGCTCACTCACCATGTGTTAGCCAACCTGATAGATGCCTGGGAAAGAAAGATGAGCCAGACCTGGCTACTCCCCTCAGTGCACATATAGCCCAAACAGGGATGTGTGGGGCCTGACACAGGGCCTGGCACACTCTAAGGTTTATAGAGTGGATCCCCAACTCCTAACTTCATTGCCAACTCCCTACTTAGCAACTCTTCCTGTCTTCCTGTATGTCCCAAGGCATCTAAAAATCAACAAAAATTAAACTCATCCTCTAATTGGTCCTCCACGTCTTAAAAACCTATTTCACTTCACCCCTCCTCTCCATCCTCATTGCTGCAACCTCAGTTCAGCTCTTCAACGTCCCTCAGTTGAATGATTGCAATAAACAAAATCCATCTGTTTCTCTCCATATTTGTCACCACTGCTCGTGGCCAAGGTGACATTATTTCTTGTCTGGACTACTGCAAGAGCCTCCTGCAGGTTTTCCTTCTTCCGCTGTGGCCAATCTCTCATCCATTCCCCACAGGGCAGCCGTTATTTAGGAATTCAAATCCAATCATTTCACTTCCCTTCAAAGGCTCTCCTGTGCTCGGAGAAGAAAATCTAATCTCCTTCCCATTGCCAAGGAGGCCTGCAGGCTGGGCCTGCTGCTTCCTTCTCCAGCCTCCTCCCCTCATACTCTCTCCTCTACCTCCCTAGCCTCAACCACACTAGCATTTTGCTCTCCACAACCACCAAGACCAGGATGTTCCATCTTTGAGTTCTTGCACATGCCCTCCAGTCTGCCAGCACTGCTCTTCCCAGATCTGCAAGGGAAACCTGCAACCGGCCTTTCTTATCTTCCTGGTGTCAATTCGGCCTCCTTAAAGAGAACTTACCCCAACACCTGCAACCCCCAAATGCCTCTGCTACATTACCTGTTTAGTGAAGTGCCTCCGTTTCTTCATCTTTAAAATGGTAGTAATAATACAGCCCATTTTGTAAAGTTGCAGTGAGGATTAGATGAGTTAATATTGGTAAAGTGCTTAGAATAATGATATACAGTAGGTGAGCTGTAAATTTTAGCTATCATCTTAATGTAAAAGTAACTATTAATTTGCCAAATGTTTATTGTCTACCCTATTTACCATGATATAAATGTCTCCACACATTGCTTGGCACATAATAGGAGCTCAAGAAAGTATTCGAACAAATGATAGTCCTTCTAATAAGGTGCTTTGCCTCCAACCTTATTGCAGCCACTTTATCTTCTGAGTAATCTTTCTAGAACACATTCAGATTGTGTCTGTTTATAATCCCGCTGTTTTACTCCATCAACCTTAGCCATGGTTTTCACACCCTGCTCTAGAAGTTCCTTGGAGATGCCTCAGGGACAGGCCCGGATGGGGTGTGGCAAGTTGTAGGGCTCCGGAAACTCCCAACCCCTGCTTCCTCCCATGTTCCCAGCGCTTGGTAATTGGTCTTACAAAAAGAACCAAGTCAATGATAATTTTTCTCAAGAGACAGGGTCGTGTTACGTTGTTCAGGCTGGATTTTAACTCCCGGGCTCAAGCGATCTCCCTGTCTCAGACTCCCAAGCAGTTGGACTACAAATATGTGCCACTACACCTGGCTAAGATTTTTATTTTTATTTTTGTAGAGATGGGGTCTTGCTACGTTGCCCAGGCTAGTCTTAAAACTCCTGGGCTCAAGTGATCCACCCGTCTTGGCCACCCAAGGTGCTGGGATTATGGGCATGCGCCATCTGCTCCCTGCCTAATGATAATTTTCTAACCTTTTTCTCATAGGGAGCTTCCGATTGATAATTTATTTTAAAGGCAAGGTTTGGAAAGTCTAGAGGACCAACCATCAGGATAAAATCCAACCACCTTTGCCCGTCTCATTAAGCCCTTCACCATCTGGACCTGCACACTCGTTTCTGGACATTCCGCAGCCTGGTGAGCTGCTTGTGGCTCCCAGGCTTACTCAACTTCCTGCTTGTGCACAAGCTGTGCCTTCTCTCTAGAACTCCCTTCTCTGCCTTCTCCACTCAGCTTCAAGATGCAGCTCAAGCATTACCTCTCTGAAGCCTCCCAGATCCTCCCAGGCTGAGAGTAGTGCCTCTTTTTGGGACTTCCACGGCAGCTTTTGGTCACGTCTCTCTTGCCATGAGCATCAGACTGTATGGGAAAGGTTTGTTTTACTCTCATTCTTTCTATAATAGCAGGAGTCAACAAACCACCACCTGTGGGCCAAATCTGGCTTGTTGCCTGTTTTTCAAACGGCCCATGAGCTAAGAATAGCTTTTGCATTTTAAAATGGTTGAAAAGAATCAAAAAAAGAATAACTCATGACAAGTGAAAATTACAGGGAATTCACATTTCGGTGTCCATAACATTTTAATGGAACACAGCCCTACCTGCTCATTTATGTATTGTCCATGGCTGTGTTCACACTACAGCAGCAGAATTGAGCAGTTGTGATAGAGACTGTATGCAGCCTGCAAAGCCGAAAATATTGATGATCTGGCCCTTTACAGAAAGAGTTTGCTGACCCCTGCATAACAGCATTGACCAGGGTGGTGGGATGGAAATAGGGCCACATCCCCCTAGTAACTTCTCTAAGGAAAGCACTATGTGTAGCTATTGAACAGACAATCCAACCAACATGAAAATCAGCTACTGAAACTGAAAAATGAATGTCACAGTTCTATTTGTTTTTGTGATCATGTAAAAATTAGCATTTCATCAAGATAGAAAATTAAAACTAAGAAAAATGATAAGCACATTTCATAAAAAACATAATAAGAAAACCTACCATTCCATGGCCCCACTTTGATGAACAGGTTAGACCCATGCTGGCCACACACTGTTCCCAAGTCGACTTTGGGGTTTCCCAGTCTTCATCATCTGTGTGCCAATGCATGTTTGGGGAAGGGAGTGGTCATCAAAAAACTTTAAGGGAGGCAGATTTGACACTACTGTATGCTACTGTAATCAAGATGTTGGTCTTGGTGTGGCTCTTCCGCCATCCTGTTCTAAGGGAATCCACCTGCAGCACCTGCTGGGGACAATTGCATGTTTGATCCTCTTCTAGTCGGACCAGGGGCCAGCACCTGCCCCAAGGGTTACAAATCCCTACACTGAACTCGGGCTCATCATCTGGTGGGAAAGATGAACTGGACTCAACTCTATCTCTCTCCTGGCAACTTGGACTAAATAATACAGAAAGTCATTGCCAGTTAGTAGCCAAAGCCGAAGGTGACAGGCTGTTAAGATGTACAGTGGGAGGCAAGTGTGCTGGCTTATGCCTATAATCTTAGCACTTCGGAAGGACTGCTTTAGCTCAGGAGATTGAGACCAGCATGGGCAACATAGCAAGACCTCATCTTTACCAAAAATAAAAATAAAAAAAATCAGCCTGGCATGGTGGTGTGTGCCTGTAGTCCCAGCTACTTGGGAAGCTGAGGTGGGAGGATCACTTGAACCCAAGAGTTTGAGGCCGCAATAAGCTATGATCATGCCACTGCACTCCAGTCTAGGTGACAGGGTGAGACTCTGTTTAAAAAAAAAAAAAAAAAAGAAAGAAAGTTTCCAGTGTCTCTCCTCCAGGAACCATATTGTTTAAGAAATGATTTTATTCCAATTAGCTGGGCGTGATAGCACCCGCCTGTGGTCCCAGCTACTCAGGAGGCTGAGGCAGGAGAATCGCTTGAATCCAGGAGGAGGTAGTTGCAGTGAGCCGAGATTGTGCCACTGCACTCTAGCCTGGGCAACAGAATGAGACCCTGTTTCAAGAAAAAAAAAAAAAAAGATAGACAGTGGGGATCAAGGCAGGCCTGAGGCATACTCAGGTGGGAGGGAGTAGATGTTTGAGGAAGCAGAGGAGGTTATTTGGTAGGAGGATGGTGCAAAGCAGCCAGGCTAAGTCATGTTAACAGGGAGACTAAGGAAGGAGCATCCATCATTTGCTGATGCTGACTGAGCTCCTTTAAGCTGCCTTGAATGTGGAACCACCTTCCAACTGCATATCAAGGAGCCCGTCCTAACACTATTAGTAGTAATGATGGTGATGATAGTAAACACAGACATAACATTTACTATGAGTTAAGTAGTTAGTAGTATTCATTCTATACTTATTAACTCGTGAATCCAGACAATAATCCTATGAAACCAAGAGGATCACTATTTATAGATAAGAAACTGAGGCACAGAAAGGTTGAATAATTTGTCTACAGTCCCACAACTGGTAACTGGTAGCTTTGGTCCCAATTGACCTGGTTCCAGTGACTGTGCACATAACCATAACACAGCATTGCTTTTATTCCTAGATTACCATGTAATTCCATGTGTTTCTGTCCACAATATCCCTCATCCCTTTATCTGACCTTACTCAAGTAGATCTTTATTCCATGCAACCAACTGTACATGACTAGGATAGAAATTGGTAACAGGACTGATGTTGTAAAGAATGGACCCTTGGAGAGAATGTCTGGTGTGCGGAATTGGTTCTGGCGTACAGCACAATAGACGACTCTAGACATCCCCCCACATCTGGGAGTGAAATACAAATAAACTGTTATATGCAAGAGTGAAGGAGCTAATTAAACTATGGCTTACAGGTTTTTGAGACTCAGACTCTAAGCCCAAAAATGGCAAGTCTTTAAAGGGCTTTCTAGGTACTGCCTTTGATCAGTGAGGAGGGAATAAGGAATATCAGGTGGTAAAATGTGTTGGTTACTTTTTATGGCCCTAAGTAAAATGCAAGGGGAAAAAAAATGCGACAAGTTCCTATCCTAGGTGCCTCAGTTGGAACACAAGGAAAATTGTTTTATCTTACAATAGTGGTTCTTAAACCTAAGCATGACTTCAAATCACGTTGAGAGCTTGCTAAAATACAGATTGCCAGTCCCACCCCAACCTCCAGAGCTTCTGATTTAGTAAGTCTGGTGTAGGGTCCAAGAATGTGCATTTCTAGCAAGTTCCCAGGTGATATTCATGCTGCTGGGCCACAGTCCACACTTTAAGGACCACTGCCTACAGCATAAAGCCCTTTCCTCTCATAGTTGAAAGGCAATCAAAAATTACACCATAGAAGTTCCAACCATGCTAGGTTTCCATGGTCAAAAGTAACTCTCAGATTGGCAACACCAGAAGCCTGGTATTCCAATGAATGGAAGTACCTGGGAAGAGGTGAAGGAGTAAAGGACACCATGTAACCTAAAACTAAGGAAGGAAGGGGCCCTGACACATCAGGCATTAAGAAAAAGACAATGATTAAGGGAGTATGAGGTGACCAGACTCCCAGAAAGTGTTGCTGCTGAGTAGAGAAAACATTTCCAACATGATTCTCTACGATCCTTCATTTATTCATTCAACAAATATTTCTGAAGTCCCAACTACATACTGGGTACTATGCTAGGTATGGGGGGTTCAACAGAGAACACCCTTTGAGATGATGTATAGATCAGAACACCAACACTGTCTAGAAGTTCACAGTTAAGAAACTACAATCCTGCCAGAGTCAGAACTTCAGGTGGTCACCAATGCAAACCTAGAAACTCAGCTCATAACTAAGGATTCTCTGCTATCCTATGCCTGTGTCCACAAAAAGCTGGTCTTAGCATAGCAGTTGCAAGGGCTTAGCTTGCTCCATACAGGTTAGGGTTGACATCAGGACCTAATGTCCATGCTGACAGACTGTCCATGGCAGTGGACATGTACACATTATTGCATGTAGTAATTATTTAACCCTTCGTGCTTTGGTTTCTTTATTTATAAGTGGGGAATCCCATTTCCTTGACAGCAATATTCTCTGGATTCATGAGTTAATGTGTATAGAATAAGCACTACTTGACCCATAGAAAATGCCGTGTGCTTTGGATGTCTTTACTATCATCACCATCATGATTATTAATAGTAATAGGGTAGGGCTCCTTAATATAGACTTGTAAGGTGGCTAAAAGCTCAGGTCGTAGAGCTGGACCACCCAGGTTCTAAATCCTCTGCTATTTTCCAGCTATGGAACCTAACAGAAGCTCTCTGGGCCTTAATTTTCTCATCTCTAATCATCATGATAACTACAGTCCTTGCCCCATATGGTGAATGAGAATCAACAGAAAATAAGGCATGTAAATTGCTTCACACAAAACCTGGCCATAATAACTATTCAGTAGATAGTAGCTATGATTGCTTTCCCCTCTTTCTAAGTGGGTGCTGTCATGGCAATTGTCCTTTTTGAATCCATTTTTGCATATAATATGTGTATATGAGGGTAAAATCACCATCTAGTCTATAGACTGCAAAATGGCTTGACAAAATCATAACAGAAGCTGGAAGAGAAATAAACATCACAAGAAGACTGCGGATTTTGAGGTCAATAGGCTGCATCGCCAAGTGGAACTGGGATGTCACTTCTCCACACATGTTCCTTGGGTTGCTCTCTGTTGGGCAGCATGTGAGCATTCTGTGGTTGTCTGCATGACAGTTAAATTATGTCAGGCTTTAGAATTATGTAGGCGTGGAAGAAGGCGGTATGTCCCCCTACAAAGGGTAGAATGAACTAGAGAACAAACTAGAATGATCTAGAGTCCTGTGGACCAATACTGCAGGAAAACGTACTACCCTCAATGTCTACCGAGGGGTGGCTGCCATGTTTAAACCACGAGTGACCCCAGAACCCAACAATGGTGGCCAAACAAGTCTGGAGCAATCAGACTCCACAAACTCGAACACAAACACTTTCTGTGTATCACGTTGGTGTGCCAGGGGTAGTGAGAGTTCAGAAAGGTAGGAAGTCAAATTGATTAACTTGTGCATAATTAAAAACATTCATTTTTATACTAATCCAAGCACAGGTGTGTTATAAAAAAGAATGAAAAAAAGGAAAGAGACCACATGAAGTTCTAAAACACAAGCCAAGATTAGAGGCATGTACTGCCTTCTGAGGTTACCCTCTAGCCTCAACCCCACATCCTAGGGGAGGTTGTTTGCTGCCAATTTAATTAGGGGACCTTCAAGGGAAAGTTCGAGAAACCCTGGGGTGGTGGGAAGAGTAGAGATGTAGACATTGGAAGACCTGGATTTAAGGTGGAGGGCTTTGGCACTTAACTATCTTGAGCAAGCTGCTTAACGGATCTTTAGCCTCCTCATCTGGAAAATGAAATCATCCCCATAGAATCAACCTCAGACTTGATGCGGGGCTCAAAAGAAATAATACATGTGGAAGTGCTGTACAAATATCACAGAAGATTATTAGAGAGAGGGTCTACAGAAATCGGTTGCCTTAGCACATTTGAGAGCTGCAGTTAACCTGCTACAGTTATGAAAGTGGATTCAAAGTTGGTGGCAAGGCAGAAAAAGTAATGGTCCAGTGTGTAAACAGCTGAGTACACACTCATTACACAAGCATCTCGTAAATCACTGCTTAGCAGAAGCTGAAGGAGAGGAGGATCAGTGACAAGAGATAAGAGAACCAGAAAGTGGGAAAATACAACCCAGTCAGTCCTGTCACTTTTCTACCTATGGCTGATTGAAGACGGAAAATAAGAGCCAGCTAGGAGGAGAGGGAGAAAGAAGGCAAGCAAATCCAGCCGCTTGTGCCTTGCAGCCTGTGGATTACTGTTAAAATTACTGTGTCTGCTCTAAAGGAATTGCTGTTGGAATCTATTGAGGTTCCCTCTAGAGTGTTTCAAGTCCTGCTCCTGTTTTAGGCACCTATAATTCAGCATGCCTTTTCAAAAACACATTCAAGACCTGAAAATAAAATGCAGAACAAATGCAATCAAATGACATCATTCTTCTGAGTGACAGCCAGGGGCACACTGATCCCATGACCCCATTACACAAGGTTGCAATCTGCTATCGTCCTTTCAGTGGCAAAATCAGTGGCACCCAGCACAGAGCATTGCTTACACTAGCAGGCATCAAACAAATATTTGTTGAATTGAGTATCTTCTCTACCTATTTAATAGGTTAGAAAATTGTCAGCTTTTTCATCAAAACTACCACCCTTTTTCATTCAAACTCCTCTTGAAATTCAATTCCATTAAGGCTTTTCAATGCATACTAGCAGCAAGGAATTTACTTAAATGAAAAAAAAATGCAAAGCTCCAAGCTCCCACCTGTGCAGCCATGACATGCTATTGTTTGAACCAGAGTATATTATTTAACTTGGCTGACAAGCTCAGGGGGTACAGACCCTGTCTTTCAGAACACACAGCTCTGAGCACACTGGGAGTTCTTGATAAATAGCAGCAAGAAATGCTGTGGAGGGACCCATTTTAATTATTTATTTTTCCAGTTCCAGATTTTTGGCAGCATGTGTTTATCCTTTGCTTGATTTCCAAGGGGCAGCTCTCTCGCAGAAGCTCCGCGACTTCCTCTGCCACTGCCCCTCCCCATCCCGGCACAAGCAGGAACACCTGATTGAGCCAAAACGTGGATTTTGAGTGCATTCAAGATGCTGGCTGGGTTTGGAAGGGAACTGAGTCTTCCAGGACCCAATAGGTAGAGAGACGCAGTCAAGAGAAATGTTTTGGCTCCACACATCGACACAGCTGTCAGATGGCAAAGCTTGGACTTTCACCCTCATTACCTGCTGTGGGCCTCTGAGCTGGCTTGTCATTAACCCCAGAGACTAAGTGTGTCTAAAGCTTGACACAAAGTAATATTTCGGGGGTACTTTCAAGTCTTTCAACAGAGAAGTAGGAAACGATAATTTTACCAAACTTAAACCGTTAGATTATAAAGATCTAATAAAGACAGGAATCAAATATTACATTATATGTGTACGGCAACAGCAAGTCATTTAGGAGGCAAATATGTGTTTTTACATATTTTTAAAAATTATACCAGTAACAAAATGAAGGCCTTAATGTGTGTGTCCCAGCACACAGCTTGACAGGCAAAGAAGCAGCAGCAAGTGACCGTTCTAAGAAGCCTTGCAAAAGACCTCCTGGTTTTTTTCTCCCTGGCTCATAGGGCTAATATTTGGTAAGATGTGCTTTGCAGAGAAAGAAGGGGGTGGGGGAAGCTGTCTTTCTATACACATATTAATATACCTGGGAGCCAACGTGCCCCTGTATCAACACATTTTCCAAGCAGTGACTTCTCCCCTTCCTCTCTGATTCATTTTGTACCAAAACAATGGCAACACCTGTAGCCGTTAATTTCTGCGCTTTGAT
Organism: Homo sapiens; assembly: GCF_000001405.40. Classification (NCBI taxonomy): domain Eukaryota; kingdom Metazoa; phylum Chordata; class Mammalia; order Primates; family Hominidae; genus Homo; species Homo sapiens. The sequence goes on along the minus strand of NC_000012.12, from coordinate 94,151,105 downwards.
TTTTGTCCAGTTATAAAGGAGGCTCCCAGCAGGCTCCCCTCTCAGGAGCCATATGTGGAGTTGATGTGCCAGCCGCCTTGGAAGGGAAACGGCCTCCGGAGAAGTGCACAATGGCTCCATAATCCCCATCAACTGGACCCTCTTGAACTGCCTCTTTATTTTCCAGTCAAAGAAATGCCAATCTCAAGATAAAAGCTGTGGCTGCCCTGGGAGCCCAGGGGAAACCTGTATCGCTTGCCTGGTTCAGCCCCAGGGTGGTGACTCTGAGTCCCGCCATCTAGTCTCGCAATCTGGAGCCCAGAAACTGCCTGTAGCACCCCCAACACTTTCCCTTGCACTCCCCTCTAGGATGAGGCTTTTACCACAAGGCCACCTCCCGCCCAGCCTCTCCCGGCGGCTGGCGACCACAGCGCACCCTGAGCAGAGCCACGGCACCGCCCCCTCGCACCGGCTCACGCCAGGGGTTCGGTTCCAGCGCAAGCCTCTGTTGCAGGCTGGCATTTCTCCACGCTGAGCGGGCTAGCAACTCTTCAGACCACAGCACTTGCGTTGCCGGTGGGGGGCGGAGACAGGGGGCCACAAAGGCTGGGGTGTGGCAGGGAGCCCTTTAGGTTCAATGGCTTCTCTGCCGAGGGCACTGTGTTGCTAACTGTTGACCAAGAGGGTCAGACCCACACGCCTGCTGGGACTACACGGAAGGGGCACAGAGAAGTCTGGAGAAGCGAATGGGAAAGAGGGGCTGCGCGAGGAGACTCAGCCCCAAACAAGCGTCCCCGTTTGGACAGGGAAGGATGGCAATGGGATGCAGCCACTAGAGTTTTGAGTCTAACTCCAACCCTCCCCGCCCCCCTTTTTACACTCTCCCTTTGGGGACCTCAGGCCGTGCTCCAGGTCTCGGGGACCGTCCGAGAGGAGCCTTCGGACGGCCGCCCGCGGTGTGAACCTGAGACCTGGTAAATGTCACCCGGCTGTACCCCCGCCCCGCCGCTCGCCCCCAGCTCGTTCTGCCTCGGCGGCGGCGGCGGCTCCCCGGCAGCAGCGCTCTCCGCGGCGCCCCGGGGGCAGGACTTACGCAGTGGCTCTCGGCCGTCTTGAAGTCCCAGCTGACCCTCTTGGCGCGCGCCTGGATCTCACTCATTCTGAAGAGGCAGAGCGCCGTGGTGGTGGGGGAGCGCCGCTCCTGGCCCTCTCCAGCGGCCGCGCTGAACACTCCCGCCCAGACGTCCAGGGCCTCCACTAGGCTGGAGGAGAGGAGCAGGCGGCGGCCGTCGGGGTGGCCGTGGCCGCAGTCGAGGGATGCCTGGCCCTGGAACAGCACCTCGGTGCTCTGCGCGATGCGCGCCATGCTGGGCCAGCCGGTGGCAGCGCCGCTCGTGTAGTTGTAGGGGTAGTAGGGGAAGTAGATGCTGCCGTTCCAGAGAAAGGCGTCCACGAAGTGCAGGCTGCCCGCGCCCTCGCACAGCTTGAGGCGCCCCAGCTCCTGCGTGGCCAGGCTGCGCCCCTCCGTGTCCTTGAGCGCGATGGCCGTGTCGTGGTCGGATGCCGCGGGGTTGCAGCGGCTCGCCGTCTCCGGCTCAGGCAGCACGTAGGTGGCGGCCACCGCCAGGTACCAGCGGTTGTTCCGGCCCGCGCGGTACACCACGCCGGCCGTCGAGCCCTGCGGGTGGCACGACACCACCTCGGTGCCGTTGCGCAGGGAGTTGCGGCTCAGGTTGCCCAGGGGCCGCACCTCGCAGGCGCCCCGGTCGAAGGTCCAGCCGGTGAGCAGCAGCCCCCCGAGGCCGGCCGCCCCCTCGCGGTAGGGCAGCAGCAGCTTGCTGAAGCTGCTCCCGGGCCGGGGCCGCGCGGGGGGCGCCAGCGAGACCGGCTCTGTGCAGTTGCCCGCTTGGTCCCGGTACAGGCGCGAGAGGCTGTGCTCCAGGCTGTAGTCCAGCTGGTCCAGGCAGCTGCCGCTCGCCACAAACACGCCGTCCTCCTGGCTCGCCGCGATGGCTCCGATGGCTTGCTCCGACCGCCACACGGGCTCGTCCGCGCCCCGGCCGGGAGCCGCCAGTGCCAGCAGATAGGCGAGCAGGGGCAGTGGCGCTGCGGGGCGCGGGGGGCGCGGCGGCGCCTTCCTCCGGGAGACCTCCATGGGGCTGGGGGGGCCGCCCCCGGGCAGGGCGCGCGGCGGCGACGGCGGCTCAGGCGCGCGGCAACGGAGACGCGGGCGGCGGCGGCGGCGGTTCCTGCGCGCGCTCGGGCTCCCGCGGCCGCCCCATCCCCGCAGCTCGCCCAGGAAGGAGAGCGGGGAGGGCGGCGCGCGGCAGGCTCGCTCCGGCAGCCTGTGCAGCGGCGGTGGCGGCAGCAAGCCCTGCGCGCTCCGGCACCGTTTCCTCCTCGCCCTCCTTCGCCGGAGAGTTCCTGTGTGCAGCGCTGGCGCTCGCGGGGAGGCGCGGAGGGGAAGGGAGGGGACGGGCGGAGAGGAGCGAGGCGGGCGGGGAGGGCTGGAGAGGTTGGGTGCGCTTGTGCGTTTCACTTTCCCATTGTGAAAGTGGGATGCAACTGGCCCCCTTCCTCATCCTCTCTTCCTCCTCCGCCCTCCGCCTCCTGCCCGCCCGCCCGCCCTCCCTCCACGCCCATCTCCCCTCCCCTCTTGATTCGGTGAGATAGGGAGGAGGGAGGTCTCGTAATTTGGGTTACTGTGTAGGTGGCCTCTTTCATCTATTCATAACAAAGCTCAGCCGCCCGCCGCGGCCGCCGCGGCCGCCACCATCGCCCCCTTGGCTCGCCTGGGGCTCCCGGGGCGCGCTAACGGCGCACGGAGCGGGCTCCCGCGCCCGTCCGCCCGCGGTGCTGCTCCAACGCCCGGTTTTGTTTACGACAGCAGCCGGGTCGGGGATACGCCAGGCGCGCGGAGCGAGGATCCAGGGTGCGAAGGGGTTGCAGCTGAGGCCCCGGGCTCGGGCCACAGGGCTGCTGCGAGAGCGGCTGACAGGTGTGGAGCGGCGAGAGGGAGGCCCCGGGGAGGCGCGCGGGAGACATGGCCGAGCCGGAGACTCCGGGGACCAAGGCGCCCCTGTGACAGGGTGTGGGTTTCCCCGGGTCGGATGAGTGAGGTGGCAGAAAGGCAGGCGCCACACTCTCGTTCTGGACAATCCCCAGGGCCGGAGCGCCCATATTTGCAAAGGTTCTCTAATCTCCCTTGGCAACAGAGTCCCAGGCTCTCAAGCCTAGCACTTGGAAAGTTCTGCTCACCATCTAACCTAATGAGCGGGGCTAACATTTACTGAGCACTTACTACGTGCCGGGTGCGCTTGTGAACTCACCACATGGGTTAAGACTCATAATTCTCATAACAGCCCTATTAATTAGTGACTGTTATTGTCATCCCTACTTAGTAGTCCAGGAGAATGGTTATAGAAAGGTTGTGGAACGTGCTGGCATTCTACTGCTGGTAGATATCAGAGCCGAGATTCGAATCCATATCTAGCCCCAGGGCCTCTTACATACCTGGCTCTAGTTAAGTGCCACCTGTGGCCATTGCCATAATCCCCCAGAGATCATTCTCTGTAGTGAGACTGAAAAGTTCCTCAAGTTAAATGCACCAACCAGCCCCCGCCCTGCTTTCTACTATTAGACCCAAGTCCCCGTATTTCCCTCGAGGCTCTCCATCTGTCTCATCATTACCCACTTTTATCCTTTGGACCCCCTGAGGTCTCACCACCTCACCCAGAGGGTGAATAACAGCTGGGTTGCCCCCACAGCCGCCAAGAATTTCTGAAGCACAGGGAATCATTGCCCACTGGGGAATAGGTTCATGATTTCTCGGAATGGGGCTTCCCAGAGGATGCACAAATGCCTCCCAGCTTCCCGGGGCAGCTGCGGGCACCATCAGCACCCTTACAGTCTGGCAGATGAGCCAGGGGGTGCATAGGAGTGGAGGGTGCTGAGGACCTCTATGGATCGTTGGGAAATGATCTCTGTTCCTTCCCAGGCTATTTCCAGACCCCAGGCCCCAGGGAGGGCAATTGGCTGCTATCCCCTTTCTTCCTTCCCTCCAAGTTCCCCAGCTCGAGATGCTGTTTTGGGAAGGGAAAGGAATGAGGTGGCTTTTGTCCCATGCTGAGTCCTGCCGAAGGTTGCAGGTTTCAAACTTCTCCAACAGTGCTTCAAGTTCTCCCCAGTGCTGAGGGATATGGCAGGAGTTCTGGAAGGCTTAAGGAAAGAAGGGTGAGGTGGAGGGAGAAGAAGAGAAGTGTGAGTTTCTGCTCTAGATGTGAAGTTCAAGGATCCTATCATTTCAGCAGTGGCTCTCATACACTAAAGTCAGAGTGGTCATCTTTTCATTCATAAGCCTTTCATTTGCAATTGGATAACATTATCTTTGCCTGGCAGGAGGCAGAAAATGCCTTCCCACGAGATATGAGGTTGCCCTTTGTGCTGTGATGATGGTGTTGGAGTGTCCATAAGGAGAGGGGAGGAAGAAGGGGAAAGGCCTAAAGTACCCAGTTGGTGTTAATCGGGACATCTCAGGCAAGACAAGTCAGATGTTTCACCTGCTCCAAAATATCTGGCCTTGCTCCCCCACTCCCTGCCCTCCTGGAATGCTTTCAGAATTTTTGCACCTCTGGAAGTGGGAAGATCAATATTTTAAAAACCTCATCCGAAGCTCAGAGACCCCCTCCACAGCATAGTAGGGGATTTATGCGCTGGTGTTTTGACAGTTTTCCCTGTGACTGATGCAGAACTCAGTGACCTTCACTGGCTCCGTGAACCAGCGGTGGCAGTGTCGCTATGTGCTGAGAAGCAACAGTTCAATTCCATTCCAGAGATAGTTTTACTTCACTGGTAACCAAGTCATTTCTCTAAGTCCCGTAGAGTTGGTACAATCAGTCACAGACCATCTTGGGAGCTATTTGGATTAAACATACTCTGTGGTGCGGCATTTTGATCACTACTCAGTTCATTGCTGCTTCATTTTGAAAAAGAAACAACATCTTAAAAATACTACCCACAAGAAGTATAAATGGCTTTGATGGCTACAGTTCCCTGCCATTCTACTGGGACCATAAGCCCCACTCTTAAGAGTGGGCTTCTTTTGCCTCCCATTTAATTGTATGCAGACTCCTACGGTGAAAGAAATCAGAATCTGTGCTAACTTTTTGGCATGAAAAACGTAGGCGACGAGGAAGCATATAAATGCATTCTTTGCTGATTCTACCCCCATTTTGTACAAACATGTTTGCCCCTTCCCAATTTTCTTGTGTACTAAAGCTCCACCTTCAGGACACAAGTTCACATTTGAAAAGTGTGGGAAATACGAACAACTGAAATAAATATTTAGGCATGCGGGTTCTGTATCTCTTTGATCACTTTCTCTTGGACACCACCGTCTGGCCCAGGGGTGCAAGTCCCTTTGGTGACAAAGCTTCCCTCTCCAACTGGCCGAGCCCATCTTGTTGGGTGTCACTTATAGCACATTTCGGAACTCCTTGTAACACAACTGGCTGAAACCCAAAAAAAAAAAAAAAAAAAAGAAGATGGTGCAGATTTATCCTCCAGACAGAGGCCTGCTACCACGGAAACAGGCAGTTCAGACCGATTCTGAGCAGTTTTATTTGCAGCGTTCACTAGATGGGAAAGTCTTCATAATGAGAAAATATCAAGTCCCTCAGGCACCGAAGGCAATCTGGGTTAACCAGGCCATCCACAATCAGACTCATTTCTGGTGGACAGGACTTTATAGATTCAGTGGTTTCCTGCTGGGGCCCAGGACATTAAGAACTGTTCAGTAGGCAATTGGTCACAGTCACAAGATGGCTATCATTGGTGCTTCAGTTTTCTTTCTGATTTTCTTTCTTTTTTTTTTTTTTTTTCATCTGACAGTGGTCTGTAGCATGACTTGGCTGGCAGAGATTGAAAGCAACTGAGAATATTTGTTCTGGTGGTCAGTGAATTCTCTCTAAGCCTCATCTACATAGCTACAACCCCCTGTGCAGAATTTGGAAATACCACCCAGTGGGTGGAATAGTACCTGTATTGTCCTCTTAGGTTTTAAGCAGACCACTTCTTCCTCCACAGTTTTGCTGATATCTATGTGGTCTTCCACATCGAGGCCCTTATCAAAGCTCCCAGGCCCTTTTGGTGGCTGACAGGAAAAAGAAATGAGCCAGTCTTCTTTCTAGTCTGCTGATGAGTAGATGGTTGAAAAAAGATTAGAGGAAGAGCTGTTTAATAAGTTCGCATTGGTGCTGAGAGATGAGTTGGACACAGTTCAATCAACATGAAAAGTCTCTCTGACATGGCACAGTTAAGACGTGGCTGAAGGAACTCAGTGCCTCATCCTCTCTGCCCACCCAACATGGCCCCAGACGATTGCTGGGCATTCTTATGCTTGGTGATAGTGCCCCCATGCCATGGTTTAAAGTGAGGAAGGCTTGTGGTGTTCCTTCAGTAGGTGGGACTTGGGGGTCACTCCCAACATTACAGTTGTCATCTTTTTCTTTGTCATGATTTAATAGCTCATGGTCATTCGCCAGCAGAGTGCAAATGTACACTGGAGGGTGGAGTGGAACGTACAAGAAAATGACTCTTTACTCAAAGTCCAATGACTGTCTTTAAGCTAAATAAGAGCATTCACTCTGCTTTAGGGAGGGATGAGCTATTGCCTAAAAAGACATAACATAGCATAGCATAGCATAGCATAGCATAGCATAGCATAGCATAGCATAGCATAGCATAGCATAGCATAGCATAGCATGCCATAGCATAATATAATGTCAGATATGTTTAAGAGACTGCGAAGTCTAGGACATCACCTTAGCATTCTAGCACCACACTTCTCAGAGAGTATGTTTAGTGTCATGAAGTTTCTCTCGAGCCTTTTCTCCAAAACATTCACCAAAACCATCAGTGGTTAAGAATCTGAGACAATTACTGGTTGAAAGCAAAGTATGGTAAATCATCAACCATCACAGTGTTTTTCTAGACCGGCTGGAGTTCACCCTGCATGAAGTATGCGAACTCATCAGTTAATTACTTCTTCAGATTTGGGGAATCTCTGTAACTTGAGCAGTCTCTTGAAAATCAAGCTTTTCTCTGATATTCACAGGATTCCAGTCTGTCTCTCCTTGTATTTTCCTTGCTGTTCTTCGGAAATAGGAAGCCAAAAGGGCATCAAGGACTAGACACAAAACGCTGATTCCTCTTTAATACAACGTTGTTTCCCGTGTCTTTGCCCTCCCATCACAGCTCTGAGACTCGCTGTCAGCATAATCCTAGGCTCTGAATCCTCTGATAACTGGCAGCTTGGCATAAACCCATTCTAAGAGAAGAGCTGCCAGAAACCAGGCCTTCTTATTAATAATAACTCCAACTCTTGAAATGAATAGCAGAAGATAAGATAAACACGCAGATAACTTCACAGCCACTTGTACTTCCGCTTCCTTGAGATTCTGGTGGGGAGATGCTCTGAGCTGACAATAAAGTTGCTGGACTTCGCAGTGAGCCCTCTAGTGCTCTCCACCAAGCTGGTGTGGCTTCTCATTCTTATGTCCTTGCCACTCCCTAGAAAATAGCCCCACCAAGGTCGGGAGGAAGCAACCAATATCAGCTCTGAGCATGGGCTCTTGCGGTCGGGCAGTTTGGCGTATGGCCCCAGGGTGGGGGCAGCCCCACTCATCACCCATCCTGGGGAAGCCCTGGGAATATGGCAGTCCAAACAGCATCTCTCAGGCACTCATCCCCACGCACAGAATCCCAAATGCAAAGTTCATGGAAGACCGAGTGTTTGCCTCGCTCTCCTGCCCCTATTTTTTTTTTTTTTACAAAGCCTTCATTGAAGTATGACTGTCATACAAAAATCCATACCTATTTATTATATACAACATGTTGTGCTTGGAGATAAGTCTACACCCTTGAAACCATCACCGCAATCTCTTTCACCCCTTCCCTAGTCCTTCCTATTTAGTTCTTCTTCCCCGTCTGTGTTGAATAGTCTCTTCTTCTCCCTGCAGACCATTTCCCCACTGCTCCCCCTTTTGCTTGAGACCCAGAAGTTTGACATTTATGGACATCACCCTTGCCTTTTGGCTTCTCGTTGGATTCAGCCAATGGGAAGCCCCAGCCAGAGATCTAGGGGTGGACAGCTAGGGTGAAGTTTGAATATTTATTCTCCCAGCTCCCTCTCTGCTGATCTATGCATTGGCCATGGCTGTGTCCCTCTACAAGGCCACAGCTCCTGTGGGCTGTCCTCTCTCACAGCTACACTGTAGCCACAGCCTTTCGTGGACCCAGTAACCACTCCCTCACCCTCCTCCTCAGGCCTGTGGGATTCCATGGTTGTCGCTGTGGCTAGCCTCTGCTGGTCTCCCTTCATCCTGGCATGGCTCGGCCATGGTCCCTCAATTAATGTATCTGTTTGCATGTGTCACCTGTTTCCTGCCAGAATCATAACTAACAAACCAATCTACCTCCAAACATGGATCTAGAGGTGACCCCAAATGATGTTTAAACCTGTACATTCACTTTGTCCACTGATGGAAAGCAGAAAGGCTGCTAGTCAAAATGGAACTCCTTTGTTTCCAAATGGTTGGTTCCCCTGAATCTGGCAATGGAAAAAAAGCTACATTTTTATTCCCTTTGCACAGGCTTTCCTACACTAAATTCAACCCGGTGATACAGACAGATGGAAACCTGGCTGGGCAGGATTTTTTTTTTTTTCAGTTAAAACATAAAACTAAAAGAATCTTAAAAGTAAATCAGAACTACTGGGGACTAAGGGTTCAGAAGGTGGTGGGGGCAGAGGGTGGTTATGATCTCTAAAATTCTGCTGAACGTTTGAAATATATTTTCAAACAAGATACAAAACCAAGCATGCCGCTTTTTCCTTTTAAGACATTTCTCCTTAAGTCTGAACTCCAGCTGTCCCTTCAATAAAGTTGAGAAATTCCATTGATATTCATTATTACCAAAGCAGGATTATTAAGAGATTGCTATACTTCCTCATCTCCAGACCTCACCCTATGTCGCCCCCTACTAATAATGAAGAGATAACTTGGATGTTTTTGGTTCCTTTATACTCAAGGAAACCTATGTAGTAGAGACAGGAACCCTCTAAAGATGCTACTTTTTTTTTTAGAAGGTTTTTCTTTTTTAACTTTTAAAACATGTTGAAAAGTAAATCCATGTCTGCATAAGTTCCCAACCCACATTTCTCCAAGCTTCTGGAAGGTGGGCCTGGTGGGCACCCTCAGCTCCTTAGTGTTTCCCAGCTGGCCCCTGAAGACAGAACTTCCCTTCCAGCCTCTGCTGCTGTAAGGCCCCTCTGCCACCTCCCCCTGCAGCCTCCCTTCCCACCTCACCCAAGACTGATTGCTAAAAGAAGGGAAGAGGAATGAGAACAGCCAGCACACCCAACTGTCCTGTCCCACCCCCACGCTAAGGTCCCTACCCCCGACACACAAAGGGCAGGGCCCAGAGACCAAGCCCCAGCCAACTAGGAGGCAGCCATTCCAGTCCCAGCAAGGAAGCGAAAGTGCCCTCAGTCCAGCTCAAAGGCCCCTGAGCCCGGGCCATGGCCCCAAGAGACAGGCCCAGCTGCCAGGAACACATGCAGAACCCACAGGTCCAGGCTGGGCTGTCGGCAGCTCTGGGTCTTGGAAAGACCTGGCAAGAGCCCTAGCCCCTTCCGTCCTCAGTGACACCAGAGATGCCTGGGGATGGCCAGCAAAGAGGTCCTGGAGCCTGTGGTTGGTGGAGGACCTCAGGATTCAGAGTGAGGGCACTGGGGGCTCCAATCAGGGTGGGTAGGGGCGGAGGGCCAGGACAGGCAGCCAGAGCGGGGAGGATGAGAGGTGGTGGGCGCTGGTTGGGGGCCAACCAGGGCTGGAGGAAGCGGCCCTGCTGCACTGTGGGTGGCTGTCAGAGCAGAGTGGGAGCCGTGGGCAAAGGTGGCCTCAGCAGCAGGGGGCACCTAGGGCAGGGAGGTGGGAGGTGGAACGGGGGTGGTGCAGGGGGGCACCGATCGGGACACAGACATGGAGATCGATGTAATCTGGACCTCATGATCTTCTTCTTGGGCTGGGGCTAGCAAGGGAGCCCCTCTCCTAGCCTCCTCCACGGGGACTGTGGCTCCACGGGCCCCATCCTGCTCAGCCTCCCATTCCTGCAGCACCTCCTCCAGATTGAAGCAGTGCCAATAGCTCACAAAGAAGGTCTTCACCTGGGTCAGAGTCTTGTTCCCAATCACCTCTGCAATAGCCCCAAAGTCTGCCATACCTCCGGATGGCTTAGGCAGCCAAAAGCTGCTCCTCTGTGGTCCAGCAGGAGTTGAACTTAGTGTTGGCCTCCAGAGCGCGGAGTGGATCAATGGCGCCCTCCAGGGCTTGGCGCAGGCTGCTGTTCCTCTGCTTTATGCTCTGTACCTCTCTCTTCGGGTGTCCAGCATCGGGCTCTCCTTCACTCAGGCCTCCTCGACTCTCTTCGAACTCATCACTGTCTTCTTTGTCCTTGCAGCCCCTCAGCCGCCGGGCCTGTCTGTCCGTCATGCTAGTTCGGCTGTGGGTTTTCTTCCAAGAGTAGTGATATTTCACCAGGCTGGAAATCAACTTGTCGGGCAGCGTCTGTTGGATCCACACTTGTCGTGGAAGCCAAAGGCCTGTTCCAACAGCACCTTGTCCTCTACTGTCCACTCCTCAGGGAATGGGGTGAAGTTGGCCAGGTCAGCCAGCGACTTCTCCACATGGTGCTTATTCCAGAGCATGCCCAGCGTCTGCTCAATGTTGTAGCCATGCTTCTCCGTGGCCATCACAATATACTTGTCAAGTTTGGCATCTGACACACAGTGGTTGGGTGACCACACCAGCACCCCCTTCAGCTTCTTGTTGCTGTAGCGTGCGAGGCTCTCAGGCTTGCACTCCGGAATTATGGCCTGGTAATTGGTTCCAACGCGGACCATGCTGTCGTGCGAGTGCTCCTCCTCGCTGCTGTCATCCTCAGAGTGGGGCTATCTGCGGTTGGGCACCGTCTTGGCCCGGCTGTGGGACACGCGCTCTCCATCACGGAGGGCATTACCCCGCTCAGCTGCCCCAGGGGGCACGGAAGCCTTTGGAGAGTGACGGTGGTTGCCGCACTCGCCCGGCCCTGCCTGGAGAGTGCAGTGCCCGGCCCGGCCTTGAGAGGTCCCAACGTGCTATCTTCCATCTTGCCCCTGCCCACAAGATGCTACTTTTTTAGAGGGTACTTTATTTTTACCCTGCTATGACTTCTGTACTTTAATCATCTGAACCAGTCAATTTGAAACCTGATTCCCCTCATTTATTGGACATTCTTAATGGTGATTAAATATTTACGCTGTCGGAGGCCTTTTTTTCCCACCGTGAAAGCAGCAAATTTGGAACTTTCAGGAGCTTTAATTGTGAGGACAGGCACACTTATAGTTATAGCCAAATGGTCGAAGATGCATTTCTCATTCTCTTTGATTTGGTGGGAGGAGGAGGAGGCATGGGGATAATGGCGAAAGGACAGCTGTGTAATCCTAGGGGCACGATCCTGGCAAACTGGATTTCTTGCTGACTGAGGACTGGACACAGAACTGTTCTGGGGCCAATTAGAAATAAGCAGAATTGCCCTAAGTCAAGGGCCATTTGTCGTTGTCCTGTAGGACCGTTGGAAGCCCACCCACATGGGTCCCAGAACTCATGGACCTGGGCTCCCACGTATCTCATTCCCAGCCATGAGGGAGGTAAGGTTTGCCTTGCCAGCACTCACAGTCCCTTACGTGCCCAACTGATCCTACCTCGACGGTGGCAATGGTGTTACCCCCAGCCACCCTGGCCCACTGAGCAGTCCGGTGTAATGATTAAGAGCTTGGGCCTCAGTGTGGGCCACCCTGAGAGGCTTAGGTTTGCACAAGGGCACCCAGCCAAGGAGGAAAGAGGAATTAAAACCCAGCCTGTCTTCTGTTTACCAAACCTTGCACCCTGGCTTGGGGCTGGGTGTTCCCAAAGGAAGTGGCACCTTTTTCTTTGTACAAAGACACTGTAGGCCAGCAGTGATCCCAGTCAGGCCTAGGTTCCAGACCCAGTCCCACCACTCAATAACTACGTAGGCTTGGGCTCTCTGACCCTCAGCATCCTCATCGTGGGTTGGAAAAATTGCATCCATCACATGGGATTTTCATGCGTATTAAATGAGATAATATGTGTAAAGCATTTAGCACAATGCCTGGCACACAGGAAGTCGCTCCATAAATAAAAAACGTTATTATTATGATTACCATTATTATTATCAGGACTCTAGTGCTGTGTTAGGAGCACTATTAGTATTAGGAGTTTGCTAGGACTGCCATAACAAAGTATCACAGACTGGGTGGCAGTGTATTTCCTCACAGATCTGGATGCTGGAAGTCCAAGATCAAGGTTTTGGCAGGGTTGGTTTCTTCTGAGGCCTCTCTCCTTGGCTTGTAGATGGTCATCTTCTCTTGGTATCTTCACATGATCCTTCCTCTGTACATATCTGTGTCCAAATTTCCTCTTATAAGAACACCAGTCAGATTAGATTAGTGTCCACCCTAATGACTTCATTTTACTTCTTTAAAGACCCTACCTCTAAATATAGTTACATCCGAAGCTACTGGGGGATAGGACTTCAACGTATGAATTGGGGAGACGGTGACAATTCAGCCTGTAACACACCTATTTTCCATCTCAAACCCTATCCTTAGGAAAACATTTTAACTGGCATTTCTTGGGCACATGTTTCCGCTCAGTACTGAGCCGATTTACTTCTGTTTCTTCATTTAGTTTTTCCAATAACCTCAAAAGTATTATCACATCATTTTGCAGATAAGCAAACTAAAGTGCAGAGAGCTTAATGACAAGCCAAGGTCCCACAGTACGGTAAGGGCCTTGAACCCCTTCTTCTGGCCAAGTCCATGGCTTCTACATCAGGTTTGCTGATGGATTCTCACCATATGATATTAGTGGCTGATAACACTTAATCTGTTACCCTCCCTGGTTGTTCTGTTGCAGTGGTGGCTGGTGGCCAGCCAGCCACAGCAGAGCAAACACTCTGTTCTCATAGTCTCTTCCTCCATAAAGGTTTTCCTCACTTCCCATTGCTGTGTTCTCACTGGATGTCTCTGCCTTTTCATTTCTCACCTGTTGCACTATCCTGCCAACCCCCTTATGTTCACAATTCATTTACCTACCTCTTGGTCCTACTGGCTTGAGTTTCATGAAGGTTAAGAGGGGATGCCACTAGTGTTAAGAGTGGATGTGGGTGTTAGGTACATCAGAACCAGCAGGAACAGGGGAATGGCAACATCTGCAATCAAGTCTACATTTGTAATTGGTGGATGAGCGGCTCAGAGTCATCTCGGGATATCAAGAAGATACATGCCCAGGTGTGGTGGCTCACGCCTGTAATCCCAGCACTTTGGGAGGCCAAGGTGGGCAGATCACCTGAGGTCAGGAGTTCCAGACCAGCCTGGCCAACATTGTGAAACCCCATCTCTACTAAAAATACAAAAATTAGTCAGGCGTGGTGGTGGGCGCCTGTAATCCCAGCTACTCGGGAGGCTGAGGCAGGAGAATTGCTTGAACCTGGGAAGCAGAGGTTGCAGTGAGCTGAGATCATACCACCGCACTCCAGCCTGGGTGACAGAGTGAGACTGTCTTAAAAAAAAAAAAAAAGAAGAAGAAGAAGATACACAGATCTGTGATTTCCAAATGGCATAAAGAATAGGTCAGAAAAGTAACAACAGGAGGAGGGAGTGGAAGGGTTTTCAAGAAATGCAAGAAAGCCAGGGAGAGCAGCAGATTCAGTGGCAGGTACTTACAAAGAGGTGAGAAAGTGATCAGGAAAACAAGTTGGTATAAATGTTACAAGCAAATAGAACATATGAAGCAGGATGGCAGATGGCAAAGCTGCCCCTGTGCTTGGGAGTAGTCCTTTTAAGCAAGGGAAGAATCTTTATTAAATATTAAATTTTGGGGTATACTGCTTTAAGAAATTTACCATCGAAAAAACCAGACTTTGAGAATAGGCAAGCATTACTAAAGCTTTATTACTAAATGCTATTTGCTGCCCATTGAATGTGTACCCCATGAATGCTGTGAACTATAAGGATGTGTGTGGATGTGTGTGTGAAATTTGATTAAGGGTCATAGATACAGTACAAAGCAAAGAATGCTAATGGCAGTAGTATTATTAATCTTTTTAGGTAGCAGTATTATTTATCTTTTAAGGTACAAGTCCTATCTTTTCAGCTAGACCTTCAGCCTCTGTGAACAGGCTATGTGTTGTTAACAGTATTAGGATTATGAGATCATTTGATTGCGAATGAAAGGGTATTCAAAAAACATTGCTGGTTGTATGTGAATGAGAGTGACAAAACTAAAACCCAAAAGACAAAATATGATTAATGGAACCACATTTTACCTAGTTGAGGAGAGACTCACAGAAGTGGCACTCAAGGGCCTGTAGGAGGGGTGCAGTTAGCATGAAGGCATGAAAAGAGGGGCCTCGGCTGGGCACGGTGGCTCACGCCTGTAATCCCAGCACGTTGGGAGGCCAAGGCAGGTAGATCACTTGAGATCAGAAGTTCAAGACCAGCCTGGCCAACATGGTGAAACCCCCGTCTCTACTAAAAATACAAAAATTAGCTGGGCATGGTGGCACGCACCTGTAGTCCCAGCTACTCAGGAGGCTGAGGCAGGAGAATTGCTTGAACCCAGGATGTGGAGGTTGTAGTGAGCTGAGATTATGCCACTGCACTCCAGCCTGGGCGACAGAGCGAGAGAGTGAGACTCCATCTCAGAAAAAAATAAAGAGGGACCTCAAAGAAATAGGTAGTGACTGTGAGCACTTTTCTCTGGTTTTGTTGTTAAATAGACTGTGTAGATGAAACAAAACAGGCCATGGTAACAGGCTGGTGGGAAAGGGCCTTCCTGCTGTATGGAGGGTTCTGTGGCCTCAGCACACAAAGTCCAAAGATGTTGCCCATAAACTGGCCCCAGATCCTACCAGCCCAGATAACTCTTTCAGCTTCATACTTGTCCAGCACTTAAAACTTGTGCTCATCTTTGGACTCTTACCATCATTATTGTTAAAAAACAACAAGTATTTATTAGGGGACTTTCATACGTAGGGCCTTATGCTAAGAGCTAGGAATATCCTTGGTACTGTCTCCTGTTGTTAGCAGTGGGATTTTCATGCTTCTTTAAATGAGTCAGGCTCTTTCAAGCCCCTGTGTCCTTGCATTTGCTGTACATTTCACCTAAAACACCCTTTCCATCTTCTCAGCTTTGTGAGCTCTCACTTATCCACTAAGGTCCAGTGTAAAAGCTACTTTCTCCTGGGAGTCTTCCTTGAAATTGTACTAGAGTGCCTCTACTAAACTATAAACTCCCATTTAAAAAATAAAGAAAACTAGAAACTAAGTGCTGTCTCATCTTTGTGCCCCCAGGAACTAGGCCTTGTATACAGTAAGTACCCATTCATTTATTACAAAATAGTGAAGTGTGTCTCCTTCATGCCAGGCTCTGTTCTAGCAGTGTAACTAAACTTACCTGTTGAATTTGTTTAACGGGGCCAATTCCTCCCTTTGGTTATGAATTCCCTGCTCTGAACTTGAAGAGCACTTTATCTGTAGGTTGATAGCATTAAAATCTGGTGAGTCACATCATACACTATGCATTGGTTGTGTTTATAGCTCTTTCACTTAATATAATTTCTTTGAGATCAGAGATGGTGTCTTAAATTCAGTTTATCTCCATATTCCCTTTATTCCTCAAACTTTCTGTTCATTAACTTACTCCATCTTTTAACAGATACTTCCTGAGAATCTACCATGTGCTAGGCATGTGTTGCAGGCTGGGGTTATGGCAATGAGCAAGATCAGTGGTGTTATTTTTGTGCAGATTACTGGGCCTTACACGGAGTCAGTGTTCAATAAATGTCAGTTGAAGTGTAATGTAAAGGCTCTATACTCCTTAGGGGCAAGGGTCATTCTTTGAGGTACCCACAGCCCCACATACAATGACATAACTTGGCATCTCCACAGTGCATATTTACCAATTCATGAATTGACTATCTCTGCAGAGACAGAGAATATAAAAGGAGAAAAACAACTCCTTGCCACAAAAAATATTATTGATAACATGGAGGAGCATCCACTGAACATAGCTTTTAAATTATTTGTTAATTTACAGCACCTTTCAAACTTTGTTTGAACATGGCTTTATACTGAAAAGGGGAGAGTCTTATACTGTAATTATGTAAGGCAAGCTTATAATAATTATAATAATTATCAACCGAGTGCCAATAATACTTTAAGAACTCCACTGAGCATAAAGATCGCACTAGTGCCTAACAGGTATTTAAAATTAAGCTCTCTAAAATTGCAAAGGCACATATTTAGTGTTTTCTATTTTTTGGTAAGTAAAGATTCTGACAAATAATTACCCTCTTTTTCCTGGTAGAAACTTCTGTTTACACGGAAAATTTTCTCTAAGATGGATTTCTTCCAGTGAGAATTTGAGCAATTTATTTTCTTTAACATATCTTGAATGATATTTTCTCTTCTGTTTGAAAAATATGACAACATGCCAGATCTCGGAGCTTCTCCAGAGTAGAGGACACACCCATCAATAGACAAGCAAGTTTTCATGGGTATGTCATTCTAAGCATAGAAAAAGGCAGACTTTGAAGCGCGCTAGGATTCCCCCTAGTGGATGTAAAAGGTACTTGATTTAAGAAAAAAAAAAATCCACACCTGAGGGGAGTTGGTGGGTACTGTGGTTTACAAGGATTCATTCCTCCCTAGCATCTGTTTCTGAAAGTTGGAAGTATGTCACCAATTAATAAAGGTTTGATTAGCACTCCTCTTTCTATCTGGCATCCATAGTAATTAAGGTGTCTGCCTGCAGGCTTGCAAATGCAGCATGAAATTACAGTCAGCCCTAGAACAGAGAAATAAAATGAACACTCTTTAAAACAACACCATCTAATTTCCATAAGACACTCCCCAAATCAAATCCTCATCTGTGACTGTTTTGGTTTAAACGGATATGGTGCCTTTATCCAAATCATGAAAAAGTTTGGCTCTTTTTAGAGACTCTATTATTATCTATGTCAGTGGTGGCCAGCTACTTAAAAAATGTGCTTTTGTGTATTGCCCAAATTAGATTCCTGAGTGTTGGTCTTTGTCATGTCTTTTACAAATCCCCATTACTTATCATGTGTAGTGTCTATGAATTCATTCCATACACACTTGTTGATTATAGGCACAAGGCTAGATACTAGATGGGGGGGATGAAGGACACAGATAAGGATAAGACAAAGATCTTGGCCTCTGAAAAACTGTTAATCTACTCTGACATACCAACTTTCTGTCTCCTTTACTGGCTCCACTTTCTCCTCCTACCTTTTAAAGTGTTGATGTGTAGGTGACCTGATAACTATTTTTATCTGCCCAGAAAGTTTTACCATCCCTGTTCTTCTCATAAAGAGGCTGTACCCTCCTTCCAACAATATGGGGGCATATGACATGGGTCTGGCCAACCCAAGTGCTCCTTAGGTTTGGTCTAAGCATGGGTCATGTGATTCTAGCAAAGTCAACCAGAGTTCTTTCCAGGAATTGTTATAGGGATGGTGGGAGAAAAGAGATTTTTTATGGGGGTGGCTAATCTGGGGCTAGCAGTGACTTTGCTCTCTGCCTAGCAGAAAAGTCCAGTATGAAGTAGGAGAGAGAGCTAGATAGAGAAAGAGATAGAGATAGTGATGAGAGAGAGAGAGAGAGATATGAGAGAGAGAGAGAGAGATATGAGAGAGAGAGAGAGAGAGAGAGAGACAGATAGAGACACAGAGAGAGAGAGAGACTGACTGTTGAGGCTCTCTAGAACTGAGTCCTCAGCTCACTCTTGGTCCTTTGACATCAATCCCTTCTTCTGTCTTTGGCATCCTCTCATTCCTGTAGTATTCTCCCTGGTCAGTATCACCAATGCACACCACGGGCTTCCATCATTACTTACCTGCTGATGACTCTAAAAAATCTACACAAAAGTGATCTCTTGATCTCTGAACTTTAGGCCCTGAATTTTAGATCTACATGTCTAAATGCCTACTGGTCATTTCCCTTGTACATTCCATACATACTTCAAGTCAAGTCAATTTTCTTCCATACCTTTTCTCCACATGTTCCTAGTCTCCTTCGGTGGCACCACTGCCCATCCAGGTTTTCAAACCAGAAGGTGGAAGTCATCCTAGATACTTCCCTCACCTTCTATATTTAATCAACCAGCAAGCCTGCTGATCTGAATCATGGGCTTGATTTCTTGTTATAAGATTTCTTATTTCCTACCAACTACCATCAGAGAATACTATAAACACCTCTATACAAAAAAAAAACTAGAAAATCTAGAAGAAATGGATAAATTCCTGGACACCTACACCCTCCCAAGACTAAACCAGGAAGAAGTTGAATCTCTGAATAGACCAATAACAGGTTCTGAAATTGAGGCAATAATTAATAGTCTACCAACCAAAAAAAGTCCAGGACCAGACAGATTCACAGCCGAATTGTACCAGAGGTACAAAGAGGAGCTGGTACCATTCCTTCTGAAACTATTCCAATCAATAGAAAAAGAGGGAATCCTCCCTAACTCATTTTATGAGGCCAACATCATCCTGATACCAAAGCCTGGTAAAGACACAACAAAAAAAGAGAATTTTAGACCAATATCCCTGATGAACATTGATGCAAAAATCCTCAATAAAATACTGGCAAACTGAATCCAGCAGCACACCAAAAAGCTTATCCACCACGATCAAGTTGGCTTCATCCCTGGGATGCAAGGCTGGTTCAACATATGCAAATCAATAAATGTAACCCGTCATATAAGCAGAACCAAAGACAAAAACCACATGATTATCTCAACAGATGCAGAAAAGGCCTTCGATAAATTCAACTGCCCTTCATGCTAAAAACTCTCAATAAACTAGGTATTGATGGGACGTATCTCAAAATAATAAGAGCTATTTATGACAAACCCACAGCCAATATAATACAGAATGGGCAAAAACTGGAAGCATTCCCTTTGAAAACTGGCACAAGACAGAGATGCCCTCTCTCACCACTCCTATTCAACATAGTGTTGGAAATTCTGGCCAGGGCAATCAGGCAAGAGAAAGAAATAAAGGGTATTCAATTAGGAAAGGAGGAAGTCAAATTGTTCCTGTTTGCAGATGACATGATTGTATATTTAGAAAACCCCATAATCTCAGCCCCAAATCTTCTTAAGCTGATAAGCAATTTCAGCAGTCTCAGGATACAAAATCAATGTGCAAAAATCACAAGCATTCCTATACACCAATAACAGACAAACAGAGAGCCAAATCATGAGTGAACTCCCATTCACAATTGCTTCAAAGAGAATAAAATACCTAGGAATCTGACTTACAAGGGATGTGAAGGACCTCTTCAAGGAGAACTACAAACCACTGCTCAACGAGATAAAAGAGGACACAAACAAATGGAAGAACATTCCATGCTCATGGATAGGAAGAATCAATATTGTGAAAATGGCCATACTGCCCAAGGTAATTTATAGATTCAATGCCATCCCCATCAAGCTACCAATGACTTTCTTCACAGAATTGGAAAAAAATACTTTAAAGTTCATATGGAACCAAAAAAGAGCCCGCATTGCCAAGACAATCCTAAGCCAAAAGAAGAAAGCTGGAGGCATCACACTACTATACTACTTCAAACTATACTACAAGGCTACAGTAACCAAAACAGCATGGTACTGGTACCAAAACAGAGATATAGACCAATGGAACAGATTAGAGCCCCCAGAAATAATAGCACACATCTATAACCATCTGATCTTAGACAAACCTGACAAAAACAAGAAATGGGGAAAGGATTCCCTATTTAATAAATGGTGCTGGGAAAACTGACTAGCCATATGTAGAAAGCTGAAACTGGATCCCTTCCTTACATCTTATACAAAAATTAATTCAAGATGGATTAAAGACTTATATGTTAGACCTAAAACCATAAAAACCATAGAAGAAAACCTAGGCAATACCATTCAGGACATAGGCATGGGCAAGGACTTCATGAATAAAACACCAAAAGCAATGGCAACAAAAGCCAAATAGACAAATGGGATCTAATTAAACTAAAGAGCTTCTGCACAGCAAAAGAAACTACCATCAGAGTGAACAGGCAACCTACAGAATGGGAGAATATTTTTGCAATCTACCCATCTGACAAAGTGCTAATATCCAGAATCTACAAAGAACTTAAACAAATTTACAAGAAAAAATCCCATCAAACAACCCCATCAAAAATTGGGCAAAGGATATGAACAGACACTTCACAAAAGAAGACATTTATGCAGCCAACAGACACAAGAAAGAAATGCTCATCATCACTGGCCATCACAGAAATGCAAATCAAAACCACAATGAGATACCATCTCACAACAGTTAGAATGGTGACCATTAAAAAGTCAGGAAACAACAGGTGCTGGAGAGGATGTGGAGAAACAGGAATGCTTTTACACTGTTGGTGGGACTGTAAACTAGTTTAACCATTGTGGAAGACAGTGTGGCGATCCCTCAAGGATCTAGAACTAGAAATACCATTTGACCCAGCATCCCATTACTAGGCATATACCCAAAGGATTATAAATCATGCTGCTATAAAGACACATGCACACATATGTATATTGCGGCACTATTCACAATAGCAAAGACTTGGAACCAACCCAAATGTCCATCAATGATAGACTGGATTAAGAAAATGTGGGACATATACATCATGGAATATTATGCAGCCATAAAAAGGATGAGTTCATGGACATGGATGAAGCCATAAAAAAGGATGAGTTGTAGGGACATGGATGAAGCTGGAAACCATCATTCTCAGCAAACTATCACAAGGACAGAAAACCAAACATTGTATGTTCTCACTCATAGGTGGGAATTGAACAATGAGAACACTTGGACACAGGGTGGGGAACATCACACACCGGGGCCTGTCGTGGGGTTGGGGAGGGAGGAGGGATAGCATTAGGAGATATACCTAATGTAAATGACGAGTTAACGGGTGCAGCACACCAACATGGCACATGTATACATATGTAACAAACCTACATGTTGTGCACATGTACCCTAGAACTTAAAGTATAATTAAAAAAAAAAGATTTCTTATTTCCCAGATCCTCCCTCCTCTCTCTTTCCTACTCCTTAGCTTGCCCTCTCATCATTTCATCACTAGGCTATTTTAGGTGAGACTGGTGGTCCTGGTCCCAGGTTCATTGCCCACCTCCTCCAACCCAGCCTTTGCATTGCCCTTTCATTGTCTTCCGATATGGAAAGCTGATGGGATTACTTCCTGTTAAAAATCCTTCAATGACTCCCCATTGTTTCCCAATTGTTTTATACCATGGCTTCATTGGGCCCCACTCTTCTTGGCAATACCTTCCTACACCAAACAAGGGCACTGGCTGCCAGAGGTGACCAGCCTAGGAGCTCCCTCTGTCAGGTTCCACCCAGCAGTCCCAAGGGCTGAGAGGGCAGGGTAGTATCTCAACACTCTATGGAACACTTATTGGGAAGCCCTGACTTAGAGGATACAGCTTATATTTCTTAGCTTGATATATAAGGTCCCTGCCTGACCATTTTTGCAATATTGTGTCTTCCATTCCTTCATGTGCACATGTGACTGGGCTCTGGGCTGAGCTAGATGAAGAGTAGCTCCTTGGGGCCAGCTAATCTGAACTCTGGGGATCTATTGGCACAGGCTGATAAGCCTGCAGATGATTGTTGCTGTTTTGGTCTGTCTAAAGGAAGAGGTTGATGCTAGCCTTCTATGGAAAGACACAAAGGAAAGTAGATGAAATTAGTATGCTTACTATTCCTCAGACATTCCTTAATAGAGAGCAGGGGTAGTCAGCAGCTAGAAGGTATACGCTGACCAAAAGTTGATGACATTCAGGGCATTTATCTTGGGGTCCCATTCCATGAATGGAGCTAGACCCATTCACCTTCGGGTCTAGTGGCAGAGTGAAACACAGAGTCAGAGAGAAGGGCTTTCTTACTCTCCTTGCATCAAAGGGAGGATAGAGAGAATCAGGGAAGAAGCTACATTCTCAAAGATATTCCCCTGGGGACTCCCCAAAATGACTGGAGAGATTGAAGGAGGAAGAGGTTGAGTCCTAGAGTTATACAAGTTAGGGATAATCAGGCAGAAAAACTCAGGGGGTATTAGTTGTGACCCCATTGATACCCACTGGGGAGACCTGTGCAAAATAGTTTTCAGAAGCTGTATACATCGGTTGTGATGTGTTTAGCTATAAGGGGAAAAAACCCCTAATTACTTAGAACATAGGCAAGTAGAGGTTAATCTTTTCTTGCACAAGAAGGAGCCCAGTTGCTAGTACTGGTTGCTATTCAGTGTTACTATTAAAGAGCCCCTCCAGGCTTTTAATATCTTTCTCCTGTCACAAGATAACTGCCACAACTGTAAACATTGTATTTGTTTTCAAAACGAGGGGAAGGCTACTTTCTCCTAGCAAGACTCTGTCTTTTTTTTTTGCCCAAACAGAAATCCCTGAGCAGACTTCCCCCTTAGACGTCATTGACCAGAATGTGGTCACATGCCCACACTATACCA
The DNA here is from genome assembly GCF_000001405.40 of Homo sapiens. NCBI lineage: Eukaryota > Metazoa > Chordata > Mammalia > Primates > Hominidae > Homo > Homo sapiens. The sequence continues at coordinate 94,128,433 of NC_000012.12, read as the reverse complement.
ATGTCTGGTGAAGAGAAAAAGAATGACCATAATTGGCTCATGATTGGCTCATAAGCCCAAGTCTGGAGGAGGAACTTACCTTCCTTAAGATTATCCCAGATACACAACTAGGTTCTCTTAGCAGGGAAGAAATGAGTGTCCGGTACGTAAAGAATGCTTGTGTATTGTTACATCCTAAAAGAGTCACAGTTCTCTGATGCTGGAATTCTCCCCGTCCCTCTTGCCATTGCCTAAATCCAACCCATGCTTTGGGTTCCCACTCCAGCATCTTCTCTGACTCTCATTTTCATTCTCCAGAAATGACCAGCCCTTTCTGGGTGTCACCGACATACCTAGTCCATATGCCTACACTTGCTCTTGTTACACTCCATCGCGATATGTATTTGTCTAGTGTCCCTGTGACCTCAGAACTCCTTGAAGGAAGTTCATATTATATTCATCTTTGTCTCTAATATCTAGTATGATGCCTGGTACATAGTGTTCAGCATTTGTAGAAGAAATGTTGCGTAATAAAATCCAAATAGACGTAAGAAATCCAATATAGAAAATCATCATGTTAGCACTGACATCTTCAACCATGAAGGACCACTGGGTATGTACCATAGACAGTGATTCAGTTCAGCCACACCTATTTATGGGGGATCTATTGTCTGCCAAGCACCAGGGGCAACACAAGAGAAGGAGAACACAGTTTCTGTGGGAAGACCGTATGCAGAGCAAAGATAACTAACAAACAAAAATAGCATCTGATAAGTGTCTCATTAGAGCTACAGGAGAGCGTGGCGGTGGGGAGACAGAGGACACTGGGACAGTGGTAGAATGGTAATTAAAATCCACAGGTAATTCCAAGCCTTAATTTAATCAACACTTTCAACCTCCACCGGTCCACAACTTCTTAGTGATGTAGGAAAATTGTCAGATTTGAATGTCATTTCCTCGGGGAGCCCTGCCTATCTGTTGGTGCACCTGTGACCCAGTAGTAAAAGAACCACATGGTAAACAGCCAAAGAGGAAACCAGGGAGAAAAGGGGACCTTGATAATTCACAGCTTAGATAGTCAGCTCTTGAATAGCTGAAAGCTGATGCAGTTTTAACCAGCGATTTGAAGATCAAACGATTCCATATTTTACAATTGTACTGCATTTGAGGTTTTTGATAAGATGTGTTATTGGAAAAGAGGTAACTAAAACTGTATGAAAGGCACAGTGAAATGCACTAAATGGATCATTTTCGAGCCCTTCACTGCATGGAAACTGTGCTTGCAGTGGGTCAATACTGAGAGTCTCCTAAGGCATACTTAACATGGCAGCGGGGGGCATGAACCCCTTTGACAGTGTGGTGAAATCTATGGACTTTCCTCAGAATGTTTTAAAATGCATAAAAATATAATAAATAGAATTACAAAAGCTGTAAACTATGTTGAAATACAGCTACAAAATAATTTTTAAAATATGGCATGGTAAAGTGTTATTTAATAACAGTTTAAATAACAAAAACTAGTAACATCTCTAATACTTAATCATTATCTGAAGTAACAATAAGTATAAATCAAGATAGCTGCAACAACTGTCATGCGATTTGAAAGATGTGTGATTTCTCTTGGTGACAAAAAGTCACAGGTGCTACTGATACTATTCTAGTTTGTTGCCTATATTTGTAATTGCAGGGAATGTTAAATTTCAGTTAGAGGTAAGAGAAAATAAAGATGTCATTTTATTTTGCCATCCAAGTTCACAGACCAGGTTAGAAACTGCTGTTATGAGGTCCCTCTACCACATGGCAACCATGTTGAGAACTAGGGCCCCTACGTGTTTTCTTGACATTGATGCACACAGCTCTGGGAGGTCATGTCCCACCTATTCAAGCAATTAAATCACAATTTATATCATGCATCTTTAAAAAAATGTGTTCTTATATAGATAGGTTCAACAACAAGAAGAGAGAAAGGGTCCTATCAGGCTGCTGGTTGGAAAAGACCTTTATTGAATTCATTGCCATGAACTCTCCTTAGCACTTAGTTCTCTAAGACTGGCATTATTGTGTTGTCTGCTGAGTTAGTAGCTTGCTGGATCCTTTACATCCTCTTGTGATGTTCTTGCCCCATAAGATGTGGGCAGTTCAGATATAGGAAATGGTTCAGGAAGAGGAAATTCAAACTCTCCGCCTAGAGAAGCTGTTTGCTCTTTGCATGAAAGTGCTCTTTGAAAATGGCTGAGGGATAAAGACAGGGCTCTCTGGAAGGGGAATTTTGTGCCCACTAAAATATAAATAAGGAAGTCATCTTTTTTTTTTTCTCACAAATGCAAACTTGAAATCAATTCACTGGGCCAGTTGCATAGGTATAAGAGGTACAGTTCCCTTTTCCTGTTTATTTTAGTACTTACCTAAATGAGAAGGGTGAAGGAGTTGTGGGAAGTGTCTTAACACTGCGTGGAAGGGCAGATCACTACTTTATTGTTGCGAAAATGATGTTCCTTTTTAACTTAGAAATTAGCGCATCAGGCCACAATTCTCCTTCAACAATCACCATTTCGCTGATTAAGTGTGTCTTCAAAGATTAGCTTTCATACCTGTAAATTAAAAGGAAAAAAGGTAAAATTCATTCGACAATAGAACAATCTACATCTAAACAGTAGGTCGTCATTAGTGAAAAAACCGGGGGATTTGGAAAAAACAAAACAGAACAATTCTAAGACCAAATTTATGAGGGCAACACATTATAAAATATGGAGCTATCACATCTTCATATTAAAAAGGCTTTTGACCACTTACATATTTATTTAAAAAAAAAAAAAAGTAAGTCTAAGAAAACACCTTCTGGGTAGCTGTCTCCTTGACTCTAGATCATACTTTTTCCCAATCACTTGCATTTGTATTTTGATTATAAGACAAGCAGAGCCTATATCCTATTCTATTACAGCTATTTGTGTGGTTTTTTTCCTTGACTTTGAATTTTTGGAGCTGGCATCTCCAGAGTCATGCCAGGCAATTAGCAGGTTCTTAATAAACCTTTGCTGAATCGAAGGGAATTCGGAGAAGTATTGCTGATGAGGGAGGATACAGAAAGGGATTTTTCTATAAAGCCTGACCAGCAGTGTTAAAAAAGTTTTCCACCAATAACATTAATAATGGATTTTTTAAAAGAAACAAGCTTTTACAATTTGCAAAGTACACGGAAGAAGTCTACTAAAGAGGCTCTCAATGAGCAGTGTAAAGGTCAGAAATAAACAAAATTAAGTCTGCCAGAAGTCTGAAAATTGTCACTGTGCTATTATTGATGAAATTACTAATTCCAATAATAATCGTGGCCATTATTGCATAGTGACTTGTGCAGTTTCTTCATCTGTGAAATAGGGACATGAATAGACCCTCCATCCTTGGGTGGTTATGAGGATTAAATGAGTTAATGCACATAACACACTTCCAGTAGCACCTGGCACATGAGAAGTGTTAGTTATGCCAGGTGTGGTGCTGAGTGCTTCTCGTACTTTACTAGTGGAAATAACAAAGAAGCCAGGATGAAGCGAAACCTTAGGAGCTGGGAAAAAGGAGAAGGGTCGAAACTTATGTTCTAGAGTTTTCATGTCTTAGTCTTTGTATGATTGTTGCTGCTGCCTGGCGCAACCTTCCGCAGGCTGGCTCCCTCTCATCCTGCAGGTCTCAGCTTAAAAGCCCAGCTCAGACATGCTTTCCCTCACTCACAGTCGAAAGTTGCGTCCCCTATATTATTCCCTCTTTCCACACAGTGTTTCTCTTTAGAACACTTAACACTGTGTGTAATTGCATAGGAATAGTTTATCTAGCTAGTGAATTCTCCAACACTAGCCTGTTCACTCCACGAAGGCTAGTTGTGTTTACTGATTATCCTCGATTCCTAGCAAATTGCCTGGCACATACCAAATGCTTAATGAATGAAATGAAACTGTACCTGTTGTAAAAAATGAATGAATAAAAGTATACCTGTTGTAAACAAATGGAATAAATGAATGTATCAGGGTTCCCATTATACCCAAGGTCACTTCCAGGCAGCATGGCATCCTCTTGCTCTACAAGATACTTCTCTTTTGAAAACACATCAGCACTTAGAAAAGTGACCCTACTCCAAACTTTGTAATTTAACACTGGATCCTCTGATAGCTTCTTCCAGGATCCTAAAGTTTGTGTGTCCCATCTCCAGAGAATGTTCAGCCACTCCTACATCACTATATACTTCCTGATTTTCATCAGGCTTACAGAGACAGGGGTGAGAAAGTAGGGTAAAGTTACTCTGATAGTAGCTGAGATATGAAAGTGGAGGAAGGGAAACTATAGAATTTGAGAATTCACTGCCCTTTTACTAAGAAACACTTCTTTTTTTTTTTGAAACTTCTAGGGTGGCAGGAAGTGCATGCCCAAACCTCAGAGTCTGGGGCAATCAACAGTACCCTAACCTCCCTGAACAGGTTCAGACACCCAGGGCTGGGTATAGGAATAGCCCAGATGTTTTTAAAGTTAAGACCTGAAGTGGAGAAAAGGAAAAAATGAAGAAAGAGCTCCAGCTCCACAGGGGATGTCCTGGGATTAGTAGGGACAACACAAACAGAGCTCAGGGAAGGAAGACAGAGAGAAAGGGGAGGGGAAGTTTTTTGTTTTCAAAGTGTAATGTAGAAAAAAAAATAGCTCTGGCTGGGCGTGGTGGCTCATGCCTGTAATCCCAGCACTTTGGGAGGCCGAGGCGGGTGGATCACTTGAGGTCAGAAGTTCGAGACCAGCCTGGCCAACATGGTGAAATCACATCTCTACTAAAAATATAAAAATTAGCCAGGTGTGGAGGTAGGTGTCTGTAATCCCAGCTACTCCTGAGGCTGAGGCATGAGAATCGCTTGAACCCGGGAGGTGGAGGATGCAGTGAGCCGAGATCGCGCCACTGCACTCCAGCCTGGGCGACAGAGTGAGACTCCACCTCCAAAAAAAAAAAAAAAACTCAAAAAAAACAAAAAACAAAAAACAAAAAACAAAAAAACCCCACAAAACTCCTCACCTTAAACTGACCAAGAAGAAGCCAGACTACTACTTCCACTTTTATGTTGTGGCTGGCAGACCACAAGGAGCCTGCTCTGGAGAGGGCGGAGAGGGAAAGCCCAGCTGCTGCTCACTCAGCCCCTTTTTGACAGAAGACTTGTCCCCAGATCAGGGATGACCAGGGAAGAGATCAGTGGACAGGGTAAATCCACAGCCATTTGATGTAGGGACATTTTAATTTGGGAAATCAAATGCAGGAAAGATATTACCTTACTGTTCATTTCAAGCATCTCACACACACCATTAAATGCCCCAAACCAGGCTACTATTGAACCTTAACCACATACAAATGACATATTTACCCAAATACCCCAACATGCTAACAATCCTTTCTGGGTTGCATGTAGCCCAAACTGCCCCTGTGTGTGAATTACAAAAGGCACACTCCCACCCCTTCTTCAAGACACTTGGCTTACTTCTGTTGGAAAATTGTTGTCATGGGCTGATTTATTAGAATAAGACACATGACTATCATCTGCCAGAAAACTATCATAATAAATATACAAACTAACTGTGTTTACTATCAATGATGGTCCTTTAGATGTGGTGCCCTTGTGCAGAAGTCAGTTTGAAATAGAGAAGTTTGAAATAGTTGTATCAAGGCCATCAAAAGCTTAACTTCCTTGTCCCAGTATCCTTATTAATGCTTTGCAAAATCATGATCCTTAATGCATTTCTCGTCTTGCTATGGTCAACTTGTGATACACTGAATGAATAAAATAGAGCGAACAGAAATGAAGGATCTGTTTGTCAGATCGGTTAAACCAGGAAGTTTCAAAAGAAAGGATTGTTAGCATGTTAGAGTATTTGGGTAAATACGTAATTTGTATGTGGTTAAGGTTCAATAGTAGCCTAGTTTGGGGCATTTAATGGTGTGTGTGAGATGCTTGAAATGAACAGTAAGGTAATATCTTTCCTGCATTTGATTTCCCAAATTAAAACGTCCCTACATCGAATGGCTGTGGATTTACCCTGAGCATCAGCTCTGAGGTTGGGAATAGACGACCTGTGTACTTCTGCCTCCTGATCATGCCTGGGGCGTTCTAATCTCATGGTCTAAAGGTCTCAAAACAGGTAAAACAGAAATGAATGTTCTCAAATTCGTGGGGGTATCTCACCAGTTATTTTGGAAATAAATATAGCTGCATGCAGACAAGCTTCCATTTGTCCAGAAGTACCTAACTAAGTGGAAGCTGCCCACACTATTACACTGGAGTTAAAGTATTCTGAGCTCCACCCACTCTCTACCCATTTTTAGCATAGTGTGATGGAGGCAAGCAGACCACGAGAACCCAGTGGAAATGTCACCAAGTGACCAGATCGCAGGCCTGTTTGCAGGTGGTGTCTGACTGCTGGTCACCAGATCCCTCCCACCATAAATACAAAAGTTCCTTGTCAAAATTCTTTCACACAAGTTCTTATGCTTTAAACTCACAAAAGTAGGACAGGGCTCCTATCTCTCCATTTTACAGAATGGGAAACAGGCTCAGAGAGGCCAGTGTGTAGGAAAGTCAGGAACCAGAATATGGGTCTCTTGATTCTTTGGTCCAACATTCCATGAGTCTCAGTTTTTAGCACTGAGATCATGTGGGGGAACTTTGAAAAATGTGGATGCCCAGGCTCAATCCCAGCTCCTCAAGAGATAGAACCTGGAATGTGTATTTTTCTTTCTTTCTTTTTTTTTTTGAGATGGAGTCTCACTCTTGTCGCCCAGGCTGGAGTGCAGTGGCGTGATCTTGATTCATTGCAACCTCCACTTCCCAGGTTCAAGCAATTCTCCTACCTTAGCCTCCCAAGTAGCTGAGATTACAGGTGCCCACCACCACAACTGGCTAGTTTTTGTATTTTTAGTAGAGACGGGGTTTCACCATGTTGGCCAGGCTGGTCTGTAACTCCTAACCTCAAGTGATCACCTGCCTGGGCCTCCCAAAGTGCTGGGATTACAGGCGTGAGCCACCGCACCCAGCCTGGAATGTGTATTTTCTTTAAAGTGCCATGAGGGCTAGGCGTGGTGGCTCATGCCTATGAGACCAGCACTTTGGGAGGCTGAGGCAGGAGGATCACTTGAGCCCAGGAGTTCGACACCAGCCTGGGCAAGATGATGAAACCCTGTCTCCACCAAGGAAAAAAAAAAAAAAAAAAAGGGTGGGCATGGTGGTCCACGCCTGTAGTCCCAGCTACTCAAGAGGCTGAGGTGGGAGGACTGCTTGAACCCAGGAGGTGGAAGTTGCAGTGAACCACTGCACTCCAGGCTGGGCGACAGAGTGAGACCCTGTCTCAAAATTAATTAATTTAATTACATTAAAATAAAGTGCCATGAATTCAGATATACAGCCAAAATTTGGACCCCTTAGTCTGACACGTGCTTAATTGGAGGATCCAGAAAAATAATAAATAAATAAATAAATAAATCGGAGGATCCAGAAAAATAATAAATAATTGGAGGATCCAGAAAAATAATAAAATAAAAAAATCAGAGGATCCAGAAAAATAATAAAATTAAAAAAATCTGACATGCTTAATCAGAGGATCCAGAAAAATGATATGAAAACAAATTTAACTGAAGCATAAGGAAAAAAAAGCTTGGCTTGTTCAGTTTAGAACATCCATTAGAGTAATACCATGGTGTTGTATATTGTATTAAATAAGAAGACACCTCTGAATTGTGCAAAGAGCAGAGATCCTATGAGAAGGAAATTCGTTGATAAGATCCCTACAAATACAGTTAGAATGCAAGAACGATCAGGATGGCCCATTAGAGCTCTGGAAGACAGATACTGCTTAAATTCCCTAACACATTCCAGCTTCCACAATGCTAGGAAATAATATGCTGTGCACTGTGTACAAAATGACTCCCTGCAGGCCTGAAAGAAAAGAGCCTTGTTGGAGACATGGCCAGTCTATTGGGGGTGATTATGGTCTGCTCTCTTCTTCTGTCATGTTTCTTCTCTAATCAGGGCTGACTCAAATATTCCAAGAGAAGTTAGGAGTCAGAACACCTGGTGCTGGTCCCAGCTCTATCATTATCTGCAATGTGATTCTCTTAGCTAAGCTGACTTTGGTTTTCTAATTTTTAAAATGAGAAGCCTAATTGTTGTTCCGGTCACTTTACATGCAGGATGCATTGTGATGATGTATCCATACACATATACAAGCAGAGTATAGCACATTATTATGATTACTTTGAATAGCACCATTGGATGTATTAGTTCCAAATGGGGCATGTGCATTCTATGACTCCCATGTGCCATTAAAGACCCTATTTTCTGGTAGCCTGACACTTTATCCATCTCTAATGGGGAAACATTTGGGAAGCATTGGTTTCCTTCTTTTGAACCACCCAAGCCAGAATATTCCAGAGAGTTGAAGAAAGGAGAGGGATCTAAGGTCAAAACAAGATATTGGAGGCCAGATGTGGTGGTTCATGCCTGTAATCTTAGCACTTTGGGAGGTCGGAGGTGGGCAGCTCACTTGAGCCTAGGAGTTTGAGACCAGCCTGGGCAACATAGTGAGATCCCCACAAATCATAAAAAAATTAGCCGGGCATGATGGTGCATGCCTGTGGTCCCAGCTACTTGGGAGGCTGGGCTGGGAGGATCACTTGAACCTGGGAGGTCGAGGCTGCAATAAGCTGTGATCATACCACTGCATTCCAGCCTGGGTGCCATAGTGAGACCCTGTCTCAAAAAGAAAAAAAAAAAAACACCGTAAAGAGTGTAATTGGATTGTTTGTAACTCAAAGAATAAATGATTGAGGGGATGGATACCCCCTTCTGCATGATGTGCTTATTTCCCATTGCATGCCTGTATCAAAACATCTTATGTACCCCACAAATATATACACCTACTATGTACCCACAACAATTAAAATTGTAAAATTTAAAAAATAATAAAATAAATAAATAATAATTTAACACCCCCTTAAAAAAATATTAGCTTGGCATAGTGGCATGCACTTATAGTCCTAGCTACTCAGGTGGCTGAGGTGGGAAGATCACCTGAGCTCAGCAGGCTGCGGCTGCAATGAACTATGATCATGCCACTGTACTCCAGCCTGGTTGACGGAATGAGACCAGGAAGGAAGGAAAGGAAGGAAGGGAGGGAGGGAGGGAGGGAGGAAAAAGGAAGAAAGAAAAAGAGGGGGCTGGCCATAGAACGGACTATTTGAGAATTAAGAGAAGGTCCTGAGAGAATAGGGAGAAAAGCCAGGCTCTAGGCCTGTGCTGTCCACTACAGTAACCATTAGTCTCATGTGGCTATTTAATGTAAATAAATTAAAATGAAATGCAATTTGAAATTCATCTCCTGCTTCCTACCAGTCACATTTTGAATGCTCACTGGCTGCCTGTGACTAGTGGCTACCATGGTTGCCGGTGCTAGAAAGCTGTTTTGGGCAGCACTGCTCCAGGCCTTATTAAGGGTGGACAGGCTGATTTTTTCCCACAATGTATCCAGATTTCAGTCTGTTCTCAGTGTTCTAATGCCAGTGCACCTGGAGGCTGGGCCAGCTAGGCTGTTTCACTCTTCTTCCCAGCCTGCCACTTCTCCCAGCCCCAACCCCTCTCTCTGATTCAGTAGGAGGTGAACCAAGAGGCAGTGGTGGGAGTCCCTCTCTGTGTAAAGCTGGACTATGGGAGCCCTGGACAGGACTTTCTGGTGGCACTTAGGTTAGTGAGGACCTTCCCCGGACCTTGGGAATAGCCAGGGTCAAATGGAAAATATTTCAAAACCAAATTAAGACCATTGAGAGCTTCCCTTCACATATCAGCTCTCTAAGGATGCCAGCCAACCTCTGCCAGCTACTGTCACATCTGTGAGCCTTGCAGGTCCTGCCCATTAGGGCTGGGTGGGAAGAGAATCACCAGAGAATCAAAGGCCAGAAATGGGCAGGGCCCTGGCGCCTGGAGTCCCACCCCTTCTTGGGAATTGACATGGGTCACTTTGGTCATGCACTACACGTAGGTTCTTTTTGGAGGGTAACAGCAGGCAGTAGAGAACATGAGGGATGAGGGTTATCTCTTCCCCTAAACCTCATGTCCTCATTGAACAAAAGGTAAGGTTCAAGCCAAATTCTGCCATGCTTCTAGTTGTAAGCATAAATTCTTTTTAAAAAATTTTATTTTATTTATATATTTTACTTTTTTAGAGGCAGGGTCTTGCTCTGTTGCCCAGCTTGAAGTGCAGTGGTGCAATCACGGCTCACTGCAGCCTTGACCTTCTGGGCTCAAGCGATCCTCCCATCTCAGCCTATTGAGTAGCTGGGACTACAGGCATGTGCTACCAGCACACCTGGCTAATTTATTTATTTATTTTTAATAGAGACGAGGGCTCACCATCTTGTCTAGGCTGGTCTCGAACTCCTGGGTTCTGGTGACCTTCCTGCCTTGGCCTGCCAAAGTGCTTGGGATTACAGGTGTGAGCCATAGTGCCCGGCCTAGAGAGAAATTCTTTAGCCACACAGGCAACAAGCAGTTTTGTAGGTCTGATGAAGTTCCAGCTCTCTGTCCTTTGCTGTGCTCTGATCCACCTGGATAAAAGATCGCAAACCTTCTGAGGCAGGATTCTCTGTCCCTTAGCAGGCATCATGCAATTAAAAATTCCCTAAGCCAACGGCCAGAAAGTGATGAGTGCTAATTAAGAAATCATCAGTTGTTGATTGAAAAGTACTGCCTCTGGAGTTGGCCCTCTCTGATATAATGCTAGCTGACCTCGCTGACCTCCTTGAATGTGAATTCCTGATAGTGTGTTAACTGACCACCAGGCAGATGCATCGTTATCATCCTGATTTTGCAAAAGTACTTAAAAGTAAATTTCAAAAGTATAGTATGCCTCTGTTGTACTAGGAATACTTAAGCAGAGCGAATTCAAGAAACTTAAAATCACAAAAAGAACTGAACAGATTCTACCTGTTCTGAACCCTGAATGGATTCTCCTGGTTCCCATTACTAGCCTGTGTTCCCTCAAACATGGTGTGTGTGTGTGTGTGTGTGTGTGTGTGTGTGTGTAACTCACAGACCCTTGGTGATCTTCTGAAAGCCTCCATCAGTTTCCTCTGGCCCTTATTCTTCTGGTCCAAAGTTCAAGACTTTGCTTCTTACTAAAGGATATCTTTCTTTCTTTTTCTTTTCTTTTCTTTTTTTTTTTTTTTTTGAGATGGAGTCTTGCTCTGTCACCCAGGCTGGAGTGCAGTGGTGCAATCTTGGCTCACTGCAACCTCCGCCTCACAGGTTCAAGTGATTCTCCTGCCTCAGCCTCCAGAGTAACTGGGACTACAGGCACGTGCCACCACACCTGGCTAATGTTTGTATTTTCAGTAAAGACAGGTTTTCGCCATATTGGCCAGGCTGGTCTCCAACTCCTGACCTCAAGTGATCCACCTGCTTCAGTCTCCCAAAGTGCTGGGATTACAGGCGTGAGCCACTGTGCCCGGCCCTGAGGGTATCTTTCAAAATCTCATCTTGTCCCTACTTTTTGGAAGATTGATTTTTGTGGACTGAATCTGAAATGATTCTAATTATTTGTTCTCCTTAAGACTCGTATTAAACAATCATCATATGATTTTTGCTTAGTTTAATCTTTATTTAAACATGATTGTGTGTTATTTTCTTAATTTAACTTCAAATTCCAAATACATTAGGGATAGGAAGCTCTTTGAAGAGCAAGAACATTTTCTTATTTTTTATATTTCTAGTGCCCTATGCAGTGCCTGGCACTTATTTGCCTTAAATAAATGGTGTTGGGTAAAGGAATACAACTGATGTAATAATTTCAAGGTGCAGAGTTAAAGTTTATTCCAGTGGTAGTTCATAGAATGGAAGACCATTACTCATATAATAGGCCACCTTTGTATAACCCTTATTGTATACCGGGCTCTAGTCTAGCACTTTATATATGTTCACTAATTTCATCTTTACAACAATCCTATTCAATAGATACTGTCATCCTGGTATTACAGATGAGGAAATTACGGTGCAGAGAAGTCAAATGACTTGCCCATGATCATCACACAGCCAGGAAATGAGAAAACTAGGATTCAAATTCAAATACTCTGGCTCCAATTCATGTGTCTGTTGTCTCTCTACTCTACTATTCTTCATGATCTACTAATTAGGGAGAAAATGGAATTTTTCCCCCTATCTCACATCCTACACAAAAATAACATATTAGATGATTTCATATGATCTTCTGCCAATCAAATAGCTAAAAGGCAATAAATAATCAACATGGGAATTACCAGTGAATTTGGGCCAGCATTGAGGCACATAAACCATGGGAATTAGTGAGGGAAGACAGAAGTTGTCTTCATCTCCTGGAGGTATGTACATGTTTATGAGTGTGCGTGTACGTGTATGGGTGAGGAGGGATTGCGAGGGAAGAGAGAAGAAAGAGAAGGTGGAGAAAGGGCAGAGAAATCTTAGAAAAGGAGGAACTCCCTTTCTAGCCTTTGTCTCTGAGGCAGCCCCAGTCACAGGAGTGCAGGGGTAGGTCCTAGTATCAGATAATAGCCACTCCTGTGGCTTATGGTCACCTGATTATTGCCACTCAGAGATGTAGACCCGGTTTTCCAGATCTTTAATTTTTAAAGAGAACAAGAAACCTGCATTTTTATGTGAAATTTCCTGATTTTAAAAACAAAACACCTCTCCCTACTGAAGGCCAAGTCTATCAGCTTGAAGACTCAGATCTTAGACTTCAGGAGGTTCCAGGATTCAGAACTGTAAAGACTTATTTATGATCCAGAATTAAATGGAAATGTCTACATCTGAGTTACGGCAATGAACCGTCTGATTTTTGTGGCCCCTCCCCAGGAGCTGAGTTGGATTTGTTGCAGAATTCCTACTCGTATTTTCCAAATATCATGCACGTAGGCCCCACATCACAGTTTCTTCCTGCGTTTGCCTACCATGCATATCATGATTCACTGAATGCTTTTCTCTTTATTGGCTCTATATTAATTCCCTTTTAAAAACTTAGGCCAACATAGCCTATAATAAAATCATAGGTTTCATGTGCTAGACAGATTTTACTCTAAGTGCATTAAAATAAATAGACAGCTAGTAGAATAAATATTGCTCATTTTGTCTACCACTTAAAATCGTCCTCTGATAATATGCTTTTCATCATTGGAAAGCATTGCCATTCTGAAAAAGACTCTTCAGTCAAGGCTAAGATGGAACGTTAGAGAAGGGGAAAGAGACATTGATTGTGCTAGGCTGGGAGAGGAGGAGCAGGAGGATCCCTGAGAGAGACAAATTTTATTCCACTCGATAAGAAATATGGGAACTTTATAGCTTTACTGTTAAGGATGCACTGGGATTTTATGAAAGAACTCCCCCGCCCCCATCACTGGTTTAGAAAAATCTCTGCCTATCTCCCATATTTTATTTGCCTGTTATCTCCCTACTACTAAAAACAATTTGCATGAAAACCATCAGACTCTTAGCTCACAGGAGTCCTTGGGCTCCTGCTGTTTTCTTGCTTGCTCAGGCTGGTGCTTTGTCTGTGGTTTAATCACAAACTCCTGCTTTGGGTACCGTTAGGAACCAGCAAGTAGTGGAGCCAAGTTTCAGACACGTGGGGACGTGGCATTTCCATCTAGAATCCTTGAAGGCTGATTCCCAGGAGAGAATCCTTGGAAATGTACCCTCAGGAGGGCTGGAAATGAAGTGACTGTAAGCATGCAGGGAGGTGGGGACTGAATTTTATAAAGTAAGTGGTACAAGGGGCTTTCTACTCTAGGGTGGTAGAGCGGGGAGTTTTGTGTCACTGCCAGGAAAGAGTCCTTGTTCCAAGCATCTTGCTTTGGGCAGAAATGACAAATGGACATTCACCAAGGTTCAGTCCTTGGTACTCTTGGTGGGTGACACTTCAAGACGCTGCTAGATAACACTTACCCTGGAGAGAATTTGTTTTCTAGGAGTGATGATGAATATTCTTTCTTCCTTTTTTTTTTTTTTTTTTTGAGGCAAGGTCTTGCTCTGTCACCCAGGTTAGAGTGCAGTGTCATGACCATGACTCACTACATCCTTGACCTCCTGGGCTTAAGCGAGCCTTCTTCCTCAGGCTCCTGTAGGTGGAATTACAGGTGTGCACCACTACGATCAGCTGATTTTTAAATTTTTTGTAGAGATGGGGTCCCATTATATTGCCCAGGCTGGTCTCAAACTCCTGGGCTCAAGCGATCCTCCTGTCTTGACTTCCCAAAGTACTGGGATTATAGGCATGAGCCGCCATGTTTGGCCTATCTTGCTTTTTAAAGTAAAATTTAAAAAAAAAACTATAAAAACAATTTTTCAGGACAGAGACCACGTTTATGTTCTGCCCATCATTAAATTGCTAGTGATGCCTCGTGTTTAATAAGTGCTTGAATTTTAGTTCAATTAAATCAACTCACTTAAATTATTTATTAAGTTAGCACATTTTGGGAGAAATGGAGTAGTATAAAAAGGAGATAAAAACCAGCAATAGTGCCACTAATAGATAGCCTGTTAATATTTTGCTGAATTTGCTTCTAGTCTTTTTATTTGCATATACATTTTTCCAAATACAATTTAGATCATGCTTTATGATGAATTTTGTATTCTGTCTTGAAAATTAATGTTCCACCAAGAGACATTTCCAAGATCATTAGTCTGAAGAAACATTACCTTTAATGATCATATGACACTCCAATATTGTGTGTACCATTGTTTATTTAATCATTCTCATATTGAGTGGTCAGAATGTTTTCAAGTTTTCAACTGGGACCCGGAACAATAGAGGCTCATTGCATGCATTGTGCTTTTCTTTTCTTTTCTTTTTTCCCCGAGACAGAGTTTCGCTCTGTCACCCAGGCTGCAGTGCAGTGGTGCAACCTCAGCTCACTGCAAGCTCCGCCTCCTGGGTTCACGCTATTCTCCTGCCTCAGCCTCCTAAGTAGCTGGAACTACAGGCACCCACGGTGGCAGGCTCTGTGTTTGACACCAGGGCACAGAGACAGAGGAAAGTTCTAAGTTAGTGAAACGGGAGAGTTCCCTGATCCCCTTTGCAGGACATGCGACAGAGGTCACCTGTTTGGTCGCTGCTGCTCGAACCCCTGACAGGTCAGGTGCAGGAACCAGAGTGAGTGCTTTCGGGTTCCCGCCCCATGGCAGCATCTAGGGGTGGGTGTCTGCGACTCCCAAAGCCCAAGTGGGCACGTGTTACACTGTGCTCTTTCAGCCTTGCCATTCACAGACAGCTTATGTATTTACCAGCTCAGTGGGCCTTCTGCCTTTTCACAAGGGCAGTGGGCCAGTGTGACAGCTTTCTGTATATATCCAGAGCTCTTGCCCAGCGTCCTGAAAGAATCAAGTCACACACGGACTTGAAGGATGAATGCGGGGTTTTATTGAGTGGTGGAGGTGGCTCTTAGTGGGATGGATGGGGAGCTGGAAGGGGGATGGAATGGGAAGATAGCCTTCCCTTGGAGTTTTGGAGGTCTAGCGGCCAAACTCCTCTTTGACCGCCCCCAGCTGGACTCCTCTTGGCGTTCAGATGCTCCTTCTCTTTTCTCTTTCTCTGCTGTGCTGTTGTGCTGTTTGTCCACTTGTCCCCTCATCTCCTCATTTCCTCTTCTGCTCATATGCTTCTGGAGCCTGGGGTTCAGGGTTTATACAGGTATAGGATAGGTGGATCTGGCAGGCCAAAAGGCAACTTTTTGGGTGTGAAAACAGAAATGCCTGTTCCCACTTAGGGCTGTGAGTCTCCAGGCTTGAGGGCGGGGCCTTTGCCTGGGAACCATCCTCTTCTACCCAGTATTTCCCTGTCTCCTGTTCATATCATTAGCAGCAATAGTTGAAAGGCAATAGTAGAGGAGCCCGGGAGGGTAGGACCCATCAGAAGCTGGGAGGAGAGCCAAGACCACCGTCCTCAGACTCTATGGGAGGGGGCAGTAACAGGAAGAAAAAAGTGGGCAAGTGTCAAAGGGGCTGGAGAAGCCCTGAATCCTGTTAGCAAACTGTGCTCTGGCCCCAGGTCTTCTTCCAGTTTCTCTAACATAGGCCACACCCACTCCTGCTGCAGAGACTTCGCACATGCAGTTTCTGCTGCCTGGATCCCATTCACTGATTTTAGGTTCCTTGTCTTTGAGCTCTTTAGCTCAATCTTCATATCCCCTTACTGACTTCCCTAACTCAGCTACTTCCCTCTATTAGACACTCTCAAAATTGCTGCTCTTCTTTGTAAAACATTTTATATTTATCTCAATAATCCTTGATTACTGCCCACCTCTGTCAATGGAAGCTTCACAAACAATGAAAAATATGTTAAATGAATGAATGAATGAATGAATGAATGAAAGCAGGGGACTTAAAGATCTTTGTTTTCTTTGTAAAGGTATGATAGATGCAAACATAGAAAGATACAGAAAAAAAAAGAGCAGGTAGAGGAGGCTCAGCACAGCTTCCCTTCCAGCTCTTGCCTGTGCCCAAGGAAAAGCATCTTTTGGCAGGCATTTGGCTCCAGAGCAAGGCTGGCAGGGCCAGGAGGCAAGACGATGAACTTGGTTTCATCAGGAGGCCCAGCACTCCTCCTCTGACACTGAGCAACAGTTAAAAGGCAGGAAGGTAATGGGCTCCTCCTTTTGCCTCCCTGCCAGTTTCCTAGTATTGAGGGAGAAGCAGGGATAAGGAGTCTTTGGAAGAGTCTCCATCCATGAAAGGCAGGCAGAAAGCAGTGAGAGGGAAAAGAAGGGAGATCTGTTAGAGCTACAGATGAAATGACTGAGAATCCAGGGGCTTGTCTGGTGGTGATACTGTCAGCCATGGAAGAATCCATTTCTAATAGCTGCTTCTTATACATTATTCATGAAAACGGGAAGACAGAGCCGATAACATCAGAATGATGCCACTGTCCAGCAAATCTAATGACTGTAGCTTGAGGGCATTTTAACTAGCATGTAAAAATATTTTTGCCACTTTGAGGTCCAGAGGGTTAGAAAGCTAACTCAACTTGAAGGGCTGGTGAGTTTCATTTGGAAAAAGGTGTGGCCTTCCACCAGCAACATCTGTTTTGTTGTGGTGTCTGGGCCATTCCTACCTTCTCATTTCTTAGTTTCTAATGGAAGAATTATTGCTGCTTTAGTTAAATAGCCCTAGGTTTTCAAATCAGTCTCTATTTTCCTACTTGTCATTCAAAAGACAGGGACAAGCAATAGGACTCTGTGAAGAGCTTTGCTGGATTTCAATACAAATTATTAGCTTCTAATCTCTCCAAGCCTAAGGGACAAGTGCTTTTTAAACAGTGAGAGAATTCTGCTGCTGCTAAAATCTGATGTTTTCCCCCAATTTCTGATTCATTACAACTGCAAGATTCATTCCATCTTAAAAACCCCTTCAACTTGCTGTCAAAAAGCCAGGAGGTTAGTCTGTTGAAAGGGAAGAGAGGAAAATTAAGAGTGGAGGCCATTCTCATTGTCCCGGGGTACAGGTGGGAAGAGGGAGGTGGCAGCTCACGTCCGTTCTTAATTTGCTATTTTATTTCACAATTTGTTTATTGTGAAATTCTTAATTTATTATTTTCTGACCTTCATGTAGAATGTTCTGGGTTCCTGAACATCAGTTGATGCATTTCAGTCAACTGCATTCATTCATCCATTTCACTAACAGTTATCAAGCGTGTGTGACGAGTCTAGGGCAGCAGTCCCCAACCTTTTTTGGCACCAGGGACTGGTTTTGTGGAAGACAGTTTTTCCACAAATGGGAGGGAGTCGGGAGGGATGATTTGGGGATCAGGGATTAGATTCTCATAAGGAGCGCATAACCTAGATCCCTCGCATCAGCAGTTCACAATAGGGTTCGGGCTTTTGTGAGAATCTAATGCTGCAGCTGAGCTGACAGGAGGCGGAGCTCAGGCAGTAATGCTTGCTCACCTGCACTCACCGCCTGCTGGTGGCCCAGATCCTAATAGGCCACAAACTGGTACCAGTTCGTGGCTTGGGGGTTGGGGACCCCTGGTCTAGGGCACTTGTAAACTGTTTGCAGAGTAAAACATGAATCCAGCTTCGGTGCCTGCCTTCATGCAACTTATAATCTCTGCAGACAGATGAATGAATGATTGAGTAACATCATAAAACAGTGTTATTCCCGGTGTACTTGGAGAGGAAATAATGGTGAGGAACGGCGGGCGTGGAGTTCAGATGATCAGGTTTTATTTAAATCATTATGTATTTTATTTTCAATTGTATTATATAAACATAACTATCCCTTCCAACCTGTAATTCCACAGACACTGCTCAGGAGACTGATAAAGTTGATTTAAAGGAAATAATAATAGACCTAGTGGTATTAGGATGTAGAAAAATCACCAACTTGGTAAATAATAGTAATAATGATTATAACAGCCAACGCTTATAAAGTGCTTAGTATGGGCCAAGTACAATTTATAAGTGTTTTTTGTATTTTTGTATAATCTTTATAACCACCATGCAGTACAATTGTCATCCCTATTTTGCCAATAAGGAAACTGAGCAGCGAACTTATGTAACTTGCCTAAGGTCACACAGGTACTGGATTTGAATCCAGACAGCTGGCATCTGCGTGCGTGCTTAGAGAAACCAAGGTGTGGGACCCCCAGGAGATAAGGAGCAAACCAGCCTTGGGAGGTGAGAGTCAGAGACAGTTCAAGGCAGAGGAGGTGTTTAAAGTAGTTCATGAAGGATGAGTACTGTGGACCAATGGACAGGGGGCAAGGGTATGTTAGGTGGGAGGGCTGGGCCACAACAGGTGCACGGCTTGTTTGGGGTTGAGAGTGGTGGGCTGGGAGTGGCAGGGTGGTGTGGCAAAGGGCATGTGACGTGGGAAATGAAACAGGGTTCATACCACTGAAGTCCTCATGTGTCTGGCTGGACTTTATCCTCTGAGATACTGACTAAATTTTCACTCTGGAAAGAGACTCTGATGGCCGTGGAGGGGGCTGGCCATGTGGGGGACTGGCCACGTGGGGGCTGGATGACTCAGAGAGGCCTGGGAGGGGCGCTTTTACTCAGTTGCTCAGGAGATGGAAACTTCATGAGTCAGAAGGAACATCTGCCCCCATGATCGCTCTCCATTGAGTGGAAGCAGTTATGAGATTGGTGAGATTGTCTGGTGGGGCCAGGGGAACACAACCTTACCCCTCCCTTCTCCCTCCTCCTCCACGCTGCAAAGCTCTGGTCTCATAAAGGGACCCATGCTGCCTGCCTCAAGCTGAGGCCCCTCTCCAGTCCTAGTTCCAGATACCCAGGAGACCTTCCTTACCCTCTCACTACACTGGCTGCTCTCTTTCCTAATCCTCATGGATGAGGATGGGGGTCGGGGGTGGGGGGCAGTGGGCAGCCTGGCATCCTCCCTGAGGCTGCCTGGGTGTGGATCTGCAGATACAATCTCTATCCTCCCAGGTCTCAGGACCTGGGGGCTTGGGGAGGGTGGAAGCCCAGTTTTCAGCCTGAGTACTTACTAGCTTATTCATCAACCCAGCTGTATCAATAACAAATCAGTTACTATATTTCAGTCCCCATCTAGTACCAGGTCTGGTGTGATGAAGACTAAAAGGAAGGCATGCAACTGATTCACAACAATAGCCATTCCTTACCACAACCTCATGCATTATTATTGTCCCCATTTGGATAGGAGGAACAGGCTCAAAGGGCTTAAGCAACCTGCGGGAGGTCACAGTTAGTGAATGCCAAAACCAGGAATCAAGCACATGGCTTCTCTCACTTAAAAAAAAAACAAAAACAAAAACAAAAAAACAAAAAACCCCCATATTTCAGGTAACTAAGCTGGTCTTTAAAAGTCCCTCATATACTAGTATAATTTAACTGTTAGAAATCAGAAAGTTTAAGGAAATATTCTGTCTGCATAGTTTTGGATGTGCAACTAAAGTCTTACAAATAAAATAATCATGAATGATGAAATGATAATTATCCGAGAAAGGCAGCTGCCTATTTGGATAGACTTACACATTTTATAGAACTCAGTGTTAACACTGGCCAATTTTTTCCCTCTTGGTTCTTCTCTGAATTTCAATGAATTTTTCATCAGCATATTAATTAGTGCAAATCTTGGATTGCACTTTGTAATTAAGATCTTATGTGTTCCTCTAGATCTTACGTTTGAGTTAAATGTTAATTTTTCAAAGAGAAAAATTAGGAATTTGACAACTGCCTTCCTTCCTGGCAATAGAATATACATGCTGCCTGTCAAAAAAGATGGAATGCCTGAGTTTCTAAGATAGGGAGTGATAGATTATTCATCATGAAATTGCAAACTCATTTGCCCCATATCACAATCAATTGCTGACAGCAGTTTTTCTGGAAACCCATTTGTGAAACGCATTTGGGAGTCTAGTCACCGAATGTTAACTCGGATTCCTTGACTTGCCATTAGTCTTTGTAACTTTTCCTTAGTCCATGTCCTGATTTGCTCTAATTTCTATCAATTTTAAAGTCACCAGAAGAAAGTTATGTAGTATAAGTTCATTTTCCCATAGTAATAATAAAGTTCTTACCACATGCTCTTGAGAGGCAATTCTCCACGGATCGCTCTTACTTCTGCACATCTTATGAGCAGGAGCACTGACTTTTTGTTGTGGGTTATCTTTTCAAAGATGCTTATTAGCAAACAGCCTTAGAAGACAGAGATAGTATCTTCTCCTGGAGCAAAGAGCAGGCATGCTGACTGCCCATTATAAAAGATTTGGGTTCTCTAAGCTCAGGGTTCCCCTCCTGTAATGCAGCCCACTGTATGTGCCGGTGATGCCTTTGTGTCACTCCATAGGAACTGAGCTCAGGGAACTAGCACAAATACTGATGCTACTGCTATAGCTGTTGCTGTGAGTAATAAAGTCCTTTGCTTCTGACCAGGGGTCTCACGTCACCCACCAGCTTCTATGAAATGTGGCAGGCTAACTTGCGAGCTTGCAAGTAGGATAAAAATTCCAGAGCTTTCACAGTCCTTGACACATGCCAGGCACTGTTGTGTGTGTGTGTGTCCTTATAGCAACTGTATGAGGTATTATTCATCCTCATTTTACAGATGAGGAAACTGAGGCACAGAGACATTATTCAAATAGGTGGCAAAGCTAAGATTTGAACCAGGCAGCGTGATTCTGTTGTCTGTGCTCTGCTTCATTTCTTCTCTCTTGAGCACATGATCCCAGAGCTTGCCTTAGCTACTAAATTGCAATTTAATAATGGAGTGCTGCCCCATACCTCTTAGAACAAATTGATCAGATATTGGTGTTAATGATGCTCCTTCAAAAGTTCCAAGAAGTTTCTGTGCATTCACCTTGCAAATATTTATAGAGCAAGAAACACCCTGGTTGTTGCCTGTGGTGTAGTCTATGCTTTTGGTGCCTAAGAGGGGATTGGCCTGGGAGTAGCCAGCAGGTATTCTTGTTCCTTCTTGTAGCTTCCACTATCCATTTAGGATAGTCCTCCCCTGCCCTACTCCACTCTCAGGGATCAACTACTCCTTATCTTCTGCTTTCTAATACCACTATTAATAATAACAGTAAATAACAACGATACCACCATCATTCAGCAAATATGTATCATGTGCCTAGTTTGTACCTGGTGTTATTACAGGCACTTGGGATGTACCAGTCAATTCAACTAAGACCTTGCTGCATCTAGCTGGGGAGACAAGCAATGAGTGAATAGACAAATATATAATACCAGGTATGGTTCCATGAAGAAAATCAAAGCAGTCAGGGGATAAGGGGTGATTGGGGGGCTACTTTAGATAGAATGGCAGGTGAGGCTCTCTAAAAGAGGGGACATTTGAGCCAAGACTTTAGTGCATGATCGAGATTTGCCGAGTGCCAACTATTTGCACTGTTGCAGGGCTTAGGGATACTTCAGTGAGCAAAAGAAAAGCATTCTAATTAGGCACGGCAGACAATAGAAAGCACATAAATAAAACCCTGAGCATGGCCACAGTGGGAAGTGCAAGAAAGCAGGGAAGAGGGCAAGAAGCCCTTGGGGATGGGGCAAGGGTGGTTCAAATTGAAACTGAGGAGATCAAGGAAGGTCTCACTGAGGAGGTGACACTGAGCAAAGTCCTGAAGGAAGGGAGGGAATGACCCACAAGGCCAACTAGGATAAGAGTGTTGCTGGTAGAGGAATGTGTTTGGTGAATAGCATTGAGGTCAGGGTGGCTGGAGCAGAGGGAACCAAGGGAAAGGTAAGTGTCAGGCCAGATTGTGCATGACCACATGGTCCTAGTTAAGGACTTCGGCTTCCACTTTGGGTGAGATGGAAGGCGACCAGGGGGTTCTAAACAGAGACATGTCATTATCTGACTTATAAAATAGTAACCATAATCCTCTTGGTAGCTGTCATTTGTTAATGCTACTATGTGCCGGTCACTTGAATGTCATCTCAGGGAATCCTCTATAAGGTGTTCTTAGGGAGGCATTACTATTATTTCCATGGCACATACTATGATGTGAATATTTGTCTCCTCCAAGCTTATGTTGAAACTGAATCCCCAGCATGGCAGTATTGAGAGGTGGAGCCTTGAGGTGATTGGGTCATGAGGGCTTGGGCTTCATGAATGGATTAATTTATATATGGGTTAATGGATTAATGGGTTATCCAGGGAGTGGGACGGTGGCTTTATAAGAAGAGGAAGAGGGACCTGAGCTAGCATGCTCAGCCCCCTGGCCCTGTGCTGCTGTGCACCATCTTGGAACTCTGCAGAGAGCTCCCAGCAGCAAGGACGCCCTCAGCAAATGTGGCCCCTCGACCTTGGACTTCTCAGCCTTCATAACTGTAAGAATAAATTCCTTCTATTTATAAATCACCCAGTTTCAGGTATTCTGTTATAAGCAACAGAAAATGGACTAAGACAGTACAGATGAGCTAACTGAGGCAAAGAATAATTGAGGACATTTCCCCAAAGTTGCACCATTTCTCCACACTGGATTCTTATCCCCTAACCCCATTTGGGCCCTCAACACAGCTCAGTGATCCTTTGGCCCGTTGACCGCCATCCTCCCCATGCCTCCATCCCCACAGAGAAACCCCATCCCCACCCCAGCTTCTTCTTGGCCTCGTGGTCCAGCCCTACACTTGTAAACATCGGTGCACCGCTGGTCTTCAGCACCTAGGCTCCCCTTCCTTCTCTGAGAGCCTCACCCTCCCTACCTATCCCCTCCACTTCTGCCACAATCTGGGTTCAGCAGGCACCACATGGCTGCCCGGCTCAGCCATGTTTTTCAGTCACGTGTGTAGGTTTGCACCAATGCAATGGGAGAGGAAGGGCTGTGTGAATCTCTAATTCCTGCCCTATTTTTTTCCTTTTTTCACAGCCACATTGCTAAAGAACAATCCCCACTTCCTTGCCTTCTGTACATTCCCAGGCTGCAGTCTGGCTCCCTCCTTCCTCATCCTACTGAAAGGAGCCCTGCTGAGCCCACCATTGATCTGCTGGTGACTAGGTGTCAGGCATGTGCACAGACTTTTTCCATTTGAACTGCTCCAAGGCTGGCTGACGGCCACCCCCTCGGACTTCTGTCCACCCAACACCCAGTCAACCATTCTGGTGGCTCTTTCTCAGTCTCTTAGGTCCCCCAGCGCCCACAATTGGTACTTTTTTTCTGAGGCAGAGTCTCACTATGTCACTCAGGCTGGAGTGCAGTGGCACGATCTTGGCTCACCGCAACCTTCACTTCCTGGGTTCAAGTGATTCTCCTGCCTCAGCCTCCCAAGTAGCTGGGATTACAGGCACGTGCCACCATGCCCAGCTAATTTTTGTATATTTAGTAGAGACAGGGTTTCACCATGTTTGCCAGGCTTGTCTCTAACTCCTGACCTCACATGATTGCCTGCCTGGGCCTCCCAAAGTGCTGGGATTACAGGCGTGAGCCACCGCACCTGGCCAAAACTGGTACATTTGAAGTTCTGTTCCTGACCATCTTCCTATTCTGCCAGCATCATCCCATTACTTCATGGACTCATGTACACTTAACGTTGTATTTTTAGCACCAATGTACCTCCTACATTTTAGTCTTTCTAACTGTCTATGTGACATTCCACTTGGATACCCCACAGATGTCTGGACTCTCATGACCCAATCTGAGTCAATCCTCCCCGAACTCACCTCCCCACGGTGATTCCAGCTCATCCTCTGCCCTCCTTCCTTTCCACCACCCCTGTCTGATTACTCAGTTCCGTAGTTTCCATCTGCCTCAAAGAGTGCCACACCCGCTCCCTGTTCTCATTGCCAGTGCCTTGCTTGATTTTATCAGCCACTCCTGCCTGGACTACTACAGTGACCTAC
This sequence comes from Homo sapiens, assembly GCF_000001405.40. NCBI lineage: Eukaryota > Metazoa > Chordata > Mammalia > Primates > Hominidae > Homo > Homo sapiens. Next base: position 94,104,089 of record NC_000012.12, on the reverse strand, counting down.
TTACAAGTCTTCTTATTTCTTGCTTGGTGGTTATCACAAAGATCACTTTGGAAGCTTCTTGAAAGTGCAGATTCTCAGGCTCTACCCCCAGAGAGTCTGATTTGGTAAGACCAAGGTACAATCCAGGCATGTGGGTTTTTAATAAGCTCACCGCTGGAATCATCCAGTGCAGATGGTCCCCAGACCACTCTGTAAAAACCACATGACTTGTCCTCTTCTTATTCCAGTCCATTAACTACATGATTAATTACTAAAGCTATTACTACCTAACATTTTTGGAACACTTATTATATCCCAAGGCTGTGTTGAACTTTCTATATGCCTATGGGCCACTAACATAACAACTCTATGTTTTAACTATAATTATGATTCCATTTTACCTTTGGGAAAACTGAGGCACAGAGAGCTAAGTTAACTAGCCCAAGGGCACATTCTCTCTGATCCAAAGCCAAGTTCTCGTGAGTACATCTTACCGTCTCCTTTGCTCCCCATGGTCCAGCTATGCCGAATGTCTTTAGTTCTCTGAATGACTTTAGTTCTCTGCTTCTTTATGGCTCTGAGCATTTGTCATGTGGTTCCCCTCTTTGAAATGACCATCTGTATCAGTTTCCTATGACTTCATAACACATTGCAAACATAACAGCTTAAAACACCCATTTATTAGTTCATAGTTCTGGAGGTCAGAAGCCTGAATGCAGCATGACTGGGTCCTCTCTTCAGGGTCCTACAGAGATAAAATCAAGGTGTCAGCTGGGACTAAGTCTCATACAGCTTGGGGATCCCTTCCAAACTCCCTGCTTATTGGCAGAGTTCAGTGCTCTTGCAGTGGTAGGATTGAAGGCTGGTTTCTCTGCTGGCTGTCAGGCAGGGGTCGTTCTGAGCTCCTAGAGTCAGCCTGCATTCCTTGCCACGTGGCCCCTTTCATCTGTAAAGCCAGCAAAGAAAATCTTGCCAATGATGAGTTCTTGCCGCTTGTCAAATCTCTTCTGCCAGGACAATCCAGTCCCTTTCAAAGGTTCACCTGGCTAGGTTAGGCCTACCCAGGATCATCTCCAGATCTTAAGATCAATTAATTTGGGAACTTTAATTACATCTGCAAATTCTCTTCACAGAAGCACCTAAATTGTTTGATTGAATAACTGGGCAAAGGTGTGTGTACACTGCGAGGGGGATGGGCTGAGAATCTTCAGGGGTCATCTTAGAATTCTGCCTAATCTTCAAAACTCAGCTCAAGGGTGACTTTCTTGATGTCTCTAGGCCGAGCTAGGTCCACCCCCTCTACCCCACAGCATCAAATACACACTCTTCTACTGGTCCATTTCCCCCCAGCTGGGCTGTGAGATTCTTGAGATCAGAAACCAAGCGTTGGTCATCTTTGTGTGCCCAGCTCCCGGAATAGCACCCGACTCTATATTTGCTGCCTGAGAGCTCAGGATGTGCTCAAGCAAGCCCTCCAGACGAGAAGGGCATTTTCATTAGAATTGCATGCATCGCAGGTACAGGGCTGTTGACGGGACAGCAAGTGCTTCCGGAAGGTCCCAGGAAACTTCATCGGCACCCTACGCTCCAAAGTCTTTTAGCCGAGAACCATGGGCAGGCCAGCACGCCTTCTGAAAAGCCCAGTGAAACCAGCATCGCCGTGACGGTGAGGCGGATGGGCCACTAGGTGTCACTCAAGATTCAATAAAGAGAATCGCGGATGCTTCGAAAGCCGTTTCCGCCCTTCTAGGGAAGGGAGCTGGTTAGACGATCCCCACCCATTGTTTTTTGGTTCACGCTCCAAGCCTTCCGCGCCTCTTCATTTCCCTTCGCGGACAAGTCTGGGTCTAAAATAGGATCACAGAATTCGAAGCTATAAGGCTGGGGGCCACCCGACCGGCTAATTCAGCCTCCCGATTTTGTGGACCAGCAACCAGAGCCGGGAGCTTGCGCAGGGCGGGCAGCAGAGCCCCGCTTCAGCCCCCACGGGGTCCGCGTGCTCCTGCCTACCCTCGAGCAGCAGTGAGGAGGCGTGGGCGGGTCCCGGCTCTCGGCCTGGGTGTCCAGGGTGTCCAGGGTGTCCTGGGTCGTCCCGGGGGCTGCACCGCGAGGTGTCCCTCAGGACCACTTCCAGATGCCCAGGCCGCATTCAGCTGATTCAGCGCCCGTGCTCCAGAACCCAAGACAAGGAAGGTGAAAAAGAAGGTCCCGTGGATCTGTTAGGACCTGACCTTTCTTCAGATCGTCTCAAACAATCTCTTCTTTCTTTGGATTTTAGGGCTGGGGAGTGAGGACGCACCTGGCTTCCTGACAGCATCTGCAATTGACTACAGTCCTTTCACTTATGCCAGGGGGAGGTTCGGGGCTGAAGGGATGGGGTCGCAAAATGCTCGTGCAAAGCACCTTCTTGGCAGGAGTTTGGTTTTTCTGCCCCCACCCTCCTACTTTCCCCGTGGAAGAAGTGGATGTCCTCGCGCGAGGTTCGAACAGGCTGCAAGACCAAGGCACCGCGCGTGCGGACTGATCTTCCTCACCCCCGGCAGAGGGCGCCCTTCTCCCGCTCCAGCGCCCCGCCGGGCGAGCCCCTCCAGCCGCGCCCTGAGCCCTGCCTCGTCCAGGCCGGGTCTCCAGCGCCAGGTGCCTGCAGCCCTACACTGGGAGAATTACAAAGCTACTTCTGTCTGACATTGGGCACAGCCTTTGAATGTCCCGTTCCTTTTGCTCCTAGCTGACTTACTGCTCATTTTTATTTTCCTAAGTGAATATTGAAACTTATTTGCATTTTATGGAGCTCCTGGTAACAGAGGGATCTTACCTGGCAGGGTGAGAATCCCGCTAAGGAAGTTGGCTCAGGACGGAGGTTCTCGCCAGGGCTCACCCACAAAGGGAATAATCCTATCTATGAGACAAATAATTTCCTTTAAAGCTTGCAAAGGGGGGCGGACGCGGTCGCTCTTGCCTGTAATCCCAACACTTTGGGAGGCTGAGGCCGGCGGATCACTTCAGGTCAGGAATTCGAGAGCAGCCTGGCCAACATGGTGAAACCCGGTCTCTACCAAAAATACAAAAATTAGCTGGGCGTGGTGGCTCGTGCCTGTAATCCCAGCTACTCGGAGGCTGAGACAGGAGAATCACTTGAACCTGGGAAGCAGAGCTTGCAGTGAGCCAAGATCGTGCCACTGCACTCCAGCCTGGGCCACAGAGCCAGACTCTGTCTCAAAAAACAAACAAACAAACAAACAAACAAACGGGTTTTCCTGTGTCAAGCTTAACCGATTCTATTTATCTCTTTCCTCTTCATGAAAAGGTTGATTTATTCATTTCTCAACCGATATTTTACTGAGTACCTTCTGTGTGCCAGGTACCAGGGTGAAAAAGGCAGAGTTGATTCCTGGTTTGGGTGGAGCCGATGGTCTAATAAGGGAAGATATATTGAATAAACACGTTAATTGGTCATACCTAAGATAAACGCTACACAGGAAAAACAGAGACTTCTGGAGGAGGCTGCAACAGGGAACCAGCTGAAGTCCTCAGCTGAATCTCAGGCATCCTTTCCCTCCTAGAAGCTCTCTTCTCACTTCCTGCTGCTGCAAACTGATAAAAATAATAGCCTCCCAGAAGCGGATGGTGAGTCAGTGCATTCAAGGCTGCACATCCCCAGGTGAGGTAACAAGAGTCAGGGTCTGGCTGAAATCTCCTCTCCCCGTTCGCACTCCTGGGCTGAGTGCCACTCGGCAAGGCGTGAGCCATTTTGCATGATGAAGTCCACATTACAGATTTCTTCTGACACCTGATGACTAACAAGGTCTGAAAACAACAAGACACCTCTAGGCGCTGCATCCTCCTCCTCCTCTTCAGTGTTTATGGAACACCTCCTAGGTATTGGGTGGGTGTTTTGTGCCAAGGATGCAAGCAAAACATTAGAGACAAAAGGAGGAATAGAATATGCCAAAGGCCAAGGAGGGTATGAACTAGTGGTTCCCAGAGTTTGAGCTTTTATGAGCAGCTAAAAGTGAGAGCTTTATTAACTAGGATCAGACATTGATAATTAGGTCAAAGGATAAAAGAGGTTCAGCCTAACAGTGGCCTAAACAAGACAGAAAATAAAAGTTTATCTCTATCATGAGAGTCCACAGTCCAGAGTCTCACTGAGTAAGGGAAAGGTGAGGGTGAGCGCTTTGCTGCCCTTCCTGTGATATTCTCAAAGGAAAGACGGGGGAGAAAGAGGAGACTCACACAATCCATTCTCCACCCCGCAGCTGCAGCCTGCGTACTCTTTGAAATATGTCATTCAGATCGTTATCCTGCTTCTCATCTTCCTGTGGCTTTCCATAACTGGCCAGAAGCCCTCCCACAACCCCCACCGCCCTGCCTGCCTCCACCACCTGCTCCTCGCTCATCGCACTCTGGCTGTAGCGCCTGCCTTCTTTCTGCAACTTGCACACGCCAAGCTCTTCCTAAAGCTATGCCTATGCATGCACAATGTCCTCTGGTTGGAAGGCCCTTTCTGCAGCTCCTTCTATGGCTTGTGCATCTCCACCTTAGGCCTTAGTTCAAGTATCTATCACCTCCTCAGAGCACCCTTCCCTCAAGCCCTGGTGGGCAGTGGCTCTGCCACCTACATAGCCTCATAGTCACTCCCTCTCTCATGTTCCTGATTATGTCTTTTTCTTTTAAGAGACAAGGTCCACTCTGTCATCTAGGTTAGAGTGCAGTGCATGATCATAGCTCAGTGCAGCCTTGAACTCCCTGGCTCAAACGATCCTCACACCTCAGCCTCCTGAGTAGCTAGGACTACAGGTGTGTGCTACCACGCCTGGCTAATTTTTAAATTTTTTGTAGAAATGGAGTCTCACTGTGTTGCCCAGGTTGGTCTCTAACTCCAGTCCTTAAGCGATCCTCTGACCTCAGCCTCCCAAAGTTTTGGAATTACAGGCATGAGCCACTGTGTCAGGTCCCTGATTGTGTCCTTGATAGGATTTACCACAATCTGAAGCCATCTCGTTTGTTTGCTTGCTGGCTCTTTGTAAGTGTATGACCTCCTTGAGTAAAGGAACCTTGTCTGTCACGCTCACTTCTCTAGCCCCAGTGACCAAAAAGATGTCTGGGAACGGTGTCACACATGCTCTGCAAATTTGTGACAGATGAACTGAATAGGAAAGAAGGATAAATTCTTTCCAACTCTGTCAAAGATGCTGTTCCATGCTCTAACTGAAGTCAGAAGGTCTGAAGTCTGAGGTTTGTTGAAGGCTTTCACTGACTTAGATAAATCTAGTATGGTAGTAAAGTTGGCGTGTTCCACAACAGATAAGCCATAAGCTGAGACATTTATATCAACTCTTGTGTCCCAGCTCCATCCCCAACACACCAGGAGCTCCAGTATTTAAAATATGCTTTTCCTAAGAGTGAGAGGTTTGAGATTTCACATGCCTGAGTCATCTTCATGGCAGACCTGACTGGGGCTCGTTTGCATTATGTGGAAATGATCTTTGGGGGTGTGAGGCTGTTGATGAAAGAAAGCCTTTAGCATCTGTGTCTTTTTCGTAAGGCTGGAGCACCCACTGGCTTTGTTCCATATTGAACAGACATTTAGAGACATCCTTTTTTATTTTTTTATTTTTATTTTTGTTTTTTGAGATGGAGTCTTGCTCTGTCATCCAGGCTGGAGTGCAGTGGCACGATCTTGGCTCACTGTGACCTCCGCCTCCTGGGTTCAAGCGATTCTCCTGCCTCAGCCTCCTGAGTAGCTGGGATTGCAGGCGCCTACCACCACGCCTGGCTAATTTTTTTTATTTTTAGTAGAGACAGGGTTTCACCATGTTGGCCAGGCTAGTCTCGAAAGTTTGACCTCAAGTGATCGGCCCACCTCGGCCTCCCAAAGTGTTGGGATTACAGGCATGAGCCACCGTGCCCGGCAGGAGACATCCCTTAATAAACCTGGTTTGACCGAAGAGTTATCTCTGGAGAGGCTTTTTTTTTTTTTTTTTTTTTTTTTCCCTGACAGCATTCTTTTGTGATCACAGAAAACCTCCGAGGCTATTCAGGAAAGAGGGGCCAGCTGACTTGCTGGCGCTGGGAGAAATTAACCCCCATCATCAAAAAGACTTTCTATTGCATATTGTAAAATTTAAAAACTCTCGGGGAATACTGTGACCCTGTCTTTAAAACATGCATCTAAACAACCCAAATGTCAATTGATATGAATGAATAAACAAAATATGGTATATACATACAATGAAATATTATTTAACCTTAAAAAGGAATGAAACGTAGATAGATGCTATAACATGATGGAGTTTGCAGACATTACGCTGAGTGAAACAGGCCATATGCAAAAGGACAAATACTCCACGTATGTGAGATACTGACAATGGTCAAATTCATGGAGACAGAACGTAGAATGGTGGTTAGCAGGGTGGAGGAGAGAGGAATGGGGAGTTATTGTTTAATAATAATATGAGGTATGAGGTTTCAGCTGGGGGTGATGAAAGGGTCCCGGAGTAGATAGAGGCAATGATTGCTCCAAGTGCCTCATAGGAGTGGAATCATACACTATTTGTCTTTTTGTGATTGGCTTATTTCACTTAGCATGATGTCCTCAAAGGTTTATCTGTATTGTAGCATGCTTTAGGATTTGCTTCCTTTTTAAGGCTGTCTAATATTCTTGTATGTATACTTCACATTTTATTTTTTCTATTCATCCATCTGTGGGCACCTGGGTTGCTTCCACATTTTGGTTACTGTAAATAAAGTTGCGATGAGCTTCACGTCCGTGCTTTCAGTTTTTTGGGGGTATGTACTCAGAAGCAGAATTGCTTGATCATATGGTAATTCTATTTTTAGTTTTGTGTGGAAATTCCATACCATTTTCCACAGTGGTTGAATCATTTTACATTCCTACCAGCAGTGCTCAAGGGTCCCAATTTCTCTGGGGTCCTCATCCTTGCCCACACTTGTTATTTTCTGTTTTTTTTTTTTTTGTTTTTTTTTTGTTTTTTTAATAGTAGCCATCCTAGTGTATATGAAATGGTATCTCCTTGTAGTTTTGGTTTGCATTTCTCTAATGATTAGTGATGTTGTGCATCTTGTCATGCACTCACTGGCCATTTGTATATCCTCTTTGAAGAAATGTCTTTTCCAGTAAAATGGTAAATTTTATGTTATATACATGTTACAACAATAAAAACAATCTGAATCTCTTTTTAAATTTTTTTCCACTTTGTCTACTGTTACTGCACCAGTTTTCAGAAATCATACTTGAATTTCTTTTTAATGTATGCTATCAGTTTTACTTGAGAGTACAAGTTGGTTTCAATCTCAGCAAAAGGTGCATGCATGTGTGTGTGTGTTAGAGTATAGGAGGATCTAGGTTATAACTGTGTATAAAAAGAACAGGTAAAACCGAGGTGTTAAAAACTGAGGTGGAGAGGAAGGCACCCAGCTGCTGGGCTGTTCTCCTTATTTCCTCCACATGTGGATTTTGGAGAAAATTGCAAAAGTCCTATTTCAAAAAATTCAAAGTCCAAGGTACAGGGCACCTAACATTAGTACATTTTAAGTGTTAAACTTTAGGTAAAGGTGAATATGATGGTTAATATTAGGTGTCAGCTTGATTGGATTGAAGGATGCCTAGATGGCTGGTAAAGTGTTGTTTCTGGGTGTGTCTGTGAGGGTGTTGCCAGAGGAGATTAACAGTTGAGTCAGTGGACTGGGAGAGGAAGACCCATCCTCAACGTGGGCGTGCACCATCCGATCACCTGCCAGCATGGCTAGAACAAAGTAGGCAGAAGAAGATGGGATAAGCTGGCTTGCTGGGTCTTCTAGCTTTCATCATTCTCCAGTGCTGAATGCTTCCTGCCCTTGGACATCAGACTCCAGGTTCCTCAGCATTTGGGCTCTTGGACTTATACCAGTGGTTTGCCGGGGCCTTCGACCACAGACTGAAGGCTGCACTGTCAGCTTCCCTGCTTTTGAGGCTTTTGGACTTGGACTGACCCACTACTGGCTTCTTTCTTCCCCTGCTTGTAGATGATCTATCGTGGGACTTCGCCTTGTGATTGTGTGAGCCAATTCTCCCTAATAAACTCCCTTTCATATATACACATATCCTATTAGTTCTGTCCCTCTGGAGAACCCTGACTAATACAGTGGGTGTACAAGCATTTGCCACCTGTATGATTATAAAAGTGAAATTCATTCATTCATTTCAAAAATATTTATGAGCACATGCTGTGTCAGGCACTGGGAACAAAAATGAATTAAGCATCACCTCTCACACTCCAAAAGCAGGACTGGTTACATAATTTGTAGGGCTCAGTGCAAACGGAAAATGTGATGCATGTTAGAGAATCATTAAGAATTTCAAGGCAACAGCAGCAGAGAATTAAACCAACCACAAGGGCCTTCTAAGTGTGGCGGTGGGGTTTGTGGGGCTTATAAAACTGCACAGGTCTCAGGCCTGTGAAGCCAGCCCTGCTCCAGTGGTCAGATGGGTGGCAAAAATGCTGGAATCAGTCTGTTGACAGCCTTGGGAGAGGAGCCCTGGACAGTGGGGCTCACAAGCCTTGTCCAAGGGCTTCTCATTGCCACAAGTACATTGCATCTCCCTTTGATTTAAGTAGATCTCTTTTACCTTTGAACATACATTGAACACCTGTCTATGGCAGTTCAGTAAATGTTCTTGTTGCCAATATCCTCGTACAATCAGATTATAATCTTGTATTATTCAATATTTGAAGTCCCATGTCTACTCACCCTCATTCTTCTCCCCAGTAGCATGCCAGGGAATTAGTAGGTGCTCAACATAAGTTGACTGTTGAACAACATGGGCTTGAACTTACAAATTGTTAAGTTGTTAACAAACCCATGTTATTCAAGGGTCAACTGTATATTGGTGGGTCCACTTGTACATGGATTTTCGTCTGCCTCTGCCACACCTGAGACAGCAAGACCAACCCTTCCTCTTCCTCCTCCCGCTCAGCCTGCTCAACATGAGGACAATAAAGTTGAAGACCTTTATGATGATCCAATTCCACTTAATGAATAGTAAATGCATTTTCTCTTCCTTCTGATTTTCTTAATAACATATTCTTTCTCTAGCTTACTTTGTTATAAGAATATAGTATATTGTACTGATATGGTTTGGCTCTGTGTTCCTACCCAAATCTTATCTCAAATTGTAATCCCCACATGTTGAGGGAGGGATCTGGTGGGAAGTGATTGGATCATGGGGGGCGGTTTCTCCCATGCTGTTCTCATGACAGTGAGTGAGTCCTTATGAAATCTGATGGTTTAAAAGTGTTTGGTGGCTCTCCCTCACTTTCTCACTCTGGTTCCCCCTCACTTTCTCTCTCTCTCTCTCTCTCTCTCTCTCCTGCTGCCACGTAAGAGATGCCTTGCTTCCCTTTCCCCTTCCATCATGACTGTAAGTTTCCTGAGGCCTCCCCAGCCATGTGGAACTGTGAGTCAATTAAATCTCTTTAGTTGATAAATTATCCAGTCTCAGGTAGTTCTTCATAGCAGTGTGAAAATGGACTAATACAAATACAAATACAAAATATGTGCTAATTAACTTTTCATGTTATTGAAAAGGCTTCTGGTCAAGAGTAAGCTATTATTAGTAGTTACGTCTTTAGGGGTCAAAAGTTACATGCAGACTATTGACTGCATAGATAGTCAGGGCCCCTAACCCTCACATTGATCAAGGGTCAGCTATATACTTATTAAAAGCTTTAATATTTCATTCTGAATAAAATATGGGTAGGATAAGGATGATGATGGAAGCTGATTTACTACTAGGAGAAATATAATTATGAGAACTACGATTTACCTACTATTACTGGGCACTGAGTTAGGTGCTTCATAGAAATGTTCTAACTTAATTCTTACAAAAAGCTTATAAAATAGGTAGTTTTGTCTTCATTTTGGAGATGAGAAATTGAGGTTCAGTGAGACTGAGGAACTTGCTTAAGTTCACATAAGTTGTCAGTGATGGAACAGGGATTCAAACCTAACTCCAAAACCTTGGGAATTTCTAAGCTGGTAGGCCCTGTCTTCCTGTCCCCAGCTGCAGACCTCTATGCTTTCTAAAATTTGATGAACAGAAATTGTTCTGAACAGTGAAAAGCACAAGTTTTCCATCTTGATGCCATATTTGGAAATGAGTGTTATAATTTCTGAACATAGAATAGAAAATTTCAGGAAGATAGTATTTCAGTGTGCATAATAACAGTACCTACTCTAACTCTAATTTGATTACAATTTATTGAGCAACTACTAAGTGTAGGACACTGCTACATACTGTGGGAGATACAGGATGAACAGACAGAGAAATGGCCCTCAAAGAGAAGAGTAAGACAAGCACACAAATGGATAGAGCAGAACAGGAAATTGTGCGTCCACATCACGACACCCAGAGAAAGTATGTTTGCCTAGAAAGATCAGGGTAAGCTTCCTGAAGAAGATGGCATTAAGGGTTGGCCTTGAACGATGGCAAGATTCTGGTAGAAGTGGCTGGGGGCTGTTCATGCAGGAGCAAGGAGAGGCAGCATGGTGCCTCTCATTTGGAGAGAGGGAAGAGCAAGCCACACTTAGGAAGGTAAATCAGGTCTACTTCATGGCAGGCCTGGGACGACTGAGGCACTTGTACTCAATTCAATAAGGAGAGCCTTTGACAAGTTTTAACTGAAGAAAAACACGATAAAAGCTGGGCACTAGGAGATGGAAGCTGGCAGCTGTGGGAGGGAAGACAGAAAGTCAAAGCTGAGAAGGAAGACGTGAGGTCAATTCAGGTGAGAGACAGTGATGACTTGAACTTGGGTGGGCTGAAGGGATGTTTTATAGACCTATGAAAAGATGTTTTTCCATTAAAACAAAAGAAAACCCTGTGAAGCAGAGATCACATATATGCAAAATACTCTTCTGTTCGATGGAGTTTTTGGAAGCGAGTCAATTTCAAGATACCATCGCTATTATTCAGCCTGAGGATATTTGCCTACAATTCTTGTTGGCTCCTGTGGGATCTGGCTCTCCTTGACTCCTGGCAGCAGCCTCGGCTGTCAGGAAAATAGCCATTGCACAACAAGGCGGAACCCACCGTGTGTTAAACCTCTGCAGTTATGTGGCTTCCTCTGGAACATTCCACCCTGCTTCGGCAACCAGACAGTTCAAAATGCGCAAGTATTTTAAGTAAGAGATCATTTACACGGGGTAGAAGATCAGATTAACCCAACTTGCAAATCAAGTCTCCTTTAGAAATCGTTGACTCTTCCGTCACCCAAGGCCACCAGGGCAAGGGCCAACATCCTAAGACCTGGAGGTCTTGGGAGAAGATGCTTTAAAGGCAGGGCCCTTTCCTTGTCTTCCTGTGATGCTTCTTATAACTGGAAGTATGTCATTCATTACAGCAGACATCACAGTGATGATGCACAGGGGTTTGGGAGCCAAGGAGGAGATAAGACAGAGAAAAATATGACCTGTTGGTATAGCCAAAAGTAACTAAAATGGGCCAGGCGGCTCACGCCTGTAATCCCAGCACTTTGGGAGGCCAAGGTGGGTGGATCACTTGAGAGCAGGAGTTTGAGAACAGCCTGGCCAACATGGTGAAGTCCCATCTCTACTAAAAATACAAAAATTAGCAGGGCATGGTGGCGTGTGCCTGTAGTCCCAGCTACTCGGGAGGCTGAGGCAGGAGAATCACTTGAACCCAGAAGACAGAGGTTGCAGTGAGCTGAGAATGCACAACTGCACTCTAGCCTGGGTGACAGAGTGAGACTCCATCTCAAAACAAAACAAAAGTAACTACAATGTTTATTTGTTTGTGAGATGTCAGCAGATTGGAAAACACCACACCAAGCAGGAAGCCATGGTGGAGCACAAGATGCTGTAATTCTCATCCTGCCTGATCCACTAATGCATTTGGGAGCTATGGAGACTACAGAGCAGTGTCTGCAGTGAAGGGAAGCTGAGTGGGCCATCTATTACCTCCAAGAACAGAAAATGCAGTAAATTCAGAAGAAGCAATACTTCACGATGTCAACCTGTACATAAGGCTGCATAATGCTTTCAGAGAAAGGACATAGAAAAACAGCTGTTGGGCACTGGCTGGTGGAGACCGGCAGAAGTGATTTGTATCAATAGGTGCTGATGTGTTCCAGCTATTCAGCCAAGAGTGACAAAACTAGTCCGGTTCTTGGTGCAAAAAAGGAGATCTGGGGCAGCTGAATGGTGAAGTGGGTGTGGGTGATTCAGAAGTCTGGGATGGCTTTTCTTTCTTAGTGTGTCCACCAGGGCTTCCAAGCCAGCTCCAGACTTAGAGCATCCTTTCTTTTTGTCTTTAGCAGTCTGTGGGAGGGAAGCTGTGGGAGGGGCTGTGGGCTGTAGTCCACATGATCCCTACAGGAACCCTCCTGGCCCTCCACCCCAGGAAGATTATGGGAGGAGCAATTCCAGCTCTTCTTTCTAGTCTTCCTTGGGAAAATGGGGAGAGGGCATGAAGTCCCCCTCCTCAACACTTTCTGCCTGCCCCCAATGGCACCCATCCCCCTCCCCTCCACTCAGCTGAGAGTGCCTGCCCCACCATTGCTTGCTCTGTGACCAGGGTGCAACTTCAAATCAAGGGGAACGAGAAGATACTCCCTTTGGTCTTGGATCCAGGACAAGTCTTAAAACCAGCCTTCAGGGCAAGAATGCCATTCGTGCGATCTTTGATCCTCCTGGATGATTTCTCCATTGGTTTGGAATCCAAAGAAGAGAAAAAGTAGGATTCACCAACACCTTCAAATCCCCAAGGCTGTGGAGAAATCCTGGAAGCCAAGCCTGAATGACAGTAACACTTTCCTTGTTTTCCTTGCCTGTTGCCTATTAAAGAACAAGCTCAGAATTTATCACTGAGAGCACACCTATTGTTGCCCCAAACAGAGGTCTATAGCGTAGCAGGTTGGGAAGTCTTGAAAGGTATGAATAATACTTTCTAGAGAAGTGGTCAGGAGCTTCCTCCCCAAATACTCCAGCATTCTGTTCCTGTGGTAGATGCGGGGATGCACACCCAGGTCCCCTTATTAGACTAGTGCACCACCACACAGCTACTGGGAGTGCTGGCTGCTGCCTGATCTCAGGCACGCTCTTTCTGGAGAATCGTCCTCCGCCAGTGGGAACCTCCTCAGCCAGAGATGCTTGGGAGAACCCCTCACCCTCAGGGGTGGTCTGCACCAGTGACTGGCAGGCACAGGGTTATAAAGGCCTGGTCCCCTTGCCTTGAGGTCGGACAATTCCTTGGTGCCGGTCACGCTCCAGAGCTCCCTGTGGGATGGGGCTGAGGCTAGACTTCAGCTGAACTCACATCTCTATCTTCTTCCTCTGTCTCACCTGCTTCCCTAACTCCTTTACATACTTCTCCTGAAATCCGTTCACACGAGAATACCAATTTCATAGGCTCTGTTCCTAGGGAACCATCTCTGAGATGATACCCAAATAGGAAATTCTTTTCCTAATCACGATCCTTGGAGAATGTGGGAACTGACTGATCACTCTTTGCAACTGCCTCATAATTTGAAGACTTTTTAAGTGCCTACTCCATGAACCACTATTTATGGTTTGATTTTTAACATTGGCACTGCCCAGGATATGGGGGTCTAGATCTGAACTCATTCAGCAGGAACGGGACCATGAAAAGATTCTCTCTCAGTGCATCACTGCTACCATTAACCAGAACAAAGATGTGTGATTTCACCATCTCAAAGTCCTTTCTTATTTGTATATGATTTACTAGCATAACTCCATGGGAGAAAGTTGTATTTTTTTTTTTTAAATGAGGAAACTTAAAGTAAATACAGCTTAAGTGGGTTTCTTAAGTTCCTGGAGCAAGCTAAAGACAGGACTGGAGTAGCAAAGACTAGAAAGAGAGTTTCTGACCTTCAGTCTTAGGCTCATTCCATGACCTCCATCCTTGCCGCAACGTATGCCCTTCTTGTATGGACCAAGATACTTTATGATGCTGTGTCAGTGGTGGACTGTGTTTGGCTGATAACAAGAGAAACCGCAGATGGTGGTTTGAGCAATCAATGCTTCATTCCTTCACAACCCAAGAGGTCTGGGAGGGAAGCAGCCTGGGGTTGGCAGGCAGCTTCACAGTCATCAGAGTCTTAGATTCCTTTAGACTTTCTGTCCCTCCATCTGGGCTATGTCCTTTATTTTCTTTGTCCAATATAGTTGCTGGAGCCCAGGCCACCACACGTGAGTTCTAGATTGTGGGATGGAGGAAGGAAAGAAGAGAGGCCTCTTTTCTCTCTGTAAAGAGACTTCCCATAAGTCTCACTCCACACTTCTGTTCGCATTTCACTGGCCAGACACATGGCCACACCTAGAGCCTAGTGAAGTTTAAGCCTCAGAGCCATTCAGTTGCTGGAGTCCCTTCCAAATGTTTATGCCTGGTTTTGTATTCTTAATTTTAAATTATTTTCAATGATTTTCAGGAACAATTTGTGGAGCCATTATGGTGTGCAACTCACCCTCTTGGACATAGAAAAGAGCTAAAAGTAGGGAACTAGAGATTTATTGTGCCAGTTTTGTTTTAGGGGCATTAAACCAGAGAATGCATGATGTATCATAATAGTTTTGTAGAAAGCATGGAGGTGGTCTTTAAATACAGTCATGCACCACATAACGATGTTTTGGTCAATGATGGACTGCCTATGCTATGGTGGTCCCATAAGATTATAAAACTATATTTTTGCTGTACCTTTCTGTGATTAGATATGTTCAGATGCACAAATACTTACCATTGTGTTATAGTTGCCTGCAGTGTTCAGTAAAGTAACATGCTGTACAGGTTAGCAGCCTAGGAGCAAGAGGTGATGCCTTACAGCCAGCCTAAGTGTGTAGTAGCTGTACCATCTAGATTTGTGTGAGTACACTCTATGAGGTTTGCACATGAGGAAATCGCCTAACAATGCATTTTTTTCACAATGTATCCTGTTGTTAAGCCATGTAGGACTGTAGTTATTTCTTATATCAGTCCTGGAACAGGATAGAGTCACATTTTAAATACCATACTTTGTTGAATTGAAGACATCGTTGATAATAGATATATCATTATTTTATGTATCAGTAAGAAAAGGAAAACACTGCCAAATACATGATGACTTTCCATAGGCTATAAAATTCATTCTAAATTAAAAGATGTTAAAATGACAAAAGGGCACATTATAATATCAGTGATATATGGTGGTAACCATTCAATGAATACATTTCTGTAGGGACATAAAATAATATACTATAGAATGTAAGCTCTCTGGTGACATAAGAACATGGATAGAATTTAAAGAATGTTCATTTGAGTTGTTAGCTAACTGGGTAAGGATATATAGTACCATAGAAGAAAAAATCCCTGAGAATCTCATACATAGTTCTGTGATCAAACTGTCTGAAGTAGCTTTCTGGAGTCTGAGTTGATATGATTTCACCAGCTATGCTTCCTGAGTCCAGTGGATACATATGAGGCCCCTGTGAGACACAGGTTGGTGAGGGGCCCTGGAGCATTGTACTGGGTGATATTGTGATTTTCCCCCTAATTTGGGTGAAATCTTAGGTCACATAACCTATTTCTCTAAAAACAATGTCTGTTGCATCTCACAAGATTTTGAGAAAATCAAATAAATTAGTCGCTTTTTAAAAAGCATGCTAGAGAGGCAAGTGGGAAGGAAAATCAACTGCTCATATACAAAATAATAACACAACAACAGTGAACATCAATGAGTGCTTTCTCTGTGTCAAGTGTGCTTTAAAGGTGACGGCATGTACTGTTGGTAGCCAACAAATAGCTATTCTTCTTTTTTTTTTTTAAATTTAATATTATTATACCTCAAGTTTTAGGGTACACGTGCACAACTTGCAGGTTTGTTACATGTGTATACATGTGCCATGTTGGTGTGCTGCACCCATTAACTCATCATTTAGCATTAGGTATATCTCCTAATGCTATCCCTCCCCTCTCCCCCCACCCCACAACAGTCCCCAGTGTGTGATGTTCCCCTTCCTGTGTCCATGTGTTCTCATTGTTCAATTCCCACCTATGAGTGAGAACATGCGGTGTTTGGTTTTTTGTCCTTGCGATAGTTTGCTGAGAATGATGGTTTCCAGCTTCATCCATGTCCCTACAAAGGACATGAACTCATCATTTTTTATGGCTGCATAGTATTCCATGGTGTATATGTGCCACATTTTCTTAATCCAGTCTATCGTTGTTGGACATTTGGGTTGGTTCCAAGTCTTTGCTAACAAATAGCTATTCTTTGCTTCCTTCTTCCTGGCTAGCAGAGCCTGCTTCCCAAAGAAAGGAGCTAAATTTCAGATAGTCATTGTCCTATCTTTCTGTTCATCTGGAGTAGTAGTTCTCCAAGTGTAAAGATACCTAGGGGTCCCTGAGACACTTTCATAAGTTTTCAAGGTCAAAGTTATTTTCAAAATTTTATATATTCAGTGGGGAATATCTATATCTAATGAAATATACATATATAATTATTTCAAGATATTATTTGCCTTTTTTACTGCATAGTCATTTGCACTGATGTTGGAAAAGCGATGGCGGGAAAAACTGCTGGTGGCTCAGCACAAATCCTGACACCAAACTGTAGTCACTGTATTCCTCACAACCACAGAATACAAGAAAGCATTTTACTGAGATGCCCTTGGTGCAGTAAAAGTTAATTTTGTTACATCTCAACCCTTGATTTGGAAAGTACACATAAAGCATTTCTTTCTTTCTTTCTGTTTTTTTTTTTTTGAGATGGAGTCTCACTCTGTCACCCAGGCTGGAGTGTAGTGGTGCGATCTTGGCTCACTGTGACCTCCACCTCCCAGGTTCAGGCGATTCTCCTGCATCAGCCTCCCAAGTAGCTGGGACTACAGGTGTGCACCACCATGCCCAGCTAATTTTTGTATTTTTAGTAGAGACAGGGTTTCACCATGTTGGCCAGGATGGTCTCGATCTCCTGACCTTATGATCCGCCCACCTCGGCCTCCCAAAGTGCTGGGATTACAGGCGTGAGCCACCACGCCTGGCCCACATAAAGCATTTCTCCTGCATAGGCTATGATGGTTGTCTTGCAGAAAAGCACTTATGCGATTGTTTGAGTTGCCAGCTAAATTAGCTGTTTGGTTTTTTTTCACAGAACATTATTTTTGCTTGAAATAAAAACTGACAGACAAATTATAGTTATTCAAGTTTGGGTATTTGATAGAAATGGTCTCAGAAAATGAAATGAGTTTTTCCAGTGAAGGAAAACAATATGACAATATGAGTTAATCGTGTCAAGGAAGATAATATTTGATGCCAATGATAAAATTCAAGCTTTCAAAGGAAATTAGAATGAAATTGGTGGTGATATTTTGGAAGGTGATATTTTTATATTATATATTGAAATGTGTCAACATCTGGAAGGTCTGCACAACTCATTAAAACAATATTTTCCAAATGACCAGTGCATAATGTTACAAAATTTGAAAAAGTAATTGAGTATGAAACATTCATTGATGTTTTCAGATTTCATATGGCAATTTACCTTTTTTTTTTTTTTTTTTTTTTTTTTGGAGAGGGAGTTTCCCTCTTGTTGCCCAGGCTGGAGTGCAATGGCACAATCTCAGCTCACCACAACATCCGCCTCCTGGTTCCAAGCAATTCTCCTGCCTCAGCCTCCTGAGTAGCTGGGATTACAGCCATGTGCCACCACACCCAGCTAATTTTGTATTTTTAGTAGAGATGGGGTTTCTCCATGTTGGTCAGGCTAGTCTCAAACTCCTGACCTCAGGTAATCTGCCCACCTTGGCCTCCCAAAGTGCTGGGATTACAGGTGTGAGCCACCGTGCCCAGCTGGCAATTTTCCTTTAAGAAACTACAACTTGTCAAGTTTTGGTATAATCTACAGCAGAATCTTCACCATGATCTGAAAAGGCTGTTAATATACTCTTCCCTTTCCAATTACTCATCTGTGTGTAGTGGAACAAAAAACTAGAGAAACAGAACCAATTCTATATATATAGTCATCTCTTGGTATCTGTGTGGGATTGGTTCCAGGATCTCCCTTGGATACCAAAATCTGCAGTTGCTCAAGTCCCTGATATAAAATGGCATAGTATTTGCCATCTTCCCTATGCACATCCTCCTGTATACTTTAAATCATCTTTGGATTACTTATAATACCTAATACAATGTAAATGCTACATAAATAGTTGTTTTATTTAGGGAATAAGGACAGGAAACAAAAGTCTATACATGTTCAGTACAGATGCATTTTTTTCTCAAATATTTTTGATCTGTGGTTGGTTGAATCCATGGATGCAGAATCCATGGACATAGACGGCCAGCTGTATATATATACGTGCATATATGAAGAGATTTAGTATAGGAATTGGCTCATGCAGTTATGGAGGCCAAGGAGTCCCATGATCTGCAAGTTAGAGAACCAGGGAAGTTGGTGGTGTAATTCAGCCCAAAGCTGAAGACCTGAGAATGAAGGGCAATGGTGCCAGTCCCTGATGTGGTTTGGCTGTGTCCCCACCCAAATCTCATGTTGAATTGTAATTCCCAGTGTTGGAGGAAGGGCCTGGTGTGAGGTGATTGAATGATGGAGGCACACTCTCCACTTGCTGTTCTCAAGATAGTGAGTGAATTCTCACGCAATCTGGTTGTTTAAAAGTGTGTAGCACCTCCCGCTTTGCTCTCTTCCTCCTTCTCTGGCCGTGTAAGACGTGCCTGCTTCCCTTTCCCCTTCTGCCATGATTGTAAGTTTTCTGAGGCTTCCCCAGCTATGCTTCCTGTATAGCTTGTGGAACTGTCAGTCAATTAAGCCTCCTTTCTTTATAAATTACCCCGTCTTAGGTCTTTATAGCAAGATGAGAATGGACTAATAAAGTTTCAGTCCAAATCTGAAAGCCCAAGAACCAGAAGGGCCAATGTCTTAGGGCAGAAGATGGATGTCTCAGCCCAATCAGGAGAGTGGATTTACCTTTCCTCCCCAATTTGTTCTGCTGGATCATGCCCACCCACGTTGGGGAGGGCCATCTGCTTTATTCAGTTCACCAATGCAAATGTTAGTCCCTTCTGGAAACACCCTCACAGACACACACAGAATCGTATTTTACCAGTTATCTGGGCATCCGTAAGCCCAGGCAAGTTTGACATATAAAATTAACCATCTCAGCATCTCAGAGGTCATACTGGGTCAGGGTGGACCCTAAACCCAATGACTAACGTCTTTTTTTTTTTTTTGAGACAAAGTCTCACTCTTGTCCCCCAGGCTGGAGTGCAATGGTGCAATCTCAGCTCACTGCAACATCCACCTCCTGGGTTCAAGCAATTCTCCTGCCTCAGCCTCCCAAGTAGCTGGGATTACAGGCGCTTGCTACCATGCCTGGCTAATTTTTGTATTTTTAGTAGAGACAGGGTTTCACCATGTTGGCTAGGCTCGTATCGAACTCCTGACCTCAGGTGATCCACCTGCCTCAACCTCCCATCGTGCTGGGATTACAGGCATGAGCCACTGCACCTGGCCAACTGATGTCTTTATAAGAGACAGAGAGTAGGATACAGAAACGTGGAGCCACAAGGAAGAAGACTATGTGAAGATAAAGGCAGAGATTGGAGTGATGCAACTACAAATTGAGGAATGCCAAAGGTGGCTAGGAGCCAGCAGAAACCAGGGGGAGACAAAGTAGGGTCCTCCCTGAGAGACTTGGAAGGGAGCATGGCCTTGCTGACCCCTTGATTTCAGAATTCTAGCCCTCAGAACTGTGAGAGAATGAATTTCCATCGTTTTAAGTTAACTGGTTTGTAGTACTTGGTTATGGAAGCCCCAGGAAATGAATAGAGGGTTCAACAGATAATCTTCATGGTAATTAAGGTTAGGAAAATAAGTTTCCTGAGAATCTAAAACAAGAGAAAAAAACACTTCCTGCCCTTGAGTCCAAGCCTAAAATGCTTTCACAAAGTAAAATAAGCAGCTATTTTCTATGCCTAATTTGGAAAGAATGAGAAGTTCCAGGAAGCTTTCCAGTGGGAAGCTGGTTCTCGTCCCTGTTAGCTATTGGGCATCTTCACAATCTAGGCCTGTAGTTTTCTCAAATGTTATATAAGGTGGTTGGACCAGATGAGCTATAAGATGCCATTTAGTTCTAAGCCTACATTGCTCTTATTGGCCTATTTATAGTGAGGGGAAAATTTTCTGGATAGAAGAGAAAGGTTTAGTGTTTGAATGGCTTGCAAAATACTATGGATTTTCTTCTTTAGAACTATTTGTGAACAGGATCAATCTGATAGCTGCAGACTGATAAATCAACTATATGCTCTGTAATACTTCTTTAAAACAGGGGTAGTCAAATTCAAATGCCTCTGGGAACCAGACAGTAACTTAAGTGAGTCCAGCAGACTGGCTGTAATAAAACAGGAAGTAGTAGGGACTATGGCAAAGATTATGTGTTGGGCTGTTTTGGCATCGATATAAAGAAATACCTGAGATTGGGTAATTGATAAAGAAAAGAGGTTTAATTGACTTATGGTTCTGCAGACTGTACAGGAAGTATGGTGCTGGCATCTGCACAGCTTCTGGGGTGGCCTCAGGTGGCTTTCAATCATGGCAGAGGGCAAAGTGGGAGCAGACACATCACATAGCAAGAGCAAAAGAGGGAGTGATAGGGAGGTGCCACACACTTGCATAACCAGATCTCACAAGAACTCACTATTGTGAGGACAGCACCAAGCCATGAGGGATGTGCCCCCATGACCCAAACACTCAAACACCTACCACCAGGCCCCACCTCCAACGTGGGCCCCACCTCCAACATGAGATTTGGACGGGACATCTAAACTATATCAGATTACATGTGATAAAATAGGGAGTGGTGGAGACTGTGGCAAACTCGAATGCTCTTATGGCTTTACTTGGAAGTGATCATTGCTCAGCTTTGGTCAGTTCCTGCCAAACAGCAGTGGGGGTGTATTAGCCCATTTTCACACTCCTATAAAGAAATTCCTGAGACTGGTAATTTATAAAAGAAAAACGTTTCATTGACTCACAGTTCCACATGGCAGGGGAGGCCTCAGGAAACTTACAATCATGGCAGAAAGTGAAGGGGAAGCAGGCAGCTTCTTCACATGGCGGCAGGAGGGAGAAGTGCAAGTGCAGGAAAAAACTGCCACTTTAAAAACCATCAGATCTCACGAGAACTCACTCACTACCATGAGAACAGCATGGCGGAAGCCGCCCCCTTCATCCAAGCACCTCCCTCCCTCAACACATGGGGATTCCAGTTTGAGATGAGATTTGGGTAGTGACACAGAGCCAAACCATATCAGTGGGCTTAGGATGCCTAATCCTGAGATTTTTAAAGGGAAGCCAAAATTTTAATGTGAAGTCTCCCAATGTGAAACATCTTAGTAACTGGATTAAATTCTAAAAATAACATCACTGGAGAAACAAAACACTTCTATTGACTCATTGTGGTCCCTCAAGTTACCAGTTTGTAACTTTTGCCTCAAGCCTTTGAATGCGATATTTACAAATACTAATAAACAGCTTAATGAAATGTACAAACATTTTAACGTTCCTTGTTTGCTCATGTATAAAAAACAGTTTTTGAGATGTCCTAAAAACACATGATATTATTCCCATTTTGTGGCTAAGAAACTCAAAGCGAAACAGGTTTCCATTACATAAAGACCTGCAAGCAGAACTTAGATTTAGAGCTTAGATTTCCTGGAATACCCAATATTCCTTCTCTCAAATCCTTTTTGCCATTCATGTTAATGAGAAGGGACAAGGCAAGAGCTATTTGCACTGACACATCCACAGGCACATGGACCTGGGTACTGGACGCAGACCAAAGATGTAAATATTATCTTAAGAGAAATGGTAGGCTGTCTGAGTCTTGTTATGTAGTGGAAAGGAAAATGATTGGGACGTTTGGTGTTGGTTCAAATGATCTTGTAATTATAGGATATGGTTGAAATTATAAGGCCCAAAATATAGAAGTAGAAAAGGCAATGTGAAAGAGTAGTTGGAAAACTACCAGAAAAGCAAAAGGGAAGATATCAGAAAGTGATTCCAGAGGCAGTGTGTATGGTTAGTACTCCTTACCGATGGGGTTAGCTATCCTTCCATCGACATGCTTAGTAACTGCTGTTTAATTGCTATTCTGTCCCAGGCAGTAAGTAAGCAACAAAGAGACAATAGCAAGCAAGTAGACATAGTTCTTTTTCTTCTAGAGTTGCTGTCTAGAGGGAAGACAGACAAGTAAATTAGCTGTAAGTATAGACTTGATGTCCAAGCCCAAAAGAATAATTAATACCTGTGTCCCCTAACCAGCCATGTATTTGACCAAGTGCCATCTGATTTGCCTTGTCACAGTTTGTTTCTCAGTGGAAACATGAGCAGTGTGCATCTTAATCCTCTGCTTAGAAACAGAAATCTGAATGTGAGGAAGACATGGGGCTAAGAGTGGCCTCTTAAAAATTAGCATTAACATAACTGGCAAAGAACTAAGAAGACCTGGGTTCCCATCTTGTCTCTGCCATTTTACAGCTGTAGGAGCTTTGGCAGGCTGCTTGCCTCTCTGAACGTCAGCTCCTTTTCTATAAGTAAGAGTTTCAGCCCATCTTCAGGACTGTTATGATGAATATTATGTTTGTGACAGTGGTTATTGGCATTACGTGTAACACTGAGAAAAGCAAGCTTTCTCTACTCCCAAAGTGAGTTCGAAATAAAGGAAAAAATTGGGTTTTTTTTGTGACAAAGCATTGTGACCTGGAGATTTCTCTACAAGTGGTAGCTTTACTTTTATGATTTCAGTGCCTCTAACACATATTAAAATTATGTTTTGTACACAAAGAGTGAACCCTAATGTAAACTATGGACTGTAAATAATAATAATGTATTGGTTCATCAGTTTTAATAAATGTACCACATTTGGACATGCAAGAGTTAATAACAGGGGAAATTTTGGTGTGTGGGGGGGGGTGGGGTGCATGGAAAAGAGGAATATGGGACTCTGTTCTTTCTGCTTAATTTTTCTGTATACCTAAAACTACTCAAAAATATAGTCTATTAATTAATAGACTATAAAAAATAAAAAAAAAATTTCACTAGTGTTAGCAAACTCTGTTAAATTTATAATCTGCAAAAAAGTATGTTTAGTTAAATAAATTGAACTTGTTTACCTTGTTAGTCAGCTAAGAGCCTCTTTTGTTCAGATAGAACAGAAGTGAGCTTTGGCCCAGCCATCTCTAAACAGTTATAAATTAGCAATCAGTGGAGTCAGGGGCTGGATGAGAGAGGTTTCTGATACTTGGCAACAGATGGTACTGCCTTTTGTGACCTGACGTGGAAATAGAACAGGTGTCAGTTTCCCCCCCAACATCAGAGTTTCATTGTAACTTCACCTAGCCTAGTAAGGACGGTCAGTGTTTGAGAACTTGTTTTTCTCCTGAAGTCTTGTTCCTATCTTCAAAATATGCATGTTACGTAAAACAAAGCAATGTTTTCCTTTACTTTGAACTCACTTTGGGAATAGAGAAGCCTTGCTTTTCTCATATAGGGTAAAGGGAGATGAAGAGGGAAAGTTGTTCTTAGTGTTTCCCTCAGGATATAAACTTGGTTACAATGTTTTTGGCTTTTTGTTTTTTTTTGGTTACAATATTGTTGGAGTGTTTTTTCAATGCTTTCAGCTGCTGAGATGAGTTAATAAAAAAGAGATTACTGTGTAATGCCAAATCTCAATTGCCTGAAACTAACTTCCTTTTGAGCCAAGGCATAGGCAAAGTGAAGATTAAACTGTACAGTTTTGGGTAGGGATCAAAATAAAGTTCGGTATCACCAGAAGAAGCAGGAATGTAAAATCTGTGAGTCCCTAAGAAATCATCAGAAAAGGCTCCCCCATTAAACTTTATAAATTGCGCAATGTAGAGAGAGAGCAACAAAAGGAGACCCTCTTTCTCTCTCCACCCGTATTTTATTTTCAATGTCTCCTTATTGATCTCACTTCCCTTTCCTACCCATCCTCCCACACTTCATGTGCCAGGGCAGCTTGTTCAGAGCAAAGCCAGCTGAAAGCTATCTCCTGGTGGTGTCTTCAGTTAAAAGGAATATTTTGGTCTAGCACACTTATTGCATGACAAGATCAGGGACTCTAGCAGACTACTCCATTACCTGAAAGCACGCCACCCAAATCCTCCTCTGGGGCCTCTGACTCTCCCTCTCTCTTACACAGTTGATTCTCATTATGTGTAGTAGTTGCATTTTATAAAGTTACTGCCAACACTAATTAGCGAATATGGGATCATTGCACCTAGAGGAAATACAGGGTTATTTCCGGTGAGGCTCTGTTCACAACATTTTCATCAACAGATCGGCACATAATCCTATTTTATGCATATTTCTGTCTAGAGATACCTTATTTACCATATACTCTTGATTCATTAGCATTAAACTCCCAACCAATGGCACTAACTCATGCCTGAAAGAAGCTTATTGAATGCCCATATTTTCTCCATAAGGCACAGCTTTTTGGGCTTAGGAACACTAGACAGCACTTCGGCATTTTGCTTCAGGCAATTTTAAACAGCGAAATCACCAACGAAATGCACAAACGTGAAAAATGTGACGCTAAATATTCTGCGAAAAGGACACATTTATAGTATGAGAGTTGAAACAGGAAGGCAGAGCATTGCCTTGTTTAACCTCAGCTGGGGACAAGTGTATCAGGAGGATCCAGTTTTTTGACACTCTGAACAGGTGCCCATCCAGGAATGACCATGAAAGCACCGTGATTATTGATTTTAGGGTCACAAATGCATTTTAGTGAGTAGGCAAATTTGCAAATACAAAATCTGTGAACAAAGAAGATAGACTCTACTTTAATCCTTTCTTTCCCCACCCACCCCATTCCTCTTCATCAGCAACATTTCAACAATCTCAAGTGTTTGTTAAAACACAAAAACAGCAAAACACTATCTCCCTTTACCTCCTGCTCCCCTCCAATTACTGTCTTATCTCTGTGTCTCCTTAGACAGCATTCTTGCCAGAGGACATCATGCCTCCACCTTGAACTCCTCACTGTCCCCGGGTGGTCTCACCCATTCCCATGGTTTCAAATAGACGAACTATGGGCCAATGACTCAAATCTCAAGTCTTCATCTTGAACTCAAGGCTCATATCTAGCTGCTAACTGCGCATGTCCACTTGAAGGTCCCCACAGGCCTTCAATGTGTCCACATCAAGGTGTCAAAAGCTGAGCTCATTACCTGCCTCTCAAACTTCTGCTTCCTGGATTTCCTGAATTAGTGAGTGGTACCACCTTTCATCCAAGTTAGAAACCTGGAAATGAGATTTTTTTCCTCCCTTTCTCACCTGATCACAGAGTCTGCAGGTCTGCCATTCTAACATCTGTCCATGCCTAATCATTCCCCACTGCCAGTACCTTGACTCTGTCTTCTTTTATCTTTCACCAGAATTATTGCAATAGTTTTCCAGCTTGTCTTTCTGACTTTGATCTTGTCTTTCAACTACTCTCCTGAGAGTGATCTTTCTAAAGCTCAAATCTTATTGTGAAATTGCCCTGCTTAAAGCCTTTCAACAGCTCCTCATTGTCCTCAAGCTAAAATACAAACTCGTTATCATGGTTCTCCATCTTTGTGATCTGTGATCTGAATGGCATTTAGAACTCCTGCTGAATCTCTCACCTCCCGTTTCAGGCCTGGCCCCACCCCTTGGGTTCATCTTGACTGCAGTTTCCTGAAAACACTGCTTGCTCTTGCCCTCAAAACTTCGGAAGAGCTGGTTTCCTCTAAAACTCTCCACATCCTTATCATCCATCTGCAAACCTACTCAGCCAATTTAGATGTTGCTTCCTCCAGGAAGTCCTCCCTGATGTCCCCTATCCCAGATCAGATTTTCTCCTATGTATCTCTTCACCATGCCCTACCTACTCTTATTGCAGCATGTGTCTTGCTGTCTTGTGCTAGGAATCTACCATCTCTCTTTCCACCATTATGCTGAACACTCCTTATGTGTAGGGAACAGATTTTGTTTATCTTTAGGCCCCAGTTCCTAGAAAAGTTCCTGGTATATAATTGACAGTCAATAAATATTGGCTGAGTGAATACGTGCCTGTATCTGGCTCCTATTTTGGACTTCTTTCTCTTGAAGCTCCTTTAAAAACAAAACTACATAAAACAATAAAAGGACATTAAAAATTACTGTCTTTCTGCCAGGCACGGTGGATCACACCTGTAATCTCAGAACTTTGGGAGGCCAAGGCAGGAGGATCAGTTGAGGCCATGAATTCAAGACCAGCCTGGGTAATATGGTGAGACCCTGTCTGTACAAAGAATAAAAAAATTACCTGGGTGTGGTGGATTGTGTCTTAGTCCCAGCTACTCAGGAGGCTGAAGTGGGAGGATTGCTTGAGCCCAGGAGTTTGAGGCTGCAGTGGGCTATGATTGCGTGACTGCACCCCATCCTGCCTGGGTGACAGAGTGAGAACCTGTCTCAACAACAACAACAAAAATACTGTTCTTCATGAAAAGTATTCTAAGTCGGTGGCTTCCTTCACCTAGCCTCATGTCTTTTTCCAAAATAAAAATAACCCTGCTGGGAATGTTAATAGCTAACTTACCGAGCACTTGACTGTGTGCCAGGCACTTTACTATGCCCTTTGCATGTATAAATCATTTAATCTTCATGACAACCCTACAACTAGGTGTTACCCTTGTCCCTGTTTTACAGGTGAAGAAGCTGAAGAACAGAGTAATTTGCCTAAGGTCATAAGTCTCATACATGGTAGAATGTCCATTAATACTATCAATCCAACCAACACTACATAGATAGAAAACAATGTTTTATTCTTGTGAGAGCTTAAGAACCTGAAATTGTCCAACTGCTCAGAAATTGACTGGCTAGCTGTATTTGGACAGGGGAACTTGTATATTTCTGGGTCCTTTAGGTATTATGATGATTCTAATTCCTTTTCTCTTTCTCTTTGTGAATTCTTACAATAAGGGGCTGAGTTCCTGGGAAGTGGACCCAATAGTGCCAGGAATCTGATAGCATGTTCAGAACCAGCGTGTGCAAACATCCCCCAGAGGCCAGCTGGCTGAGAAATTCTGCTGCCACTGCTCTCTTGCTAATTTATTTTCCATTCACCTTGATCCCTTGTCCTGTAGAAATGTATTTGGGCACAACTAAAAGCCTCTTTCTTCTCACATCTTATTATATTTTTTCCACTTTGTGCCCCACCTGTTTTGACTCAGAGCTGCATGAGGAACCTGGGATTCTCAGGAGATGAGAATCCCAGGTTCCTCTATGGATGAGTGTAATAGTAGCTGTAGTAGTAGTAGGTGTAATAGTGTAATAGTAGGTGCCGTTTATTGAACACTTACTGTGTGCCAGCCACAAGAATTCCTTATAATTATTGAATTTAGTCCTATTGAAGTAGGTATGAGTATCCATTTTAGAGGTGAGGAACCCAAGCCTCAGATGGCTGAAGCGAGCTGCACCACATCTGTATTAGTTCCCCTTGCTGCTGTAACAAATAACACAAATTTAGTGGCTCATAACAATGCAAATTTATTCTTATGATTCTGGAGGTCAGAAGTTCAAAATCAGTCTCAATGGGCTAAAGTCAAGCCTGTGCAGGACTGTTCTTTCTGAAGGATCTAAAGGAGGATGTTTCCTCTCCCTTTTTCAGCTTCTAGAGGCCACTGCATTTTTTGTATTCCTTCCTCACACCATTCCAACCTCCACTTCCATCATCACATCTTCTCTAACTCTGACTCCCCTGCCTCTCTTCGAAGGACCCTTGTGATTATATCTGGGCCATCCAGATAATCTAGGATAATCTCCTCAACTCAAGATCTTTAATGTAATTACATCTGCAAAGTCTCTTTTTCTGTGTAAAGTAATCTATTTATAGGTTCCAAAGGATTGAGACGTGAAGCTCTTTGGGGGACTATTATTCAGCCTACCATACCATAAAGCAGAACTAACATTCCACTAGAAAGCCTACAGCCTTCAAAAGTGATTTTTCTTTAGTGAAGCCCTCTAAACGTATTAAATTCTATTAAATACAAGTCCCAGGTTTGGAAGGGGCCATGTGTTTTGCCTCTATATCTTCTGCAGCTAGAACAGGAATTCTTAGCACTGGCTATATGTTAGAATCACCTGGAGAACTTTTAAAACCTACTTAAGCTAGGATCTACATAAGATCAATTAAAATCAGAATCACTGGAGGTGGGGCTTGAACACTTGGCAGGTTAGAGCATGTCTCCAGGTAGTTCTAATAGGCAGCTAGCTTTGAGACCCATCATGCCAGAGAGAACTGCTGGCAAACGCTTACAACATGCCATGTTCTGGGTCCAAGGAGGAAAAGCTTGGCTATAAAGATGAATGGCAAGAAAATAAACTGGGAAAGCCATTTGTCCCTGGTTTAGTATCCTTGCTTGTGCCATTTCCTAGTTGCATGAGCTAGAGCAAGTTACTTGATTTCTCTGGTCTTTTTTCCATTACTAATAGCTCCCAAAAGTTGTGCAATGACTAACTGAGATCATGAATGAAGAGCCCTTAGCTGAGTGCTGTTAGGTCCCAATAGAGGGCAGTGCAGCCTTTTTTGCATCCCGCCCCCACCCAGCCTTCGGAACAGAGGTTCCTAATAATAGAATTCTCTTGGCTTTAATTTTCCAGCTCAGAGAAGATTAAATTTGCCTCCTTCTTGGTTATGTCTGACTTTCACTTCCTTCTTGGTGTTTTTCTCCACATCTCCCATCTGGGGGTCCTTCCGCACCTTTTAATCATGCTGAGTCTAGGGGGCAGCTGGAAAGACTTCTGATCTTCCAGGCTGCTTTCAGAAGGTCCCAGAATTCCCAGGATGTTACTAGGGTTTCTTGATTGATGTCAAGCAATTAAGCTGTAAACTGCAAAGGGTGACTTTCCTCCCTTAGAAGGAAATCGCTCATGGTATGTGGTTGGGGATGGAGAGCTGAGTTTTCCTTTGGGCTGATACAGTGAGAAGTCTAAAACATGGATGTGGTGGAGAAATGTTTTTAATGGAAAGAGTTCCCAGGGTTGGAAGGAAATGGAAGGAAGCGGCCAAGCTACTTCCTAGTACTGATTTGCTAATGTTGATAGTGCTTGGTGCTTCTTCTAATTCTTTGCTGCCCTCCTTTGCTTCTCCTAGTTCTTGAAGGTATTAGGAAGGGCAAAAGAGATGGAGATGATTCAGCAATTGGAACCGAGCACATTTGGCCCAGCAGGCTGTGCCTCTGACTGTGGGGCCAGGTTAATAGCATTAATGAAAAGCGTTCCCAATTGAGCGAGGGAGCAGGGCTCTGGCAAGGCCACTTTCCATTAGGGACTGCCAAAGCTGATGTCACTGGGAACTTTTCATTTTTCTCTCTCCCTCTAACTTTTTTTAGATGCAGAATGATGGAATAATTCTACTGTCTTGTTTTGCCAAACTTGTTTCTCATCATTCAGGTATATCTGTTTTTCACAAAGTCTATTGTATTACCCAATTCAGTTTTTAAAGATTATTTCTATGTCCCAGCCCACTGCCAACGAGTCAGCAGGCATTTAGCAGACACCCGCTTTGGCTGGGTAGTGAGGTGGAATAACGAAGGGTGCCCAGGCTTGGCGCCTGACGCACAATCATATTGGGAATGTCAGATTCATACGCACAGAATAACGTGGGTAGATGACTGTTAGGAGCGCCCTGAGCAGCGGGAGGTCAGTGAGAACTCTGGTCAGGAAAGACAGCGTGGAGGAGGGGAGCTTTGAGGGAGGGCATTTCAGATGGGGAGACAACATTGGTGGGGGTGGGCAGAGTGAGTCCGGGGGAGTTAGGAAAACAAAAGTAATAATGGCAAAAATAAGAATGTTAACTAGCTGTCCATGCAGGTACCTTGGGCCCCAGATATATAGATCACCTCAGCACAAGCACATGCTCCACACTTTTCTCAAGGTTTCTGTGTCTCCCAGGTGAGGGAGTGTTGCTTTTCTAAAATCACCCCGGGCTCCAGGCTCAGGCTTTTGCACGCCGCATCTCTGTTCCAACTCATTCTAGGGGCCAGAGAAATGTCTGATGATCATGGCATCCAAGTATGGCCTCTTTGCCGATAGCACTTGGTTCTCTCTCTCTCTCTCTCTCTCTGTCTCTCTCTCTCTCTCTCTCAAGATCCTTGGGAGAAATCTCTGGTCATTTCACAATAGACCACAGGATCAGAGAAGAAAAGGAGTCGTGTTTTTTAAGAAACAAATCTCCAAGTGCTGCTGGTCGTTCTTGGAAATCCCCTGCCCTCTTCCTCTGCCACATGCTCAATTTATTCCAAATGGTTCTGGAGCATCTATGTATCTATAAAGCTTACTGTACTTTTAAATGGATGGAGAAATGCCCAGCTGAAAACTTCGGGAGTGGATGACCAGCTGGTGGGCCTATTATCTGGGCTAAAGAGATTGCAGGCTGAGGATATGGAAACCCCCACTGCCCATCTGGCTTGTGGAAGCATCTGAGTCCTGCTGAGTCAATGTGCCGTAAGAACTTCAGGTCCTGCTTCAACCAGAACAGGCTGTCCCCTGGGCGCTCACCCAGATTGTTACGGCAGGTACAATTGCTGATTTGGCCCTAGTGATGGGTTGGCTGTGGGAGAGGAGCCTGGGTCAGAAATGCTGGCATTGAAAAGCAGTGAGTCCTCAGCTTCGTGGCATTTAGTAAAGTACCAAGAAAAGCCAAGACTGGGTGTTCTGGGGGCATAGGAGACAGGTGGAAAGAACATTAGAAATTTATCTTTAGACAAAAGACTCTACATTAAAAATGTCCCTTCAGAAGGGACGTGTGTAACAATTTATATTGCCTATTTAAAATTCTGTCAAGTGGCCTTACCCAGCTATTTTTAATGGAACACAATGTGCCACCCATTGGGAATATTCAAACATGATGGATAAGGCCAGTCATTTATATTATAGGTTGGCACCTATGTGAATGCCAAGAATCTATGGGCACTTAAATAATTATCCTTTATCTTCTTTTTTTTATCCCATCAAACTTAGTTCCTGGACCAGCAGCTCCAAACTTTATTATGCTTAATAATCACTTGGCTGGTTGGGAGGTGGGGAGGGAGAGACTTGGGCTGAGGTAGGACCCAGAATTCAGTATTTCATTAAGCAACCTTAGGTGATTCTGATGAGGGAAGTCCACGAACCACACTTTGGGACACAGTGGAAGGCGAGTGGGATTATGGCTTATGCATTTGAATTTAATAAATATTGTAATTCATGACCTATGACACCTTAATTCCCATGCTTTCTCTAATTTGATCCTCCTAATAACTCCATGAGGTACAGGGTCAGATGCTGTTATTTGTATTTTGTAGTCAAAGACTCTAAAGTTCAGAGAGGTAGTGATCTGTGATTGACAGCTAGTAGAGACCCAGGTGTTCAGGCTCCTCGTGCAGTGCTCTGGCAGCCCCTCCTGCCCCTCTTTCAAGCCCCACGTGGTCTACTGTGTGATGTGCTCAACATTTCTTCCCATTTCATTGTTTATGTGCTAAATTATGGGAGGGGGAGAGGAAAAGTTTCCCTATTCTAGTGTTCTAGAACTAAATCTTAGCTAGAGTGAGAGGGTGCTTAATAAATGTTAAAAGGTCTAGTCAGTTTAGTCTGGGGAAAAAGATGTATTAAGCCAGGTGAGAAGAGGGGCTCTGGATCACAAGGCTCCTACTTGAAAGGGGGCAATACCAAATAAAATCACTTAAGCCAGGAGCAGTGGCTCACACCTGCAATCCCCTCACTTTGGGAGGCCGAGGCGGGAGAATCGCTTGAGGCCAGGAGTTTGAGACCAGCCTGGGCAAAATAGTGAGACCCTCTCTCTGCAAAAAATACACAAAAATTAGCCAGGTGTGTGCCTGTAGTCCCAGCTACTCGGGAGGCTGAGGTGGGAGAATTGCTTGAGCCTGGGAGGTCAAAGCTACAGTGAGCCATGATCGAGGCTACAGTGAGCCATGATCACACCACTGTACTTCAGCCTGGGCAACAGAGTGAGACCCTGTCTCAGAAAAAAGAAAAAGTAATTGAAAGAACTGCCGCCCACACACCCACAGTCACACACAAGACCATACCCCAACTCAGGAACTGTCAGACTCTTAGAAAAGAGTCTAATGGTCGAAGAAAACTTTTCTCAAATGAGACCAAGCATAATTAAAATGTTGGAAAGTGACATGCTATTCCCAAGAATGATCAATTGACCAGAAGCTGTCTAGAAATTGAGAAAAGAGCCA
The DNA here is from genome assembly GCF_000001405.40 of Homo sapiens. Taxonomy (NCBI): domain Eukaryota; kingdom Metazoa; phylum Chordata; class Mammalia; order Primates; family Hominidae; genus Homo; species Homo sapiens. Next base: position 94,071,799 of record NC_000012.12, on the reverse strand, counting down.
TCAGGAAAGGAACACAGAACTGGGAACAGAGGACCATGTTCTAATTCCAGCTGTGCTCATCAATAATAACAGCTGCCACTATTGAACAATCCCTATGCAGCAGGTGCCACGATCCTCACAATAACAAATCTATCAAACATCAGTAGGTCCATTTTGCAGGTGGACAATTGAGGCCCAGAGAGGCTAAGGGGCTTGGCTTGGGCCACCCTGCAAATGAGTACCAGACTCAGGCTTGGTAGCTCCCAAACCCAAGCCCTGACATTGTGAACCCTATGAGGGTTTGACGATCAGCAGGAAATAAGATTATTGACATGAACCTGCCACACAAACCACGGAGTATTGGGCTCAGCTCCAAACCTGGTAGCAATCTTTGACTCCTGTCTTCCTCTCACACTCCACATGCAATCCTTCAGCAAATCCTGTTGACTTTAGCTTCACAGTATGTCCCTAATCCAACCCAGTCTCCACCTATGCTTTCACCCTCATCCACTCCTCCCTCATCCCTGGCCTGGATAAGTGCTGTAGCCCCCTACAGGGTCCTGGCCCCCACCTTTAGCACCATGGTCTACTCTCCACACTGTGACCAGAGTGAATCTGTTAAAATATAGGTCAGCTCTTGTCACCACTCTGTTCAAAACCCCACAATAGCAAAAAGTCAAATGCCTCAGCTGGGTGCAGTGGCTCATGCCTGTAATCCCAGCACTTTGGGAGGCCAAGGCGGGCGGATCACCTGAGGTCAGGAGTTAGAGACCAGCCTGGCCAACATGGTAAAACCCCATCTCTAGTAAAAATACAAAAATTAGCCAGGTGTGGCGGTGAGTGCCTGTAATCCCAGCTACTTGGGAGGCTGAGGCAGGAGAATCACTTGAACCTGGGAGGAAGAGGTTGCAGTGAGCTGAGATGGTGCCATTGCACTCCAGCCTGGGTGAGAGAGCAAGACTCCGTCTCGAAAAAAAAAAAAAAAAAAAAAAGTCAAGCACCTCTAGTGGCCTGTGATGCCCTTGTGCACCTATAACTGCACCCTCCTTCCTTCCTTGATCTCATCGTCTCCTGATTGGCTCTGCTCGAGCCTTCTGATGCCCCAGGTACACTCCCACCTTAGGACCTTTGCACTTATTACACCTGCTATTCAGAACACTCCCTCTCTGCCACACCAAACCCACATGGCTCCCTCCCTCCCTCCTCCAGGCCTTTGCTCAAACATCTCCTTAGGGAGGCCTTTCTCAATCACTTGATTTACAACTACGCCCCCCAACACTCCCTACTCTTCCCATTTTATTTGTCAATATTTGACATATATAGACATATGTCTGATATAGAACTATATGTCTATATCTGCATATATATCTGTTTTAAAAAATTTACGGTAAAATGTGCATAACAAAATTTAGCATTTTAGTTTTTTTTTATTGTTCTAGGGTACATGCGCACAACATGCAGGTTTGATACATAGGTATACATGTGCCATGTTGGTTTGCTGCACCCATCAACTCATCATTTACATGAGGTATTTCTCCTAATGCTATCCATCTCCCAGCCCCCCACCCCCCAACAGGCCCCAGTGTGTGATGTTCCCCTCCCTTTGTCCAAGTGATCTCATTGTTCAGTTCCCAACTATGAGTGAGAACATGCAGTGTTTGGTTTTCTGTCCTTGTGATAGTTTGCTGAGAGTGATGATTTCCAGCTTCATCCATGTCCCTGAAAAGGACATGAACTCATCCTTTTTATGGCTGCATAGTATTCCATAGTGTATATGTGCCACATATTCTTAATCCAGTCTATCACTGATGGACATTTGGGTTGGTTCCAAGTCTTTGCTATTGTGAATAGTGCCGCAATAAACATACGTGTGCATGTGTCTTTATAGCAGCATGATTTATAATCCTTTGGGTATATACTCAGCAATGGGATTGCTAGGTCAAATGGTATTTCTAGTTCTAGATCCTTGAGGAATCGCCACACTGTCTTCCACAATGGTTGAACTAATTTACACGCCCACCAACAGTGTAAAAGTGTTCCTATTTCTCCACATCCTCTCCAGTATCTGTTGTTTCCTGACTTTTTAATGATTGCCATTCTAACTGGCATGAGATGATATCTCATTGTGGTTTTGATTTGCATTTCTCTGATGGCCAGTGATGATGAGCATTTTTTCATGTGTCTGTTGGCTGCATAGATGTCTTCTTTTGAGAAGTGTCTGTTCATATCCTTTGCCCACATTTTGATGGGGTTGTTTGTTTTTTTCTTGTAAATTTGGTTGAGTTCTTTGAAGATTCTGAATATTAGCCCTTTGTCAGATGGGTAGATTGCAAAAATTTTCTCCCATTCTGTAGGTTGTCTGTTCACTCTGATGGTAGTTTCTTTTGCCATGCAGAAGCTTTTTAGTTTAATTAGATCCCATTTGTCTATTTTGGCTTTTGTTACCATTGCTTTTGTTGTTTTAGTCATGAAGTCCTTGCCCATGCCTATGGCCTGAATGGTACTGCCAAGTTTTCTTCTAGGGTTTTTATGGTTTTAGGTCTAACATTTAAGTCTTTAATCCATCTTGAATTAATTTTTGTGTAAGGTGTAAGGAAGGGATCCAGTTTCAGCTTTCTATGTATGGCTAGCCAGTTTTCCTGGCACCATTTATTAAATAGGGAATCATTTCCTCATTTCTTGTTTTTGTCAGGTTTGTCAAAGAACAGATGGTTGTAGATGTGTGGTGGTATTTCTGAGGCCTCTGTTCTGTTCCATTGGTCTACCTCTCTGTTTTGGTACCAGTACCATGCTGTTTTGGTTACTGTAGCCTTGTAGTATAGTTTGAAGTCAGGAGCATGATGCCTCCAGCTTAATTCTTTTTGCTTCGGATTGTCTTGGCAATGCGGGCTCTTTTTTGGTTCCATATGGACTTTAGTTTTTTCCAATTCTGTGAAGAAAGTCATTGGTAGCTTGATGGGGTTGGCATTGAATCTATAAATTACCTTGAGCAGTATGGTCATTTTCATGATATTGATTCTTCCTATCCATGAGCATGGAATGTTCTTCCATTTGTCTGTGTCCTCTTTTATTTCGCTGAGCAGTGGTTTGTAGTTCTCCTTGAAGAGGTCCTTCACATTCCTTGTAATTTGGATTCCTAAGTATTTTATTGTCTTTGTAGCAATTGTGAGTGGGAGTTCACTCATGGTTTGGCTCTCTATTTGTATGTTATTGGTGTATAGCAATGCTTGTGATTTTTGCAAATTGATTTTGTATCCCGAGACTTTGCTGAAGTTGCTTATCAGCTTAAGGAGATTTGGGGCTGAGATTATGGGGTTTTCTAAATATACAATCATGTCATCTGCAAACAGGGACAATTTGACTTCCTCCTTTCCTAATTGAATACCCTTTATTTCTTTCTCCTGCCTGATTGCCCTGGCCAGAACTTCCAACACTATGTTGAATAGGAGTGGTGAGAGAGGGCATCCTTGTCTTTTGCAGATTTTCAAAGGGAATACTTCCAGTTTTTGCCCATTCCGTATGATATTGGCTGTGGGTTTGTCATAAATAGCTCTTATTATTTTGAGATACATTCCATCAATACCTAGTTTATTGAGAGTTTTTAACATGAAGGGCTGTTGAATTTTGTCAAAGGCCTTTTCTGCATCTATTGAAATAATCATGTGGTTTTTGTCTTTGGTTCTGTTTATGTGATGGATTACGTTTATTGATTTGCATATGTTGAACCAGCCTTGCATCCCAGGGATGAAGCCAACTTGATCATGGTGGATAAGCTTTTTGATGTGCTGCTGGATTCGGTTTGCTGGTGTTTTACTGAGGATTTTTGCCTTGATGTTCATCAGGGATATTGGTCTAAAATTCTCTTTTTTTCTTGTGTCTCTGCCAGGCTTTGGTATCAGGATGACGTTGGCCTCATAAAATGAGTTAGGGAGGATTCCCTCTTTTGCTATTGATTGGAATAGTTTCAGAAGGAATGGTACCAGCTCCTCTTTGTGCCTCTGGTACAATTCGGCTGTGAATCCATCTGATCCTGGACTTTTTTTTGGTTGCTAGGCTATTAATTATTGCCTCAATTTCAGAGCCTATTATTGGTCTATTCAGAGACTCAGCTTCTTCCTGGTTTAGCATTGGGAGGGTGTGTGTGTCCAGGAATTTATCCATTTCTCTAGATTTTTTAGTTTATTTGCATAGAAGTGTTTATAGTATTCTCTGATGGTAGTTTGTATTCTGTGGGATCGGTGGTCATATCCCCTTTATCATTTTTTATTGTGTCTGATTCTTCTTTCTTTTCTTCTTTATTAGTCTTGCTAGGGGTCTATCAATTGTGTTGATCTTTTCAAAAAACCGCTCCTAAATTCATTGATTTTTTGAAGGGCTTTTTGTGTCTCTCTTTCAGTTCTGCTCTGATCTTAGTTATTTCTTGCCTTCTGCTAACTTTTGAATTTGTTTGCTTTTGCTTCTCTAGTTCTTTTAATTGTGATGTTAGGGTGTTGATTTTAAATCTTTCCTGCTTTCTCTTGTGGGCATTTAGTGCTATAAATTTCCCTGTATACACTGTTTTAAATGTTTCCCAGAGATTCTGGTACCTTGTGTCTTTGTTCTTACTGGTTTCAAAGAACATCTTTATTTCTGCCTTCATTTCATTACTTACCCAGTAGTCATTCAGGAGCAAGTTGTTCAGTTTCCATGTAGTTGTGCGGTTTTGAGTGAGTTTCTTAATCCTGAGTTCTAATTTGATTGCACTGTGGTCTGAGAGACAGTTTGTTGTGATTTCTTTTACATTTGCTGAAGAGTGCTTTGCTTCAAATTATGTGGTCAATTTTAGAATTAGTGCAATGTGGTGCTGAGAAGAATGTATATTCTGTTGATTTGGGGTGGAGAGTTCTGTTGATGTCTATTAGGTCTGTCTGTTGCAGAGCTGAGTTCAGGTCCTGGATATCCTTGTTAAGCTTCTGTCTCATTGATCTGTCTAATATTGACAGTGGGGTGTTAAAGTCTCCCATTATTATTGTGTGGCAGTCTAAGTCTCTTTGTAGGTCTCTAAGGACTTACTTTATGAATATGGGTGCTCCTGTATTGGGTGCATATATATTTAGGATAGTTAGCTCTTCCTGTTGAATTGATCCCTTTACCATTATATAATGGCCTTCTTTGTCTCTTATGATCTTTGTTGGCTTAAAGTCTGTTTTATCAGAGACTAGGATGGAACCCCCGCTTTTTTTGTGTTCCATTTGCTTGGTAAATCTTCCTCCATCCCTTTATTTTGAGCCTATGTGCATCTTTGCAACATGAGATGGGTCTCCTGAATACAGCACACTGATGGGTCTTGATTCTTTATCCAATTTGCCAGTCTGTGTCTTTTAATTGGGGCATTTAGCCTATTTACATTTAAGGTTAATATCATTATGTGTGAATTTGATCCTGTCATTATGATGTTCGCTGGTTATTTCACCCACTAATTGATGCAGTTTCTTCATAGCATTGATGGTCTTTACAATTTGGTATGTTTTTGCAGTGGCTGGTACCAGTTGTTTCTTCCCATGTTTAGTGCTTCCTTCAGGAACCCTTATAAGGCAGGCCTGGTGGTGACAAAATCTCTCAGCATTTGCTTGTCTGAAAGGATTTTATTTCTCCTTCACTTAAGAAGCTTAGTTTGGCTGGATATGAAATTCTGGGTTGAAAATTCTTTTCTTTAAGAATATTGAATATTGGCCCCCACTCTCTTCTGGCTTGTAGGGTTTCTGCCGAGAGATCCGTTGTTAGTCTGATGGGCTTCTCTTTGTGGGTAACTCGACATTTCTCTCTGGCTGCCCTTAACACTTTTTCCTTCACTTCAACCTTGGTGAATCTCACAATTATGTGTCTTGGGGTTGCTTTTCTCAAAGAGTATCTTTGAGGTGTTCTCTGTATTTCCTGAATTTGAATGTTGGCCTGCCTTGCTATGTTGGGGAAGTTCTCCTGGATAATATCCTGCAGAGTGTTTTCCAACTTGGTTCCATTCTCCCCATCACTTTTAGGTACACCAATCAAACGTAAATTTGGTCTTTTCACATAGTCCCATATTTCTTGGAGGCTTTGTTTGTTTCTTTTTACTTTTTTTCTCTAACCTTGTTTTCCTGCTTTATTTCATTAATTTGATCTTCAATCACTGATACCCTTTCTTCCACTTGATCAAATCGGCTATTGAAGCTTGTGTATGCATCACAAAGTTCTCGTGCTATGGTTTTCAGCTCCAACCAGTGATTTAAGGTCTTCTTTACACTGTTTATTCTAGTTAGGCATTTTAAGTTAAAGTTAAGCCCTAATCTTTTTCAACGTTTTTAGCTTCCTTGCAATGGGTTAGAACATGCTCCTTTAGCTTGGAGACGTTTGTTATTACCGACCTTCTGAAGCCTACTTCTGTCAACTCATCAAAGTCATTGTCCATCCATCTTTGTTCCATTGTTGGCAAGGAGCTGCGATCATTTGGAGGAGAAGAGGCACTCTGGTTTTTAGAATTTTCAGCTTTTCTGTTCCGGTTTCTTCCCATCTTTGTGGTTTTATCTACCTTTGTTCTTTGATATTGGTGACCTACAGATGGGGTTTTGGTGTAGATGACCTTTTTGTTGATGTTGATGCTATTCCTTTCAGTTTGTTAGTTTTCCTTCTAACAGTCAGGTCCCTCAGCTGCAGGTCTGTTGGAGTTTGTGGGAGTTCCACTCCAGACCCTGTTTGCCTGGGTATCACCAGCGGAGGCTGCAGAACAGCAAATATTGCTGCCTGATTCTTCCTCTGGAAGCTTTGTCCCAGAGTGGCACCCACCTGTATGAGGTGTCTGTTGGCCCCTACTGGGAGGTGTCTCCCAGTCAGGCTACACAGGGGTCAGGGACCCACTTGAGGAGGCAGTCTGTCCGTTATTGGAGCTCAAGCGCCATGCTGGGAGAACCACTGCTCTCTTCAGAGCTGTCAGACAGGGACATTTAAGTCTGCAGAAGTTGTCTGCTGCCTTTTGTTTAGCTATGCCCTGTCCACAGAAGTGGAGTCTAGAGGCAGTAGGCCTTGTTAAGCTGCGGTGGGCTCTGCCCAGTTTCAGCTTCTGGGCCGCTCTGTTTACCTACTCAAGTCTCAGCAATGGCAGACGCCCCTCCCCCAGCCAGGCTGCCATCTTGCAGATTGATCTCAGACTGCTAGCAGTGAGCAAGGCTCCATGGGTGTGGGAGTTACCAAGCCAGGCACGGAAGAGAGTCACCTTGTCTGCCAGTTGCTAAAACCTTGGGAAAAGCACAGTATTGGGGCAGGAGTGTCCCGTTTTTCCAGGTAGTCTGTCACGGCTTCTCTTGGCTAGGAAAGGGAAATCCCCCGACCCTTTGCACTTCCCTGGTGAAGTGATGCCCTGCCCTGCTTTGGCTCGCCCTCCGTGGGCTGCACCCACTGTCCAACCAGTCCCATTGAGATGAACCAGGTACCTGAGTTGGACATGCAGAAATCACCCGTCTTCTGCATTGATTACGCTGGCAGCTACAGACCGGAGCTGTTCCTATTCGGGCATCTTGGACCACCCCCCATTTTAGCCATTTTTTAAATTTTATGTTTTAATTTTTGCAGGTACATAATAGGTATGTGTACTTATGCGGTACATGAGATATTTTGATACAGGCATACAATACATATTAATTACATCAGGGTAAATGGGGTATCCATGACCTCAAACATTTATCATTTCTTTGTGTTATAAATATTCAAATTATACTATTTTGTTATTTTTAAATGTATAATGAATTATTGTTGACTGTATTCACACTGTTGTGCTATCAAATACTAGATCTTATTCATTCTATCAAACTATGTTCCTGTACCCATTAACCATTCCCATTTCCCCCTGCCACCCCTACTGCCATATCCAGCCTCTGGTAACCAATATTCTACTTTCTGTCTTCATAAGTTCAATTGTATTAATTTTTAGCTTCCACAAATGAATGAGAATATGTGAAGTTTGTCTTTCAGTGCCTGGCTTCATTTCACTGAACATAATGACCTCCAGTTCCATCCATGTTGTTGCAAATGACACGATCTCATTCTTTTTGTGGCTGAATAGTACTCCATTGTATGTAGGTACTGCATTTCATTTATCCATTTGTCTGTTGATGGATGCTTAGGTTCCTTCCAAATCTTGGCTATGTGAATAATGCTGCATTAAACATGGGAGTGCAGATATCTCTTTGACACACTGATTTCATTTCCTTTGGCTAAATATCCAGTAGTGGAATTGCCAGAAGACAAAGTTACCTTTACTCTTCTTTCCCCTTTCTTCAAGTAGAAGGAGTCTGTCTCCATGGCCACCACACCTGGGAATGTGCTAGGTCACACCTGAAGCCAGCACAGCCCTGGATCTCATCCAAGGTTCACAGTGAGAACTGCCTAAGTACCACTGAGGTTTGTTCAAGGTTCAAGGGCTCTTTAGTCAGCAGATGATGAACCTCCCAGGACTGGGTCATTTCCTTCAAGGCAGCGGGTTCCCTTCTGGCTCAGGGTGTGACTGGAAATGTCGACCAGAGCTCGGGCCTGGAATGGGGGCCTCAGGACTCTGCCTGGTGTCCTAGTCTACTGTGGCTGAGCTGGTATCCAGGTTACAAGACAAAATCTTTACTCTTCTTTCTCCTGTCTTCAAGCAGAAGGAAGGAGCCTCTCCTAGAGCTGTAAGCTGCATTGCCTGAGGTTGGGAGAGAGGTGATGCAAGCATTCACTTGGCCACCTCAGTTGGTGTCTAACCAGCTGAGCACCACACCAGGACTTGCCCAGGAATTGCAGTCCTTGTGGTCTAGACAACCTTATGTTTATTTAGGACCCCAAAGCCTTTTAGCCTGTGGTGGTGGGGCTAGCCAGAAATCAGATTCCAGCTGCTGGGATGAGTGTTTCCCCTCTGGCTAGGGCTGTTCTAAATGTTTCCTCTGTGGACACCAGCTGAATTCTGCCATGTGTTGCTTTCCACTGTGACAGGGCAGCCCTGAGTTCCAACAAAAGTTCCACGATCACTGTGCTTTCTCTTCCCCAAGCACACATATTTTCTCTCTGCACCAGGTGGCCACTGTCAAGGGATCGGGCAGGGGTGATGTCAGGGATTCAAGACAGTCTTTCCCACTCTCTTTAGTGCCTCTTTCCTTGATATGTTGTTGAAACCAGGTACTATGATTGCTCACCTGATTTTTGGTGCTAATGAAGGTGTTTTCTCATGTGGATAGTTGTTCAATTTGGTGTTCTTCTGGGGAAGGGGAGAACTGTTGCTGGAGGCTTCTATTTGGCCATCTTGCTCTGCCTCCACCCCCATTGTAACCATTTTTAAGTGTACAGTTCAGTGGTATTAAGTATATTCACATTGTTGTGCAACCATCACCACCATCCATCTCTGAAAGTCCTTTGACCTTGCAAAATTGAAACTTTGCATCCACTAAACAACTACTCCCTACCTCACTGCTCTCACCTCCCCCCACCAACCTCTGGCAACCACCATTCTACTTTCTGTCTGTGAATTTGACTACTTATATAAGTGGAATCATACAATATTTGCCTTTTTGTAACTGGCTTATTTCACTTCACGTAATGTCCCCAAGTTTGTAGCATGGGTCAGAATTTCCTTCTTTTTTTAAGCCTGAATAATATTCTATGGTATATATACACATTTTGTTTATGCATTCATCCATCAATGAGCACCTGGGTTGCTTCTACTTTTTGGCTAATGTGAATAAAGCTGCTGTGAACATAGGTGAACAAATGTCTCCTCAAGGCCCTGCTTTCAATTCTGTGTATTTATCCAGAAGTGGAATTCTGAATCATATGGTAATTCTATTTTTAGTTTTTGAGGAACTGCCATACTCTTTTCCACAATGGCTGTAACATTTTACATTTCTGCCAGCTTTGCCCAAGGGTTCCAATTTCTCTACATGCTCATCAATACTTATTATTTTCTTTTTGGCAGTGGCCATTCTAATGGATGCGAGGTGGTATCTCATTGTGGTTTTGATTTGCATTTCCCTAATGGTTAGTGATGTGAAGCATCTTTTCATAGGCTTGTTGGCATTTGTATATCTTCAATGGAGAAATGTCTAAGTCTTTGCTCATTTTTTCATTAGGATTTTTGTTGTTGTTAAGGTGTAGGAGTTCTTTATATATTCTGCATCTGGTGTATTTTTAAAAAGGTATTATTTATTTGTAATTGTCTCACTACTAGAATGTTAGCTGTTTAAGGTTGGAGGTATTTGCTTGTTTTGTTCATGACTGTAAGCATAGTACTAGGCATATGATAGATGCTTACTATATTTGGTGAGTGAATGATGAAATAAAGGTACTGTGGTGCAATGTAAGCATAAGAGCTGGTTAAGAATACTGTGAAAAAAAAAGCCATGCGTAGTGGCTCATGCCTGTAATCCTAGTACTTTGGGAGGCTGAGGTGGGAGGATTGCTTGAACCCAGGAATTCTAGACCAGCCACCATAGTGAGCCCTCATCTCTTAAAAAAAATTATCTGAGTGTATTAGTGTGTTCTCAAACTGCTACAAAGAAATACCTGAGACTGGGTAATTTATAAATAAAAGAGGTTTAATTGGCTCATGGTTCTGCAGGCTATACAGGAAGCATGGTGGCATCTTCTTCTGGGGAGGCCCCAGGAAACTTACAGTCATGATGGACAGCAAAGGGGAAGTGGGCACGTCTTACATGGCCAGAGCAAAAGGAAGAGAGAAAAAGGGGGGAGGTGATATACATTTTTAAACAACCAGGTCTCTTGAAAACTCACTCACTATACAGTACCAAGGGGGATGGTACTAAACCATTCATGAGAACTCCACCCCTATGATCCAATTGCCTCCTACCAGACCCCACCTCCAACAATGGGGATTACAATTCAACATGAGATTTGGGTGGGGACACAGATCCAAACCATATCACTAGGCATGGTGGCACGTGCCTGTTGTCCCAAGTCCTAGCTACTTGGGAGACTGAGGTGGGAGGATTGCTTGAGCCCAGGAGGCTGAGACTGCAGTGAGCTGTAATTGTGCCACTGCACACCAGCCTGGGTGACAGGGTGAGACTGTGGCTAAAAAAATTAAAAAAATTGAAAAGACTATTGTGGAAAAAAAATCACTTTCTTTCTTCTTGGTATATGAATTGAAATATTTTCTTGAAAATTGCAAGAAAAGCCTAGGAAAAAAATTGTTGGAAAAAAATTGGTAATACTTGGCTACAATTGATTATTGGTTACAAATGTCTATGACCCCAATTCCCTAGGGCCTATAAGAAATGCATGCTTACAGCACCAGTATATACAATTTAAGAGGTTCGTAGCCACACTGTAATTGTCCCAACATGGAAATAGCCCGAGTGTCTATCAATAGTAGAATGGGTAAACAGTTGGGGTGTGTTCAAGCAGTGGAATCCTACATAGCTATCAAAACAGGTGCCGTTTCACACCACAACAGGTATGCTTCTTAAAGACAACATTGAGCAAGAGGTTAGGCATCTAATAATACACACTGCACAATTCCACTCATAAAATCCGAAAACAGACAACATTTAAACATATTGTCCAGGTGTGCATAATGAGGAAATAAAACTATTTTTAAAAGGCAGAGGAAATGAGCACCAGAATGCTGAGGACAGTGGTGACTGTGAGGGGGGAGAGAGGGTGTTAGGACCAGGAAGGGGGACGAAGTGTGCATAGGAACAGGAGGCCTCAATGGGTTTCTTTTCATGCAGGTTCATCTCCATGTACTTTTCAGTACATTAGTTAGATTTCACAATCACAAAGACAAACAATTTAACGTAAAATCCACTTTCACCTCACTTAAGCACACAGGAATTTCTGGAAATGCAAGCTGCCCTGTTGGCAAGGGACATGGGCTGAATTTTGAGGAAGTCATGGAGGCAGGCTGTGGCTAACCTAACTTGGGATTAGGAGAGCAAACAAATTTCAAGCACCAACAATGGAGGGAGTAGGTGCCAGAACCTAGGAATCGGGAGAGAGACGGTTGAGGACAGTGAAATACACAGGCTATCAGATCACAAAGTTTGTCTTCTCTCACCTCCTCTCTAGGAGTCTCCCTCCAGCCCTTGTTTCTTGTAAAGCCTTTGAGTGACTCCTCTACAGACTGTCTTCTGGCTAGTGTGGTCTTCATTGTGGGCATTTCCTTCAGGCTATGTGATCAAAGATGAGCTAATTTGCTAAGCAACCTTGTGCTGTGGTATTAGTGAGGCCAGCCAGGTGGCCCCTGTCTCTTCTAGTCATAGATTTGTATTGTAACAGGAGACTATGGAGACTGAATATTGTGCTGCAAAAGGGCAATTTGCAGGTGGAAATTCATGCCTTTGGCAGTCTGGCAGGAAAGATATTAAAGAACTACTCTCTTTTTAATTTATTTTTTATTTTTAGCAGAGTCTTAAATGCATCTGTCTTAGTCCATTTGTGTTGCTATAAAGGAATACCTGAGGGTGGGTAATTTATTAAAAAATAGTGGTTTATTTGTTCATGGTTCTGCAGGCTGTACAAGAAGCATAGCACCGACATCTGCTTCTGGTGAGGGCCTCAGACTGCTTCCACTCATGGTGGAAGTGGAAGGGGAGGAGATGTGTGCAAGGTCACGTGGTCAGAGGAAAAACAAGAGAGAGGAGAGAGAGTGAGAGAGTAAGAGCGAGGGGTGTCAGGCTCTTAACAAACAGCTTTCATGGGAACTAATAGGGCAAGAACTTACTCATTAGCTCAAGGATGGCACTAAGCCATTCAAGAGGGATCTGCCCCAAAGACCCCCCTGACTAGGCTCCACCTCCAACACTGGAGATCAAATTTTAACACGAAGTTTTGAGAACATCCGAACTATAACACCATCTTATTCCTCAAGGCCTACCTGTGTATAAATCTAACCCTTACCTAAAACCCTAAGACTAACATTTAAGGGCCTTTTCAGAGAAGGCAGAGACAAAGAAAAAGTAGTAGCCACATGAAAACAGAGACTGTATGATGATTCAGAAATTAGCAGTGCCAGCTACTGTTCATGGACCGAATGGAGCTATGTGCTAGTGCTGTGAAGCAGCATCCCAGTCAACAATCCTACAATATAGGTGGTGGCATTCTCATTTTATACATGATGAAAATGAGACTTAGAATGCATAGTTATTCATTCCCTAGGACTGGGTGTGGTGGCTCATGCCTGTAATCCCAGCCAAGGCGGATGGATCACTTGAGTTCAGGAGTTCGATACCAGCCTGGCCAACATGGTGAAACCCTGTCTCTACTAAAAATACAAAAATTAGCTGGGCATGGTGGCATGCACCTGTGATCTCAGCTACTCAGGAGGCTGAGGCAGGAGAATTGCTTAAACCTGGGAGGCAGGGATTGCAGTGAACCAAGATCACACCACTGCACTCCAGCCTGGGTGATAGAGTGAGACTCTGTCTCAAATAAACAAACAAACAAATTGGATAGTTATTCCTTCCCCCATCATACACCTAGTGATGGCAAAGCCAGGATTCCTGTTGCAATGGTCAGCAAACTACAGCCTGTGGGCCAAATTTGCCTAGTTTTGTACAACCCTTGAGCTAATAATAGTTTTTCTAATTTAAATTTTTAATTTTTTTGTTAAGAAAAGCTAAAAAGCAAAAAAAAAAAAAAAAAAAAAAAAAAGAAAGGAAAGAAAAGAAAAATTATGCAACGGAGACCGTGTGCAGAGTATATAGATTGCAAAGCCTAAAAATATTTACTATCTGGCCCTCTTCTAAACACCAGTTGCCTATCTGCTATCTGCCCTTTATCAGGGAGGGAGGCCTAGTCTATGAACATTTACCATTTCACCTTCCTTGACTCATTCTAACCCTCAGATCTCTAGTTCCAAATATTCCCAAAAGATTTGATGCTCTTTTGATCCCACTGACAGTACACAAGTATGTTGACAATGGACTTTCTCCAGAGAGCCCTGAGGGGACGTCCATGACCTTACTGAGATGAAGGATATGGAGTCTCCAACTTTTGTTTTCCTCTGTTCTAATTGGCTTTCAGAGTTCATGGAAAATTTTCATGTGCCAGAGACTTCTGGAAGCCTAATTGCTTAAGAAAAGAGTAGTTTGTAAAATTAGTCTTATGACTTGAGTGTCATATTTTTGGCTAAACAAGTTAACCAGGCAGGCATTTAAACAATGCCCTGTTCCTCCAGGATCATGTTTCTAGGAATGCCAACCCCCCAGGCCCTGGAATTTGAAGTCAAAGGGAATGGTCTCTATGGGCATAGTTGTAGTTTACTCGAAGGAGGGATGAACAAGGACACATTCTTGGACCTTGATCTAAGCAAATGAGTATTCATTAGGGAGCAGATTAGCACCAGTGAGAAGTGATGGCAGAGGCAACAGGCAGTGCCACCAGACAAACTGATGGCTGACCTCACGGCACATAGCATGGGGGCCAATGGCCCTGCCCATCCCAGGGGCACCTGAGGGACGAAATCACACGAATCACAGACACCTTCCATGAACTAGGGGCATCAAGAAAAAGGATTAATTAATGATTTATATACTCTGTGATAAGGCAAACTTAAAATAAAAATACATTAGTAGTTCTCAGTTGAACTCCAGCTTAAATTGTGAATTAATTATGCATTATGCATGTGGGAATTGAAAAGGACGCGATAGAATGGAAGGCTGGTGAGGGCATTGAAATGAATAAGGAAATGGAGAGCAACTGAGGTGTCAAGTAATTTGTTCAAAATCACAAATTTAGTTACAGACAAAACCATAGTTGTCTTGACTTTCAGGTTAGCATTGTTCATTCCCCAAACCCCATCATATCAAGGGTCAGCAAACTATGCCCTATGGGTCAAATCCAGCCTGCTGCCTGATTTGTAAATAAAGTTTTATTGAAACCCAGCTACATCCATTAATATACTATTTCCTGTGGCTGCTTTTGTGTTATAGTGGCATAGTTAAGCAGTTGTGAGAGATCGTATGGCCCACAAAGCCTAAAATATCTACTCTCTTCCCCTTACAGAAAATGTTTGTCAATCCTTGCCCTGTACCATTAGATCTAGATTTTGGACTGTTTCTCTACTTACTTCTTATTTCTGTTTTCTCATCTATAAAATGAAACTAATAATACCTATAATTGTTTTAAGGATTCATTTGGGAAATTATATAAAATGCCTAGTAGCTTTTGGCATATAGCTGAGGCTCAAAGAATGATGCAAGTGACGGAAACTAAATTTGATCCTTAAAGAGAGGAACTCATTGGCTTGTGTAGCTGGGAATAATATCCCATCATCATAAATGTGGGCTTAGTTTGAGCCTGTAATCTGAGTGCAACTGTCTCATCAGTCTTATAAACTTTCTCAAGTTTTCTCTTAATGGAAGGATAGCCCAGGGTTTGGTGAATTCTGCCTCACCATAAACAGAGGACCAAAAAGGGAAGCTGACCCTCCAAGATCAGAACTGGGAGACGAGGCCATTAGGACTCGCTCACTTTCCCATTCATTCTCTCTCCATCTCCCACTCCCTGGCTTCACTTTGTAGACACTTCACCTCATGGTGGAGAATGTGGCCTCAGAAGTCCAGATTTGCATCCTCCCAGTGATGCAACTTGGCTGGGAAGGAAATTTCTCTTTTTCTCCCATCTTTTAAGTATCAGTCCCACAAATGTACTTTAATTGGTTCAGTTTGGGTCATGGTTCCACCCTTTATTCAATTTCTGATGGCTAACCATCTACCAAAATTTGTACTGTCTTTTCCACATTAGAGGGATCTTTCTGGGAAGCAGAAGGCCAGGCAAGGACTACATTTCTGAGCTGCCCTTGCACCTAGATGAGGCCATTTAGCTAGTTCTTATCAAAGCAATACAAATGAAATTGATATGTATTACTTCTGGCTCATGGAGATTATGAAACAGATGGTCTTTCACCCTCATGTTTCCCTTCCACCAGCTGGAAATTATTGTCCAAAGACATCATGGAAACGCGTGGAAGGAGCTGCTAGACAGCTGATCACTGAATGAATATGTGGAACAAAGCCCTCTTCCTCCCCAATCTGACCTTAATAGCTTTGAACTCTTTATGTGAGCAAAAAATAAACTTTTATTGTGTTTGAGCCCTTATGCTTTGTGGCTGATTTGTTATAGCAATTAACCTACCCTAACTAAAACAAATACTCTGACTGGACAGGTACTCTCATGCCCGTTCTTATGACTGAGCAATGGAAGACAGGCAGAGTCTGTTAGGAGAAGAAAGAGGAGAGAAAAAATCTGTTGGGAATGCAACAGTTGAACAAGGAAATAACTACTACAATCTGCAGCAATTAGTAACTATTTATTTTGTAGTTTTTTTACTGTAAGTAAGATACTAATAGGCTGGGTGTGGTGGGTCACACCTATAATCCCAGCAGTTTGGAAGGCTGAGGTGGGTAGATCACTTGAGGTCAGGAGTTTGAGATCAGCCTGGCCAACATGGTGAAACCCCATCTCTACTAAAAATACAAAAATTAGCCAGGCATGGTGGTGGATGCCTGTAATCCCAGCTCCTCAGGAGGCTGAGGCAAGAGAATCGCTTGAACCTGGGAGGCACAGGTTGCAGTGAGCCGAGATCGTGTCACTTCACTCCAGCCTGGGTGACAGAGTGAGACTCTGTCTTAAAAATAAGAAAGATACTAATAATATTCCATCATCATAAATTTGAACCTATAACCTGAATGAAAATTGTCTCATCAGCCTTATAAACTTTCTCAAGTTCCCTCCTCATGGAAGGATAGCCCAGGGTTTGGTGAATTCTGCCTCACCATGAACAGAGGACTTGCTACAAGGGGTCAGGAAGTGATGCTGTTGAGAGCGCTGACTGCCATGTGCCAATGGCGATCCCTCTGGTGGTGGTGATGGTGGTGGTTGGGGAAAAGAGGAATTGTTGACAGCTTTGAAATAGGACTCTGGAGACCCCAAACATCCTGAGGCCTCTCCTCTCTCTCAGGTATGTATTCCACAGCCAGGATTAGGGGTTCTGAAGACCCCAAGAGCACTCAGATGGTATTTTGACATCAACAGGCTTATTAAAATTCAGTTCTGACACTAACCACCTGGAGTTAACATCAGACTCCACAGGTTTTGAGGGCATGGTTTCTAAAAAGACTGCCCCTCCTTCAGTACCAAGGCTGCCTGCACTTCTGACCAGTGAACTACAAATCTTGGGGCTTCCCACAACACCCTTGGTTTGAGCACTTTGCTAGAATGACTTGCAAAGCTCAGAAAAGTGCTGTATTTATGATTCTAGTTTTATTACATAGGGTACACATCAGGACCAGCCAAAAGAAGACACACATAAGTAAGGTCTGGAAGGGCCCTGATTGCAGAGCTTCCATGTCCTGTCCCCATGGAGCCAGGGGACAGCACATCAATGTGTTCAGCAGCCAGCAAGCTCCACTGAGCCTTGGTGTCCAGTGTCCAGAGTTTTTCTCTTTTTTTGAGACAGAGTCTCTCTCTGTCACCCAGGCTGGAGTGCAGTGACATGATCTTGGCTCACTGCAAGTTCTGCCTCCCGGGTTCACGCCATTCTCCTGCCTCAGCCTCCTGAGTAGCTGGGACTACAGGCACCCACCACCATGCCTGTCTAATTTTTTGTGTTTTTAGTAGAGATGGGGTTTCACCGTGTTAGCCAGGATGGTCTTGATCTCCTGACCTCGTGATCCAACCACCTCGGCCTCCCAAAGTGCTGAGATTACAGGCATGAGCCACTGTGCCCAGCCACAGTGTCCAGAGTTTTTACTGGGGTTTCATTATGTAGGCATGATTGAGTGAATCATGGGCCATGTGATTAAACTCAACCCCTAACCCTCCCCTTCTCTCCAGAGACTGAGCTGGCTCATAGCTCCAATCTTCTAATCACATAGTTGGTCTTTCTGAGATCGTATCCCACCCTGAGCTACCTCATCTCTTACACTCAGGTGTGATACAAGAGACATATGAATAACAGACACACCTATTACCTGGGAAATTCCAGGAACTTAGAGTCTCCCTCCCAGAAGCCAGGGACAAAGGCCAGTCAAATGCTTGATTATACAACAGATGGGTTGTCCGTACAAAGGTTTTTGGTGGTGTAATTAGAGTTGGGTAATTAGAGTCTCTTTGTTTTCCATTTAATGGAGTGAATTAATACCAAGAAATGAAACTGGTGGTCATAATGAGAACATTACTTTTGGGAAATTATAAATATTGTTAACACACTGTTGTCTATCAGAGAACAGGGTGTTCTAGTGAAACTAGAACAGATTCCCTTATATCCCTCTTTCATGGGAACATGTGAACAGAGTGTAGCCTTCCATTTAAGCAGGCATACCATTTGGGCACCTTGGTTTTCATAATGGAATGTGAACTCTACCACTCACCTATGTAGTTTCATACACACACACACACACACACACACACACACACACACACACCCCTGTGGTCTAAAAATACGCTACAATGAATCACTGCTAACATTACTGAGTGCTTATCACGTGCCAGGCATTGTGTTAAAAGCTTCACATACATTATGTAATTTAATCCTTTAATCCACAAACCTACAAAATAAGCATTATAATCATCCCATTTTATAGATATGTAACTGTCTTAGGTCACATAGCTCAGAGGTGGAGGAACCTGGATTAAAAGCCAGAATCGGACTCCCTTAACGATTGTGCTAGAGCCCGTTCCTGCATAAAGCCCAGCTGAAAAGCAATGAGATTTGTGGGAAAGAATTTAAGGAATGTGGTATCTATTTAGTCCACTACATAGTCTATGTGCTATTCTTAATTTGCATCACAGACCTCAAAAACTACCTGAACTAATGTTTTAATGTTGTTGCCTTTTATGATGCTGGATGCAAGAAACAGCGTGGATTCTTCTGAATTCTTAGTGAAGCTGTTGGGAAAGATATTGAAATGATGCAGCAGACAGTTGTACCCTATAGCTGCCCGACGTGGAGATTTCTTTGAGTTTCACACAAGGCACAATCTTCTGTCTCCTGAAGGACTGCTATAAATCTACAGCTGAGATATTGTTTTTACCAGCTGCTGTGTTGCCCCCAATTTTTAATGTGAGTGTGTGCTGAAATAGAGCAATTATAGTGACTCCCATGACAAGTACATTTGCTTTTCTTTGCTTAATCCAGGTTTATCTGTTTTTATTCTCATTTTATTGAAATCCTGTTTTTGGTATGTTACTTAAACCCTCAAGTTCTTTTAGACTAGAGTAAAAACAAATATTCTAGATATTTGGCAAGTAATATAAAATCCTATCTATGAATGACCAAATTTTATTTTGGGTAGAATACAACAAAATAGACAACATTAAAAGTATACTGAGCTTATAGCCTTTGTGTAATCTTTATCCAATTAGTCAAATGATGTCTGGGAATCTTTACAGAATTTCATGATACCATGATTAATACCAATCATCAGTATCCTATAGAAGTATAGAAATGCCAGTTAAAGTTTTCTGGTTGATAATGATAATAATGTTGATGATCATAAAAGTGGTGAATATTTGGACAGATTCATTCGAGAAAGATTAACGAGTGCTTTCTTTGTACCAGATGAATGATGTTCATGTTCTTTCTCGGAGAATGTTGTGGGTTGAATTGTGTCCTCACAAAATTTATATGTTGAAGTCCTAACCCCCAGTACCTCAGAAGGTGACCTTATTTGAAGATAGGGTCTTTAGAAGTAATTAAATAAAAATGAGTTCATCAGGGTGTGCTCTAACCCAGTATGACTCATATCTGAAGAGACACAAGGAGAAGATGGACACATACAAACCAGGGAGAGAGGCCTGGAACAGGTCTTTCCTTCACAGCCTTCAGAAGAAACCAACCCTATTGACATATTAATTTTGAACTTCTAGCCTCCAGCACTGTGAGATAATAAAATTCTGTTGTTTGGGCCACACAGTCTATGGTACTTTGTTATGGCAGCCCCAGCAAACCAATACAGGGCATGCAGACAATATGCAAATAAACAGAATTGCAAATAATTTGTTTTAAAAAGGATGGTGATATATGCACTGGAGAACAAGAAGGCAGGCTGAGGGGAGAAAGGGCTGGTTAGGGATCACTGGTAAGGTGACATTTCACAGGACTGGAAGAAGTGAAGGTGCAAGTCAAGCAGATAGTGAGGGAAAGGGTGTTTCAGGCAGGAAAACACTGAGTGTCCCAGAGGGGAGAGGATGCTTGTTGTGTTCAAGGAACTACAAGAAGGCCAGGTGCAGAGGCTCACACCTGTAATCCCAGTACTTTTCAAGGGCTGAGGCAGGAGTATTGCTTGAGCCCAGGAGTTCAAGACCAGCCTGGGCAACATAGCAAAACCCCATATCTACAAAAAAAAAAATTGTTTCTTAAAATTAGCCAGGCATGGTGGTACACACCTGTAGTCCCAGCTACTCAGAAGGCTGAGATAAGGAGGTTCGCTTGAGTCTAGGAGGCAGAGGTTGCAGTGAGCCATGATCACACCACTGCACTCCTGTCTAGCTGACAGAGGGAGAGCCTGTCTCAAAAAAAAAAAGAACCACAAGGAGACCAGTAAGACTGCCATAGAGAGAGCCAGGGCAGGCTCAGGGTGGACAGGTGGGGACTGGAGTGCCCAAGTGCATATAGGCTTTGCAAAACTAGATTTTCCTCCAAATGAGAAGGGGGATTCCGGAGGGTTTTGAATAGGGGACTAAGTTCATGCTTTAAAAGCTCCTATCTAGCTACTGTGAAGAGAATAAATTGAAGGGGCAAGAGAGCAAGATGGGAGCTGGGGGAGGTGAGAAGTGGCCACTACTGAATGATGGATTGGATGTGAGGGATAAGAGAGAGAGTCATCAAGGATGACCGCAAGGATCACATTGGAGAGGGGGCGGAGAAGTGAAGACTGGATATTGGTGTGAGCAGCTGTTCATTGTTCAGTTCCTACCTATGAGTGAGAACATGTGGTGTTTGGTTTTCTGTCCTTGTGATAGTTTGCTGAGAATGATGGTTTCCAGCTTCATCCATGTCCCTGAAAAGGACATGAACCCATCCTTTTTTATGGCTGCATGGTATTCCATGGTGTATATGTGCCACATTTTCTTAATCCGGTCTATCACTGATGGACATTTGGGTTGGTTCCAAGTCTTTGCTATTGTGAATAGTGCCACAAGAAACATATGTGTGCATGTGTCTTTATAGTAGCATGATTTATAATCCTTTGGGTATATACTCAACAATGGGATTGCTGGGTCAAATGGTATTTCTAGTTCTGGATCCTTGAGGAATCGCCACACTGTCTTCCACAATGGTTGAACTAATTTACACTCCCACCAACAGTGTAAAAGAGTTCCTATTTCTCCACATCCTCTCCAGTATCTGTTGTTTCCTGACTTTATAATGACTGACATTCTAACTGGCGTGAGATGGTATCTCATTGTGATTTTGATTTGCATTTCTCTGATGACCAGTGATGATGAGCATTTTTTCATATGTCTGTTGGCTGCATAAATGTCTTCTTTCGAGAAGTGTCTGTTCATATCCTTTGCCCACTTTTTGATGGGGTTATTTGTTTTTTTCTTGTAAATTTGTTTAAGTTCTTTGTAGGTTCTGGATATTAGCCCTTGTCAGATGGGTAGATTGCAAAGATTTTCTCCCATTCTGTAGGTTGCCTGTTCATTCTGATGATAGTTTCTTTTGCTATGCAGAAGCTCTTTAGTTTAATTAGATCCCATTTGTCTATTTTGGCTTTTTTTGCCATTGCTTTTGGTGTTTTAGTCATGAAGTCGTTGCCCATGTGCTAGGCTGAATTCTAAGATGGCTGCCAAGAGCTGGTTCCCTCCACCCACTTCCTGCCCTGTACAATCCCTTCCCCTTGAATGTGGGCAGGCCCATGAATATGATGAGATAGTCACCCTTGAGTAGGTTACATTATATAAGAGTCTATCTTATTGGATTGGTGCCATATCGTTGTGAGCTGCCTTTGAAGGGAGCTGTGTGGCAAAAAGCCAAGAGTGGCCTCTAGGAGCTGACAGCCAGCAAGGGAACAGGGACCTTGGTGACACAGCCAGAAGGAAACTTGGAAGTGGATCCCTTCCCCATTGAGCCTCCAGATGAGAATACAGCCAGTTGACACCTTGACTGCAGGCTTGTGAGATCCTGAGATGAAGACCCAGATAACATGTGGCATATACTTTTGACTGCAGAAATCGTGAGGTAATAAATTTGTGGTGTTGGCCTGGCACGGTGGCTCACACCTATAATCCCAGCACTTTGGGAGGCCGAGGAGGGCAGATCATGAGGGCAGGAGTTCAAGACCAGCCTGACCAACATGGTGAAACCCTGTCTCTACTAAAGGTACACAAAAATTAGCCAGGTGTGGTGGTGTGCGCCTGTAATCCCAGTTACTTGGGAGGTTGAGGCAGGAGAATCACTTGAACCCAGGAGGCAGAGGTTGCAGTGAGCCGAGATTGTGCCATTGCACTCCAGCCTGGGCGACAAGGTGAGACTCTGTCTCAAAAAAAAAAAAAAAAACTTGTGGTGTTTCGGCTGCTAAGTTTACAGTCACTGGTTATGTACCATAGAAAATGAATATATATAGGGTGGTCAAAGAAAGTCTCTCTGAGAATGTGACTTGTAAACTGAGGGTGAGGAGTCAACCAAGGGAAGAGTGACAAGACAGAGAGTTCCTGGCAAAGGACTCTGAGGTGGGGAAGAAGTGAAGGAGTTCAAGAACAGAAAAGTGGCCGGTCCAGCTAGAGCCCAGCAGGTGAGGGACGGAGAGAGGAACAAGAGGAAGGCAATGTGGATAAACTTTTAACCTTTTACAAACACAGGACACTTCTCTCTTACTCAAGTTCAAAGCCACATCTGTGAATGTGGTATCAGATAAGCTTCTATAAGAAAGGGACTCCAAAACAGAGTGCCTTAAGTAGGAGAGAAGTTTGCTTTTATTCCATGCAATGGAGCAGAGGAAGGTGAGAGGTTTAGAGCTGGTGTGGTTGGTTGCTGGCTGGATAGACGTGCAACTTTCAGAATGTGGTTTTTTTTCCTGGGCCTGAGGTGGCTCCTTCAGTTCTTCCAATTTTCCAGCCAGTGGGAGGGGAAAAGTAAGAATGGAAGGCTTGGTGTTTCTGTATTAAAACAACAACAACAACAACCACCACCACCAAAAACACTGTGATTTGGAAGTTGTGCTCATCGATTCTGTGCTCAACCCGTTGGCCAGAGCCCAATCCTGTGACCACACCTACGGCCACAGAGTCCCGGGTGGGTGTCTCTAGCTCACCCCTGGGGAGTCCCATGTCTTAAGAGTTCCCTGCTAACTCAGAGCTGTGTTTCTAAAAGTTAGAGTATAGCCTCTGGAGAACAATGAGCAGTCTCTGTCCCAGCTTAACCTTATTTAGCCATAAGGCTGGACACATCTTTAGCTTTCTCCCAAGGCTCCAGGATGGTAGAGGTGACATTCAAAGTGGACTGTCACTTGTCTTCTCTCATCTCTCCAATGATTTCCCAAGAATAGAATAGGATGAGCAGCCAAATAGTGGGCGCGAAGGCTTGTCTCTTTCATTTCCAGCACAGCCCTGGAAAAAAAATCTCCCTACCTCACCTGCAATCACTCCTCCCTGGTCAGAATGTTTCTGCCATTTGGGCTTCATCTTATAGCCTTCGTGCCCATCAGCCCTGAGGGCAGGCAGTTTATGTGTTTGGCATGCCCTGTAACTCTCCAGCATTCTGAACCTTTACTGCAAGTCAGAGGCATTTATTAATGCTGCTAATAATAGTACCTAGCAGGGAAGGACTGGCACAAACATGCAAGAAGCAGCGTTTCCCTTTACTGTGCTTTCATTGTTCACTGGAACATGACAGATGGAGATAAATTCAGACTTGCCTTTTCAGTTCCGTCACTTGGGTTACTGATCCCATTACTAGAAGTTGTGCTTTGCTGGTGCCCGTAGAAACATGCAGCAAATAACAGGCTGTAGGGTGTTCTCATGCTCCATTCGTGCAGCCTGAAACAGAAAAGTTTGGTTTCTGAGAAAGCTGCAGGTTCCATCTCTGTAGCCTGAGGTTGTTTTGAAATGAGGCGGCCATAAAAGCTGAGCACAAGCCGAATCTTGCCTGCCTTCTTGCTTGCAAAGTGCAAAAAGGCAAGCAGAGAAAGCAAAATTACCTGTCTTTGTGTGCCTTTGTGTATCCCTATCTCTCAGTCTTTTACTTTGAAAAATTTCTCTATTTAGAACTGTGTAAATTGATATCAATTGCTAATCTCATTGAAGCCAGGTTTATGCCAAAAACTATGCAGGGAGCCTCCCAGGTATTATTTCTTTTGAACCTCGATAACTCAGTGCTATGTTGTTATTCCCATTTCATAGAGGAGGAAACCAAGGCAGGGAGAAATTCAGGTTATATGTTCAATGTAGCACAGTTGGTAAGGGGCAGAGGTAGAATTTGAACCTGTGTTTTTGTGACCCTAGAACCTGCAGTGGCAACCCCAATATCCTATTGCCTGTTGAGAGAGCAGAGGAGAGTTTGCAATCTCCAGTTGCTTCTTTCCACCACGGGCTGGCAGCTACTGGCCATTCCTATTGTGGAAAGCAAAAGGCATCCCAGCCTGGGAAACCAGCTGGATTTCATCACATCAGCTGAAGTCACGTCAGCTGACTTCAGGTCAGCTGAAGGTGTAGTCACCTGCCTCCACTTCCACTTTCCCTTCACAACTCTCTGTCACCCCACTCACCCCAGTCCTGACACACCAGATGGCTGCTTTTCTACCTGGTTAGTTACTGGGTACTGCAGGCCTCTGTTTCTCCAGGCTTCTTCACCAGTGTTTCTGCTGCAGGATAGGTTCAACGCAGCTTTCGTTGGCTGGTCTAGGACTTGATACAGTGGGCTGCACACTGAGCTCTGAACCAGGAATTCACAAATAAGTTGTTAGGACCTGCCGTGGTCTGAATGTGTTCCCTCTCCCCTCCCCCCAACAAATTCATATGTTGAAACTTAACTGCCAATGTGATAACATTAAGAGGTGGGGCCTTTAGGAGATGAGTAAGTCATGAAGGCTCTGCCTGTTACGAATGGGATGAGTACTCTTATAAAAGAGCTCAAGGGAACTAACTAGATCCCTTTTGTCCTGCCTTCTGCCATACGAGGACATAGCAATAAGGCACCATCTGAAAGCAGAGAGTAGCCCTTAGCAGACACTGAATGTGTTGGTGCCTTGATCTTGGATTTCCCAGCCTCCAGGACTGTGAGAAAATAAATCTCTGTTCTTTGCAAATTACCCAGTCTTGGATATTGTGTTATAGCAGCAGAAACGAACTGAGACAGGACTCTACTCATGTATTGTTTGATGAGTCTCCCGTAGTCCTGCCATAAGAAACTGAGTGCAGGCCAGGTGCCGTGGCTCACGCCTGTAATCCCAGCACTTTGGGAGGCCGAGGTGGGCAGATCATGAGGTCAGGAGATCAAGACCATCCTGGCTAACATGGTGAAACCCCGTCTCTACTAAAAAATGCAAAAAATTAGCCGGGCGTGGTGGTGGGCACCTGTAGTACCAGCTACTCAGCAGACTGTGGCAGGAGAATGGCGTGAACCCGGGAGGCAGAGCTTGTAGTGAGCCGAGATCGTGCCACTGCACTCCAGCCTGGGCGACAGAGGGAGACTCCATCTCAAAAAAAAAAAGGAAAAAAATAAAGGAAACTGAGTGCAAAAACATGCCCGTGCAAAAGTGATCTGTTGAGAGTAATGTATCATGTTGTGAAGGGGTTCACTCACTGTGAGAACATGGTGGAAATGAAGAACACTAGCCTGGGATTCAAGTGAAGCTGTCCTTTCCTGAGCGCTTACTGTGGACTGGGCACTGTGCTGGCCTCTTGCCTACCTGATTTCATGCAGGCCTCAAAATTGTTTTGTGAAGTAGGCTGCCTTATCGATATTTTACAAATGAGAAAACTGAGGCTAGATATATTAACTGGCTTTTCAAGGGCGGTTTGACTTGTAAAGTGGAGTCTTCAGTTTCCAATGCCAATGTTCTTTTTTCTTTCTTTCTTTCTTTTTTTTTAACTCAGCTACTAATTTACTTTATAATCTTAAGGGGAAAAAAACCCTTTTGGCCTTATTTTCATATCTTTAAAATGAGAGGTTAGATTAGATCACGGTTTTCTAATTTGTGTTCCAAGAAACTCCTAGTTAGGTGATCATAGCTACAGGCTTTTGAGCTACTCAAACTTGGATTCGGGTTGCAGCTTAAAAAAATTTTATTTTTTTGTACAGACAGGGTCTTGCTATGTTGCCCAGGCTAGTCCTGGCTTCAAGTGATCCTCCTGCCTCAGCTTCCCAAAGTGCTGGGATTACAGGAGTGAGCCACTGCACCCGGCCAAGGGTATTCAGCAAATTTACCAAGGACCTATTATGTGTTGGGCATTGTTCTAACCAAAGGTGATAACTGATAATAAATTGACCTCAGAGAGGCTTTGGCAGAGTTTGAAAGAGATGAACAAGCAAATAAGAAGACAATATCAATGATAAACCCAACAAAAGAAATAGTCAGGGTGCTGTTACAGAAAATAAGGGGGGACCTTAGGGTGGTTAGGGAAAGCTTTTTGAGTTAAGGCTTGAAGAAAGGAAGGAGCTAGGTAAAGAACATTTCAGGCAGTGGAAAGAAGTACAAAGGTCCTGAGGCAGAACAGGGTTTGAGACAGTGGAGAAATGGAAATAAGGCCTGTATCACTGATGCATAGTGACCAAGGGGAAGAGTGGACAGAGGAAAGAGGAAATCACATAGGACCTATAAGGAGTTGGGAGCAATAGCATTAATGATAATTATGAATAATAAACTTGCTAATCAAATTGCTAATAACTTGCTAGACCTGTACTATGCCCTTTATTCACCTTAAGAGTTAGGAAACAGTTACCTTGGGCAAGTTATTGAAATTTGCTAAAACTCAGTTTTCCCATCTGCTAAGTGATGATAACAATGTACCCCTTTCATGGAAATGCTGAGAAGATTAAATGAATTTAGCTCCAAATCTGGCTCAGAGTTAGCTCCCAGGGAACAGTGGCTATTCCTGAGAGGAAGGAGGAGGACAGGCACAGGACTTGGGTCTCATCTCTTGATTCAGCCAATGCTTTTCCAAGATGATTTGTTTTCCTCATTGGCCTTTGCAGAAAGTGTTGTCTATTAAAATCTGTTTTAAATCTGGTCAGATTGAAATTCCTCGTCAGACTTCAAGGCTCCATCCAAGTGTACCCTTTGGAGGCCCAAGTGTTGATGGTAGATAGCACTCGCCTGTCCCCGACCCCCTCTGGCATATTCCAGTCCCCTCTTAGAGATCCCTGACTTCTTGTCAGACTCAGGAGGACAACAACTCCCAGATAAAGGCTTAGAAACCAAGGGCAGCAGAGAACCAGAATGAAGACCAAGCATTTCTGAAAAGACCATGGCAATCAGTGGGGACATCTGAGTAGATTCATAGCTAACTTCTCAGGATCTCATTGGGGATATTAACTTATAGAAGATTGTCTGCTTGAAACTCTGTGTTTCTCACTGGGAGCCCAGTTGAATGTTATTTTCTAGGCAGGACTCGTGGGATTTAGTATAAGGCCTAGGGGGAGGTTATTTCTGGAGGATGCTGTTGGTTGCTCACCAAGTAGCCATTTTCTTACCCTTTCTCAGGCCAGCACAGTTCATTGCCCATAGAGGCAGAAAATGCAGATTCTCAATTCCATAGCCTCCCTTGCAACTATGACAATAGTCATGTGACCCAATATTGG
This sequence comes from Homo sapiens, assembly GCF_000001405.40. Taxonomy (NCBI): domain Eukaryota; kingdom Metazoa; phylum Chordata; class Mammalia; order Primates; family Hominidae; genus Homo; species Homo sapiens. The sequence continues at coordinate 94,044,078 of NC_000012.12, read as the reverse complement.
CCAATTAAACCAGAGGAGAGCTCTGCTGGAGAGTTTCTGGGCAAGATATATTCTTTTCCCTTTGTTTTTTTGAGATGGAGTCTCACTTTCTCACCCAGGCTGGAGTGCAGTGGCGCAATCTCTGCTCTCTGCAACCTTCACCTCCCAGGTTCAGGTGATTCTCCTGCCTCAGCCTCCCGAGTAGCTGGGATTACAGCCATCCGCCACCACGCCCAGCTAATTTATTTATTTTTAGTAGAGATGGGGTTTCACTATCTTGGCCAGGCTGGTCTCGAACTCCTGACCTCGTGATCCACCTGCCTTGGCCTCCCAAAGTGCTGGGATTGCAGGTGTGAGCCACTGCGCCCAGCCTGGGCAAGATATATTCCATGTGATAAGGGAAATAGATAAGAGGAAAAGCCATGACTCCTCCTTCCTAGCATTTTGTATGTGCATTTGTCAAGACATTATATATGCAGCCTTAGCAGCCATCTTGCAGTAGTGAGGGAGAGTCTCTGAGAAGCCCTGATGATATGGTTTGGCTGTGTCCCAACCCACATCTCACCTCTAATTTTAATAATCCCTACGTGTGGTGGGAGGGACTCGGTGGGAGGTAATTGAATCATGGGGGCAGGTCTTTCTCATGCTGTTCTCATGATAGTGAATATGTCTCATAAGATGTTTTATAAAGGGGAGCTCTCCTGCACACACTCTCTTGCCTGCTGCCATGTAAGACGTGTCCTTGCTCCTCTGCCTTCACCATGATTGTGAGGCCTCCCCACCCATGTGGAACTGTGAGTCCATTAAACCTCTTTTTTCCCTTTATAAATTACCCAGTCTTGCATATGTCTTTATTAGCAGAATGAGAATGGACTAATACACCTGCTATGGTTGAGCCATTGATCCACCTGTCACTGGACCACTGTTATGTGAGACAAAGAAATCCCTTTAATTTAAGCCCATTATCTCTGGCTACTCAGTTATGTGCAATTGAAAGCATCTTAACTGATACATCTCTGCTCCTTTTCATCCTTTCTCATTACTCTCCCCTTTGGAAAGAATCAGAGAGCCCTTTTCACCTGTTCAGTGATGTCAACAATTTTTTAAAAAGAAACAAAGACTTTCATTTCTGGGGTGCTCTTAGGTCCAGCTTGCCCAGGACCCTTCCAGAGCAGCTGTGGTTTATTCCTGTGGTTCTGGTGTAATTTTTAAGAGTACTCAAAAATGTTCTTGGATGGATGATAAATTATTTGGTCACATTATTTTCCTTTTTCAGAGGAAAAGCTTCAGTGTGGATGTCTCTGGAAGAGAGAGAGAGAAAATACACAGCTTTCAAATTCACAATAAAAGGGTAAATGGTGAACCCCAGGGTTTGGGGGGTGGGGTAGGCAGAACTGGAGGGAGCACTTGCCATGAAAGAGGTTCCCTAGAGTAGGGAGGAGGCCCAGAAAGAGCAAACTTGGAGCTCTAAAGGCAAACTGCATGCACTTCCCAGCTTTTCCAGTGACCTGCCCTGCTTCTAAGAGCACGCAGAGCCTTTGTTGGTGTGTTTCTGATCTTTCTCTGCTGCCTTTTCACACAGTCCTAATCCACTTTCTACCAACACCCCTGGGGTGAGTGGAGCCTAAGACTTAGCCAAGAAGTCTGAAACTCTTCCCTGTGGTTTTTGTCTGAACCCAGACAACTCCCTGTTTCTTTCTGAGCTCTTTCCGAGACCATTACAGGATTGACAATGGCAACATACGAAGTGGGTAATGTCACTCTCACTCACGCTATTTCAATTCCTTTCTTTCCAGACTTTTCCAGACCCCTCATAACTGGAAGGTGTGTGGAGTGCACCCCGTCTCCACTCCCTCTGTTGTACCTCCCTCCTGTGGGAAGAAAAGCAATTCACAAACCAGGCAGTTTATCCCTGCTGAACAACACGTTGTTAAATGCATAATTTAGTCTTGATGTAAATTATACAGGCTCATTATCTGTGAGAAAATCTGGCTGCCCTGTGAGCCAGTTAGAATGATGAGCAACGTGCCTGGAGCCCCAGTAGCTGTCCCTGAGGAGTTGAATCCAGGAACAGAAGGAGCCCTTGTGCTCCCAGAGGCAGCACCAGGCATCAGGCCTCAGTTCTAGCCAATCTGCTGGGACTGGGGCTAGGCAGGGGGCCCTGAAAAGCGAGACCCTGCTTCTTGCACAGAGACATGCTTCTTTCTTGCTGCCTTCTGTGCCTGATCATCCAGGTGACTATTAGGGCTTGTGCAGTAGAACAAAGCAGGAGAAATGACTGAGGGGATGCGGGTCACAGGGGACACTTGGCTGGAGTTGGGGAAAGATTGGGCTGGAATCAATGCCTAGAATCCTCATCATTCATAATCTGGATCTGTGGGAAACTGGTAGGCTCCTTGAAGGGGGGACCTCAATGCTGAAAGAGAAGTCTTTTAACTCATTCAGTAATAACTATCTGAGTGCCTACTATATCTTAGGCACTAAACTAGGGTCAGAGGCTACAAGAGTAAACAAAACACAATTGTTGTCCCTAGATGCTTTCAGTTTACTGGGAATTTCAGACAAGATAACAGGTAGTTACAAAGGAGTATTGATGTCACTGGTAAACACACACACACACACACACACACACACACACACACACACGCACATTAAAAATTACCCAGCAAGATGTCTGTGTGTCCTTCAGTGTCATTCTAAAGCCTTGTCTAATGGGCCAGCCCAAGCGTCATCTGAAATCCTTGATTTGGCTCACTATCACAAATTCTTATGGTCTAGATCCTGAAAAGTTAGATCTTAATTTGTAGGAAATTGATAAGTTGCAAATGATTTTTGTCTGGCAGAGATGTAAATGATTTCTCTCCATTGGAATAAACAGTTCCAAAGGGTTATAATTGTGTTGCTTCTAGGACATTATTCAGTTTTGTACCTAGGTCAGCAGTCTTACTTCAGCATCCTTGCTTTCACTGACTATTCTGTATATACTCAGCTTCTTATAGGTTCCTTCAATCCAACTTTATCATCCTGCTGGTTCTCTCATTAACGAGTTAAATAAATCTTTGGCATAGACTTTGATGTATTTGCATGAGAGTCACACCTTTAACTTTTTGGAAATTATCATCTGACACCTTAGAGGTAAGACCACCTTAGTGGTAAGGGGTAAAAGACAAGAAACATGAAATCCAGTCTTAGGGGTTTAGGGAAGATTTCTCAGAGAGGGCATCTAAAGTCAGATATGAAGGACAAAGGAGTTAGCTAGGCAAGGATGGATGCGGGAAAGTGTACTAGGTGGGAGATTAGTATACACAGAGGCCAGAGATGAGACAGTTGCATTAACACTAGAAGCCCAAGAAGGTGAGCGGTGAGCAGCAGGGATGGAGAGGTAAGGAACGGTCAGACTGGAATGGACCTCAGTGCTATGCCAAGGAGCTTGGTCTTTATAAAGAGGGCACTGTAAGTCATTAACAAGTTTTTAAACAGGTGCAAAATGTGGTTGGATTTGGCTTCTGGGTTCACTGTCTTGTAAGCCAGGTGGGAAACTCATTCATTGTAGACTAATTGTAGCCTGCTGAGGTTGCTTCTAAGATTCCTATGTAATTCTGGTTCCCTCCAGTTTGCTCTACAATTAAAAGACATTGGTGAATAAATTTATGGACACAATTCCTATACGTTAGCTGGAATGCCCAACAATGGATATTTATCATGTTTAAGGTTTTCCTTTTCTAACCTTGTCAAAAATATAGAGAAAGCAGAAGTGCAAAAAAAAAAAAAAAAAAGTGCAAGGCTCACATATTTTAAAGTGAAATTCTCAGCAACGGACAAATCAGAGCTGAAGGGGAGACTCCAGAGACCAGCTATTAGATGAAATTGCTTTGGTCGGAAAGGTTGCTGCCTTTTTCAAGTTTCCTTAGCCAGATGTTTCCGCTTAAGCAATAAATTGTGAAACATTTTTGCATTTTTGGCACAAGGGATCATTTATTCGGTTATGACGTAGTTTGCAGAGGACTTTTCAGCATTGATAGCACTTTTGTTTCTTGTCCCACTTAATTTTCATAAGAGCCTGTGAGGCAGAGAGGCTGTCTGCTGCCATGTCCATTTTATAGATGGAGAAGCCAAGGTCCAGAAAGGGTCAGTGGTTTGCTCAGCCACCACTACAAATTAGTCAGAGCCTGTAAAAGGAAGATCTTGTCACCATAGCCTTGTCTGACACTACCATGGAAAATTTTACCTAGTGGGTTTTTAATAAATGCAATGAAGTGTTCTTAATATGTATCAAATTATATAATTATACATCTATATGCTTACTGTTGATTAAGGCCACTAAATTGTAACCTTCATTAAGGCAGTTTTCAATTTTCTGTTGCTGTATAACAAATGACCCCAAAACTTAGTAGCTCAAAACCAACAATTAATTAGTTTTCATGATCCTATAAGCCAGGAATTTGGGCATGGCTCAGCTGGGTGGTTCTTCTGTTCCACATGGTGTCAGCAGGGGTCACTCAAATATATTATGCTAGTGATTGGGTTGGACTATAAGATGGTTAATTTTATGTGTCAAATTGCCTGGACCACAGTGCCCAGATATTTTGTCACACATTATCCTGGTGTTTCTGTGAGGGTACTTTTGGACATGATAAACATTTAAATTAGTAGACTTTGAATAAAGCAGATTGCCCTCCATCAGATGGGTGGGCCTTGCCCAATTAGTTGAAGGCCCAAATCAAATACAAGACTGACTTTACCAAAACAAGAAGGAATTCTCCAATAGATGGCCTTTGGACTTGAACTGCAATATCAGCTCTTCCCTGGGTCTCCAGCCTGCTGGCCCACCCTGCAGATTTTAGACTTACCAATCTCTATAACTGCATGAACTAATTCTTTAAACCTCTCTCTCTCTCTGTATATATGTATATGTATATGACCACTCCTTCTTTACACGTCTAGCTTGGGCTTCTTTGCAGCATGGTGGCCTCAGAGTAGTCAAACTAATACATGGTAGCTGGGATATAAGAAAAGTGAAAGCTGCCAGTCCTCTTAAACCTTGGACTTTGAATCTCAGAATATCCCCTCTAATGTAATGTATTCATCAAAGCAAGTCACACACCAGCTCAGATTCAAGGTGAGGGTAAATAGATTCTACCTCTTAATGAGAGGATTGACAGAGTCACATTGCAAAATACATGAGGGGTGGAAGATACTATTGCAACCATTTTTGCAGGGACCGTGTTTTATTCTTAATGTATTTCCCAAACTCTTAAGAGTTTTGGGGAATATTTAATGTAACAATGTATACAAAGAGCTGAGCACAACAAATATTCCTTAAATAACTGTATGTATTCATTTGTGGATAGATGGATGGTGATAGAGTTTGGATATTTGTTCCCTCCCAAATCTCATGTTGAATTGTAATTCCCAGTACTGGAGGTGGGGCCTGGTAGGAGGTGTTTGGCTCATGGAGGCGAATCCCTCAGGGCTTCATGCTGTCTTCCTGATAGTGAGTTCTCATGAGATCTGGTCATTTAAAAGTGTGTGGCATTTCCCCATCCAATTTGTCTCTCGCTCTTTCTCTCCTGCTCCTGCTTTTGCCATGTGTTGTGTCGGCTCCTTCTTCACCTTCCACCATAATTGTAAGCTTCCCGAGGCCCCTCTAGAAGCTGAGCAGATGCCAGCATCATGCTTCCTATAAAGCCTGCAGAGGCTTAATTGGCCTAAAGAGCCAATTAAATATCTTTTCATTATAAATTACCCAGTCTCAAGTATTTCTCTATAGCAACGCAAGAATGGCGTAATGCAGATGGAAAATGTGCCCAGGGTGTGTGATTGTGACTCACAGACTCACAGGTGACCCCAATCGTTACTACACCTCATGTCTACCCATAGATAGTCCTTTGAGAAACAAGATAGGGCTGTAGTTAAGAGCTTGGGTTTTGAATTCAGACCACAGGGCTCCAGATTCAGTCTCCACTACTTGGGAGCTGTGGGATCTTGGATAAGTCATTTAGCCTCTTTGTGTTTCAGCATTCTCACCTATAAGAAACTTGTGTTAATAACACTCACCTCTTAGGATTGTTGGGTTCCTTATTAATGCAAGTGAGATAATATAAGTAAAGGGCACAGTACAGGTTTAGCAATTTATTAGTAACTTTATTAGTCTATTTATTTATTATAAATAATTATTACCATTATTAGAGTTGTGCCCATGTTTATGTACTACCTGCTGTAATCTATTGCTTTTCCTTTCTGTGCATGTACCATCTTTCTTTCTGAACACTGCTATTCCATCTGTGACTGCAGTTTCTCGGCAAGCCACCACTGTGCCACATCATTTGAAGCTGGGGGGAAAAGAAAATAAGAGTTGGTGTTGCTCCGTGTCATCACTTCCCCTGACAGCTGCTTGGCGCCTCTTCCAGTTTCTCCCCGACTTCCACTCCCCATGGCCTGCCTCCTGGAGCTGCTTTCAGGCAGACATTTTTGGGTAGTGGCTGGCTGGCTGTTGGCCAGGGTTTCATCAGGGCCACTTCTCAAAGTCTGTGTTAAAGTTGGCTCTGTCAAGTGCCTAAAGAAGCAGGATGTGTTGCTGGAAGATGGTTTGGCCCCATGGTATGCAGTTTGCCTGCAGCTCTGAGCTGCAAACCTCCAGTTCTTTGTTGGTGCTATATTCTATCTTGCGGGATTCCAAGGGCATCCAGGCTTTCTGGATTAGGTACTGAAATGGAGATGAATGAGTTCGGCATTGAATTCTGGCTTTGGCTTGAATTGTGTATACCTGAGTTTTGTTGGCTTATATCTCCATTATGCCAGACAAAGGCTCTATCAGTCATTTATTGCTCCTATAGTTGTTTCTTCCTCTAGATTATGAAGAGTGAGGAGATTTTGGCAACTCATTATTTGATTTATGGCAAGTAACTTCCTGATTGCCAAGATTCTTATATTCACCAGGACTAGGACTATCTAGTTATTAATATACAGAGAGTTACCTACTCTCTGGAATGCAGAGTGCTTGGTAGCAGGGCTGCTCATATATGGTTGTTCAGGTTGTGCACTGCAAAAGGGTGCCCAACCAAGCGGGCTGGTGTGGGTAAAATTCAGCCCATGCTCAACTCACCAAGCCATCCACCCTGGCTCATATTGTAAAAGCGCCCTTTTCTAATTTGCACAGTCATGATGCAGATGTGCAGCAAGCCCTGCTTGGTAGGCTATGTGGAAGGGTTGACTTTGTACAGAAGGTAGAAAATGATGTTGGCAATTAGAAGCTGATCTTCAGAGGGCTTACTCTCAAGAAGAGACATTTATTGTTAAATAGTTCAATCCAGAGCTATCAGATTTTTTTCTCCCTTTCAATCTCACTGCCAGTGCATCCCTGGAATGCCTAGATGGTACCCATTTATCCAAATCTGTGCTGGAATAAGTCTCAACTTTCATTATGTATCATAAACACTTTTTGATGGGCTTGGGATGTCAGAACTAGTGTCTATTTTGTTTCTAAAAATCTAAGCCTGCGAAACTTTCTATTTTTCATCAGGAACTGGGGTCTTGTCAGTGGTTAAGATGTAACTCACAGAAACAGGTGGCTCAAATTTCCAGTGCTGTTCTTCTATAAACAGGAGCTAACATCTAGTGAGGACTTGCACTGTGTCAGGCACAGGTCACACAAATTACCCATTTAATCACCACAACAACCCTATGAGGTAGAGAATACTATTATCATCATTTTCCAGATGAAGAAACAGAGGCACAGAAAAGTTAAATAATTTGCCCAGAGTTCGTCAGATAGTGAGTTCTTAGTGAGCATAAGAAGGGCTTGCATTAGCGACCAGGGAAATGCAAATGAAAACCACAGTGGGATTCCACTGCACACCCACTGAGATGGCTATAATAAAAAGACAGGTAATAACATGTGTTGGTGAGGATGTGGAAAAATTGGAATGCTCATACACAGCTGGCGGGAATGTAAAATGGTGCAGCCACTGTGGAAAATTGTCTAGTAGTTTCTCAAAAAGTTGGGCATAGATTACCACATGATCCAGCAATTCCATACATAAGCATATGGCCAAGATAAATGAAAACATGTCCACAGAAAATCTTGTACATGTTTTTGTTTTTGTTTTTGTTTTGAGACAAATTCTTGCTCTATTACCCAGGCTGGAGTGCAGTGGCACGATCAAGGCTCACTGCAACCTCTGCCTCCTGGGCTCAAGTGATCCTCCTACCTCAGCCTCCCAAGTAGTTGAAACTACAGGCACATGCCACCACGCCCAGCTAATTTTTGTATTTTTTGTAGAGATGGGGTTTTGCCATGTTGCCCAGCTTTTCTCAAACTCCTAAACTCAAGTGATCTGCCTGTCTCGGCCTCCCAAAGTGCTGGGATTACAGGCATGGGCCACCACTCATGGCCTTGTATACGAGTATTCATAGCAGCATTGTTCATAATAGTTAACAGTGGGAACAACCCAAATGTACACTGTCTAATGAATGGAAAAATAAAATGTGGTATATCCATACAATGGAATATTATTTGGGCACAAAAAGAAATAAAGTACTGATACATGCTACTATTATATTGATGAATCTTTAAAAATTATGCCAAGTGAGAGAAACCAGTCACAAAGGGCCACATGTATAATTCCATTTGTTTGTAATATCCAGAATAGGAAAATCTGCAGAGACAGAAATAGATTTGTGATTGCCTTGGGCTAGGATAGGGGACAGAGGAGGAATTGGGGAGTGACAGCTAAGGGCATAGAGTTTCTTTTAGGGGATGATAGCAATGTTCTAAAATAAATTGTGGTGACGGTTGCACAGATTTGTGAGTACACTAAAAGCCATTGAACTATACACTTTATTATTTTTTATTTTTATTTTAAGTTCTGGGGTACATGTGCAGGATGTGCAGGTTTGTTACATAGGTACACATGTGCCATGGTGGTTTGCTGCACCTATCAACCCATCACCTAGTTATTAAGCCCAGCATGCATTAGCTATTTTTTCTAATGCTATCCCTCCCCAACCCCACCCCCAACAGGCGCCAGTGTTGTTCCCCTCCCTGTGTCCATGTTTTCTCATTGTTCAGCTCCCACTTATAAGTGAGAACATGTAGTGTTTGATTTTCTGTTCCTGCATTTGTTTGCTGAGGATAATGGCTTCCAGCTTCATCCATGTCCCTGCAAAGGACATGATATCATTCTTTTTTATGGCTGCATAGTATTCCATGGTGTATATGTACCACATTTTCTTTATCCAGTCTGTTGTCAATGGGCATTTAGGTTGATTCCATATCTTTGCTATCATGAATAGTGCCGTGATGAACATATGCTTGCAGGTATCTTTGTAATAGAATGATTTATATTCCTTTGGGTATGTACTATGTTTAAGCCAAGAACTGACAAGCGTGAATTTAAAAGAAAAAAAAAAGCCTTCAACTATTGAACTTGCAAAATAACCTTAGACCTCTAAACTTGCTCCAGGAGGAACCAGGGTCCCATAGCGGTGGAGCTTCCCAAGAGAACACACTAGTCAGCATTCCAGCTTGGACATGCAAAGGAGAGTGACACACAAGGCAGTGCTTCCTAGAGTCCAGCATTAGGTCAAATCAAGGAACTTCCCCCACAGCCAGGATTTCAGAATTGCTATGGGCAAAGACAGCTTCTTTTTTGGTTCCCTTGACTGAATGGGAGTTTTAATTTTGGATATCCTCTTTCTAATCCACCAGTGTGTAGGGGGTGGGGTGGGCAGATAACTTGTCTTCTAGTTCACAAGTCACCAGATCACAGGGAGCCAATCTGGACCCAATGGGGAGGACTGTACAACATCCCTGAGATCCTGGACTTTGAGATGATTGTAGTATCTACATGGTCAAAAGACCCTAAAAATAGGGTGTCTCATTTGGGATGCATGTGTTCTATATGAGGGGAAAGGAGTGAAATGAATGTTTGGTGATCAGATAGGTAAATTGTGGCAGACAATGACAATGCTATGTGATCATCAAACCTGATTTCCTTTTCTTTCTGGTCACTCAGTGAGCCAACACTTCCCATTTTTCTCTGGACTTTGGTGGTGCCATGTGACTGAGGTCTGGCCAATAAAATGTGTGTAAATAATGAAGAGAGGTGCAATTAAGAGGCCCCAGAGGTGGGGTTGAGCAGACATTTGGGTAAACAAGAGAGAGTAGTTGGTAGAATGAGGAAAAGTCTTCTGTTCCTACAGACTTTGACCAGCTGTTGGTGAGAACTCATGAGTTTCTGACAGGACTGCCACTATGCAGATTATGCACTAAACTAATGTGCCTGGCTGTCAGGGCACATGAAGGCTAAATTCTAGCCCACGTCCCACTCACCTAGCTGCTTGTCCTGGCACTAGGCTTCATTCACTGACTTTATCCACCTGGAATAAGGGGTACCTACCTCTCTGTCACCTTCTCCTCACCAAGCCAAGTACCTTTAGAGCTTTGTCTGCTGGAGGGAGACACAAGTTTTCCTCATCGCCTAGGAAGCACCTCTATCTAATTACCACAATGGAGCCACATGGGCTAGAGTTGTGACTCTCTCTCTGAATGTATTTGACATTGCTGGGGGCTATGTCAGACTTTTGACCATCTCCCACAGTGACTTTGCTTCTAGAGGTGGTGGAAACATGAGACTTTGGCTCATCAAATATCTTCAGTTTGAAACAAACCAAAAAAGTTTAGCCTTAGATTCAAAGAAATATTGAGCGACATGACTTACCTCTTTCCCCAGCTGCTTTTTACCATATACGGTAGGCTAACAGGAAGCCTCAGTTCTGGCAGCTCTTTGAATGTTCTGACAGCTCTCAGAACTACCAAGAACGGCTGAAAACTCATGCTCATCTTTGTGATCGTTTTTCTTCTTGCCTCCTTGATTTGGTATTTCTAGTAAACCTCCTCATTAAAGCCATATTAAGCGAACTCATAAATATGTATAGAGTCTTTTAAATTATCTGTTGATGGATAAGGACTCTGATACATTTACATAATGAGCTTTTAAAACATGCAGATACATTTTACAACTAGACCTGGGTGGGGGCTGGGTGAGGTGGAAAACTCAGGAGGAAAAACAAACTTAATCTTGACAACACTGAAGGTGCCTCTTTGCAGAAAGCCTTAGATTTCAGGGAAAAAAATTGTACTGCTGAGGAGCTTAGTTCCCATGCACAGATTTCAGAGAATATTAGGGATGTTGTCAAGTTAGGAGAGAGGTGAAGTGGAAGGAAATTACATCATGTTCCAAATGCTAACAGGGAAGCAAATAAATCAGAACCAAGTTAGTAAAGCAGCCAAAGCTAATTAGAGTGATAAACATTACTATGTTCATCGATATCTGATATCTATCCAGTTCCCCTTCACTTTGGGCACATGGGAGGGACAGATTCTGTGGTGTGAGATGTGGTCTGGCCAACAAAAAATGAGCAGAGGTGAGGTTGGTCACTTTTTTGGCAAAAACGTTTAAGGGCTGTTTTGCAATTTTTCCATGTTCTCTTTCTTTGGCTGCCAGTCTGGAGACATCAGCCTGAGTCCTAGAGTGGGATGCCGTGGGGCAGAGAACACTGGCAATACATGCTGGAACTGTGGCATGAGCTGGAAATGAACCTTTGTTGTTTTAAAACACTTAGAATTGGGGTGCTCTTTGTTACAATAGCAAAATCATGCTCATCCAGACTGATTGAACTGGGACCAGGGACTTGTAATTCTATTCCAGGGACAATCCTTTTTGGAATTGACCAGTTCCATTCCGAAGGAGTTTGTGGTCCAGAAAGAGATTGAGGAAGCTGAAACAAACCCCTTTTCCCTGTTCCCCAAAAGGGACCATTCAACTGGGTTCCCTAATTCTTATACCTAAAAGACAAGCATGGTCTTTCCAGTTTTCCTGAACTCCATGGTGTTTCTTCCCAGCTTGAGTAGAGGCTCCTGAAGGCTACTACAATTTGATGTTCAGAATAAGTAAATGCAATAAATGAATGCATCTGCCCCATCTGAAGGGCTATTATGATGGTTAGTGGTGATTTAATAAATTCACTCTGTTAAAAAAAAATGGAGCTCCCTCAGATGAAAATTGCTATATAAATCCTTAGTTCATAGTAATACCCTGACAGAGGGGAAAATGAGAAGGTACTGATGCCAAAAGTGTCCTAAATTAGAAATTGATTTTCATTCACAGAAGCAACAGAGGAGCTGGATGTTGCTTCCGGACTTGTAAGAGGCAACATGTCGCAGAGGGGGAGATAAATCATTTCTGTCCTTGCAACCTGAAGGAGATAAAAGCAAGATAAACACTAAGACTGTTTTTTTAAATTTTCCACACACTGTTTTTTTGTGCTCTATCTATGCAACTCATTTATTCATCACAAAACCCAGTGAGGTACCGTCAATTTACATATGGGGAAACTAAAACTGCCTTTGCAAAATTATCACAGTGAGAAAACTCCAACATAACTGACTCCATCTTGGCTAGAATTCTAGATGAAGGGGAGGAGTCTAGGCTGTGGATGGGTAACAGGCTCTTAAACCGTAGACACTGTACCCTGTAAGCAAGGGTACAAAAGGAGGAGGGTCCCTGTTCTAGGACCCAAGCTTTATAGCAGTGATGCTCAAACTTTCGCATGCAAAGGAACTTGGGAGAGCTTTGCAAAAACACCCACCCAGATACTTGGCGCCCACCCCAGATACTTGACGCCCACCCCAGATACTTGACGCCCACCCCAGATACTTGACGTTCGCCCCGCTACTTCCAAAGATTCAGATTCAGTTCGTGTGGGGTGGGGCCTGGGATTTTGCACTTCTAAGGAGCTCCTGGATTATGATGATGCAGTCCTCCCAAGACCATACTGGGGTGGCCTTGCTTTTAAGAGCCCCGTGCAGGCCCTCCTCCTTTTGTGCCCTTCCTTACAGGGCACAGTGTGTATGGTTTAATGGCCGGGGATGGAGTGAGGAAGGATTGTTTCATTCCCCCAAAAGTGATGAGAAAGAAGAGAGAGAGACTAGAAGAAATGAGTGAAAACTGGTTGAGAATGTGGAGAGGAAAGTTTGTATTTGCCTTGAAGTGGAGGAGATTCAACAGATGGGAGGGGAGAGGAAAAAGGAAATCAGTTTCATGACAGGAAGAAACAAAAACAACAGTAAGTTACCTTGCACCCGAGGCTGACATGTCGGTTAGATTTCCTTAGCTCACGGGGACAGCACACACACACACACACACACACACACACACACACACACAGAGCACATTTATACAACAACAAACCTGTGTTTTTTTTTTATTCTCCATGGTTTCCTCTGTGATCCCAGATTTATCATCGCACAAGCATTTCTAAATATTTGTTAGGACCAGATCAAAAGACCAAGCATTGAATGTCTCACTGAAACTCACTGTGCTTGTTGATCATGTTGTGAAGAATCAGTGTTTCTGTCATTCTCTTCTTCTATGGAGAGTCCCTGTCTACATTGGATGGAGGGGTTAGGAGAATTGGCAATTAAGTTTTTCTGTTTTGTTTTGTTTTTGAGACAGGGTCTTGCTCTTTCGCCCAGGCTGGAGTGCAGTGGTGCAATCATGTCTCACTGCAGCCTCGACCCCACAGGCTCTCCCACCTCAGTCTCCCAGGTAGCTGGGACCACAGGCATGCCCCATCATGCCCAGCTAACTTCTTTATTATTTGTAGAGTTGAACTCTTGCTATGTTGTCTAGGCTGGTGTCAAACTCCTGGGCTCAAGCAATCCTCCTGGCTCAGCCTCCCAAAGTGCTGGGATTACAGGCATGAGCCATCACACCCAGTCAATTAAGTTCTGAAAGAGTAATTATCTGGATTGTTTTTGTTCTACTTGTCTATTTTTTACAAGCCCAAAAGCTCTTCTGTCCCTTGCCTTTGGACATGTAATCACACTCAAACACCAATAGATACAAGTCCCCAAAGGTTGTCATTTCAACTTCCCCAATCCAGAAAATTTCACTCCAGCTCCCTAAGATTCTAGACTCTTACAGAAGTCCACCGGCAGCCTAGGAGTTGGGGTTGCTGTCCAGGGGAGATCATGCTTGCCAGTCACAGCATGGGCAACAGAGAGATTTATAGTGAGGGGTAAAAAGAGAAATAGAAGGAAACCATAAGTGTCCCTTTCATCTCCTGACCGTTATACCAAATAGGAGTGACAAGTAGAGTGTGATCACAAATAGTTTCATGGATATGCTTCTTTCCACGACTCTGCAGATCTAGTGGAGTAGAATTCATGGAGAAAGTCCTCAATGTCAAAGGATGAGCAGGCAGGGAAGGGATGTGGTAGAGAAAACTTGATGGAAAATTAGACAGTGATACTGTGGAAAGGGCCAGAGGAGACAAGGGTGTGTGGGCTCAACCTTGGTGGTGATTCTGTTACTGAGATCTTGTGTAATCTCATAGTTATTAAGAATCATGTGGACAGACGCAGTGGCTCACGCCTGTAATCCCAGCACTTTGGGAGGCTGAGGCGGGTGGATTACCTGAAGTCAGGAGTTCGAGACCAGCCTGGCCAACATGGTGAAACCCTGTCTCTACTAAAAATACGAAAATTAACCAGGTGTGGTTGCACACGCCTGTAGTCCCAGCTACTTAGGAAGCTGAGGCAGGAGAATCACTTGAACTCGGGAGGCGAGGTTTCAGTGAGCTGAGATCGTGCCACTGCACTCCAGCCTGGGTGACAGAGCAAGACTCTGTCTCAAAATACTACTACTACTACTACTAAAAAATCACTTTCCTATTCAATGTACCAAACTTTTAGGATGACATTTAGTTTCTCAAATGCTTTCTCTTCAAGTGGGGGAAGCATAGAAAGAGTTTTAGAGGGAAACTTGGTGAGAGGGTGAAACCTGTGTTTCTGATCTCTCATCTGTCCAGCAATGGATGCTAAGTCTCCATTAATTAAAGACCTTTTTCCAGTCCCTTAGTTGTGTCCAGCTGGGGGCTTCCAACATGCTAAAGTATTGACAGAGGGTCAGAAGAGGGGAAGGAGCTGGTCCTTCATCCCCACCTGTCTATGCTAGCATTCACTAATATACCCTCCTTCTCATCTGGCCTCCCATTGAGAGTCTACTCAGATGGCCACCTGTCTGCCTAGGCGCCCCACTTAGCTGGGTCTCTAATGCTACAGCCGAGCCTCACAGAGTACCAGGGAACTCTGCCAGGTTTTCCCTGCACTTTCTTTTTCCTCTTGGCCCCAGAAGCCAGGTGCAGGTCTTTCTCCATTCTCTGATCTCCGAAACCCACCTATGGTTTCTGTCGTTCCTCTCCCCAAGACTGGGATGGGGCATGTGGTCGGGAAGCAAAACCTCTTCTCAGGGACACATATATCTAGGTCTCATGTTCTCCTTGCATCCTTCTTGTGCCCCAGCTCACAGAACCTTGGTCAAGTCTCAGGTGAGGAAAACATTGCGACTGATCATACATCCTTCAAAAATTACATGGCATGAAATATATGCCCTCAGTCCTTCCAGGCTTTTACCCAATCTTAATATGTAAAAGCTGAGGTTTTCATGATTTTACTTTTCTGTTTCTGCATCAACAACCTTTCCATGAAGCAGTAAATGGAGCAATTAACCTGGGGCCTGAATGGGAAGAAGTTTCTGGAGGCAACAGGGAGTCTGGAGCAAAATATCACCAGATGACAATATCATACTAAGATGCTATACAGTGTAGACCTACACTGGAAGCAATGTGGGAGACAGTGATGGGTGTGAGAATGGACTGGAGTGGAGCAAGTCTGGATGCAGGGAGACAGGAGCTATGGAAACAGTCCAGGCAAAGACCACCGAGGCCTGACTTAAACAGAGAGATTGGAGAGGACACAATAGAGTTTTGAGATTATAGAATCCAGTGTTCATAAAATTTGATAACTCTTTTTGTGTGAAAATGAGAGAAGAGGTGGGATCTAGGATGACTTTCAAGCTTATGGCTTAAGAGTGTTGATGTATAGAATGCCACAAACCATAACAAAGAATGTGGGATAAGGAACAAGTTTTCTGCAAAAAAGAGGCTAACTAATTTAGTGGGAAGAGTATGGACTCTGTAGTCAGTGTATTATCTATTGCTGTGTAACGAACCACTAAAAACTTAGTGGCTTAAAACAACATACATTTATTATTTCATAGCTTCTCTGTGTTAGAAATCTAACCATGGCTTAGATGGGTCATCTACTTCAAAGTCTCTCACGAGGCCACAATCCAGGTGTCAAACAGGGCTGGGGCTCATCTGAAAGCTCAGCTGGGGAATGATCAGCTTCCAAGCTCACTTACATGGTTGTTGGCAGGATTCCATTCATTTAGGGCTGTGGACAAAGGTTTCGCTCAGTCCCTTGCCAAGTAGGTTCATCAAACCTGGCAACTTGCTTCATCAAAGCTAGCAAGGGAGCATGTCAATAAAGAGATTCTGCTAGCAGGGTGGAAATTACTATCTCTCGTAACCTAATCTCAGAAGCAACATTCCATCACTTTTGCCATATGCTACTCATTACAAGCAAGTTACTGGGTCCAGTCAACACTCAAGGGGAGCAGATTACATGAGGACCTGAATACCAGTATTATTGCAGGCCATTTTAGAGTCTGCCTGCCACATTCAGACAGACCTAGAATTGAATTCTCTCTTTGCCATTCACTAGGTGGTACTTGAATAAGTTCTTTAACAACTCTTAGCTTGTTTCCTTATCTATAACATAGGGATATTACTACTTATCTCATTGGATGTCAGAAAGGTTGAATAAGACAGTGTATGCAGCAAACCTAGCACTTTCTTTTTCCCCTCTGCCATGTCGATTGATAGCTTTCCAGATGGTTCCATCTCTTTCAGCCTGAGTCTCAGAGCAATGACTTTGGCAGTGACCTGGGCTCATCCCCACCCCAGCTGACAGCATGAGGGATAAATGAACCTTTGTGATCATAAGCCACTAAGATTTGGGGGTAGATATTACTGCAGCAAAACGTAGACTATCCTTATCAATGCAAACTCCAAAATGGGTTCTATTTGGAGGTTCTATTCAAATTTCTATTCAAAATTCTATTGATTTATAGTCAATTCCTTTCCCTTGATGGTGTACTGCATTTTGAGCATTTTTCATACTGGCTTCATTTTCTAATACTGTCATTTGGGAGCCACAGAAACAAAACAGATGTCCTTCTGCATTATTGTTTGCCTAAAGACCTAAGTTGGATTGTGGTAAGAAGGGACTGTCATTTCCCAGCCTTTAAGGGATCCTACTCCAGCAGACTGAGTAATTCTTTAAAGACAAAAGGGATAGGGAGGGGATAAAATGTCACCAGCAAGCAGAAAACATGCTCACATGGTTTCTTCTTGTGTGTCTGGCAAGATTTTTAATTGTTTCTAAAGAAACCACCCAACTGATGTTAACCATATGGAACTGTGAAAACATGGGGTAAAAGAATAATACAGTTGGATCATGTTTCTTTGGTTGTCTGTAAAATGGCATGTAATTTGTAAACCAAAAATGGTGCTTAAAGCAACAATCACAGCAAGGTTCTTCATTTGAAATTCCTTTAAATTCTTTCCCCAAAACTATTCCAAGTGGATGGTATTCTTTAAAATATTTTACCTTAATGGCATTCCTTAAAGGACCATTGCACTTGCAATTATATTTTCTGAGCCAAATCCTCTGCCTAATCCTATTGATTATGGGTCACTCCTGCCAAGCCACACACACTCACACCATATTAGGTAGTGTTTTTTCCTACTAGTGCCCCAGGGGTCCCTGTTTGGTCACCATTTTAGTACATGTGTACCACATACCTGCTCTGAGCAGCAGGACTGTGATTCCAGTGTCTCTATATAAACTTTCTAGAAGGTATTCTTTTAACTTGGGCTTTACAAAGACTTAACTTAGGGATAAGAATTAAACCCACAATATGGGAAGAAATGTATATAATTAAGTAATGGTTAAATAAAATATGTTATATACTATAGACAGCAAGTAACACATGTCTTTATATACAGTGTGATTCTGGCAGTAATTACCAATCCCTTCCTGAATTACAATTGTGAAAGATTCTCTCCAGGAGGGCCTGGAGTGAAGTTTCAGTTTCTTTCTGGCTCTAGAAACTCTTCTTCTTTTAGGGTCTTGGATCTATTTCTCTCTTTTTCAGACACTTCTGCATTCTACAGTCATCCAAGCATGATGTCATGGGAGTCCAGATAGGCATGTATTTGGGTCAAGGCTGCTGGTTTAACTACAGAGAGCTTTCTGTCTGTCTATCAGCCTGTCTTTGTCTCTCTCTATCTGTCTCGACAGTGGCTCAAAGCAGCAGAGACTTAGAGACTCAATCTCATGAGCTGAAGCAGATTTTCCTTTGGCATTTTTATTCCTGCTGCATAACTCAGTGAGCCCCTAAAATTATGGCAACAGACTCTTTTCAAATTAAAACATACCCTACATTAAAGCTTCTCCCACCTCAGTGTACGTAAGAGACACCAGGGTCCTGGTTAAAAATGCAGATTTTCAGATTCCACCTGAGACTACTGAATCAGAATATCCAAGAGTGAAATTCAGAAATCTGCTTTTTCAAACAAACTTTTGAGATGATTCTGAGGTAGTTGGTCAGGCAACCCCTTTGTGGAAAACATTCCTTATCTGATGCCCTCCCAGTGATGTGAAGGTTCGATAGCATTTCCCTATTTTGGTTGGGAAATAAACATATCCTGGTCTAAACGGTATTTGAAAGTCTCTCCTCCATTACTCAAAAGTCTTTCTCTTAGGTGGTTTTCTTGTTCCAACTTTCAGATGAACTTCACTAAATTCTTGCTGTTCAGCTGGGTGTGGTGTTGTATCCGCCTAACCCCACATGACAGTAACAATACTCATGCCTGTAATGCTGGGATTGAAAGAGCAGTGAAATTCATCACGTTTGTTCCAACTGAGCAGTATCTGTAGGATCTGACTGTTTGAAAATATTCCTTTGTATCTTTCTAGAGATAGTTCCAAATAAATGCCCAGAAGATTGTAAATTCCACAAAGGCAGCAATAACAAAACTTCTATACTTCTCTGATTACATTATTAACCTCCATTATCTGCAATATGGTGGTAATTTGAAAGCCCTTTCATTACAACACACTTGGAAAAATTGGAAAAAATATCATAAACATATTCTCAAATGGAAAGGTGATAGTGAAAAAAAGTAGGAGAAATTCTGGAGTGCCCAAAACTTAAGCTGAAAACTTAAGCTCGGAAGCTATTTCCCAATTTCATAACCAAGAAACAGGGTTTCAGTGACTCTATGGGGACTGAAAGATCTTAGTCCTGCAAAAAGTGGGAAACGAATTGAGAATGCCATAGAAATCTGGAACTCTTAAAGGTACACACTCAGTGAAAGACAGGGGTAGGAAAAATTTGTCCCATAATGGAAAATGAGAAATAAACGTGTTTGTCTTGGCCAAGGTTCTGAATGAATAAAAATATTCCCTCAAAATTAGTGACCAAAGGCATGTTAGCACATAATTTAAACTTGCACTATTTGCATAGGCCTGGAAATTCCAAAGCAATAAATTAATATAAAGTAAACTCAGGTTTATAATGCTCCCAGGCATTTAGCAGAGGAGAAAATAATCCTTCCTGAATAGATAAACTTTCAATCCAAGCTTCAGAAGTGACCCACGGATAAAGCTCAATTAAATTTGTGCTCACAATCCAAAATTGCAAACACATAAAAGCAAGCCAGTATCAGCAGAAACGAAAAGTAGGAGGTGGCCCACATCCTTTCCTCAAGAACATCAGGCAATGAAATGATAATCATTATAAAATATAGAAATTAATTATATTTAAAATGTTAAAATAAAATATGGAATTGAAAACACAAGAAACAAGAACACAAGAAAGAAAGATAGTGTCATGTTTCTTTACATGACACTATCAAAAAAGACTAGGAAGATTTAAAGAAGACTCAAATAGGATTTCTGGAATAGAAAAACAAAATTGCTAAGATTAAACCCTCAATGGATGAGTTAACAGCAGATTAGACACAGCTGAAATGAGAATCAGTAATGTAGAAGACAGACCTGAAGGAATTACTGAGATCACAACACAGGGAGGAAAAAGACAGGAAAAGCAAGGATGAGAGCCAGTTCTTCCTTGATAGTTCTATACCTACATCTTTCCCACTCTTAGGTGACATTGAAGGAAGTTAGAGTACCTGCCCTTCAGGACTCAATGGCTTAGCAGAGGGAGACAGACAAGAAAACAAATAATTATTGCCTAATATGACAAGGACTATAATAAGATATATATGAAAGATCAAGTAAGGAGTATGAGTGATAAAATCTGTCTTGTCTCAGCTAAATCCCAGGACCTAGAACAATGACAAGCACATAGTATATGTTCAAATCATGTTGAACAGATAATATTAGGCCAGAGATCTAGGAATCCTTGTCCTTCTAACTCTACTCCATCCCATGAAGTTCATTTTTTTCAATTTTTAATAATTTTTGTGGGTACATAGTAGGTGTACATATTTCCCATAAAGTTCTTAATGAAGCTATACTGGCAAGAGGCAGTGTGCTAATTAAACAAATGATAATTAAATGTTACTTCATTTTTATCAAGGACAGTTGCTGATACTCTAGCTAGAGAGCCTTGGTCAAAGCTGGGCTGGAGCAACCTGATTAGAATGAAAGCTAGGTGTATGCCTCTATTTCTCTAAACCTAATCCTAATTATGGGTTATGAAATAGGAAATAAGGTGCACACTTGGGTACATAAGGAAACAGAATAAAAGAGAGTGAGCAAGATGGGTCTGCTGATGGCATGGGATAATAACAAGAACTAGCATTTTTTAGATGAATACTATGTGCCAGGTGCTAGGCTAAGCACCTATATAGATACTATTATTTAATCTACAACTAAGTTTTGAAGTAGAAACTATTATTATTATTATTATTATTATTATTATTTGAGATGAAGTCTGGCTCTGTCGCCCAGGCTGGAGTGCAGTGGTGTGATCTCAGCTCACTGCAAGCTCCACCTCCGAGGTTCGTGCCATTCTCCTGCCTCAGCCTCCCAAGTAGCTGGGACTACAGGCACCCGCAACCACACCCGGCCAATTTTTTGTATTTTTATTAGAGACGGGGTTTCACCGTGTTAGCCAGGATGGTCTCGATCTCCTGACCTCGTGATCTTTCCGCCTTGGCCTCCCAAAGTGCTGGGATTACAGGTGTGAGCCACCGCGCCTGGCCGAAGTAGAAATTTTTATTTTTATTTTTTTATAATGAAAAACCAGAAGCTTCACTAGACTAAATAACTTGCCCAATGTCACATGACATGCAAATGGCAGTGGCAAGCTACAAACCCAAGTGATCTTACTCCATCCTCTCCACACCTGGACAGGTGGCCTTTCAACACACAAGTAAACAAGTGTGACCCAATCACTGTCATGAAACATGATCAATCAGATTCCTCTCTGCTCCTCTGGGAGAAGAGGTGAAGAAATGTAGGCAGAGGGGAGAAAGTGTTCCCTTCCATCTGGCAAATAGCAGCTTAAGTTGTGATGTGTCACCACAAAATTGTCTTTTTTTTTTCTTCTAGCTTATTCTTAGATATATCTTCTCTTCATTTCCAGCATCAACACAAAGCACATGGAAGCGACCACCATTATCATTTCATACTAAGCCCAATGGCCATCTTCTCACTGGTCTCCCCGAGTCCCCTTTCAGTTGTTCTCTGTTCTGTAGCCAGAGCTTCTGTTTATTTTCTTGTCTTTGTGATCTTCTATGCACCATTTTTTTTAATCTATGGGAATAAAGTATGTTTACATCATACCAGTACTTAAGGTACTTGTGATGATGTTAGAGCTTTTAAATAGCTAAGTATTTTAGATACCCAAGAAATAGAAAATCATCTAATAAACACACATGCTTTATAACTAACTTAATAGTTTGTATTATATTAGATTTGATGAAATATGGTAGTGAGTGCAATAAGTATTTAATGAACAAATAAATGTGTTCACCACCAATTTCACTTTTAGGATGCTGCTGTTCCACTTCGGTCTTTTGCAGCTCCTGGACAGCCTTTATGCAGTCACTTGTGTGCTCTGGTGAGTAAGGCATCATCCATATCTGTCCTTATGAAAGTTCGCTGCATGTTCAGACCATCCAACAATGGGCAAACATTCTCCAGGAAGCTTTGCTCGTCTCTAATTCTTGGTTGCTTTTTTTTTTGTCAGCCAAGCCCTGTAGCATCTACACACATCTGCATACATATTCATGGATTTTGTCCCCGAATGCTTCTGACTGATGTATTCTCTCTATTTTTTTTTAACACTGGTAAAATATACATGACATAAAATTTCCCATTGTAACCATTTTAAGTGCATAATTCAGTGGCATTAACTATGTGCCCATTATTTTGCAACCATCATCATCATCCATCTCCAGTAATTGGTTTGTTCTATATTTTAAAATTTCTCACTACAGTCCCTAAGAGTAGCTTCTTCCAGACAGGAGACCACATTTCATCAACAGCCTTAATTGAAGCTTAGAATCAAGGTCATATTTGGATTTTTGGAGGTTACTACAAATTTGTGAACATGAGAGAAAATTTTGCAACAAATCAGAATTCTTGAGAGAAAGAAAATAATAGGAATCAATAGCTGATACTTACCTTAGAAGGTTTTGGAAGTGAAATCCCATATTTTTCAGTGAATGTGTTGACCTCACAAATGGTAAGGAAACGGACAAGGCAACAACAACAAAACAACATAGATAGAAGAGAAATGTGGCCGGGTGCGGTGGCTCACGCCTGTAATCCCAGCACTTTGGGAGGCCGAGGCGGGTGGATCACGAGCTCAAGAGTTCAAGACCAGCCTGGCCAAGATGGTGAAACCCCATCTCTATTAAAAATACAAAAATTAGCCAGGCTTGGTGGTGGGTGCCTGTAATCCCAGCTACTCAGGAGGCTGAGGCAGAGAATTGCTTGAACCTGGGAGGCAGAGGTTGCAGTGAGCAGAGATTGTGCCACTGCACTCCAGCCTGGGTGACAGAGTGAGACCCCATCTAAAAAAAAAAAAAAAGAGAGAGAGAGAAATGTAAAAGCATTATAGAAGAGTTCTATGATGACAGGTGATGTGGCAGCACTGTCACATTTTGTACACTCAGTGTATGACAAGGTATATCGGACCTGAAAAGAAGTTCATGATGTATGTCAAGGGCGAGAACTACAAAAAGATTTTCAATGACAAGACAATTATGGTTGAACTATTGCATTTCTTGCTCCAGGCCCTGTTCCAACAGGATAGCTATTGATGCCCTGATGCTCAGTGTGGCATCACATGTGATCATGCTGACTGTCCTCCTAGAGGATGATGCCATCTGTCACACCTTAAAGGCAACTGTCTGGCTTTGGAACTCAGGTGATAGTCACATGTATATTTATTTTAAAACACGTGTGGTTTTTGCAGCAGTTTCACCATTTAGTGCATAAAATGTAGTTGAAATTTATGAAAGTTGCAAAATAGTTCCCATTTGGAATGAATGAATAATCACACTTCTGAAAATCATGGTTTCTTTCACAATCACCTTTTTTTTTTCCAGATGAACTCACTCTACCAAACCTCTAGGAACAGGAGTCCCAGCTGTCACTGATATTCTACAATCACAGTTAGTGTGGTCTCTAGAGGTTTTAGCTTGGGAGTAGCAGACAACTGTTTGTGTTATAAATATGGAGGCTGTACAAGTCACTGTTCAAACTGGAGCACTTTTGAGAGTGACAGAGGACTCTATTGATAATTATGTGGGGACAATAGTTGTAAGCTGGGACTGTCCTGGGTAAACAATCTTGTCTAAGCATACAGGAAACGCATTTAGTGATATGTTCAAATAGAGTGATCCCTATTTAATCACATGTCCAGTCAATACTGTAGGGCTGCCAATTAGACATCAAGGTAAGAAATCCACATACAAGATTGTCATTGGTATCACTCCCAAGTCCTCCCACTAAGGAGTAACCCTCTGTTAGCATGCTGAGCTGCTGGACATGCTGCAGCCAAAGAGGTTGGACCTGGCCATCCAGCTTCTGCAGGGGTTACCTCTGAGAGTGCTCAAAAC
Source organism: Homo sapiens (assembly GCF_000001405.40). Lineage (NCBI taxonomy): Eukaryota > Metazoa > Chordata > Mammalia > Primates > Hominidae > Homo > Homo sapiens. Next base: position 94,020,027 of record NC_000012.12, on the reverse strand, counting down.
AAATAACTGCTGTTAAACCAGCCTCACAGGAAGGTGATTCTGGTTCGTGTCTCAATAGTATTATAAATTGCTACATGTCATGGACTCTTAGGTGGCTCCGCCATATGCCAATCCAAGAACCATAAATCTCCAAAGCTAAGGATCAACTGGGTCTGCCAAACACAGCTTGAGAATTTCAGATGTTTAAAACCAGTGATTCAAACTTGAAATGTAACCTGTAAGAGCAGAAAATCATGTCATACTGCCAGTATGTATTTAGTATCTGCTTGTGGTGGTACACAGGATGATACTAGGAAGTCAGACTGCCTGGGTTCAAGTCCTGGCTCTGTCATTTACTAGCTGTGTTTCCTTGGGTAAACTACTTTGTTCCCTCAGTTTCCCTCGTGTGTACAATTGGGTTATAGTTTGCTATAGTTTGTTTGAGGCTTCCAAAGCTCATGTTGAAATTTGACCTTCAGTGTTGGAGGTGGGGGTTAATGGGAGATGTTTGGGTCATGGGGGTAGATCTCTCATGAATAGATTAATGCCCTGCCTGGGAGGGGAATGAGTGAGTTCTCATTCTATTAGCTCCCATGAGAACTGGTTGTTAAAAGGAGCCTGGCACATCTCCACTCTCTTGCTTCCTTTCTTCCCTTGTGATCCTCTGTACTTGCTGGCTCCCCTTTGTCTTCTGCTATGAGTGGGAGCAGCCTGAGGCCCTAACCAGAAGCAGATTCTAGTGCCAAGCTTCTTGTACAGCCTGCAGAATCATGAGCCAAATAAACCTCTTTTCTTCATAAATTGCCCAGCATCAGGTATGCCTTTATAACAATGTAAACAGACTAAGATGAAGACCATTTGAGATAACGTACCTAAAGTGCTTAGTGCAGTATCAGGCCCATAGTGGATACTTGATGAATATCAGTGCTCATGTTGAAGATGCTGAGCTTGGCATGAAGTTATGGACATGAAGGAAGCATAGGTCCTGTACTCACTGAATCCAGGCTACTTCAACCAGGCCGGCTACCCTGTGGGGGCTTTGTGCCTTATATCCTTCCCATATGGGGGTCCACCTTTGCTCCCAAATTCAATGGCAGCAAATACCAAGCTTTGTATACCTAATTAGCTACACATGTTCCTCAGTCTTTCCCACATAGGGGAGAAAAAAGCTTTTACTTCCACCCTCCTAGGTTCTCCAACTGAGGCCCTTCAAATTAAACTAACAAAAGACAGATGAATAAGAGAAAAACAAACAGAAATTTATTAACACATGCAGCATGACATATACTTGGGAGAAACTCAGTGATTAGTGTATTAGTCCTTTTTCACACTGCTATAAAGAACTACCTGAGACTGGGTAATTTATGAAGAAAAGAGGTTTAATTGACTGCAGGCTTAACAGGAAGCATGGCTAGCAGGCATCAGGAAACTTACAATCATGGCAGAAGGTGAAGGGGAAGCAAGGTACATCTTCCCATGGTGGAGGATGAGGGGGAGAAAGAGTGAAGGGGGAAGTGCCACACACTTTCGAAGAACCAGATCTCATGAGAACTCACTCACTATCACAAGAACAGCAAGGGGGAAGTAGTATGCCCCCATGATTCAATAACCTCCTAGCAGGCCTCTCCCCCAACACCAGGGGATTACAATTCTGCATGAGATTTGGGTGGAGACACAGAGCCAAACCATATCATTCTGCTCCTGGCCCCTCCCAAGTCTCATGCCCTTCTCACACTTCAAAACCAATCATGCCTTTCTAACAGTTCCCCAAAGTCTTAATTCATTCCAGCATTAACTCAAAAGTCCAAGTCCAAAGTCTCATCTGAGACAAGGCCAGTTCCTTCTGCCTATGAGCCTGTAAAATAAAAAACAAGTTAGTTACTTCCAAGACACAATGGGGGTAAAGGCATTGGGTAAATGCTCCCATTGCAAGAGGGAGAAATTGACCTAAACAAAGGGGCTACAGGCCCCATGCAAGTTCAAAACCCAGCAGGGCAGTCATCAAATCTTCAAGTTCCAAAAAAAAAACTTCTTTGACTCCATGTCTCATATCCAGGGCACGATGACACAAGAGGTGAGCTCCCAAGGCCTTGGGCAGCTCTGCCCCTGTGGCTCTGCAGGGAACAGCCCCTGTGGCTGCTTTCACAGGCTGGCATTGAGTGCCTGTGGCTTTTCCAGTTGCACAGTGCAAGCTGTCAGTGGATCTACCATTCTGGGGTCTGGAGGATAGTGGCCCTCTTCTCACAGACCCACTATGCAGTTTCCCAGTAGGGACTCTGTGTGGAGGCTCTGACCCCACATTTCCCCTCTGCACTGCCCTAGTAGAGGTTCTCTATGAGGGCTCCACCCCTGCAGTAGATGTCTGCCTGGACATCCAGGCATTTCCATACATCCTCTGAAATCTAGGCAGAGGTCCCCAAACCTCAACTCTTGCCTTCTGTGCACCCACAGGCCCAACACCACATGGAAGCCACCAAGAGTTGGGGCTTGCACCCTCTGAAGCAATGGCCCAAACTGTACCTTGGCCCCTTGTAGCCATGGCTAGAGCTGAAGTAGCTGAAATGCAGGGCGCCATGTCCCGAGCCTGAATAGAGCAGCAGGGCTCTGAGCCTGGCCCACAAAACCATTTTTTCCTCCTAGGCCTCTGGGCCTGTGATGGCAGGGGCTGCCATGAAGATCTCTGAAATGCCCTGGAGATATTTTCCCCCTTGTCTTGGGTATTAACATTTAGTTCCTCACTACTTATGCAAATGTCTGCACCCAGCTTGAATTTCTCCCCAGAAAGTGGGTTCTTCTTTTCTACTGCATGGTTGGGCTGCAAATTTTCCAAACTTTTATACTCTGCTTCCCTTTTAAATATAAATTCCAATTTCAGACCATCTCTTTCTTCACACATGTAAGTATACACTTTTAGAAACAGCCACGTTACATCTTCAATGCTTTTCTGCTTAGAAATTTCTTCTGCCAGATACCCTAAATCATCTTTCTCAAGTTCAATGTTCCACAGTTCTCTAGGGAAGAGGCAAAATGCTGCCAGTCTTTTTGCTAAAGCATAGGAAGAGTGACCTTTACTCCAGTTCCCAATAAATTTCTCATCTCCATCTGAGACCACCTCAGCCAGGACTTCATTTTACATACCACCATCAGCATTTTGGTCAAAACCATTCAACAGGTATCTAGGAAGTTCCAAACTTTCCCACATTTTCCTGTCTTTTTTTGAGCCCTCCAAACTGTTCCAACCTGTGCTCATTACCCAGTTCCAAAGTCACTTCCACATTTTCGGGTATCTTTATAGCAGTGCCCCACTCTCCTAACACCAGTTTTTTGTATTAGTCTGTTTTCACATTGCTATAAAGAACTACTGGAGACTGGGTCATTTATGAAAAAAAGATGTTTAATTGACTCACAGTTCCACAGACTTAACATGAAGCATGACTGAGAGGCCTCAGGAAACTTACAATTATGGCAGAAGGTGACAGGGAAACAAGGCACATCTTTCTATGGCAGAGGAGGAGACAGAGAGGGTGAAGGGGGATGTGCTACACACTTTCAAACAACCAGATCTCACGAGAACTCACTCACTATCATGAGAAGTGAGTGTCTGACCCCATGATTCAATCACCTCCCACCAGGCCCCTACCCCGACATGTGGGGATCACAATTTGACATGAGATTTGGGTGGGGACACAGAGCCAAACCACATCAATGAGTAACTCAAAGGCATGGTTAACTGGGGCTTATATAGCATCTTAACAAAGAGCAATAAATTTGTAGAGAAGTGACAAGGGAGAAGGAGTTTAGGCCTTTAGGTGTGGCCAACCATGGGAAGGTCAATATATTGGAAAACTCATGGAGACGGATAAGGATTGTTTTAGCAAGGTTTGCTATGTAGATTCCTCTGGTGCCATCTCTGTGCTGCTGAGTCTAGAGTGTCTTTGGTGGTTAAAAATTCTGCTGTTTCTTGCAGAGAAGAGGAGACCAGAGAGTTATTTGCAGCTTCTCACTTTCCTTTAGCTCAAAATTATCTTTATATCAGCATGGCATATTTCAGGTGGAATACTTTGAACCCCTTCATCCACTTCTTCCTTTTTTGTTATTAATAGAGTTTTCTTTTTTAAGTTTTAGATTTACATAAAAATTGAGCAGATAAGTACAGAGTTGCCCTAAACAGTTCCCCCACCCACACACAGTCTCCTCTATTATTAACATCTTATATTAGTATGGTATATTTGTTACAATTAATAAACTAATATTGATACATTATTATTATTAACTAAAGTCCATAGTTTACTCAGATTTTTAAAGTTTTAGGCCAGACATGGTGGCTCAGACCTGTAATCCCAACATTTTGGGAGGCTGAGGTGGGAAGATTGCTTGAGACCAGGAGTTTGAAACCAGCCAGGGCAACATTGGGAGACCCTATATCTACAAATTATTTAAAAAATTAGCCAGGCATGGTGGCATGTGCCTGTACTACCAGGTACTTGGGAGGCTGAGGTGGGAGGATCACCTGACTCTGGGAGGCTGAGGCTACCGTGAGCTGTGCTCACACCACTGCACTCCAGCCTTAGCAACAGAGTGAGACCCTGTCTCAAAACTAAATAAATAAATAAATAAAATTTTTACATGATGTCCTTCTACTGCCCTAGGATCCCATCCAGGGTACCACATTATATTTAATTATCAATTTTCCTTGGGCACTTCTTGGCTGTGACAGTTTCTCAGACTTTTGTTTTTAAGGATCTGGACAATCGAATATTGGTCAGATATATCATGAGATGTCTCCTTGAGATTTGTCTGATTTTTTTTCATGATTAGACTTGAGTTATGGATTTTGGGGAAGATCAGAGGTGAAGTGCAGTTTTCTTCACATCATAGCAAAGGTGCAAACTATTAACATGATTTATGACTGCCAATGTTGGCCATGATCACCTGGCTGAGGTCATATTTATCAGCTGTCTCCACTGTAAAATGACTCTTTTGTTCCTCCTTCCCATACTGTACTCTTTGGAAGGAAGTCACTATGTACAGCTCATACTTAAGGAGTGGGCTTCCCCCTACCCCAACCACCCTTTTAAGGGCCACAAGATAAATTACTTTCTACTATATTTATATACATTTATTAAAAGTTGGAAATTGGGGCTGGACACGGTGGCTCACGCCTGTAATCCCAGCACTTTGGGAGGCCGAGGCAGGTGGATCACGAGGTCAGGAGATCGAGACCATCCTGGCTAACACGGTGAAACCCCGTCTCTACTAAAAATACAAAAAAAAATTAGCCGGGCGTGGTGGCAGGTGCCTGTAGTCCCAGCTACTCGGGAGGCTGAGGCAGGAGAATGGCATGAACCCGGGAGGCAGAGCTTGCAGTGAGCGGAGAACGCACCACTGCACTCCAACCTGGGTGACAGAGCGAGAGTCTGTCTCAAAAAAAAAAAAAAAAAAAGAGTTGGAAATTGGCCGGGCACAGTGGCTTACGCCTCCCAGCACTTTGCGAGGCCAAGGCAGGCAGATTGCCTAAGCTCAGGAGTTCGAGACCAGCCTGGGAAACACGGTGAAACCCAATCTCTGCTAAAATACAAAAAAATTAGCCAGGCCTGGTGGCATGCGCCTGTAGTCTCAGCTACTAGGGAGGCTAAGGCAGGAGAATCGCTTGAACCCAGGAGGCAGAGGTTGCAGTGAGCCGAGATCGCACCACTGCACTTCAGACTGAGCGACAGAGCGAGACTCCATCTCCAAAAAGAAAAAAAAAAAAAAAAAAAGAAAAAATTTAGCCGAACATGGTGGCAGGCGCCTGTAATCCCAGCTACTCAAGAGGCTGAGGCAGGGAGAATCACTTGAACCCGGGAGGCAGATGTTGCAGAGAGTCAAGATCGTGCCATTGCACTCCAGCCTGGGTGACAGAACAAGAAAGACTCTGTTTCAAAAAAAAAAAAAAAACAAAAAAACCGGAAATGTGGAAATGTGACTAATGAGCCCTGGCTGGCAAGGCAGGAAGTCATCTCAGTGGAAGGCTGAGCTCACAGCCTGAGGACAAATGGCCCAATGGAGATAGGCAAGTTTTATTCTTTCTTTTCTTTCTTTCTTTCTCTTTCTTTCTTTCTTTCTTTCTTTCTTTCTTTCTTTCTTTCTTTCTTTCTTTCCTCTCTCTCTCTTCCTTCCTTCCTTCCTCCCTCCCTCTCTCCCTCTCTCTTTCTTTCTTTCTCTCTTTTTATCTTTCTCCTTTCTCTTTCTCCTTTCTTTCATCTTTCTTCTTTCTTTTTCTTTCTCTTCTTTCTTTCTTTCTCTCTCTCTCCTTCCTTCCTTCCTTCCCCTCTCTCTCTTTCTTTCCTTCTTTCTTTCTTTCTTGGAGTCTCACTCTGTTGCCTAGACTGGAGTGCAGTGGTGCCATCTCAGCTCACTGCAACCTCCATCTCCCAGGTTCAAGTGATTCTCCTGTCTCAGCCTCCCAAGTAGCTGGAACTACAGGTGCCTGCCACCATGCCTGGCTAATTTTTGTATTTTCTAGTAGAGATGGAATTTCTTCATGTTGGCCAGGCTGGTCTTGAACTCCTGACCTCAGGTGATCCACCCGCCTCGGCCTCCCAAAGTGCTGGGTTTACAGGTGTTAGCCACTGTGCCCAGCCTCTTCTCTTCTTTCTCTATTCTTTTCTTTTCTTTTTCTTTCTTTCTCTCTTTCTTTCTTTTCTTTCTTTCTTCTTTCTCTCTCTTTCTCTCTCTCTTTCCTTCTTTCTCTCTTTCTTTCCCTCTCTCTTTCTTTCCTTCTTTCTCTCTCTTTCTTTTTCCTTCCTTCCTTCCTTCCTTCATTCCTTCCTTCCTTCCTTACTCCCTCTCTCCCTCCCTCCCCCTCCCCTCCCCTCTCCTCTTCTCTTCTTCTTCTTTCTGACAGAGTCTCACTCTGTTGCCTAGGCAGGAGTACAGTGGAGTGACTATAGCTCACTGCAGCCTCAAACTCCTGATCTCAAGTGATCCTCTCACCTTGGCCTCCCAAAATGCTGGAATTACAGGCATTAGCCACTGCACCTGGCCAAGAAAGGCTGATTTTCTTCCAAAGCAGTCAAAAAAGTCAAATGAGGTTAAAATAACAGGAAGAGAAGAAGGTAGAGATGTGGGTGATGTCAGTGATGGAGAACATCTGACAGATGGCCTTTTAATGAATACTCTTATGATTTAAAATGTCTTCTTAAACTAAGGCTTGTGGTAATTCTTTGAGTTCCAATGTAATTGTCATGCATTCACTAAGGAGATTCTTTTAAAAAGCTGTCAATTTGGTTGAGGAAGATTAGAAAAGCAGAAGCAAGAACATTTTTAGACATTTTTAAAGAACTCATTTAGCTGCTTCCTCATTAATCAGTCTGTTTTCTGAGAGCAAACTGCTGTATAATTACCAGGGGGAAATTGCTCTTAAAGAGAAGCTGCAAAATGTCTATAGGAAAACGTGATTTTCTCACTGGTATCCAGAAAGACTTAACCTGCTTAACACAGATGAAAAATTTTTATTAATAAAGTGATTTTCCATCATCTGGTCATTTAGGGAGTTTCCTATTTTAGAGCTGCTTATTTATAGGGAATATTGATGGAGAAAGAGGAAAAATGATCAGGCTAATAGGCATTACATCTGAAGTCCTGAGACTCCTTCTGATTATATAAACCCTTCTCCCATTGTGAGCACGGCACTCAATGTCCCAGGTAGTCCTCATAGTATGTTTCGAGATAAAATCTCCCATATGATAAATGCCAAGTTTTATTTAACAAGCCAGCAAGTCAGCATCTGGAAGCAAGTCTACAGGCAGATCTTTAACTTCCAGGAATTCTGTTGGGGATTTAATGTTTCTATAGCAACACTTGTTGTAGCATAAACTAAATTTGAAGAATGTTGAGGGTTTGCCTCTGTGATGTATTTCTTTTATCTATGAACATAAATTACAGAGGGTCTCAAGATTACATATATACATCTAATCTATATTGTTATAAATATACATAATTGTTTTTGCTAACATTTTTTCTTTTCTGAAAACTCATGTAGCAGCAGAAATGCAAGTCTTTCAAATGCTTTTGGGAAGACTGTGTAAAGAAATGGCTGTCCCTTGTTCAAAGACATCAAACATTTCTATGCAAGATGTCTTATTTCGCCAGTAGTAATATGCTCCCATCATAGGAAAATTGGCTGTCTACATTTAAAAGAAAAATGAAGACATCATTAAAACTATCAGGAAGTCTGGAAACAATATAGCAATTTTTAACCTAATGGTGCTAAGAGAGTGACATGAATGTTCTTGATCATCCAGTCTTTGATGGTGGATGCAGGTCTTTTTAGTCCATTTTAATGGTCAAGATTGGTTAGCTTCAAAAGAAAAAGATTTGAGATTTGCAAAAAAAAATTGTTCACCAATGACATGTTTTTGAGACCCCTTTTTATTGTAACCTTGACTATTAAGTTGCCTGTGGCTTCATTTTTATAGAAAATGAGTTTCAGCAGGTGGAACTGAAAATTACTGTTAGGAAAGAATGATTTCCAATGAGGTCAGAATTAGTACACATTTATGTTTTTACTGTTTATATATGTACTTCCTCCACTTCTTATGACCCAAAGTCATAATCTTCTCATTGTAAGGTCACAATTGTGACACAGTAACTAGTAAAAGGTTTAAATCTTTTTTACAGCAGCAAAACATTGAACCTTTGCCTTGTGGATTCTCATTTATTAAGTCAAAGAGAAAAGGAGTATAAGATATAAAGTTTCATGTGCAGACCTTCCCTCCTTATGAATTCTGTGTTGAAATGAATAACTGTAAAGTGAGTATTTAAAACTTTTTTCTCCAATATATTAGAGGAGGTTTAACCATCATTATTAATTAAGTGACAAGCTATTCATTAGGCAAGGTGACATGTCCAAAGGTCAGGATGACTGTGTTCAAAAGCTTATTCACAACTAAAAGATTAAATTTGGCAAGGATTCCCAACTGGGGATCTAAAGGTCAGAGAAAGCATACCATACAAGTTTAAATACTTTGAATGTGGTTTCTTTTTAAGTTCTATACTTTAAAGTCAATCTAAGACAAGTTTAGTATAGTCCCTAATGTTTCAGTTTACAAAAGGAACACAGTTTACATGTGGCTTCATCAAAGAAGTAAGAGGGTGGTTTCATCTTTAGAACATTCTAGCATAATTCTATCCAATGTCTGAGAACATATTATTGTGTGATTTTGGAGAAATCAGCAGGTGCCAAGAAATGTCACTCAAATCATGTCTAAATATCTGAAATTCTATTCTTAGAAAGTGTATTTGGAGAGACTGAGTGGTATAGAGAAGACAGCATTAACTTTGGAAACAGAACTTAATTCCCAATCCACGTTCCACCAATTACCAGCAGTAGCCCTTCGGGCATCTTTGACCACATCTACAATCGCAGATGTGAAGTCTCTATCCTGGGCTCATCTGGTAGCCACTCCCATTCCCCCTCTCCCTGATTGCCATTCACCATAGAGACTGGAAACCCTAAGTCTTTGCTCTCTCATCTCCCATGCAACTGGGAGGAGCCAGGTGGCCTAGTCTAGCCATTCAGATGTAAATAGAAACCTGTTGGAGGCTTCTGGAGGAACTTTTGCTTCCTTGTCAAGGGGCCAGACTCAGAAAGAGAGCACACCAGCAACACCTGTTTTCTCTTTTCCCTGTGAAAGCTAGAGCTTCATTAGCCCTCATGCTTCTACAAAGAAACAGGCATAAGGTTGAGAAAGCAATGTGTTAAGTACAGCAAAAGGAAAAATAGAGTTTAGGAGTCTTCGATGGCATGGTTGAGCTGGAAACACCAACTTCTGGACTTTTGTAACAGAAGAGAATGAACTGTCTTTATGATTTACACTACCATCAGTGAGATTTTCTGATACTTGCAGCTGAAAGCATTCCTAACTGCCCAACCCACAAGCATATTATAATATTAAATGAGATAAGATGATAACACCGTAGCACAAGACTAGGCTCACAGGAGATAGAGAATAAATTTTAGTCATTTTCTCTACCCAGTGCTTTACATATCTTTTTTTAATACAAAAGCACATTAATAGAATAACTCATTAAATGGTTCACACTGTTATTTATGTTGGTAGTTGCTTTTCTTTTCAGCAGGGAATATAAAGAGCCTTGTAGGCTGTGTAGGGTTTGTGTTGGAAAAGTCCTTGATCAAAGGTGCACCTTTGAAATAACCTACCATAAATGATGAGGGTTAAAACTGGGGCAGCAACAGCAGAAGATAAACTTTATACAGAAGGTAAAGTCATCAGGATTTGGTGTTTGGTAGGATATGGGTGTGAGGGGCAAGGCAGAGTTGAAAGATGATTTCTATTTCTAACTTGAGTGACTAGGTGGATAATGATACAAATAATTGAGAAAAATATATAGTTATTGCTGATTTGGGGAAACGTTGACAAGTTTAAGCATATTGAGCCAGTTATATACACGAGGCAAGGTAGATATCAGAGCCTGCAGCTTCTGGAAAATTTGGAAACCATCAGCTTAAAAGTGGTAGCTTAAATCATAGCAGTAGGTGAGATCAACCAAAAAGAGAATATAGAACCATAACTTTATGTGTCTGAAGATAAATAGTGTGGAGCAGTGACAAAATATATATTATAAATTTCTATAAATAGAAAGTAATGAAAATGAGTCCATTTACACCATAAGACATGAAAGACTGATAAAGAAAAACTTATAGTTGCAATTATCTCTGCTATTTAAGAAGACGAACATTTACAAAATGGTAGTACTTTTCTTAAAAAATTAAAATCTGAACAAGGAAATAAGCTAAAAATGAAAGTTATAAAGAAAAAAGCTGAAATTAATGATCAGAAAATAAAATAATAGTAAAAGGTGAACTAAATTCAAAAGCTACTTCTTGATCAATGAAATAAATATGTAAATCACAGGAGTGATTATGAAAAAAGTATAAAAATTTGCACATTTGGAATGAACAAAAAGACATAATCACAGATACAAAATAAAAAAGGTGGATGTGAGGGTGAACTTTCTGGGACATCCATCACCCACTGATTGCCAGGGCTGCTGATCAGGCTGGCTAGGCAGGTGTCCCATTCCTCCCTCACCACTCCATGTGCTTCCTTCCCAAAGCTGCATGCTCAGTTGAAGATGATGACCATTCCTGATCGAGAAGGACTTAGGTTAAGGGTATATGAGTAGCTGTGTTTCCCTGCTCAAACCTCCAAACAAGCTCTCAAAATAAAAAATATTATAATAAAATGTACGTGCAACTCTTTGACAATAAATTTGAAAACCTATAATACACAAAGGATTCTCTTATAAATTTTAAGTTCTCAAAAGTGGCCTAAGTAGTAGAAAATTTTAAGAGATCATTTGTCACAAAAAGTTTGGGATAGATAGTTAATACACTATTGTGTTAGAGGCCTCAGGATCAGGTAATTTCAAACCTGAGTTTTAGCTAGCTTTAAGAATAGAGAATTCTGGTAAATCGTAATTCATAAATGTAAACATTAAAAATTTCCCAATTCATATGAAACTAGCATAATTTAATAACCAAACTGAAGCTGAATCGGAAAAGAACATTATCAGTTGCTTCCAAGATGGCCGAATAGGAACAGCTCCTATCTACAGCTCCCAGCGAGATCGAAGCAGAAGAAGGGTGATTTCTGCATTTCCAACTGAGGTACCTAGTTCTTCTCACTGGGACAGGTTGGACAGTGGGTGTAGCCCATGGAGGGTGAGCTGAAGCAGGGCAGGACATTGCCTCACCTGGGAAGCACAAGGGGTCGGGGGATTTCCCTTTCCTAGCCAAGGGAAGCTGTGAATGACTGTACCTAGAGGAGCAGTACCCTCCTGCCCAAGTGCTTTTCCCATGGTCTTTGCAACCAGCAGACCAGGAGATCCCCTCCCATGCCTGGCTCGGTGGGTCCCACGGCCACAGAGCCTTGGTTGCTGCTAGCATAGCAGTCTGAGATCGACCTGGGACACAGGAGTTTGGCGGGGGGGAGGGGCATCCGCTATTGCTGATGCTTGAGTAGGTGGTTCTATGCTCACAGTGTAAACAAAGTGGCAAGGAAGCTCAAACTGGGCGGAGCCCACCACAGCTCAGCAAGGCCTACTGCCTCTCTAGATTCCACCTCTGGGGGCAGGGCATAGCAGAACAAAAGGCAGCAGACAGCTTCTTCAGACTTAAACATCCCTGCCTGACAGCTCTGAAGAGAGCAGTAGTTCTCCCAGCATGGCGTTTGAGCTCCAATAACGGACAGACTGCCTCCTCAAGTGGGTCCCTGACCCCTGTGTAGCCTGACTGGGAGACACCTCCAGTAGGGGCCAACAGACACCTCATACAGTTGGGTGCCACTCTGAGATGAAGCTTCCAGAGGGAGGATCAGGCAGCAATATTTGTCGTTCTGCAGCCTTCGCTGGTGATACCCAGGAAAACAGGGTCTGGAGTGGACCTTCAGCAAACTCGAACAGACCTGCAGCTGAGGGGCCTGTCTGTTAGAAGGAAAACTAACAAACAGAAAGGAATAGCATCAACATCAACAAAAAGGACATCCACACCAAAACCCCATCTGTAGGCCACCAACATCAAAGACCAAAGGTAGATAAAACCACAAAGATGGGGAGAAACCAGAGCAGAAAGGCTGAAAATTCCAAAAACTGGAAAGCCTCTTCTCCTCCAAAGGAACACAACTCTTCACCAGCAAGGGAACAAAACTGGATGGAGAGTGAGTTTGACAAGTTGACACAAGTAGGCTTCAGAAGGTCAGGAATAACAAACTTATCTGAGCTAAAGGAGCATGTTCTAACCCATCGCAAGGAAGCTAAAAACCTTGAAAAAAGGTTAGATGAATAGCTAACTAGAATAAACAGTGTAGAGAAGAGCTTAAATGACCAGATGGAGCTGAAAACCACAGTACAAGAACTTCGTGAAGCATACATAAGCTTCAATAGCCAAATCAATCAAGCGGAAAAAAGGATATCAGTGATTGAAGATCAAATTAATGAAATAAAGTGAGAAGACAAGATTAGAGAAAAAAGAGTGAAAAGAAACGAACAAAGCCTCCAAGAAATATGGGACTATGTGAAAAGACCAAATCTACATTTGATTGGTGTACCTGAAACTGACAGGGAGAACAGAACCAAGTTAGAAAACACTCTTCAGGATATTATCCAGGAGAACTTCCCCAACCTAGCAAGGCAGGCCAACATTCAAATTCAGGAAATACAGAGAACACCACAAAGATACTCCTTGAGAAGAGCAACTCCAAGACACATAATTATCAGATTCACCAAGGTTGAAATGAAGGAAAAAATGTTAAGGGCAGCCAGAAAGAAAGGTCGGGTTACCCACAAAGGGAAGCCCATCAGACTAAGTGGATCTCTCTGCAGAAACCCTACAAGCCAGAAGAGAGTTGGGGCCAATATTAAACATTCTTAAGGAAAAGAATTTTTAACCCATAATTTCATATCCAGCCAAACTAAGCTTCATAAGTCAAGGAGAAATAAAATCCTTTATAGACAAGCAAATGCTGAGAGATTTTGTCACCACCAGGCCTGCTTTACAAGAGCTCCTGAAGGAAGCACTAAACATGGAAAGGAACGACCAGTATCAGCCACTGCAAAAACAGGCCAAAATTATAATGACCATCGATGCTATGAAGAAACTGCATCAATTAACAGGCAAAATAACCAGCTAGCATAATAATGACAGGATCAAATTCACACATAACAATATTAACCTTAAATATAAATGGGCTAAATGCCCCAATTAAAATACACAGACTGGAAAATCAGATAAAGAGTCAAGACCCATTGGTGTGCTGTATTCAGAAGACCCATCTCACATGCAAAGACACACATAGTCTCAAAATAAAGGGATGGAGGAAGATTTACCAAGCAAATGGAAAGCAAAAAATAGCAGGAGTTGTAATCCTGGTCTCTGATAAAACAAACTTTAAACCAACAAAGATCAAAAGAGACAAAGAAGGCCATTACATAATGGTAAAGGGATCAATTCAACAAAAAGAGCTAACTATCCTAAATATATATGCACCCAATACAGGAGCACCCAGATTCATAAAGCAAGTCCTTAGAGACCTACAAAGAGACTTAGACTCCCACACAATAATAATAGTGGGAGACTTTAACACCCCACTGTCAATATTAGATCAATGAGACAGAAAATTAACAAGGATATCCAGGATTTGAACTCAGCTCTGCCCCAAGTGGACCTAAGAGACATCTATAGGACTCTTCTCCCCAAATCAACAGAATATGCATTCTTCTCATCACCACATCACACTTATTCTAAAATCGACCACATAGTTGGAAGTAAAACACTCCTCAGCAAATGTAAAAGAATAGAAATCACAACAAACTGTCTCTCAGACCACAGTGCAATCAAAGTAGAACTCAGGATTAAAAATCTCACTCAAAACCGCACAACTACATGGAAACAGAACAACCTGCTCCTAAATGACTACTGCATAAATAACAAAATGAAGGCAAAATAAAGATGTTCTTTGAAACCAATGAGAACAAAGACACAATGTACTAGAATCTCTGGGACACATTTAAAGTAGTGTATAGAGGGAAATTTATAGCACTAAGTGTCCACAAGAGAAAACAGGAGAGACCTAAAATCGACACCCTAACATCACAATTAAAAGAACTAGAGAAGCAAGAACAAACAAATTCAAAAGCTAGCAGAAGACAGGAAATAACTAAGATCAGAGCAGAAGTGAAGGAGATAGAGACACAAAAAAAAAAAACTTCAAAAAAATCAATGAATCCAGGAGCTGGTTTTTTGAAAAGATCAACAAAATTGATAGACCACTAGCAAGACTAATAAAGAAGAAAAGTGAAAAGAATCAAACAGATGCAATAAAAAATGATAAAGGGGATATCACCACCGATCCCACAGAAATACAAACTACCATCAAAGAATACTATAAACACCTCTATGCAAATAAACTAGAAAATCTAGAAGAAATGGATAAATTCCTAGACACATACACCCTCCCAAGACTAAACCAGGAAGAAGTTGAATCTCTGAATAGACCAATAACAGGTTCTGAAATTGAGGCAATAATTAATAGCCTACCAACCAAAACAAGTCCAGGACCAGAGGGATTCACAGCCTAATTCCACCAGAGGTACAAAAAGGAGATTGTAGCATTTCTTCTGAAACTATTCTGATCAATACAAAAAGAGGTAATCATCCCCAACTCATTTTATGAGTCCAGCATTATCCTGATACCAAAGCCTGGCAGAGACACACAAAAAAAGAGAAATTTAGGTCAATATCCCTGATGAACATTGGTGTGAAAATCCTCAATGAAATACTGGCAAACCAAATCCAGCAGCACATCAAAAAGCTTATCCACCATGATCAAGTGGGCTTCATCCCTGGGACGCAAGGCTGGTTCAACATATGCAAATCAATAAACATAATCCATCACGTAAACAGAACCAATGACAAAAAGCACAAGATTATCTCAACAGATGCAGGAAAGGCCTTCGACAAAATTCAACAGCCCTGCATGCTAAAAACTCTCAATAAACCAGGTATTAATGGAATGTATCTCAACATAATAAGAGCTATTTAAGACAAACCCACAGCCAATATCATACTGAATGGGCAAAAACTGGAAGCATTCCCTTTGACAACTGGCACAAGACAGGGATGCCCTCTCTCACCACTCCTATTCAACATAGTATTGGAAGTTCTGGCCAGGGCAAGAGAAAGCAATAAAGGTATTTGAATAGGAAGAGAGGAAGTCAAATTGTCTCTGTTTGCAGATGACATGATTGTATATTTAGAAAACCCCATCATCTCATCCTAAAATCTCCTTAAGCTGATAAGCAACTACAGCAAAGTCTCAGGATACAAAATCAATGTGCAAAAATCACAAGCATTCCTATACACCGATAACAGACAAACAGAGAGTCAAATCATGAGTGAACTCCCATTCACAATTGCTACTAAGAGAATAAAATATCTAGGAATCCAACTTACAAGGGATGTGAAGGACCTCTTCAAGGAGAACTACAAACCACTGCTCAAGGAAATATGAGAGGACACAAACATATGGAAAAACATTCCATGCTCATGGATAGGAAGAATCAATATTGTGAAAATGGCCTTACTGCCCAAAGTAATTTATAGATTTAATGCTATCCCCATCAAGCTACCACTGACTTTCTTCACAGAACTGGAAAAAACTACTTTAAACTTCATATGGAACTAAAAAAGAGCCTGCATAGCCAAGACAATCCTGGGTAAGAAGAACAAAGCTGGAGGCATCATGCTACCTGACTTCAAACTTTACTACAAGGCAACAGTAACCAAAACAGCATGGTTCTGGTACCAAAACAGAGATATGGGCCAAAGGAACAGAAATAACACCACACATCTACCACCATCTCATCTTTGACAAACCTGACACACACAAGCAATGGGGAAAAGATTCCTTATTTAACAAATGGTGTTGGGAAAACTGGCTAGCCATAGGCAGAAAACTGAAACTGGACCCCTTCCTTATACCTTATACGAAAATCACCTCAAGATGGATCAAAGACTTAAACATAAGACCTAGGACCATAAAAATCCTAGAAGAAAATCTGGGCAATACCATTCAGGACATAGGCATGAGCAAAGACTTTATGTCTAAAACACCAAAAGCAATGGCAACAAAAGCCGAAATTGACAAACGGGATCTAATTAAACTAAAGAGCTTCTGCATAGCAAAGAAACTATCATCAGAGTGAAGAGGCAACCTACAGAATGGGAGAAAATTTTTGCAATCTATCCATCTGACAAGAGGCTAATATCCAGAATCTACAAAGAACTTAAACAAGTTTCCAAAAAAAAAAAAAAAAAAAAGCAAACAACCCCATCAAAAAATGGGCAAAGAACATGAACAGACACTTCTCAAAAGAAGATATTTATGCCACCAACAGACATATGAAAAAATGCTCATCATCCCTGGTCGTTAGAGAAATGCAAATCAAAACCACAATGAGATACCATCTCACACCAGTTAGAATGGTGATCTTTAAAAATTCAGGAAACAACAGATGCTGGAGAGGTTGTAGAAAAATAGGAACCCTTTTACACTGTTGGTGGGAGTGTAAATTAGTTCAACCATTGTGGAAGACAGTGTGGCAATTCCTCAAGGATCTAGAACTAGAAATAGCATTTGACCCAGCAATCCCATTACTGGGCATATACCCAAAGGATTGTAAATCATGTTTGTTTATTGCAGCACTATTCACAATAGCAGAGACTTGAAACCAACCTAAATGTCCATCAATGATAGACTGGATTAAGAAAATGTGGCACATATACACCATGGAATACTATGCAGCCATAAAAAGGAGGAGTTCATGTCCTTTGCAGGGACATGGATGAAGCTGGAAACCATCATTCTCAGCAAACTACCACAAGATCAGAAAATCAAACACCGCATGTTCTCACTCATAAGTAGGAGTTGAACAATGAGAACACATGGACACAGGGAGGGGGACATCACACACAGGGACCTATAGGGGGTGGGGAGCTAGGGGAGGGATAAAATTAGGAGAAATACCTAATGTAGGTGACGGATTGATGGGTGCAGCAAACCACTATGGCACGTGTATACCTATGTAACAAAACTGCATGTTCTGCACACGTAACCCAGAACTTAAAGTATATATAAAAAAAGAGCTGAAAATTATCTTACCAGTCTGATTATAACTGGCTAATCCTGAATACTATTAGATTTGCATTAAATAAATCCCAAATGTTAGTTATAAATGCAAAATGTTTTGAAGTGCATTTTGGCAAAGGAGCAGGGTTGCAAAGTCCCCACTCTCTAATTGACCATTGGTTTTTCTGGTGACCAGCCCCCATCATGAAGCTATCTAGGGGCTGCCAGCCACCAGTCAACTTATTAGCATACAAAAAGACATTTATCACTTTGGGGATTCCAAGGATTTTAGGAGTTGTATGCCAGAAAACAGGATGAAGACCAAATATATAGTTTACAAATCACACCTACTTTTACTATTATTATTTAATATTGTTTAGATATTTTAGTAAATGCAATAAACCTAATATGCACAGCATAAATATGGAAAGAAAGAGGTGAAACTTTTTGCTGACAATATAATTTTATACCTGATATCATCAAGAAACTCTAGTAAAAAAAGTAAATAGAAGTAAAAGAAAGAATTTGATGGATTGGGTAGATACAACATAAAGATATAGTATGATTAGCTTTTTCTATATAAGCCATACCCACATACAAACGAAAATGAGGAAACTATTCCATTCATAATAGTAACAAAAATCATAAAATAGGAATAAATTATATGACAAAGGAATAGGACCCATGTAAAAAATAAAATCGTACTGGAGGACAAAAATGGGATCTGAACAATTAGAAATTTACACCACGTTCTTGAAAAGTGACACTTTTTCTCATAAATAGAGCTGTTCTCCTGAAAATAGTATATAAATTCAGTACAACTTCCATAGAATCTCTGGCAGTTTTAATTGGATAAAATATTCAAATTGATGAATAAAGAATGATAGTATTAGCCTGGCCAACATGTGAAAGCCCATCTCTATTAAAAATACAAAAATTAGCCTAGGGTGGTGGCAGGCTACTCAGGAGGCTGAGGCAGGAGAATCGTTTGAACCCAGGAGGCAGAGGTTTCAGTGAGCTGAGATCACACCATTGCACTCCAGCCTGGGTGACAGATTGAGACTCTGTCTCAAAAACAAAAAGAATGACAGTATTAAAACTACTTAAAAGCCAGTATAATAAAACAGTACAATATAGGCACAAGACTACCAAAAAAATCAGTAAAAAATAATAATAAAGAGATCTCAGAATTGTGTAATACCTCATGAAGATGATACTTCATTATATCATTGTGGGGAAATTTAATTAATAATCTCATCACAATTGGATATGCTCTTGGAAGAAAATAAATGTGGACCCCCTAGTTTATATTAATTATGAAGTAAATTCCTAATGAATTTGACTTGAAAGTAAAAATAAATAAATAACCATTTTATAAAAAATTAGGTTATTATCTGTACACCTAAGAATTAAAGAAATATTTTAAACAAAGGTAGGTGATCAACCTAACCTTTATAAAACTTCAAGGTATTATTTGTAGTGCAAGAGATACCAAAAACAAAATCAGTAGGTAAACAAGCTGGAAAAAATATAAATCAAATGATAGATAAAAATTTGCATCTATATATAAAAAAAGCTATGTCACAATTTAATAAGATAAAGATAATCAACCCAATAGCAAAATAGGTTGGGGATATGAATAGGCAATTGGCAGAAGAGCAAGTATGATAAAATGTTCAATCTCCTCCAATAGGCAGAGAAAGGGAAATGAAAATTACCATGATCATAGCCATCAGAGTGGCAAAAATCAAAGAGTAACTGCACCTATTATTAGCAGAGATGGGAGTCAGGGCAAGGGCACTTTCATATATCACTGGTAGAAATGTGAAAAAGCAATTCGTGATCTCTATTAAAAATTTAAATGCACTTGCAATTCAACCCAGAATCTCAATCCTGGGACTCTATACTATAGAAATAAAAGCCCCAGTATATATAAGTGTGTGTGTGTGAGTGTGTATGTACTGCAGCATTATTTTTAATAACAAAAAGTTGATAGCAAATCAAAACTCTATTAGTAAAAGAATAGCTGAATGATAATAATGCTTACAGTAGAATTTTATCCAAGAATTAAAAATTAATTACCTATACTACCTGATCTTGAGGAATTTCCATTATATATTGTTAAGATACAGAGAATTATATATCACCAATCCCTTTAAAAATGTCCCCCTTAAATCTTGTGTGGGTATAAAAACACACATAAATGAGCATGCACACACACACATACACACACACATATATTATGCCTATGTGTACATAATGCAGAAAGAGTTACATGGAAAAATGGTCACTGAAATGTTGTTTTCTCAGAAAGGTGGCTTTTACATTTTTCCTTAATGTATTTATTATTTTGCAATTTTCTTTTTTTTAAATTTCAACTTTTATTTCAGATTCAGGTGGTACATGTGCAGGTTTGTTACCTGAATGTATTACATGATGTTGAGTGTGGGGGTACAAATGATCCCTTCATCCAGATACTGAGCATTAGTACCCAATAGTTAGTTTTTCAACCCTTTTTCTCCTTCCCCCTCCCCACAATAGTCCCCAGTTTCTTTTGCTGCTATCTTTACGTCCATGAGTATCCAATGTTTAGTTCCCACTTTTAAGTGAGAACATGTGGTATTTGGTTTTTGTTTTTCTATATTATTCTGCTTAGAATAATGGCCTCCAACTGCATCCATGTTGATGCAAAGGACATGATTTCTTCCTTTTTTATGGCTGCATGGTATTCCATGGTGTGTATGTACCACATTTTCTTTGTCTAATCCATCATTGATGGGCACCTTGGTTGATTCCATGTCTTTGCTATTATGAATAGTGCTGCAATTAACATAAGGTGCATGTGTCTTTTTGGTAGAACAATTTATTTTCTTTTGCATATATATCCAGTAATGGGATTGCTGGGTCAAATGTTAATTCTGTTTTTAGTTCTTGGAGAAATCTCCAAACTGCTTTCCACTGTGGCTGAACTAATTTACATTCCCACCAACAGTGTGTAAGCATTCCCTTTACATTCCAACTAACAACATATAAGTGTTTCCTTTTCTCCACAGCCCTCCACAATCTGTTACCTATTGACTTTTTAATAATAGCCATTCTGACTGGTGTGAGATGGTATCTCATTGTGGTTTTGATTTGCATTTATCTGATGATTAGTGATATTGAGCATTTTTTTCATATGTTTGTTGGCTGCTTGTATGTCTCCTTTTGAGAAATGTCTGTTCATGTCTTTTGTCCACTTTTAATGGGGTTATCTGTTTTTGCTTGTTTAGTTGTTTAAGTTCCATATAGATTTTGAATATTAGACCTTTGTCAGATGCCTGGTTTGTGAATATTTTCTCCAATTCTGTAGGTTGTCTGTTTAGTCTGTCAATAGTTTCTTTTTGCTGTGCAGAAGCTCTTTATTTTAATTAGGTTCCACTTATCAATTTTTGTTTTTGTTGCAATTGCTTTTGAGGGCATAGTCATAAATTCTTTCCTAAGGGTGATGCCCAGAATGGTGTTTCCTAGTTTTTTTTCTAGGATTCTTGTAGTTTGAAGTCTTATATTTAAATCTTTAATCCATTTTGAGTTAATTTTTGTACATGGTGAAAGGTAGAAGTCCAGTTTCATTCTTCTGCATATGGCTAGCCTGTTATCCCAGCACTGTTTATTGAATAATAAGTCATTTCCTTATTGCTTATTTTTGTTGACTTTGTCAAAGACCAGATGGCTATAGGTGTGTGGCTTTATTTCTGGGTTATCTATTCTATTCCATTGGTCTGTGTGTCTGTTTTTGTACCAGTACCATACTGTTTTGGTTACTGTACCTTTATAGTATAGTTTGAGGTCAGGTAATGTGATGCTTCCAACTTTGTTCCTTTTGCTTAGGATTGCTTTGGCTGTTTGGGCTCTTTTTTAGCTCCATATGAATTTTGGAATCATTTTTTCTAGTTCTGTGAAAAACGATGTTAGTTTGATAGGAATAGCATTGAATCTGTAGATTGCTTTGAGCAGTACGGCCTTTTTAACAATATTGATTCTTCCAATCCATCAGCATGGAAAGTATCTTTCCATTTGCTTGTGTTATCTGATTTCTTTCAGTGGTGTTTTGTAGTTCTCACGATAGAGATCTTTCACCTCATTGGTTAGTTGTATTCCTAGGTATATTTTGTGTGTGTGTGGTTATTGTAAATGGAATTGCATTCTTGATTTGGCTCGCAGCTTGAATGTTATTGGTGAAGAGAAATGTTACTGCTTTTTGTACATTGATTTTGTATCCTGAAACTTTACTGAAGTCATTTATCAGTTCCGGGGCCTGTTGGCAGAGTCTTTAGGGTTTTCTATGTATGGAATCATATCATCAGCAAAGAGAGATAGTTTGACTTCTTCTTTTCCTATTTAGATGCCTTTTATTTATTTCTCTTGCCTAATTGCTCTGGCTAGGACTTCCTATTTTACAATTTTCAATGTTTGATTTATATCAGGAGTGCCTTAGTCCATTTGGGCTGCTATAACAAAACACTGGGTAGCTTATAAACAACAGAAGTTTATTTCTCACCATTCTGGAGGCTGGGAAGTGTAAGATCAAGGTGCCAGCAGAGTCTGATGAGGGCCTGCTTACTACTGCATAGGCAGCCTACCCTTTTTGCTCTGACCTCACATGGTGTCTCTTTTTCTATGGTTGCTAATTCCAATCATGAGGCTCCACCTTCCTGACCTAATCACTTCCCAAAAGCCCCACCTCCTGATACTGTCACCTGCAGGTTAGGTTTCAATATATGAATTTTGGAGGGACACAAATATTCGGACCATAGCAAGGAGACCTTCTTCCACCATGGGGAGGAAGAAATTGAGCAAATGCTTAAAGCTGTATGCCTGAATAGGGATACCTTAGCATTTATAAACAGTAAATAAACACTTATAAAAATGTAAATGTTCAAAATTAGGCTTCGATTAAATAAATTATGATCTATTCATGAAAATACTGTGAAGTAGCCATCTAAAATTATAAAATAAGTATATATTTGTTGACATGTAAAATATTCATTTTATTAACAGAAAGCAAAATTACTAAAAAGCATCCATAGCATACCATCTAAAAGAAAAATATATTTTATGTGTGTATGTCTACTTATATGTACATATATAAGTAAATACAGAATTACACAAATATGTTATATATCAGCATTTTGAAGGCAATATGCCCAAACATATTAACAGGGTTTATCTCTCCATGCCAGGCTTACGAGTGGCTTTATTTTCTAATTTTTGATATTATACATGTGATTTGCATCAACAAAGAAAGGGCTGAACTTTTCTTTCCTTTTTCCATCGCCCTTCCCCAGTTTAGGTTGGTTATTTTTCAATCCTGAGAGGGAAGAGGAATTACCTACAGAAGGGAACATTTCTGGGAGATCTTTCTGGCTCTCGGTTCTTCTCCTTGGAATTTTTGATTGTCCTGGAATCTAGCTCTTATTAGAAGAGATAGAATTTATTCCTTATCTTTAATTTTTCCTTGTTGTTAAACATTAAAGTCAAGCTTTGGCATCAACTTTATTAGCTCTAATCATGGCTGCATGCCATTAAGATTAATAATTCTGTTAGTTATTCCCCACCCACCACACAATTTTCCATGTCCCTTAAGGAACTGATGTGTTTATTCCTACACGGTCTGTTTATGAACTAAATGAGAAAGACAGACTTGTCACTTCAAAGTCATAGCTTGTTTAAATGCATTTGACCTGATCCACCAGATCTAAATCCAACTGACTTTTGGCCATTTTGAAAAGAATGAAGGTTGGCTACTTCCAAGAAAATCCCAGAGAATGTGCACAAGCCCTAAAGGAGCTTACAAGTAGGGAGTTCCAGGAATGCTTTTGAGGAATGGCTGTGAAGAAATTGGGCCTCCTCTAAGCTCAGGTCCTGGGTACAGAGCCTCAGGATAAAACCAATTTGCTGTTTATCCCTTTTAGACCCCAGGGATTTGGCCAACCTCTTCTCCTGTCTCCTGCCAACTTTGACCTGGTTTTCTACAAGACTTAAGAGGTAATATATTCATGTCTCAATTTATTCAATAGTTAGGTTTCTAAAAATTCTGGGAAATTTGTAAAAGGTTATATAAAAATCAGTTCAAAAATGAATTAAAAGTGAGGGATATATTCTATTAATAAGAAGAATAAATAGTTAATGAAAAAGTTACTTATGTAATAGTGACCAAAAAGAAGCCACTGAATAATAAGGTATACTTGAATTGCAAACAACATAAGTTTACAAATGTAGTAGCTGTGTTTTAAATGCCTTCATTATGGGAATTCTTGCATGTGAAGTCTTTATCATGTTCAATGATGCCCAGGTTTTGTCTTTTCTTTAACCTTGAGATAATTTTAATGAATTATAATGAGTCTGCTAATGTCTATGTTTCATTTATCTTTTGCAAAACAGGCTGATCACCTCCATTTTTACATATTGATAAGATTTGACTTCTTTTTCTTCTGGGGACCTCCCTATGATGCAAACTGACGATTTCCAGTTATTGTTTTACCTGCAGGTCAAAAATAATTTAAAAATAGTTATTCAAGTATCAAGCCACAAGTTCATGTGGCTTGATGAGTATAGACATTAGGAAGGAAGCAACGGCTGGTCCTGTGCCAGGCATCTTATTGAGAGTTGCTTCATACCACTTGGACTTGGCCTTGTTCAGTATTGTCAGAGAAAAAGCTTCCGAAATTTTTGGAAGGCATTTTGATCCCATTATTCTGAAATTTGCATGTGTGCTTTTTTTTTCGCTCTGTCACCCAGGAGGAAGTGCAGTGGTGCGATCTCCGCTCACCTGCAACCTCAGTCCCCTGGGTTCAAGCAATTCTCGTGCCTCAACCTCCTGAGTAGTTGGGATTACAGGCACCCACCACCATGCCTGGTTAATTTTTGTATTTTTAGTAGGGATGGGGTTTCACCCTGTTGGTCAGGCTGGTCTCAAACTCCTGACCTCAGGTGATCCACCCGCCTCAGCCTCCCAAAGTGCTGGGATTACAGGCATGAGCCACCGCACCTGGCCGCATGTGTATGTTTTAAACAATGTTAACTTGATTCAGATTTAATACTTGCCTCTGTTTACTTTTTAGTATAAATGAAGCTAGATCTATTCTTTCAGAGCTGTTTTACCTGGTTCCAATCTGAGCCATAATTCTTGGTTTAGGATCCATCACCCAACCCATGATTTGGAGCCTATTCAGACTCAGGCCCCACATGAGTTTGAGCTGCTATCACTACTGGGGAGTGTTACTTCTCCAATTCACTGTCATTCCTTGTCATATATATTTCAAGAACACTTACATAAAACACAAAAGAGGACAGCTCAGCCTCTGGAGGTGACTAGGTTCCTGTGTGGAGTCCCAGGCTGTGTGGATCAACAAAAGCTGGCCCTTATCCTGGACATCTGGAAAGATGCAGGAGAGAGGGACAGGAATTGGGTCTAAGGCAAAGTGGCTGAGCCAAGGAGAGGCAAAGTCAAAGTCAGCCCAGGATCTGGGCAGGGTTGAGGGGTGGTGTCGGGGGTGAGTAGTTTCCCCAAGGCCAAGAGGTGCAGAAAGGGAGAGTGTTTTACAGATGTCATGTGGTGTGTCACGGTCCCTGAATGCTTCTAGAAAGCTACACTAGAAAGCAGGGGTCCCTGGTTGTTAATATAAAACATATTACTTTAAATTTATACTGTATATTTATTTTTCAGCCAACACCTAATCTTATCTTTGCTTTAGTCCAGTGGCTTCCAAACTTTTGCACTGAGACCCACGGAGAACCTTTTACATCTCAACCCATTACACACATCTATACACTCTTAACTGAGATACAAGTTCAATAAAACAATATGTATTGTTATTACATATGATATCCTCTGATATTTACTTTGCCTTCCCTTGCATTCCCCTGCCTTCCCTTGTATTTTTTTTGTTTTTGTTGTTTGTTTTTTTGAGACAGGGTCTCATTCTGTTGCCCAGGCTGGAGTGCAGTGGTGCAATCTCGGCTCACTGCAAACTCTGCCTCCCGGGTTCAAGCGATTCTGGTGCCTCAGCCTCCCAAGTAGCTGGGATTACAGGTGTGTACCACCACTCCTGGCTGATTTTTAAAAATATTTTTAGTAGAGATGGGGTTTCACCATGTTGGCCAGGCTATTTTCAAACTCCTGACCTCAGATGATCAGGCCCGCCTTGGCCTCCCAAAGTGCTGGGATTAAAGGTGTGAGCTATCACACCTGGCCTCTGCTCCTATAGTTTTAAAGATACTGATTGTGACCCACCAAGTTCATCCCATAACTTACTAATGAATTGCAACCTGCAGATTGAAACTCTTTTTCATTCCAGTCAGTATAGCTCCTTCCAACTGCTATGGCCACCCCAGCATAAGCACCATGCTGTTCCCACCTTCTGAAGCAAACCCAGGGCAGCCCCAGATCTGCTGCCCTACCTTGTCCTTCTGTTTGTCCTTCCCTCCTCACCTCTCACAGCCACTCCCTCTCAGCCACTTTCCCCCATCTCGCTTTCACTTGATCTCTCAATTTTTGAGAGATAGAACAAAAAGCCATTTCCCAAAATATGGTAAGCATACCTGTCCTGGGGCCAAGACGATTTTAGGGACACAGAGATGAACTTATTCTCCTTTTGCTAGTTACAACCCTCTTTTTTCCAGTTGTCTTCTATACGTAACAAGTGATGCTGGTTTTCTCTTTAGAAGAAGAAAAAGTAATTGTAGCTAAAGTTTATTGAATACTTGCCATATGTCGGGCACTATTTTCAGAACTTTACATATGTAAACTTGTTTAACCTCCACAACAATCCTATGAAGCCGTTGCTAATATTATTATCACCATTTCACAGATGAAAAAATCCCAGAGGCACAGGGAGGTTAGGAATTTGCCTGAGATCACACAGCTGGTAAGTGGAGGGACCAGGAAGTCTAGCACCTTAGAAGAAAGTCAACTCTAGAAACAGCATTGAGTCAAACTCTCATTCTACCACTTTCTAACTGTGTGAACTTAGGCGAGTTATTCAGCCCACCTGTGCCTCAGTTTTCAAATCTCTGCCTCAGTTTCCTCACTGAATCTAACACATCATCAATTTATATATCACTAAAAAAGATTTAAAAGTATAAATTTAATCATGACTGGCTGGGTGCGGTGACTTATGCCTGTAATCCCAGCATTTTGGGAAGCTGAAGCAGCAGAATCACTTGAGGCCAGGAGTTTAAAACCAGACTGGAAAACATAGCAAGACCCTGTCTCTTAAAAAAAAATTTAACCATGACTTACAGGCTTTCTTATCAATTATTCATCCTGATAACAGAGAATGTTAAAATATAAAAAAAAGAACATCTTAGAATCAATGAAATATAATAATACTACATTGTAGGATTATCAAGAAGAGTACATGGATCTAGCATTTATTATGGTGCCTGGTACGCGGGAAGTTCTTCATCCATGTTAGCTCTTCTGGTTGTTACAATGGTTGTGCCTATTTGAGAGGGGAAAGAGTTGCGGCACAGAGAGAGTACATTCTCAGGTTGCCCTGGTAGGAAACTGGTGGTCCCCAGATCTAGCTGAGGTCTGTAACTCTCTTGCTGGCTGGGGCTGCCTGTCTCCAAGTCGGGTGAGGCCTGGCTTGTGTCTGAACACCAGACCAGTGGGCTTTCATTTTGCTTTATGTGCCTTCACCAAGAAGGTGGGTGTGGTGGCTCACGCCTGTAATCCTAGCACTTTGGGAGGCCGAGGCACGTGGTTAGCCTGAGCCTGGGAGTTCGAGACCAGCCTGGGCAACATGGTGAAACCCCGTCTCTACTAAAAATACAAAACTAGCCAGGCGTGGTGGTGTGTGCCTGTAATCCCAGCTACTCAGGAGGTAGCTGAATCGCTTGAATCTGGGAGGCGGAGAGTGCAGTGAGCCAAGATTGTGCCACTGCACTCTGTTTCAAATAAAAAAAAAGATCTATTGAGCCCATTTGCCTCAGGACCTTCCAGGTCTTTGTCATTCCTGTTTCCAGAGTCCTGAAGGTCATAACCATGGCCCACATTCCCCCCATTCCCAGGGGAGTGTCTAGACTTTCTGACTCAAGACAAATTACCAAATGTATAAATGCCCATTCCGCTTAATGACTTTACTTCCACTTTTCACAGACTCTCAGATGTGGCTAGAAATAGTCCCAAACCCTGCAATCTTTCATAGAGCTGAGCTAAATTAAGTGGGTAGTGTTCCTCCAGAATTCCTCTCCCAAGCACTTAACACTGATGTACGTCCCTCCCTACTTTGCTCACAGAACAGATGTTTGAAGAAACGTCACTTGACTGTGAAGAAGGAAAAAATGTTACTAAAATGTGGATTTCCACACCCACCCCCATACATAAGTTCTTGGATCTACTGCTGATGCACTCTTTATGCATATTTATTCAACACACGTACTCCTCCACACATGCACACACATATATGCAATGGACTCCCTACCCTCACCATTCACATGAACATTGTCACAAGGATTTTCTAACTTATATTTTTAATATTTTTGCTCCATAACCACGGCTTTGAGCTAATTGTTTCACATTTTCTTAATGTACACCAGAAATGGCATTTACATCTCAGTCTAGCAGCAGGTTCACTGGCAGGCAAGGCAAAAAGCACAAATTTAAATTTGGTCATAGCTAGACGGCAGAGCCACAGACCCCTGCTTAATTTCTGGTGTCCTTGGCCGGCTGCCTGAGAAGGAACTCTGTCCGCTGGGAACTCAGGCATTGGATGTAATAAGCACTGACTTCCACATTATAAGACTAAAGCTTTGTCGTACAGAGAGCACTAGGTCTTAGGCGATGACTTAGTGCCTTAGATTCCCATATTAGCACAAAGGTTAAACCTGATACTATTAATTGCAACCTTTCCAGATAATTATTTTCTCCTTTACCCTGTTGGGACCGCTTGTGTTCTCCGAGAAAACTCCCTGGGGTGAGCTTTCCTTACTTGCCACCTTCTTTTGTCTTCAGGGAGAGTGAAAACGAGGCATGGTGCAGCTCGGATCAAGCGTTTGCTGTCTCCTGCCTTTTTACCATGGCGACACGACACACCGAGCGCACTTTGAGAGCGAGAACTGTCCTCTAGAGGGAGAGACAGGAACACACACTGGAGGCTGAATGTTGTCTGTATCATCCCCAGTAGTTCTGAATTGTCATACTTTGCGGGAGGACCCTGGCTGGGGGCCTGCATTTTTTTCTCTGTGACTGAATCCTCTCTTGCTGGCTCTGTCACAGTCAGCCACCCTTCGCTGTTGACTGGTCCTCATACATCCATGAGAGCCTTGGGAAGGGACACACTCTTTCCTTGGCTCTTCCCTCTAAACGGCAACACAGGCCCTCCAGCTCCCAGACCAAATGGCTAATGCTGGGGCTGAAAAAACTGTACACCAAAATGAAGGCCTCAGAGCAGCCACGGAAGCAAAAGTTTTTCTCTGATCTTCTCCCGCCCTCCCCTGCAACCCAAGCCTAGCCATAAAAACTAGAATCCCTCTTCCCCCAAGGCGAGGCATAGAAACCAGAACCCCTTTTCCTGAAAGCCAGCCAAAACACCTAAAAATATTCCATACAAAAACGGGCCAGAAATAAATGATCTGACCTACCTTGTTTGACTGTAGGTCAGAAGACACCCATTGCAGAGAGCCCCCATTCCAGAGAGGGTAAAAGTCCCCATACCCAGAAGGAAGGAAAGCTACACAGGGAGACCAAGAAGAACCTGAACAGACAGGCCTTGTGGAGTCTCCCTGCTCAGTCTATTCACAGTAGATCAGACCCTTTTTGTCCAATCATATTTCTACGTGGCTGTCCATACCTTGTTGAACCTAAGCATAAAAATGGACAATTTTCCTTGTTTCTTTGGGTCTTCATTCTGAAGCCTCCCATGTATACATGTGAAATAAATGTGTGTGCCTTTTCTCCTATTCATCAATCTGCTTCATGTTAGTGATCTTACAACAAACCTTTAGGGGACCAAGGGCCTCAGCCCCCACACTAATCTTAGAATCATAGGTTGAGGCTGGCTCCCACCCAACCACCAACTGACATCTCTGAGGCCAGGGTGAGCTTACTCTTCAACACCAGGAATCATCAGGCTTCTCCATTTCATGCAGGAGAGACCCAAAGCCCTCTCCCAAGCCCAGGAAAAGGGAATGATTTGTTTTCCTCTTCACATCTTGTAAAACTGAAACTCTATACTCATTAAACACCAACTCTCCATTTCCGTCTCCTCCAGTCCCTGGCATGCATCATTCTACTTTCTGTCTATGTGGTTTTGACTACACTTATACCTCATATAAGTGGAATTATACAACATTTATCTTTTTGTGACTGGTTTATTTCACTTAACATAATGTCCTCATATGTTGTAGCATGTCAGATTTTCTTTTCTAAGACTGAATAATGTTCTATTGCATGTATACGCCATATTTTGCTTATCCGTATGTTGATGGACACTTACCAAAGACACGTTTTTTCATTGAATTATTTTCAGCTTCAGAATTCTAAAGATCCAGTCTATCCCAGGAAACTCCATTTCATATGTATTTTTCAATGATTAACCAATACTTGTTTAAAACTTGCAATTTTTACTGAATATATAACCTGTATCTGTCCTTTATCATCTGACATTTTTCTACTATGTAATTTTCGTGAACTGTTTAGTGTCCCATTGTGGCCTATCAGCCAGAATGGTCTGGGTTAAGCTGTAGTAACAAATAACCCCAAAATCTCAGTGACATAAAACAATTTTTAATTTCTTGCCCACTCTATGTGTCAATTGCAGATCAGTTAGGGATCGGCTCTGTGACATAATGTTCTCACTCCAGGACCCAGGTAGAAGAAAAACTGACCATGGGAAAAAAAATTATACATTGGCTCTTTTTTTTTTTTTTAATTATACTTTAAGTTTTAGGGTACGTGTGCACATTGTGCAGGTTAGTTACATATGTATACACGTGCCATGCTGGTGCGCTGCACCCACTAACTCATCATCTAGCATTAGGTATATCTCCCAGTGCTATCCCTCCCCCCTCCCCCCACCCCACCACAGTCCCCAGAGTGTGATATTCCCCTTCCTGTGTCCATGTGATCTCATTGTTCAATTCCCACCTATGAGTGAGAATATGCAGTGTTTGGTTTTTTGTTCTTGCGATAGTTTACTGAGAATGATGATTTCCAATTTCATCCATGTCCCTACAAAGGACATGAACTCATCATTTTTTATGGCTGCATAGTATTCCATGGTGTGTATGTGCCAAATTTTCTTAATCCAGTCTATCATTGTTGGACATTTGGGTTGGTTCCAAGTCTTTGCTATTGTGAATAGTGCCGCAATAAACATACGTGTGCATGTGTCTTTATAGCAGCATGATTTATAGTCCTTTGGGTATATACCCAGTAATGGGATGGCTGGGTCAAATGGTATTTCTAGTTCTAGATCCCTGAGGAATCGCCACGCTGACTTCCACAATGGTTGAACTAGTTTACAGTCCCACCAACAGCATAAAAGTGTTCCTATTTCTCCACATCCTTTCCAGCACCTGTTGTTTCCTGACTTTTTAATGATTGCCATTCTAACTGGTGTGAGATGGTATCTCATTGTGGTTTTGATTTGCATTTCTCTGATGGCCAGTGATGATGAGCATTTTTTCATGTGTTTTTTGGCTGCATAAATGTCTTCTTTTGAGAAATGTCTGTTCATGTCCTTTGCCCACTTTTTGATGGGGTTGTTTGTTTTTTTCTTGTAAATTTGTTTGAGTTCATTGTAGATTCTGGATATTAGCCCTTTGTCAGATGAGTAGGTTGCGAAAATTTTCTCCCATTTTGTAGGTTGCCTGTTCACTCTGATGGTAGTTTCTTTTGCTGTGCAGAAGCTCTTTAGTTTAATTAGATCCCATTTGTCAATTTTGTCTTTTGTTGCCATTGCTTTTGGTGTTTTGGACATGAGGTCCTTGCCCGTGCCTATGTCCTGAATGGTAAAGCCTAGGTTTTCTTCTAGGGTTTTTATGGTTTTAGGTCTAACGTTTAAGTCTTTAATCCATCTTGAATTGATTTTTGTATAAGGTGTAAGGAAGGGATCCAGTTTCAGCTTTCTACATATGGCTAGCCAGTTTTCCCAGCACCATTTATTAAATAGGGAATCCTTTCCCCATTGCTTGTTTTTCTCAGGTTTGTCAAAGATCAGATAGTTGTAGATATGTGGCATTATTTCTGAGGGCTCTGTTCTGTTCCATTGATCTATATCTCTGTTTTGGTACCAGTACCATGCTGTTTTGGTTACTGTAGCCTTGTAGTATAGTTTGAAGTCAGGTAGTGTGATGCCTCCAGCTTTGTTCTTTTGGCTTAGGATTGCCTTGGTGATACATTGGCTCTTAAAGTTTCTGCCTGGATGCCACATTGTATTTCCTTTCACATTTCCTTGGCTAAAGCTAGTCACATGGCCTCACTTAAGCTAAGGTGGGAAAGAAATGAAATCCTACTATGTGTCCAGCAGGAGAATTGGAAATATTTGGTGGACAGCACTAATGGTTACCATATATGAATGTAATATAATAAAGGATTCCCTATTTTAGGGCATCTAAGTTTTTTCCAATTTTTCCTTAAGCTGAGCAAATTTGTGGATATGTATTTTTTTAAGATGTCCATGGAAGTATACAGAATTTCAGGTGGAATGTTAGTAAAACCAGCCATTTATGTTGAAGTGGTGCAAATCTTAAACAAATTATAAGTCTCAAGCAATGATAATGATTTTGAGTCGTGGCATCCAGCATTGCTCCAAATACCAACAATCCAAAGTAAAACAGGCAAAAAAAAAGAGCCAGAATATTTAAATTTTCTTCTTAGATTGCCTAAAATCTGTTTATCTATTGTCTGTTTTTTTATTGTTAATAATGAATATTCTGTATCTTTATATAGGAAGATTCCCAATATTATCAGGTCCAACTAAAACTTTACCAGTTTGCAAATTATTCATCACCTGTTGCCCCCACTACTGAATCTAGTATGCAAGGTTTTGCATGCCAAACTGAGCACATGTGGCTTCGGGTGCTGTTTTCCAATCGTTTCTAGATGATCCCTCATGAAAACTTGTTCAGACACCCAGGTACATATTACCTCTAGCTGTGGACAAGTCCATCGGCAAATAATCATACCCTCCACACCCACTGACAGTAAACTCATGTAACAGCTAATGGGCTAATAGCCAACATTAACTTAAGGGACTGGCCACTACCCAAGGTAAATCAAGATACCACAGAGGTAATAACACAAACCATCTTGACAAATCAAATTCAAGGATAACTGTTGTACAGGGCCACTTGTGCAACTGTATCTGTGTAAATGCTGGCCAGACAGACTCAGTTGGTAGCTATTCTGCATGGGTTATCTCATATTCCAACTGCAAGACAAAGAGCAAAATGGCACTACTTTCCATGTTATGTGAAAAATGCATACTGCATTCAAACTACTGTTGTCCTCATTGAAACATCCATCCAACAAAGCTATGTGTATGTTACAAATATACTTTCAATTGTTTTTGTTATATCTTTTATTATTTAAGACCACTTTACCCTAATCATCTTCATGGGTACTTACGTGTGTAAAGTGGGGAAGGGAGATGAAAATTATCATTTTGAAACGTGTTTGAGAAATACTAGATAAAACAAAGATAATTCAGATTCTTAATTGCAAGACTTCTCAGAGCCTTTGATATACTAATGTGTCAGTAAATTTTCATGAATATAAATGACCACAGGGCATTTTTTAAAGTAAAGAAACAAAATATCATTAATGTATGAACAAATGGTTTGCCTCTTTCTTGACCTGTACCCTCAATGAAAACGTCTAACATTGTTCACTCAGCACCTTTCCCTCAATTTGATATTCATCTCATGGTCCTCACTCTACATCCTCAACTAATCAGAAGTGGAAGACTCAGGGTATCTGGAATGAGGGATTGTCATCAGACAGGGTCAGGGCTTTCTTGAAAGAAATTTAAAGTGATGGAAAGAAACAGGAAGAGGAAGAAAAGAGAAGATCCTGCAAAGGTAGAGGGTGTCCAAGATAATTTGGTGTGGAGCTGAGTGAAAAAAAATGGGGGAAGAGAGGTGTTGAGAAAGCTTTGAGATGTGAGACAATTGTAAAAGGAGAAGAATGAGGAAAAGAAAAATTTAAGAAATGAAGTTAGGAATTATGGATTGGATCTTCTTTAATATTCTTTGAGAAATGAAAGAAAGTGAAAGAGAGTGATCACACTTGGTTACTGAACTGTTTCTTTGAATGCTAACCCTGTTGAGACTGGCCACGTAGGCCCCGGGATTTATTCAAGTTACAACAGAACATCTCCACACCAGTATTCCACAAAATACCTTTAGAGAAATGCTGAATAACACTGTAAACTTACACAGCCTAGAATAGAGACAGGGAAAGAAGCAAAATATTGATTGCTTTTGGCCCAGGGGCCTTTCAAGATTTAGAAAACAAAGCTTAGAAGCAATGGCATTTTGTTTTTAAATTTTAAGGATTGAAACAAAACTAAGAATGAATTTTTCAGTAAAAAACAAGGTTACAATTTTTGATATTGATTTCATAAAAGAAAACATCAAGGCTGGGCATGGTGGCTGACACCTGTAATCCCAGCACTTTGGGAGCCTGAGGTGGCAGATCACTTGAAGCCAGGAGTTTGAGACCAGCCTGGCTGACATGATGAAACCCTGTCTCTACCAAAAATACAAAAGTTAGCCAGGCATGGTGGTGGGTGCCTGTAGTCCCAGCTGCTCCAGAGTCTGAGGCATGAGAATTGCTTGAGCCCAGGAGGTGGAGGTTGCAGTGAGCCGAGATTTCACCACTGCACTCCAGCCTGGGCAACAGAGTGAGTCTCAAAAAAAAAAAAAAAAAAAAAAAAATCAGAGCACTGCTTTCTCACACAATTTTAATTATTGCTTTGATTGAAACATAAATTTGTCAGTTCAAATAAAGCTTTTAATAACTCCACTTTGAATTTACATTAGTTCTAAGCCATTTGTTTGGCTAATTATGGATATTACTTGTATATCATACCTGTATACTTACATAGCATACTACTCCATTAGATTGTTAGTATTAAATGAATTAATACATGTAGAACAGTTAGAACAGGGCCTGCCATCATGTATACATATGTAACAAACCTGCACATTGTGCACATGTACCCTAGAACTTAAAGTATAAAAAAAAAAATAAACAGGGCCTGCCATTTAGTTAGAACTCCATACATTGAGCTATCAGTTTTATTACCAAATTTCATCACTTTAAAACATTTTTTTTTGCCTTTTTGCAATATCTCTGAAGTTGGAATGGTATCTTAGTCTGTTTAATCTACTATAACAAAATACAATAGGGTGGCTTATAAACAACAGCAATTTAGATCTCACAGTTCCGGAGGCTGGGAAGTCCAAGATCAAGGCACTGGCAGATTCAGAGTAAGGGCCTGCTTCCTCACAGACAGCTTTGTTCTCACTGTAACCTTATATGGCAGAAGGAGCAGAAAGAAGGGGCATATGCAATCTCTATGCAATCTCTTTTATAAGGACACTAATCTCAGGGGGATTCTGTCTTCTTGACTTAATCACCTCCCAAAGGCTCTACCTCAAATTGGGCAGAAGGATCTAACAGATGAATTTGGGATACACAAAAATTTAGATTAGAGCGGATAGTGTGCCGTAAATTCATTGGTAGCAATTTTTTCTTCTTAATAGTACATTAAATAATAGTGTTTCCAACAACTGATATTGTCTTCGATTCAATAAGATACATTATTATTATTACATGGCCCCTTTTCTCCCATTATTTTTGAATCTTTTGCTATATTTTTGTTTTCCACAAATGATTACCTTTCATTTTATAAATTGAAAGTCAAATACACATATCTTTTATATTATTTTTAAAAATCAAAGTACCACCCCCTTCTACTCCCATAAGATCTGTCAGGGTGAAAGATATTGTGGATAATCAGGGTTTTAGGTAATATATCGCCCATTCACTATATCTTGGGGAATGTTTGATAAAGGAGTTGAAATAAACAACAAATTAGAAGAGAGACTTCAGGTCAGGGAGATGTAAGGAAAACAAGATATGGTATTGTGTAATAGCCCTCATAAAATATGTAGAAGTTTTCTTAATCAATATTCACATAATCAGCTTATTGGATTTACCAGTAGTCTCCACTCCCTTGAACATCTGTAGTGGAAACTTTGAGTACATGAATCTGTAGCAGCTAGGGTTCTTTGGTTGCAAGTAACAGAAACCAACTCTTTCTTGCTAACTTAAGCAAAACGGGAGATTTTTGGAAGGCAGCAGGACAGCAAAAACAATAGGCTCAGAGACCAAACTCAGAAATGGCTGGAGCACCAGGCTTTGCACCAGGGAACACTTATGGATCTTTATGGTGTCAGGAACACCCAGCTTTCTTTTCTGGGAGCTACTCCTTGTTAAAATGGGTCTACTCTTTTTCAATCTGTTTGTCTTTCTGGTCAAGGCCAAAAGTGTAGGGAGGGAGCCCATAGATCCCCAGTTCATGTGCCTGCTCCTTGACTGAGGGAGAGTGGCACAACTTGATCAAAGTCCTACCAGACTGTCTCCAAGGGAAGAGGCAAATCCCAAGAAGGAACTAGGCACTATTACCAAAGGAATGTGGGATGGACACTGGCCTGCCAAAATAACCAACAAATGACCCCTACCAATCTAAACAACAACAGCAACTAGCACTTGGTCATCCCATCATGCTAAATTCCACAACCTGTAGGAAAGTTCATTGTAAAATGGAAAGAGCCATAAACACAGCTTTTGTACTTGTACTCCAGAAGACATCTTACCTGGAATAGTACTATAAATAAAGAGGAACTTGAGGGCAGCATGGGTGCGGCAAATCTTCTTCAGCTCAGCCGGCATCCCTCAAAGAGCGAATGCACAGGCCACAAAGAAAGGCACTTCCCGAGGGCACCCCTAGCTTTTGCCTTTATCCTTGACATGCCTATTCAGCTATTAGAGCTGCGTGATCCTACAGGTCAATCTCATTAGCTCATGTTCAAAATACTCGAATTTGTTTCCATGCACAAGATTAATTCTAGCTGGTAGCTTGACTTACACATTAGATGACTCACCACGTGCATGCAAACAGTCTTAGCTTTTCTCACAGTTGCCTGAGTCAACTTGCTTCTGTTAACTTGGGCGAATGATAGTTCGCTTTGTTTCCATCACCTGGCTTTTTTGGTGTTTCGTTCTGCCCCCAAGTGCCACTTTCTCCTTCCTGACTGATCTTTATCTCCTTGCCTTTGCATTTACTGTCCTACTGATTCCACAAACAATGCCCACTCCGGGGCACATGTTCCTGCTGTGGAGAAAAACAAACCAAAGCACAGCTGCTGAGCTTGTCACCTGCTTTCTTGGTAGGAGCAAGATGTTATTTTTTGCAAAGGCGGTTGTGGCAAGAAGCCCATCACTTAGCTTTAGCAGGAGCAGAGCGGGGACTAAAGCTTCATGTGAATCTAATCTGCAAAAATCCCTGGATGGAGTCTTTCTGGTTTCCATCTGCCACCTTTAAAATGATGTGTTTTATTATTACTGCACTTACCAAGAGTTATCTTTTCCACTGTGGTTTAAATACAATGTTAAAGACATTTAGAGAAGAACCAGTAATTTAAAGGAAAGTTGCTAAGCCAATATTTTTGTATGAACTTGGGTGTAGAAGACTGAGGGAAACTAGAAAATGGATGTTTGATATGGCATTTCAACATAGGGTTAGATGGTATTACTTTGATTTATGTTTTTGCTTATTCATGTGTGAGTGCATATTACATGTGGAGTTCTGTTTAATGGCTGACCCTGCACAGAGGCAGGTCTGAGAGCTCCAAGAAACACTTAGGTATGAACAATTTGCCTTGTCCCAACTTGCACTCTGCAACCCCACTTGCTTCCCATCCTTTTGGCTCCTGAGCTCTGGTTTTTCCATTTGTTGACCTTGCCTCGCTCCCTGGATCTCACACCTGGTACCAGTTTTCTGCTTACAGCCTTTTACTGCCTTTCTTGATGAGAGTTTAGATTTTCCTTCTGGCCTTCTTTTCTTCTGCCACTGGCTCGGCCCTCAGCACCTTCACCATCTCCTCTTTGACCAAGGACAGCTGTAAACAACTCTGTGAGCAGAACCCAGACATTTAAGGGGAAAAGAAAACCAGAATAAAGAATGTGTGGTTTATTTGAGGAAATAGACCCTGCATATATTGATAAACAAGGTTTGAAACACACAAAAAGCGTTCAGAGATAGAGCACTGTCAAAAGCCTAACTTTTGGAAAAAATTTTATAGGCTAAGGGTGATAAACAAGATCTATCTTCCATGCCAATTCTAATCGGTTGGTAGTGCCAACTGTGGGAAAGGATTCTAAAGCTTCATCTGCATTGAGCTGGAAAGAGTATCTTGATCAATTAGTGAAATGACCTTGAGCAAGGCAACATGCATTTGCTTATTGCTACCACTGCTGTGACAAATGGCCCACCCTTTAGAAATTTTTAAGTAGGAGAGTTTTTAAAAATGAGATCATTATTTTAAGGAGATTAATTTGTCTCTGCACAGGATGATTGAGAGGAGGACAAGATGTTTCCAGAGACACAAGTTAAAAGGCTCTTATTGTCTTGTTAAATGACAAAATGGCTAAACACAGCACCCAAAAGATGGGGAAAAAGATGACATAAGCTAGAGGAGCACTGTTCTCTGGGGAGTGAGGCTGAACTAATGTCAGTAGGAATTAGCTGGACCTGGGAAGGATGTCGCAGTGGCAGAAGCAGTGATTTCTTATACCTCCTGACAGGGGGCTAAGAAGGAAGAATGTTGGTTCCCCATCCCCAGTCCAATGCCAAATAGGCATCGGTATTGAGAGCAGCAGAAAACTATGTCCCATGCCACTTGCCAGAGGGGAGAGCTATCCTCTATCCTTTCCTGCTAAGCCCCCAGCAGGTGGAAGATGACCAGTGTGGACTCTGGGTTGGGGCTGGCAAAACCAAAGACTGATGAGTGTCTGTATCTGGATGTCGATCATTGTGAATATAGGAAGAAACGGATGGATAAAAATATTTTAGGAGGTAAAATAGAATTGATTAAAAGAATAAAATAAATAGGATTTTGTGAGTAACTAAAAAAGAATTAGGAAAAGTAGAAGTGACTCTACAGTTTCAGATATGGGAAAATGCGGAATGTAAGAGATTTACAGAGGAAGTTGAAGTGTGGCAGAGACTGCTAATTTTCTTTAATATCTGTCTTCTCTTTTCCCATAGAACCAGAACTGCAGACTTTTAGCTGAGCATATTACTTCTCAGAATAAAGATTGCATTTCCAGTCTTCCTTTCGGCTCAGTGCCTGTGTGTAAGTTCTTGCCTATAGGATATAAATAGAAGCAACATATGCAAGTTCAGGGTTGCGCCTTCCTCCTCCCTTTTTCCCCTTTCCACTGCCAAGGAGGCTTATGAAATGATGCTGCTGAGCCATCTTGAACCATATGGGCAAAAGCAACTCTCTAGAGATGGAACAGCAAGATCAAAGGATCCTGGTCACTGATGCTGCCATAGGAGCCCAGGACTGCTTACACGTGGGCTGTTACAGAGGTGTGGGCATCAGAGAGATCCTCTCTCTGTGCCAATTCTCTATTATCACAAGTCTTAGTTACAGCCTCACCTATATCCTAATTTCTACCAGGAGTGACTTTTATAAGAAAGGTATTAAAAAATTACATTAGGGCCAGGTGCAGTGGCTCATGCCTATAATCCCAGCACTTTGGGAGGCCAAGGCGGGTGGATCATGAGGTCAAGAGATCGAGAGCATCCTGGCCAACATGGTGAAACCCCATCTCTACTAAAAATATAAAAATTAGCTTGGCATGGTGGCACACACCTGTAGTTCCAGCTACTCGGGAGGCTGAGGCAGGAGAATCACTTGAACCCAGGAGGCGGAGGTTGCAGTGAGCTGAGATTGCGCCACTGCACTCTAGCCTGGCGACAGAGCAAGACTCCGTCTCAGAAAAAAAAAAAAAAAAAGGCCAGGTGCGGTGGCTCACGCCTGTAATCCCAGCACTCTGGGAGGCCGAGGCGGATGGAGCACGCGGTCACGAGATCGAGACCAGCCTGACCAACATGGTGAAACCCGTCTCTACTAAAAATACAAAAATTAGCTGGGCGTGGTGGCACGTGCCTGTAATCCCAGCTACTCGGGAGGCTGAGGCAGGAGAATTGCTTGAACCCAGGAAGTGGAGGTTGCAGTGAGCTGAGATCGCACCACTGCACTCCAGCCTGACAGGAGAATTGCTTGAACCCGGGAAGTGGAGGTTGCAGTGAGCTGAGATCGCACCACTGCACTCCAGCCTGGTGACGGAGCGAGACTCCATCTCAAAAAAAAAAAAAAAAAAAAAAAAATTATGTTGCATCTTCACCTATAACCTAAATTCTACCAGAAGTGTCTTTTATAAGAAAGATGTTACAAAATTACATGCCAGGGCCAGGTGTGGTAGCACCCATTATGTTCCCAGCTACTCAGGAGGCTGAAGCAGGAGGATCTCTTGAGCCCAGAAGTTAGAGGCTGCAGTAAGCTATGATTACACCACTGCACTCCAGCCTGGGTGACAGAGTAAGACTCCATCTCTAAAATAAATAAATAAAAATTACATGCCAGGATAATCAGGCATTTTGCAATGAGATGATTGAACTGCTCTATGTAATCCTCTCAGTAATCAGAAAAATGGAGGGGATGCTGGAAAACTAGAGACAACCAAAAGTAAGGAAGAAGTTTTTTTTTTTTCCTTTTTTTTTAGAGAAAGCAGGTGGGTCCTGACAATGAGAGATTGGTAAGCATGGAGGTGACCTGAGCCAGGTCGTAGACCAGAAAGATTCATGAGCATTTGGAACAAGAGATGGCAACCAGCAGGAGGCAACATAAGCTCAGAAAGACCAAATACAATTTTTTGTTTTGATTGTGACTGCAGACAGGTAAATCAAGATATGTCTGTGCACATAACATATCT
The DNA here is from genome assembly GCF_000001405.40 of Homo sapiens. Classification (NCBI taxonomy): domain Eukaryota; kingdom Metazoa; phylum Chordata; class Mammalia; order Primates; family Hominidae; genus Homo; species Homo sapiens. The sequence continues at coordinate 93,979,296 of NC_000012.12, read as the reverse complement.
GAATTTCCACCAGGCATTTAACAAAGTCTTTCTGAATTTGTTTCTGGAGAAAATGGAGGAGTCTGTAGTAGATGATAGCCTTGTTGGATGGATGCGTGTGTAACTGAGTGGATCTGCATCCACATGGGAGGAAAGTACTGGTAAGACAAAGTGCCAAAGAGGCCCCGCACTCAATCTCCATTAATACAAGTCTAGAGTGCATGGCAAGGAGAGAATTGGACTGATATACCCACCCAGCTGGAATCTATGTCCCATTCATAGTGCCTTGAAAAGAGACATTGACAGATTGCTACTTATCCAGAAGAGGGCAATCGGGGTAAATTAGAAATTAAAGAACTGATAAAGAATGGAAGGTATTTAGCCTGAAGACCTGAAGCCTTGGGAGGAGGGCTGGATGATGGCGACAGTCTTCAAGTATCTTCAGAATTATTCCTTTAGAATGTTCTATGTGGTTCCATTGGCTGCATGTTTTCCCCAAGGCTATAATATGAGTCAGTGGCAGACTGGAATTGGAACTTGGGTTTCAGAAGTGCTGGTTCTTGCAACATAGTGTTCCACTCCAGGCCCCTCCTGATAACAGGCTACTTGAGCATGATGTTTTGTTTCTGGCTTTTGGGTGATTTATGTTTTTGTGTGAATGCATTTTAGGCTCTGTTCAGAAGGCAAAGAGGGTTGGAAGAAGCTGAAGGTTAGAGACACATGTTTCCCACCTCCCCACTTCCTCCTGGGTCTCCTCTTCTCTTTCCTCTTGTGCTCCCTTCTCACCCACCCCCTCCACCCACAATGAATCCCCAATTTCTCTCACTTCATTATCTCAGCATCGTATTAGAAGAAAGAGCCGGGCGCGGTGGCTCACGCCTGTAATCCCAGCACTTTGGGAGGCCAAGGTGGGCGGATCACCTGAGGTCAGGAATTCAAGACCAGCCGGGCCAACATGGAGAAACCCCATCTGTACTAAAAATAAAAAAATTAGCTGGGTGTGGTGGCACATGCCTGTAATCCCAGCCACTTGGGATGATGAGGTAGGAGAATTGCTTGAACCCAGGAAGTGAAGGTTGCTGTGAGCTGAGATCACGCCACTGCACTCCAGCCTGGGCAACAAGAGCAAAACTCTGTCTCAAAAAAAAAAAAAAAAAACAAAAAAGAAGAAGAAGAAATATAACTAAACTAATTAAGAGGTGGTTTGGTAGTGGGTAAAAGAGCTCTAAAGTCTAGATTTGGGGTCAGATAACCTTGGTTTATAGTCTCTCTCTCTCTCTCACCAACTAACTGGGTGAATTTGGACCCAGTATTTAGTTTCTCTGAGCTCCAGTTTCTTCAAATAAGGGGATTTAAAATTCCTTTCTGGTTCTACAATTCTATGATAAAATATCAATTCAAGTGAATTCACATTTTTCAAGGGAAAATCCCCAAGTCCGTACCTGCAAGACCCTCTGGTCACCAGAGGTTCATATGCTATCCTCTGCCATGCACAGAGCTCTCCAGCCTCTTCTCTTCTCATTGTCTGGGTCCTCTTCTCCCATCTCCATCTGTCTAAATGTCATCATCATCCTCCAAGTTCAATGTAGAGATCTTCTCTGAAGTCCAAGAGCACTTGCTGTCTACAGCTTGACTAGTTGGACAAGGCCATGTCTTTTGGAGCAGGAAATGAGTGAGTTTGCCACTGCACTATCAAGAATTTTTTTCTTAGTAAATATTGATTGATTGCTAACATGAAATAGTCAATCTGTAATGGCAGGATTAAGAATTCAGCAACATAGCCTAGTATAATAATTATTTGAGAAGCCAACATATCCCTACATCCTCCTCAATTATGTATATAAGATTAGCCTTGGCAGCCCTGTATCCAGGTACGTGTATCAGAGTGCTTTTAACATCCCCAGAACAGTGGGAGAGACTCAGCTCTGTTCACCAAATCACCATTCAGCTTAACATTCACTGAGCACCAGCTTGGTGTCAGGCACTGTGCTAAGTGCTTTACACAAATCATCCCACGTGACCCTCACAATCACTGCATGAGATAGTGAGTGTTATTGTCCCTGCTTTATAGATGAAGAAACAAAAGTTCAGAGGAGTTAAATAACTTGCCCAAGGTCACTAACTACCTTGAGTACTCAAAGCAGTTAGTGACCTTAGTTACTCATAGTAATTGAATATGATTAGTTACAGTAGTTGAAGGCAAGAACCAAATCCGGGCTGTCTGATGCTAGAAACTGAGTCTTACCTAAGGCACCAGACAGCTCCTTACAGTAGGCACACAGACTTCTCCCTCCTGTGGCCTGGAGTCCGGGAAGAGAAACGGGTTGGCAAATAGGTCGTCTGAATACCTCCAGATAGTGTAAGAGTAGGCACAAGATGGGCCAAGGGAAGGCTTGGCCAAGGTAGGCCAAGGGATAGTATAAGGGTAAGCACACAGCAGGGCCAAGGGAAGCCTCCTGAGAAGAACTGGTATCTATATGGAGTTTCCCAAAATGACCCAAGTAAGCCAGAAGAAGCAAGGTGTTCTCCAAGCAAAGGAAACAGCAGAAGCCAAGAAGCAACTGATAAGAGGGGAGAACATGGCTTGTTTATATCAATGCAAGCAGTTTAGCATGACTGCAGGACAGAGGGTAGGGAGAGGAGTAAGGCTGGGGCGGTAGACAGGGGTCATAGTAAAAATGGCCTCATATGCTCATGTAAGACATTTGGGCTTTGTGTGAGAGTAGTGGTGGCCACTGAAGGACTTTAAGCAGAAAAATGATATGATCGATTTCTGCATTAGAAAGATCATTAAGTTTGCTGTGTAGAAAAATGGATGTAGCAGCCACCTTCTTCCTTCCTAACAGAACTCCCAGCTTGTTTAGAAATCCCCCTCTTCTGGGTGGCCAAATGCATTAGGGGGGTTTCCTTGAGGGCTTCTAGAAAGGTTTCCTCCTGTATAAGTGAAGCACACAAGAAGAGATGGACTTTTCTACCTCTGGACTTTGTAGAGACCGGATATGACACCAGGAATGGATGTGGTTATCAATCTACCAGCCTGATGAAGTTACCACATGGGTGAGTTTAAGGTTAAGAGGTGCAGAAAGAAGTAGGGCCAGAGCCTTGGTGGGCTGTTCTGGAGCCTGCCCCTACGAGGAACCTGTGGTTATGTGCAACAGCAAGCCAATTTTAGTCACAGTTTTCTCATAGCCAACAGCATCCTGACTGACATTTCAGTCAGGCCAGAGGCAGGGGGACTGGTGAGGCAGCCATTGTGGTAATCCAAGCAAATAGGATGGTGAATTGGCCTCAGGCAGTGGCCATGGGAATGAAGAGGAGTAGGCAGATCCAGGAGACAGGGGAAGGCTCCATAAAACATGGTGCTTGATAAGGACGTGGGATGATGAGACAGGGTGGAGTTTAGGAATTCCCTCAATCACATTTTCCTCTTGACTTCCATGATGAATTCAGATGTATTCTTGTAATACAGAGCCTTTTTTCAATGTCAGTTTAGACTCAAGAAGCTCTGCTGCTCCCTCCAAGAAGTCTCCAACTGAGACTGCAATGCCACAGGGACAAACCTCCCAGGGGAGAGTGGTAAAAAGAAAGATGCCAGCAGCAGGCTCTCCCTTTGTTTCCATCCAGTTCCTTTTCTTTTCTGTGTTTTTGAGCAGTCGTCGCAGTTTAATTCTGAATTTATCTTATTAGCCCATTCTGGGCTGAAAAGATATCCTCCCACCTACTGACCTCTTTGGAGACTATCTCATGAGTCCAATCCTGAAGAAAGCACCATATCCCAAGGCCTAAAAACCAATAGCTCCGGTTTTCAATCCAGGGCTAGGTCCTGTCTAGGTCCAGGCAGAACACCAGGGCTGGAATTTCTTTCACAGTCTTTGCTGTTTCTTTCACGCAACACTATCTTCAGTGGAGTCTGTGTCTTTCATTTCCCAGGTCGGGGCTCTCTTTTGTCATTGCTGCCATAGGAAAGCCTTAAGGGAAGGCTCGCTGCTACCACATAAAAGCGCACCATTGTCTTGCGGCTGGAGACATCCCACCTGCCTTTACAGATCCACTCTCCACCTTTCTCTCCCTGTGTAGGATGCATGAGGCTAACGCATGAGGTATCAATAGGCTCATTTCCCTGCAGCTTCCAGTTGGGCTGGGCCAATTGCAAGCAGGAGATCAGAGAGAGACAGTACATGGAAGCAAGGGTCTTGATTCCTTTAGCAACTCCATTTGGGGATTCTGCAGATGGGCTGCATTCCTTATACAAAGATCCTAGCGCCTTTAAGGCAAGCTTCTACCCACAGCCCTCTTAATCTTGGGATTTCAGTAACTGCTCTCTCCCCTTGCTCCTTCAGGCCTAGGGTGGAGAGCTGTACCTAGCTATTCATGAACAACTACACTCTCCCTTGTGGCTTCTCTATACCCTGCCCATAACTTTGAAAACAATTCCTTTATTTAACTGTACTCAAAGTATCCCGATTTGAGTATACCATCTCTTTCCTGCAAGATCCTGGCTACTCCCAGCCAGTCCAAGGGCTTTGGAAGTCATCAGTCATCTTATCTTTTTCCATTGACCTTTCACATCTCATCCAATGTTTTTCATTGTGATTGTTTAGGGAATTTGAAAAGACAAGACTAAATATGTAAGGAGCATGATGAAAATCTGACCCCAAGAAGGAGCATGGGAAGGAAGCTTGATTGGAAGCATTCTAGACTGCTAGGCAATCTAGAAGAGATTTGGCAAGGCTGCTGGGGAGTTCTCATGCCAACATCAGCCATCAGAGGAGTCTTTTGTTTCCCAGGAATGGGCCCGCTTTAGTATTCCTGCTATGCTCAGTCACTGGGAGCAACCCACTGGAAGTGTGGCCTCGGTGCAAATATAACAATAGATTTCAGAGCACAGCTACTTCCCTGTGGTTGGAAGTCTGTGAGACACATTCTCACGGCTACTATATTCATGCCATAAACATTTTTAGCACCACTCCTACCTCCTATCACTAACACTCTATTTTTACCTTGCTGTAGCTATTTCTTCCTCAAAGAGGGTTGTATTAAAGTTCCAAATGTGATTTCTCAGTTACAGGGTGATATCAGGATACCCCACTGTGGGAAGGTTGGCCGGCCGTCTCCCAAATGGCCTGACAGTGTATCATTTATTACCTTACAAATTTACAATCATCAGTAGTTGGATAATTAGACTGGTGAGCTCAGACCTGACTTTGTCAACACATCATGCCATGCGTCTCTCAGGGCAGGCTCATGCTAATTACATTCAAAAGGCTGATATAAAACATCAGAATGCCAAGTTATTCACTTCTCGTAAGAAACCATCTTTAGAAGGACAAGAATATCCGAAGTTTCTAGGATCAATACATTCTTTCCCTGTAGGAGCTAAACAGTAATCAGGAGATTACTTGTTGAGTGTGACATCAGATCAAAGAGAATTGGATAAGCCAAAGGTATGCAGTAGCAAAGTAAGCTACTCAGTACATCTTTCATGTCACACAGAGATAGTCTTACAGACAGAATGTGAAGGCACAAACACAAGAGCTATTATACCCCTCTAGATACATTTACCCACTAGGAGTGGCATTGCACCCCCAAAATCCATTGGCTAAGGCTTCTTTTCCATTGGGAAGTGTTTGAATGAGCACCACCAATATTTGTCTCTGTGTCTGTCTTTTTTCTCTGTTTCCACAGTTGCCCATCCCAACCACTGCCTCCCCTTGCACCACCATCCTCCCACTCCCAGCTAGTCCAAGGGCTTTGGAAGTCATCCTGTCTTTTTCCGTTGATCTTTCACATTTAGTCCAATACTACAGTTATTACAGTTAAGCACTTAAAAAGTCAGTCCTGTTTCCCCCATTTCCAAATTTTGGAGGCCCTTAAACACGAACAATAGTCAAATACTATCAACAAAGTTCAGTTTTCTTTTCAGGGCCTTGAGCTGAAAAAAGGAGCCTCACGATATATTCCTGGGTTCACTTGGTTTTCATCCCTGGTAAAACATACCCTTCAACTGTGTTTCCTTTCACCACAAATGGAGTCTGAATGGTTGCTTTTGCCAGGGCCATGGTGAGAAGAGCAGAAGAGCCATCTGCAAACCCTAGCCCTCTCCAATTGGCTGCCTGTTGGAAGGGGAAGTGTAGTTGACCACCTCTAGCTATACACAAAGCCAAGTAATTCTGCAGGCAAACTTCTGTCTCCATGGAGCCTGCCCAGCCACCCTCGCAAGTAGAGAAATTCCTTCTTTCAGTTTGGAAAATGGTCCCAGCTATGATGCCAAACTCTCCTGAGTCATATGTAAATGTAGAAACACATACTCTGTGGTCTTCCTCTGGTCAGACTGTCCTCCTTGGCCTTAGCTTACATTGCTCTGGTAATGTCCTTAATACACTTCACCAGACTACTAGGCAACCAATTGGTTAATACCGTGCAACGAATTCTCCCATTCCACTTTGTGAGAAGGCAGCAAATGAGCCTTGCCGCCATGTCCCAGCATGGTATTTACATGCTTATTACAAGTCCACATGGCCAGTTGGAGGGGCATTTCCCAGCCCCTTGTCTTTGCCTTCTCAGACTAAGAACCAGAGAAGCCGCAAGACTCATTTGTTTTTGGTCAAATGTGGGTAGGGCACGGATTAAATCCTGAGAGTCAGGAAACCCAATTTTCAGGCTGATTTTGTCCTGGACAAACTCAGTAGCTCTCAACAAAACACTTAATCCTTCTGGAATGCAGTTGCCTCCTCCTTTTAAAATAGTAATGTACCATTTGGCCTCACTCACCTCTAGGAACGCTTAAGAGGTAAAAATGTGATAATGGATGTGAAAGTGCCACAAGAGATGTAGAAGATATATAAGGAGCTCTGCCAACCAAAGGACTGCATTTGATACAGTACTTTTTCAAACAAAACAAAAACGTCTCTGCAAGCTGGGGGAATACTTGTGTTTAACCCAAGAAGGAGCCTTCAGCAGATCTCAGCAAATCAAAATAGAATATTCCCATTGAAGAACTCCCTGGGTTTCCTCTGGCCTCACATAACACAGCAATATGCCGGGGCTCTGCGACTTCATTTATTTGGCTCACCCATGCCTCTAGCATCTCCTAAGATGCTTAGAACTTAACTGAGAATACTTTAAGTCACAATCAAAAAGGGTAAGGAGAGGTATATTAGTTAAAACTTTTTTTTTTTTCAGAGACAGGGTCTCACCATGTTTCCCAGGCTGGTTTCGAACTCCTGAACTCAAGTGATCCACCCACCAATGCCTCCCAAAGTGCTGGGATTACAGGTGTGAACCACAGCACCCAGCCAGTTAGAACTTTTTTTGATTTCTATGCATGGAAACCCATCTTTAAATAATTTAGTCAGGCAATGGGAATTTATTGGAGGTGGATTCTCATAACTGCGGGAAGATGTGAAGTGCAGCTGGACTATGAGGACAACTGAATTGGGAACTTACATTCTCTGCCAGTAGAATTTCTCCCCATCTCTCATCTGCCACTCCATGCTTCATTCTCTTAAAATGATCTCTTTAACAGGTAGGTCACATGGTCACATTTAGATTCCAGGCCTCAGAGCCCACATCTTCACCTCCAAAATGAAACCAGCTCTCTTTTCTTAGTTCCAGTTTGAAAAGTTCTGGGGAACAATCGTGGTTAATTTGGTTTGTCTCAGATGGCCACTCCAGGACCAATGAACCATGCCCAAAGGAGCAAATTACTGCAACTGGTCAAATTAAGCCAGGTTCCACCCCTGATCCAATGGCTGGAAGTAGATTAGGAGCTAGGGTCAATAGTCCAGACATGGCCACAAGGGACAACTCTGTGATTTACAGTCCTTCTGTAACTATAATAGGTTCATTGCCTGATGCACAGTGAGTCAGCATACTGAGACACTGGGGGTTGCAGCAGAGAAAGAGTTTAATAATCATAGGACAGCTAAAGGAGAAGATGAGAAAAAACCTCAAATCCATCTCCGCAAGAGGTTTGGGGATACTGTTTCTAAGGAGTCTGTACAGGTGATGGACTAACGTGTAGGGATTGTTGATCTGTTGAGAAGTGAAGGGTGAAGTCACGGGACAGGCAGCGTATTGAAGAAACCGCATTCCTATGCTGAATTGGTTCCTTGGTGAGGGTCTTTACATTTGTTGGCGTCAGCCATTCTGCTGGATTTGAAAAACGCCCTAAGCAATTCATGGGTAAAATGGTCTATTGTCAGAGATTCTATCTATAGGAATAATGGGTTCCAGATGGGTGCAGGTAGTCAGTGTGCTATTATATGACTCTTAGTTAGCAACTGCAAGGGAGTGGTCAAAATGTGCCCTGGTCAATGCCTAAAGATAATTCTGCCTAAAACCTGACTTGTAATTCTCGTTAATCCCGTGATGGTGGTTTTACTTGCCAGAAAATGGGGCATTAGTGGAAATTGGGCAGCCAATCTAATTGCAGGAAGTGAAGGGGAGCTGCTGAAAATGCCTCTGTATTTTTTTTTTTTTTTTTTTTTGAGATGGAGTCTGGCTCTGTCGCCCAGGCTGGAGTGCAGTGGCGCCATCTTGGCTCACTGCAAGCTCTGCCTCCCGGGTTCATGCCATTCTTCTGCCTCAGCCTCCCAAGTAGCTGGGACCACAGGTGCCCGCCACCATGCCTGGCTAATTTTTTGTATTTTTATTTTTTTAGTAGACACGGGGTTTCACCGTGTTAGCCAGGATGGTCTTGATCTCCTGACCCCGTGATCTGCCCACCTCAGCCTCCCAAAGTGCTGGAATTACAGGCGTGAGCCACTGTGCCCGCCCAAAAATGCCTCTGTTATTTTTATCTAAGTTGGAGTCAAACTTGTCCAAGAAATGCGGAGACTGGATGCAGAATCTACCAACACTGCACTTGGCTGTGCCTTGCTCAGAGACGTGAAAGTTCTTAGGGCCTTGTCTGGTTCTGTTAGATCATCATAGGTTTAACATGTGAGGGGTTTAGATAGATGGGGAATAAAAATCACTCCAGATATTTGCCAGTATTTCTCTAAGAATTTTGGCTTTGTGATCATATAGATGTTATCATTCTTCCTCCTCCCCCTTCCCAAGCATCTCAAGTCATAGTACAAACCACCAGTTTTGTATTAATTCATTTCCATGACAACAAATTGCTATTCTTTCTCTTTTTCCCTTCCTCTATCACTTACACATGATATAGAAACGGTAGCAAATGTCAATATATTTTCACACCAAGAGTAAGGACTTGTGCTAACAATACCAAAAAAATGTGCCTCATTAACTTTTACCAAATGCTAGGAAAAAAACAAAACAAGTATATACATGAAGAGGTTGGTATTTTCTCCCAGAGATCAAATTACATTTAATTCTTCCAAAAAAGCAGTAAAGCAAATGAAACTCCTTTTAAAATACAATTAATTATAGGCCAACTCCTTTGGAATTGTAATAATTTTTATTCTGTCGTAGAGCTTCTTTCACAATGACTTTGCATTTCAGGTACAGAGACTGCACAGAATCTCCCAGAAGACCTTAGTCAATGCAGAATTAAATGGAAAAATTCCACTTTTGTCAAAGGTGAAAAATCTGGCTTTCCTTACATGCAGAACCTCTAGAGACATCAACATGGTCTGTATGAGCAACCTCAGCAAAAAAAAAAAAAAAGCCTCATCTGATAGACTGTCAGTCACAGAAATAATAAAGGAAAGAAAGAAGAGAGGAAGCTGTATTTTATTTTAATATAATTACTCTTTTTGCTTTCCTAATACGACAGTGTGAACATACATTGGGCTGTTTCTCAGTGACAAAACTGGCTACCATGGCAATAAATGCTCTTTACTTACTTCTGGGTTTTATAAGATGTCGGTCACTGAAAGAACAATGTGGTGTGTAAAATCAACCTCTTTCTAAAATAGGTGAAAAATAACCGAGTTGCGAACTTTGAACTGCTTAAGAGTATGCACTTGACGATAGTAGTGAGTTGATTGGAGGTCCCCCTCCCCAAATATGCCCATGTCCTAATTCCCAGAACTTGTGAATGTGTCCTTCTTTGAAAGAAGAGTCTTGGAAGATGTAATTAAATTAAGGATCTTAAGGTGAGGAGGCCATCCTGGATTATTTGAGTCTGCCCTAAATACCATGACAAGTGTCCTTATAGGAGACACACAGAGGAAACCCACAGAAGAGGAAGAGGCAATGCGACCACAGAGGCAGGGGTTGGAGTGATCTGGCCACCAGGTTCTGGAAGAAACCAAGAACAGATTCCCCCGAGAGCCCCTGGAGGGAGTGTGGCCCTGCCAACACCTGCGTTTTCGATTCTGGCCTCCAGAACTGTGAGTTTATCAATTGCCATTGTTTTAAGCCCCTGAGTTTGGGGTTATTTGGTATGGCTGCCCCAGGAAACAGATGTAGTAACCCACACAGTTTTTGAAGCCAGGAGACATAAAGAACAATTTAATCATTCAACAGTGTAAGCCCGCTGAAAGAAGATTGTAATGGTTGGTGTCTGAACTTCACACATCTTGCAGGAACAGGCTTCCCATAAAGGTTTAGACGTTGGTGTAGTAGACTTCCCACTTGAGGATGAGCTCCAAGGAGAGAACGTTCCTTCAGCACGTACCAGGCGTCAGACACTGTGCGGGTGTTTGCTCTGCATTTTCTGTAGGAGATTGTAGCATTCATATTCACTGGCCCACATCTGCCCACATTTCAGATAAAGGCTGCTCTGTCAGTCTGAGCCCCGAAGTAAAGATGAGGAGCTTGAGAGGCACATGTAGCAGGAGTTACAACAAAACAACGGAGTTTTAGGGCTTGTTTATCACAGCAGCACAGCCTCACCTGTCCAGAATGACAACCTTGTCTAATCTTCTTAATGACTTCATGGAGTGGATATCATCATATTAATTGTATTTATTTAGTTTTTGAGACAGAGTCCCATTTTGTCACCCAGGCTGGAGTGCAGTGTGGCCCAATTGCAGCTCACTGTAGGCTTGTCTTCCCAGGCTCAAGTGATCCTCCCACCTCAGCCCTCTGAGTAGCTGGGACCACAGGTGTGTGCCACAATGCCCGGCTAATTTTTGTATGTTTTGTAAAGATGAGCGTTTCACCATGTTGCCCAGGCTGGTCTCGAACTCCTGAGCTCAAGCGATCTGCATGTCTCGGCCTCTCAAAATGCTGGGATTACAGATGTGCATTTTCATTTTAGAAATAAGAAAACTGAGACTCAGAAAAATTCATTACATTGCTCAAAGACACAGCTAATAAAAGGCAGAACTGGATCTGACATCTTAAACAGGGGGATTAGTACAACTTTTTGAGTTGAGGTGATATACAAAAACATGTAAATTCAGCAACATTAATCTATGTGGAATGTAGAATAACTTGAAAGAAAGAAGGTGGGAAGACGAGATCAGCAGTTATGAAGTAGAGAGAATTCACAGAAAAACTAGGCACACTCATCCAGGCTGGCTGCCACAAGGAATCCTAAAGAGCTGTGACAAGAGAGGGAGAGGCCTAGACTTGAGCCAGATTGAAGTACAAAACAGAGAGACAGAGGCATAAATGCTGGGAATCCGTGCAGGAAAGTGTCAGAGGGTTCCAGAATCAGACAGTCCTGCAGTCGAGTCCTGCTTCTTAAGCTCTAGGTTCTCACCGGGAGATGGGGTAATCACAGTACATTTCTCCCCAGGCTGCTGGGTAGATTAAAAGAGATGAGATAGCCTCGGCACAAGGAAAACCTCACTGAGTACTAGTTGTGGTGGTTGTTATTTCTAAATTTACTTCAGGTGTGGTTCTATGCTTTGATCCTTGAGAGTGAATTCAAAATTCTGGGTGATGACTTTATCTAAAAATTGCTTGTGAGGTCTTAGGAGACGTCAACATTTTATAGAGCGATTTCTTTATAGGTGGTTTTAACAGAGCATTAAGAAAATGCTCTTTCCTCTATAATCCATGTCCTTTGAAGGAGAGATTCTTTAGGGAGTTAAAAATCTCATTGTAGTCAAACTTCATGGAGAGAGAAGGTAGGCAGAAAAGAAAATCAAAGTCAAGAGAGTTCCATGTTTTTCTTAGTACAAGAAGGAGGGAGGGATGGAGAGAGGGAGAAAAGGATGGAGGGAGGGAGGGAGGAATGGAGAGATGGAGGGAGGGATAAAGGGAGGAAGGGATGGATGGACGGATGGAAAGAGGGAGGGAGGGAGGAAGGGATGGATGGAGGGATGGGAAGAGGGAGGGAGGGATGGAGGGAAGGGGGTATGAAGGGATGGAGTGAGGGAAGAAAGGATGGCGGGAGGGATGGAGGGAGGGAGGGATGGAGGGAGGGAGTATAGAGGGAGGGAGGGATGGAGAGATGAAGGGATGGAAAGAGGGAGGGAGGGATGGAGGGAGGGATGAAGGGAGGGAGAGAGGGATGGAGAGATGGAGGGAGGGATGAAGGGAGGGAGGGAAGGAAGGAGGGAGGAAAGGATAGGGGGATAGAGGGATAGAAAGAGAAAGGGAGGAGTGGAGGGATGAAGGGAGGGAAGGAAGGAGTGAGGAAAGATAGGGGGATAGAGGGATAGAAAGAGAAAGGGAGGAGTGGAGGGATGAAGGGAGGGAGGATAGAAGGAGGGAAGAAAGGATAGAGGGATGGAGGGATGGAAAGAGGGAGGAAGGAGTGGAAGGATGAAGGGAGGGAGGGATGGAAGGAGGGAGGAAAGGATAGAGGGATGGAGGGATGGAAAGAGGGAGGGAGTAATGGAGGGATAAGGGGCAGATGGTAAACTGTTAAGTTTTCACATATCTCATTTATTCCTCACAACAATAAAGTTAATCCTTATAAAAATCTGGAAATGTATTGTGTATCCTAATTAATAACTTCTTTTTGTAATTTATGTGAATGATAACTTAAAGAAATATTTATTTAACAAGTATCTGTCAAGAGCCTGGTATTATTGGCCAAGCATTGCACTAAGTCTTAAGTACACAATGGGCAACAAAGCAGTCTCTACCCCAAGAAGCTTTTAGTTTGGTGGAGAAAAATAGCATATAAGCAAGTAAATAACATATAATTACAACTTGTGATGCATTATCTGATGGAAACAAAGTATGCCTTCATTGGAGAGTAAGAAAATAGTACAGATAGGACGATTGATGAAGGTCTAGAGGATGAAATAGACATAATCAAGCAAAGAACAGAGTACACATGTGTGTTGGGGTGTGATCAGAATGACGAAGGCCTTCCAGCTGGGAGCTGACACATTCAAAGGTCCTGAGGTGTGAAAGACTTGTAATGCCTGAGACCTCCAGGTCCTGGAGGCTGGTGTGGCTGTGGCACAGTGAGTGAAGAGGGCACGGGAAAAGACAAGGTAGCTGAAGTGAGCATTAGCTCCCACAGGACTTTGGGGGCCCTGGTTATAAGTCTGAATTTAATTCAAAATGAATTAAATGCCAGCCTGGGCAACATGGCAAAACTGCGTCTCTACCAAAAATACAAAAAAATTAGCCAGGTGTGATAGCAGGCACCTGTGGACCCAGCTTCTTGGGAGGCTGAAATGGAAGAACTGCTTGAACCCAGGAGGCAGAGGTTGCAGTGAGCCGAGATTGCACCACTGCACTCCAGCCTGGGTGACAGAGTGAGACCCTGCCTCAAAAACAAACAATCAAACAACAACAACAAAATTAAAGTGGATTAAATAGTGATTGAAGACATTTAAGCAGAGGAGTGATCTTTTATTTATATTGTGTACAAACGTCTGATTCAACTTTTGGAAAGACTACTTTGGATGCTGTGGGGAGAACAGAATTGGAGGAACACAGGAATGTAAGAAAGAGATGTGTTAGCTTACTGTGGTCTTTCAGGTGAACAATGATGATGATGATGGCTTGGACATGGAAGGAGAGGGAGAGGAGTGGATAAATCCCAAGTGTACATAAGAAGTTGATGTGGAGAAGCTGGCTGAAGGAGTTGAGAATCAAGAATGGGTGCTTCTCAATTGGGAAGAAATATATGTGGGTGTTCATGTCTGTACCTCAAGAGCTAATTTGATGGGCTAGGACTGTAAAAGGTTCTAATGAATGGTGAACTTAAACTGGACGTGTTCCTATGAATCTAGAGACATTTCTCAATCCTTACCCAAGTTCTTGTCATGACAATCTCCTTTTGTTTGATTCATCCCAGAAATAAGCCCCTTGGGCGTAGTTTCTGGATGCGTTTAATGGCCCCTCTGTTCTCTGCACTGGACAGACTATGCCTGAGGCATTAACTACCACAGAATCAGAAGGACTTTGATGAAGTAGAGCGTGGCTGGAGAAAGGCCACTGAAGGATAAAGAATTTGAATATTATGTTATGTGGTAACTAACCCCAAATGCTGAGAGGGCTGTCATGCAGCAGCTCCTAATGTGAGCCTATCCCTGCCTGGCTTTGGGCACCAAAGTTCTGCCACTCACAGACTTAGTCCCAGGCATTCCCTATGCCGGCCAGAGCCTGACCCAGCTCCTAATTCTTTTTTTTTTTTTTTTGAGACGGAGTCTCGCTCTGTCGCCCAGGCTGGAGTGCAGTGGCGCGATCTCGGCTCACTGCAAGCTCCGCCTCCCGGGTTCACGCCATTCTCCTGCCTCAGCCTCCCGAGTAGCTGGGACTACAGGCGCCCGCTACCACGCCCGGCTACTTTTTTGTATTTTTAGTAGAGACGGGGTTTCACCGTGTTAGCCAGGATGGTCTCGATCTCCTGACCTCGTGATCCGCCCGCCTCGGCCTCCCAAAGTGCTGGGATTACAGGCGTGAGCCACCGCGCCCGGCCCCCAGCTCCTAATTCTAATCAGAATTCTTGGCCTATGGGCTCCTTGTCATTTTGGAGGGGAGGATTTCCCATTCATCCCTCACTGTGAGGTCCAGACTGTGTAACTGGCCTTTCCCCTGGATTCCATCTGGGAGGCTGGGGTTCTGATCCCATAGCTATTTTCTGTACATGTCTTGGCCAACATCTTGACTGCAACTTCATATGAAACCTGGAGCCAGAACTGCCAAGCTAAGCTGCTCCAAAATTCCTGACTCACAGAAACTGTGAAATAATACATGTACGTTGTTTTAAGCCACTAAGTGTTAATTTGTTATATAGCAAAAATAAGTGATATGGATTTTGGTACCTAGAAATGGGATGCTATATAACAAATAACTAAAATCTGGGAGTGACTTTGAAACCAGAAAGTGAGTAGAAGCTCTGAAATATTTGAGGAAGTCTCAAGAGCCTTGAAACAATTGTTTGTAGAAGCGTTATTGTCCTTTCAAGAGGCTGTGGTGAAGGCCTAAAGGAAAGTGAAGTGAAATTTATTGGGAAACTGGATCAAAGGGAATGTTTATTATGCAGTGGTAGAAAGTTTAGCAATACTGTCACCTGCAGTATTGTGGAAAGTAGAAAATATACCGAATGAACTGCATGACCTAGGTAAAGAGGATTCCAGAGGGAATATTGAGGCCGCCACCTGTTTTCTTTTTGCTACTTATATAAAATGTGATAGTAGGATAAAAAAAATTAACAAAAGTAATGTTAAACATGGAGGAGCTGGGACTTGATGATTTCAAATTCTCAGTCTGCCAATATAGCAAATAATACTAACATTGAGAAATGGCTTCCAAGCAAAAATACAAATCCAGGGCACTATCAGGAAAGCTTGGTCTAAAGATGAGGCCAAAGGTATGACTCTAGAATTATTTTCTAAGATATCAGAAAGACCAAAGGTCTATCTCAAGATCTGTCCACTCAGACCAAAGGTCTTCTAAAGAGTTTAAGGGTGGGTCTCACAGATCCTGTCAATCAAATAATAGGACTTCCAAGAAGCTTAAGGGTCTTGTTATGTCGTCAACTCAGCAAAAGCTCAAGGCAGAGAAGAGTTTCTCTCCAAATGATTTGTGAGTGTGGCTTTTGCCAAGTGAAGTAAACCCCAATAAGGTTAACAGTGTTTTTAAGAGAATTATATCCACAGAAACACCACCAGCTTAGACCAAAAGGGATAGAGATAATACAAAATGAAGGTTGCACCCCCGAACTTCTATGAATAGGAGGAAGCAGGCTGACAAAACTGCTCAGCTGCAAAAATGTGCTTCACTGACAAGAGGCAGATTTATAGGAGAAAAGGCATACAAATTTATTTGATCATAGTTTTATATGACATAAGAACCCTCAGAATGAACACCCAAAAATACATGGGAAATTGTCCATTTTTATGCTTAGGTTCAACAAAGTATGGGCAGCTTTTTAGAAATATGATTGGACAAAACAGTATGATCTACTGCTAATAGAGTGAGTAGGAAGACCTAGCAAGGCCTGCCTGTGTAGATCCTTGGTCTTTCTGAGTGTTCATTTCTTCTTTCTGGATGTGGGGCAAGGTGCTGTCTGGAATAAGGGTCTTATGATCTATAGTCAAACAAAATAGGCCAGGTAATTTGTTTATGGTCAGTTTTTATGCAGAAAGGTGGAAGGAATGTCAGAGTAATATTTTTAGGTTTCTTCGCTGGCTTTGGGGAAAAAGAGTTCTGGTTTCTATGACCTGCCTCAGAGAGGAGGGATTCTCATGTCTATGGCTACCCTTAAGGGAAAATGAGACTGAGAAACAGGAGGACATGAGAAGGTTAGAGAAAAACTTTTGCTTCTGAGGCTGTTTCTGACACCTTCACTTTGGGATGTTGTTTTCTGAGTCCCAATATCTTCATGAAAAAGGAAGCACGACTAAGAAGGCAGAACTAAGAACTCAAAAAACAGAGCTAAGAGTTATGGAGAATTATTCCCATAATTTGAGCCTTAATCTAATTCTAATATTTCCCAACTGGATTTCAAAATTGCTATGAACCAGTGACTCCTGTGTGCTTCTTGTTTTATTCTTTTCTGAACAGAAGTATCAATATCAGTTATCCTATGCCTGCCTCACCATGTGTGTTGGGTGTGTGGAGAAGATAACTTTCACTTTAGCTCACAGATCTTTGGATCGATAGCTGTACTTAAGGGCCAGGCAGGGTGGCTCACACCTTTAATCTCAGTACTTTGGGAGGCTGAGATGGGAGGATCACTTGAGGCCAGGAGTTTGAGACCAGTCTGGTCAACATAGCGAGATCCCTGTCTCTAAAAAAAAGAAAAAAAGAACTGTACTTAGGGAGCTACAACCAAGTAACCTCATATGCACCTGGTCTTGATTTAAATGACCTATCTGTAAATTAAGCTGACATATAATAGGATGAGACTTTTGGAAATCTTGAGAGGGGGTGCCTATATTTTGCATGTGTGTGAAATTGGGGCAGGATGTGGTGGTTTTACAGTGTTCCCAAATTTTTTGATATTTCTGTCTTCAAGTGGTGGAGCCTTAATCCCTTCCCTTTGAACGTGGGCTGGAGTTAGTGACTTGCTTCCTTTTTTAAATGTTTATTTCAATAGCTTTGGGTGTACAAGTGGTTTTTTTTTTTGTTACATAGATAAATTATATAGATTATATAGTGGTGAATTCTGAGATTTCAGTGCACCCATCACTTGAGTAGTGTACATTGTACCTAATGTATAATTTTTTAACCCTAGCCCCTCACCAACCCTTCTCCTTCTGAATCTTTAAAGTCCATTACATCACTGTATGCCTTTGAATAACTTAGCTCCCACTTATAAGTGAGAATATATGGCTTTTGGTTTTCCACTCCTGTGTTACTTCACTTAGAATAATGGCCTTCAGCCCCATCCAAGTGGCTGCAAAAGACATTATTTCATTCCTTTTTATCGCTAAGTAGTATTCCATGGTGTGTATATACCGCATTTTCTTTATCCACTCATTAGTTGATGGGCACTTAGGTTGGTTCCACATCTTTGCAATTGTGAATCGTGCTGCTATAAACATATATGTGCAAGTGTCTTTTTCATATAATGACTTCTTTCCCTTTGAGTAGGTACCTAGTAGTGGGATTGCTGGATTGAATGGTAGGTCTACATTTAGCTCTTTAAGGAGACTCCATACTGTTTTCCATAGAGGTTGTACTAATTTACATTCCCACCAGCAGTGTATAAGTGTTCCCTTTTCACCAGATCCATGCCAATATCTATTATTTTTTTATTTTTTAATAATGACCATTCTTGCAAGGGTAAGGTGGTATCTCATTGTTTTTTAATTTGCATTTCCCTGTTGATTAGTGACGTTGACAATTTTTTCATATATTTCTTGGCCATTTGTATATTTTCTTTTGAGAAATGTCTATTTATGTCCTTTGCCCACTTTTTGATAGGATTGTTTGTCTTTTTCTTGATGATTTGTTTGAGTTCCTTGTAGATTCTGGATACTAGTCTTTGTCAAATGCGTAGTTTGCAAGTATTTTCTCTCATTCTGTGGGTTGTCTGTTAACTCTATTATTTATTTTACTATGCAGAAGCATTTTAGTTTCATCAGGTGTCATTTATTTAGTTTTTTTATTGTTGTTGCATTTGCTTTTGGGGTCTTAGTCATGAATCTTTGCCTAGGCCAATGTCTAGAAGAATTTTTCCAATGTCACCTTCTAGAATTTTTATGATTGTAGGCCTTATATTTAAGTCTTTGATCCATCTTGAGTTGATTTTTATATAAGCTGAGAGATAGGGAGCCAGTTTCATTCTGCTACTTGTGGTTTGGAAGTTTTCCCAACACCGTTTATGAAATAGAGTATTCATTCCCCAATTTGTGTTTTTGTATGCTTTGTTGGAGATCAGTTGACTATATGTATCCGGCTTTATTTCTGGGTTCTCTGTTCTATTCCATTGGTCTATATGCCTACTTTTATAGAACTATAAAAGTTTTGGTAACTATAGCCTTGCAGTAGAATTTGAAGTCTGGTAATGTGATGCCTCCAGATTTGTTCTTTTTGCCTTAGAATTGGTTTGGCTATTTGGGCTCTTTTTTGGTTCCATACGAATTTGATGATTGTTTTTTCTAATTCTGTGAAAAACGATGTTGGTATTTTGATGGGAATTTCATTGAATCTGTAGATTGCTTTGGGCAGTATGGTCATTTTTACAATATTGATTCTTCTAATTCATGAGCATAGAATGTGTTTCCATTTGTTTATATCAGTTATGATTTCTTTCAGTAGTTTTATAGTTCTTCTTGTAGAGTTCTTTCACCTCCTTGGTTGGGTATATTCCTAGATAGTTTATTTTTTTGCAGCTGTTGTAAAAGAGCTTTAGTTCTTTTTTCTTTTTTTTTTTTTTTAAGACAGAGTCTCACTGTGTCTCCCAGGCTGGAGTGCAGTGGTGCAATTACTGCAGCCTTGACCTCCCAGTCTCAAGCCATCCTTCTGCCTCAGCCTCCGGAGTCACTGGGACTATGGATGCATACCACCACACCCAGGTAACTTTTTTGTAGAGACAAGATCTCCCTTGTTGCCCAGGCTGGTCTCAAACTCCTGGGCTCAATAAATCCACATGCCTGGGCCTCCTGAAATGCTTGGTTTCCAGGTGTGAACCACCATGTCCAGCCAGGATTGAGTTCTTTGTTTGACTCTCAGCTTAGTCATTGTTGGTGTATAGCAGTGCTACTGATTTGTGTACACTGATTTTGTAACCTGAGACTTTGCTAAATTCCTTTATCAAATCTAGGAGTCTTTTTTTGGAGTCTTTAGGATTTTCTAGGTATATGATCATATCATCTGCAAACAGCAATAGTTTCACCTCCTCTTTTCCAATTCGGATGCCCTTTATTTCCTTCTCTTGCCTAATTGTTTTGGCTAGGACTTCCAGAACTATGTTGAACAGGAGTGGTGAAAGTGGGCATCCTTGTCTTGTTGCTGTTCTCAGGAGGAATGCTTTCAACTTTTCCCCATTTGGTATGATGTTGGCTGTGGGTTTGCATATATATATTTTATTATTTTGAGGTAAGTCTCTTCTATGCCTAGTTTGTTAAGAGTTTTTATCATAAAGAATGCCTGATTTTGTCAAATGCCTTTTCTGCATCTATTGAGGTGATCATATGGTTTTTGTTTTTAATTCTGTTTATGTGATGTG
The DNA here is from genome assembly GCF_000001405.40 of Homo sapiens. Taxonomy (NCBI): domain Eukaryota; kingdom Metazoa; phylum Chordata; class Mammalia; order Primates; family Hominidae; genus Homo; species Homo sapiens. The sequence goes on along the minus strand of NC_000012.12, from coordinate 93,959,366 downwards.
TCACACTTTTTGACTTCTGTATGTTAAACCATCCCTGCATCCCCAGGATGAAACCCACTTGATCACGATGTAATATCTTTTTGATGTGCTGTTGAATTTTGTTATCTAGTATTTTGTTGAAGATTTTTGTATCTGTGTTCATCACGGAAATTTAGTGACTTGCTCCTAATACATACAATGATGAAGAAGTAATGGTAGTGACTGTTGGAAAACAGTATGAATAGTTTCATGTGTCTGAATGATCAGAGCATTCTGAGCAATGGAAATTGACATGCCATGAAGATAGATAATATTTTTCCTTTTCCCAAGAGCCATTTGCTTTTCACGTTCTAAGGGAGACAGACTGAGACAACTTGTTTCTTTTCTCATGGAGCCATCTACTCCCATTCAAATAATAATAATACCTTTCTTATCTTCCCCAGAGTCAAATGCTTATATTTGTAGGTAGAGACCTTCCTCCTTTCCCCCAAGAGATATCAGTTTACATTCCAAGTCCTCTGTCCCTTTTTTTGGAGAGGAGAAAGTGTAGATGTTCCAGCTCCTATACAAGATTTGAGATTCATGATTTCATAATTCCTCTTCTAAAATATAGATTCTCTCTTTAACATGAGCAGGATCCACCTGGCTCTCACCATGTTACCCGGAGTGGGGGAAATGGGACATGAGTAACTGCCACTAAAATATTCTGTAACTAAATAAACAGTTTGTCTCTGACCCAGAAGCCTTGTGTTTACTGTGAGATATATGTGTGTGTATATATATATATAGATAGATATAGATATAGATATAGATATAGATATAGATATTCAGTAACTTCAGAGATTAGGTCATAAAAGGCACTGTGGCTTCTCTCTCTCTCTCTGTGTTAGAGTTGCTCTATATTGAGGTCCTTGTGGCAACAAGGCTGAAGGCTTTGGCCAACAGCTAGTGAGGAACTGAGGCCTCTTGTCATCAGCCATGTAAAGCAGCTTAGAAGTGAATCCCCCAAACCCAGTCTAGCCTTCAGATGACTGCAGCCCTGGCTGACATTTTGGATGCAACCTTTTGAGAAAGACTGATGCAGAAGCACCCATTAAGTTGCTTCTGAATTCCTGACCCACAGAAACTGAGGTAGTATATGTTAGTTTTTTTAAGCCACTAATTTTAGGGGTAATTTATTATGTAGCAAAAGATAACTAAAACAGTTGGCCAGGTTGGTTTCTATTGCTTGCAACTGAAGAACCATGACTAATACAGTGCATAAGACACTTGGTACAGAACCTTACAAATACTCAACACATGGTAGCAATTACTATCATATTATTAAGAGATTAAATCCACTTATTCTCTAGCCCTCCAGAGGGCAGACATAGAACCAATGGGAGGAAGTTATAGGGAGGAAGAGTTCAATTTGATGAAAGAAAAAAATAAGTTTAATAATTAGAACTGGAAAAAAAGGAGAAATGTATCTATCCAACTAATTAGCTTTCCCTGCTTAGAAGGATTTCAGCAGAGGAGGTAATAATGGATGCTGTAGAATAAATTCTTGCATTGGGAGAGAAATTGAACTAACCAACCTTGGGTATCCTCCCAGCTTTAACATTCTGTCATTCTACAATTCAGCATGGCCTAGGGATGCTTGCTTAGTGTTATCATATCCAACCCCATCCATTTCTTGGGGTAACCAGCCCAAATATGACATCAGCTGAGAAGGTCATTGAGAGAAGGGGAAATAGAACAGGAGGATTATGAGAAATATACCAGAGTACTAAGCCAGAATCTGATTTCTACATCAAATTTAATAGGCTTGAGATAAAAAGTTTCCAATAAGTAGCAACTTAAAAAATAATAATCTTCAAATAAAAAGAAGCAATGAAACTGACCAAATAACAAGTTAACATGAAACTTACAGAGAAACCAAAAAAATGAAAATCACTGAAGTAGGCCACAGAGTTCTGGCAAGCCAATCCTTGCAGACAAATGGGAAGGGCAGCCAGGAGTCTCACAATGGTAAAGTCAGGGAAAGACTAAAGAATGAGCCGGATCTTGGCAGGTGCTACAGCCAAATATATCTGAATTCTGCAGAGGTTAAATAAATGATTACAGAAGATTTCATGAGTGCAGCAATCAAAGCTGAGAACAGATCAACCCAGATTTGGGGAGCACTGTTAACAAACAACTTCCTTTAGAAAATATGAAGATGCTTATTGCCAGGATGTCTGTATGAAGAATCAAATGGCTACACCAAAGAAGTTGAGCCAACAGCCCAGAAATCATCAGCAGAGGCTATTGCCTGGAACAAGGAGAGGATCATAACCCAATTCCACTGTTCAAATTACTGGGAGAAGTATCTAATATGTAATTCACAAAAAGAGGAAAAAGGAGCTATTTTGGGGACTTTAAAATGAACTCCTCAATGGAAATGAAATGAGCTTAAAGGGTTGATATGGTTTGGATCTGTGTCCCCACCCAAACCTCATGTCTAATTGTAATTCCCAATGTTGGAGGTGGAGCCTGGTGAGAGGTGATTGGATCATGGGGTAGTTTCTCATAGTTTAACACCATCCCCCATGGTGATGTTGTGGTGAGAGTGACTTATCGTGAGATCTGGTTGTTTAACGGTGTGCAGCACCTCCCACTCTCTCTTCCTCCTGTGCCAGCCATGTAAGATGTGCCTGCTTCCCCTTTGCCTTCTGCCATGATTGTAAGTTTCCTGAGGCCTTCCCAGCCATGTTTCCTGTACAGTTTGCAGAACCATGAGCCAAATAAACCTTTCTTTATAAATTACCAAGTCTCAGGTATTTCTTTGTATAGCAGTGAGAGAATGGACTAATACAACAGTTGAAGTACTTACTCACCCAACTTGGAGGAGAAAATTATGAAAAGGTATTTAAATGTGGTGAGGAGGCTTGACCTATAAAATTTGTGAAAATTTATGATTTTAAGTTTAAGTTGAGCTTGCAATATCACATAGTCTACTATGGCATAGTTTCCATGGTCTATATCATAAATCACATGTACTGCAAATTGCACAGTGTACAATGCTACCATCGTGGAGTCAGTTAAATTTTCTAAATTCATCTAGCCAGATTGTAATGAAGAAGTGAGGTGATGGGACCGATATTACACAGCTGTTAAAAGGTGTCAGAGCTGGAATTAAAACCCAGGTTGGTGTAATCTGGATTTTCACAGAGAAAATAAAAGCACTAGGAAAAGAACTTTCATACTCACCCACTATCAAATCCACTAACTTATTTGCATCTGTTCCTTAAGTTCTGTCTTCCCTCCTACTACTATATTTGATCTTTCCAGGCTCTACCTAAGAACAATACCTCAATCCCTGAACCCCATGTTCTCTCACCTACACAAGGACTTCATACGTGCAATGCTCCCCCTTTTCTGTCTACATTGTCATAGAATTTTTCTTCTCTATTGGATCATTCCCATCAATATCCAGATATGCTGTAGCTATCTTTGAAAAATTTTCCCTGACTTCCAAAATTCCTCTTGCTATTGTTCCATCTTTCTAATTGTCTTGGGTCAAAACTTTGTAAAGTATTTTTCTATTTTTTTTTTGTCTTCACTCTCTCCTCCCATTGTTTCCTGAACCCACTCCACTGACAATGTTGTTGTCAAAGTCAGCAGTAACCTGCCTGTTGCCAGTTTAATGGCCCAATCTCGTTTCTCCATAAGTCAGTAGTAGCATTTGGTACTGCTGATCACTTGTTCCTCCTCGAAACACTTCTTCTCCTGGCTTCTAGGATGTCCCTCAGTCTTCCTGCTGACAAGCTCCCTTTCAGCGGCCTTTGCTAGACTTCTTTCATCTTCTTGATCTCTAAATATTGAAGTATCTGAGGGCTCAGTCCTTACACCACTTCTCATCTTTGTATTCATTCTCTAGGTGGTCTCATTCAGTCTAGTGGATATAAATTTTATCAAATGATAAAAACTCCTACTTTTTAGTTTCGGCCTTGACCTCATCCCTAGACCCCAGACTTATATATTGAACTGCCTACTCAACATTTCCATCTGCATGTCTAAGAGGCATCTCAAACTTAACATGGCCAAACAGAAACCTTGATCTCTATCTTCATAAATGGCAAATGCATTATTTTAGTTGCTGTATTATTCAGTGTTCTCCAGATAAACGAACTGAGAGAGAGAGAGAGAGGTTATGAGACATTGGATCATGTGATTATGGAGGCTGAGAAGTCTCAAGATCTGTTGTTGGCAAGCTGGAGACCAGGAGACCAGGAGAGTTAATGTGTAGTCCAGTCTGAGTCTAAGAACCAAGAGAGCCAGTGATGTAAGTTCCAGCCAGTGTTGTAAGTTCCAGTCTGAACGCCAGCAGGCTTGAGACCCAAGGGGAGCTGATGTTTCGGTCCGAGTCTGAAGGCTAGATCCAATCAGTGTCCTAGCTCAGTCTGGCAGAAGGACTTTCCTCTTCCTGGAGGAAGGATTAGACTTTTTGTTCTATTCAGGCCGTCAACAGATCGGATGAGGGCCACCCACCATCGGAAAGGCAATCTGCTTTACTCATTCTGCTGATTCAAATGTTAGTCTCATCCAGAAACACTCTCACAGACACACCCAGAGTAATGTTTGACCAAATGTCTGGGTTCACTGTGACCCAGTCAAGTTGACACATAAAATTAACCTTTACAATTTCCCAAAGAAAAACGTTGGAGTTGTCCTTGACTTCTGTCTCATGTCCCACATTGAATCCATCAGCAAACCCCGATGACTCTGCCTTCTAAATATGATCAGAGTTTGACCATGTTTCAACACCCCACCACTACTATTTTAGTCAAAAGTCAACAGTATCTCTTGTCCAGAAGATTGCAATAACTGCCCCTACTATTGCCTTGAGCCCCCTTAGTAATTTATTTATTCTCAGTAAAACAGTCAGAGTGATATCATGAAAATGTCAGCTGCCATCATTCCTTATGGAAAACCCTCTATGACTTCTCAGATCATTTAGAATGAAAATGTTCTCCCAGCCTCTCACTCACCCCATCTCTTCCCACCGTCCCTATTACTCATGCCACTTTAGCAACATTGGCCTTTTTGCTGTGCCACACACATGCCCAGCACATTCATCTCAGAGTCTTTGCACATGCTTTTCCCTCTGTTTCAAAGCTTTCTCCCTAGATACCCTCATGCCTCACTCTTTTACCTTTTGCAGGTCTCTGCTCAGCTCAAAGGATATCTTACACAAAATAGCACACTCTATTGCCCACCACCGTCACTGTTTCTTCCCTTCCTCTGCACTATTTTTTTACAGAACTTACTATGACTGGTACGTAGAAATAGTACTTGGCATATATTAGAAAGTACACATCAATATTTATTAAATGGGCCGGGCATGGTAGCTCACACCTGTAATCCCAGCACTTTGGGAGACCAAGGCAGGCAGATCACCTGAGGTCAGGAGTTCGAGACCAGCCTGACCAACATAGTGAAACCCCGTCTCTACTATAAATACAAAAATTCGCTGGGCATGGTGGCGCACACCTGTAATCCCAGCTACTGGGGAGACTGAGGCAGGAGAATCGCTTGAACCCAGGAGGCAGATGTTGCAGTGGGCCGAGATCATGCCATTGCACTGCAGCCTGGACAACAAGAGCAAAACTCCATCTCAAAAAAAAAAAAAAAAAAGGTATTAAATGACCCCAATTTAGGATTTTTCTATTTAGGGCTTTTCAACTTTATGATGATGTGGATGTGATACGCATTCAGTAGACACCATATTCTGCAATCCCAGCACTATCAAGAAAAGCACTGTTTTGATTACTATCAACATGCATAGGTTTTATCTGTTCTAGGATTTTATATAAATGGAGGCATACGGTATGTGCAATTTGGTGTCTTGCATCCTGTATTCATCACAGTGTTTTAAGACTCATCAATTTTGTTGCATGTATCGGTAATTTATCTTTTTTTGTTGCTGAGTACTATTTCATTGTATGAATAAACCATAGTTTGTATGTTAATTCTCTTGTTGGTGGACATTAGGATAGTCTCCAGATTAGAGGCATGATGTATAAGGTTGCTATGAACGTTCAAACAGACTTATTCATAATAACGCTGAGTTTTTCATAAAAATCCTTTATCATACTGATTAATTATTTTTTCCATTCTTAGTTTTCTGAGAATTTCTATAATAGATGGGTACTAAATTTTACCAAATACTTTCTCTGAATTTATTAAGTTCATCACATTTTCTTATTTCATTAATGTGGTAAATTATACTGATTAGTTTTTTATTGTTTAACCAATCCTGCATTCCTGGTATAAACCCACTTAGTCAAAATGTATTATTTTCTCTAATGCTAGATTTTGTTTGCTAGTATTTCGTTAAGGATTTTTGTTCCTACTATGTTCCTGAACAATATTAGTCTATAATTTTATTCTTGTAATATCCTTACCTGGTTTTTGTATCAGTATTATGTTGGCCTCAACATAATACCTTAACAAACTCAGAAAAAAGAGAAAAAGCAAACACTTTCCAATTCATTACATGTTCCAACTCATGTAATGAGTTGGAAAGTGTTTGCTTTTTCTGTTTTTTCTGAGTTTGTGTAAGGTAAATTTTATTTCTTCCTCAAATGTTTGACAAACTCACCAGTGGAACAAACCAAATCTAGAAATTTCTTGTTGGGGAGGTTTCAACTATAAACTTAACTTCTTTAATGGATATGAGACTACATGGATTTTTAATTTATTTTCGTATCAGTGTTGGTATCTTTCAAGAAATTTTTTTTTCAGCTAAGTTGTCCAATTTACTGGCACAAAATTGTTTATAGTATTACCTTGTATTTTGACTGTCTGAAGTAACTGAACTGATGTTTTCACTTTCATTTCTGGTGTTGGTAACTTGTGTTTCCTTTTTATTATTGATCAGTCTTGCCAGAGGTATATCAATTTTATTATTTGCTTTTTTTCGTTTCATTGTTCTCTGCTCTGTATTTCATATCTTCTCCTTATGTTAGCTTTAATTTGTTCTTTTTTGTAGATTTTTAAAATAGAAGCTCAGATCACTGACTTTAAATATTTTTTCTTTTTCAATAAAGCATTTAAAACTATAAATTTCATTCTAACCACTTCTCTAGCTGCAGCCCACATGTTTTAACATATTGTACTTTCCCATTAGCATTCATTTTGAAATATTTTAAAGTTTTTCTTATGATTTCTTTTTTGACCCGTGGATTATTTAGAAGTATGTTGCTTACTTTCTAAAGATGTGTGAATTTTTCAGGTATCTTTTTGTTACTGATTTGTAACTTAATTCTGGGTAATCAGCAACTTACTCTGTATAATTTAAAGTACTGAGTAAAAGGTATTACAATTTCTAATCATATTTACGGATTTGTCTACTTCATTCTTTAGTTCTGTCGGATTTTCACTTTGTGTATTTTGAAGCTGTTATTAGGTGTAAGTTTATTTGGAATTATTATAGATTTCTGATTAATTGACCCAGTTATGAAGTATTCCTGTTTATCTCTGACAGTATTCTTTGCTCTGAAATCTACTGTCTAATATTAATATAGTCATTCTAGCTTTACTACAGTGAGTATTTGCACGGCATATTTTTTCCCCCAAATTTAACACCTAACCAATATGTATCCTTATGTTTAGGACATGTAAACAACATATATTTGTGCCCTGCTTTTATCTAGCTTGGCAGTCTCTACCTTTTGATTGTAGTGTTTAGTCCATTTGCCTTAATGTAATTATTGATAACATAGGGTTTAACCCTATCATTTTGCTGTTTCTGTCCTTTTCAATACATTTGTCCTCTACAGCTGTTCTTTTTTCCTTGCCTTAATTTGGGTTAAACAAATATTTCTTAGTATTTTCTTTATCTTCTTTATTAACTTTTAGCTATGCCTGTTTATTTTGTCTTTTTAAGAGGAACTACAACATACACCATTAATTTATTCTAGTCTACTATGAATTTAATATTATACCACCTCACGCATACACAGTATGGTTAAGCAATATACACTCCTTTATGTCCTCCTATCCTTTTTGCTGTTATTGTCAGATATTTTACTCCTGTATATGTTACAAACCTCCTCAATACATTATTATTTATATATTACATATTCAATTGTCTTTTAAACAAATAAAAAAACAATGAATATGTTTTATATATGTGCCTGCATGTTTAGCATTTCTGGTGTTCTTCATTCTTCCATGTAGATTCAACTTTCTGTTCTTTTTTTTTTTTTTTGAGACAGGGTCTCCTCCTGTCACCCAGGCTGGAGGGCAGTGGCACGATCTCAGCTCATTGCAACCTCTGCCTCCTGGGTTCAAGTGATTCTCCCACCTCAGCCTTCAAGTACCTGAGACTACAGGTGCACACCACATGCCTGCCTAATTTTTGTATTTTTAATAGAGACGGGATTTTGCCATGTTGATCAAGCTGGTCTCGAACTCCTGACCTCAAGTGATCTGCCCACCTTGGCCTCCCAAAGTGCTGGGATTACAAGCATGAGCCACCATGCCCAGCCCAACCTTCTGTTATCATTTTATTTCAACCTGAAGATCTGCTTTTAACATTTTCTGTAGTGTAGCCTATTGTAATGAATCCTTTCAACGTGTGTTTCTATGGAAGTATGTTTATTTCTACTTTACCTTGGAAAGGTATTTTTGCTGAATACAGAATTATAGGTTGATAGGGTGTCCCTACCATTTTAGCCTTTAAAATGTGATTCCATTGTTCTCTGGTTTGCATTGATTTTGATGAGAAGTTAGTGCATATTTTTATCATTCTCCTGTGATAACTTATCCCTTTAAGAATTTTTTGTTTTGTTTCATTGTTGTTCTCAAAAATTGGATGATGATATGGCTAGAAATAGTTTTCTGTGTGCTTATTCCACTTGGAATTTGTTCAGATTTTTGAGGCTTGCGGGTTGTTATTTTTCATCACATTTGGAAAAAGTTTAGTTATTATTTCTTCAAATGTATTTTTCTTTCCCGGTTTTTCTCTTCTCTCCTTTTGGAACTAAAATTACTAATATGTTAGACTTCTTGATACGGCCCTACAGGTCACTAAGGCTGTATTTATTTTTTAAATCCTTTTTCAAAGTTGGATAATTTATTTTAACCGGTTTGCAAGTGTACTGAACTTTTCTTCTGCAATGGCACATCTGCCATTGAGCCCATCCAGAGAATTTTTTATTTCACATATTGCATTTTTCACTCTGGGAATTTATAGTTGTTCTTTTTTATAATTTCCACTTCCTTGTTTAGGTTTCTCTTCTGTATACAATGTCAATATTTTAACAAATCCTTGAATACATTTATTATATCTGTTTTGAAGTCCTGACTCATTAATTCTCACATCTCTGTCAACTCTGGATCTGTTTGTATTGACTGTTTTTTTCTCCTGGATATGTAACACATTTGCCTGCTTATTTGTTTATCTAGTAATTTGTTATTGTGTGCTGAATCTTTAGAATGTTATTTGGTTGACAGTCCTCCTTTAATTAGTGCTGAGTTTTATTCTCACTAGCAGTTAATTTACTTTCAACTTCACTTGGTCTGTCAGTGCTATGGTTTGAATGTGTCCCCTCCAAAATTTATGGGTTGAAACTTAATAGCCAGTGTGACAGCATCAAGAGATGTGGTCTTTAAGATGCCATTAGGTCATGAGGACTCCTCCGTCATGAATGGGATTAGGCCCTTATAGAAGAGGCTTCAGTCACCATTCTGCCCTCTTTTCCCCTTTCTTCTACCATGTAAGGATGCAGTTTTCCTCTGCTCTGGGTAAGCCAATAAGATGCCATCTTGGAAGAAAAGATTGGGCCCTCACCACATACTGACCTGCTAGTACCTTGATCTTGTATTTCTCAGCCTCCAAAATTGTGAATAATAAACTTCTCTTCTTTACAAATCATCGAGGCTTAGATGTTTTATTATAGTAGCACAAATTGTTTAATTGTTATAGTAGCCCAAATGGTTTAAGGCAATCAGGGTTTGATTTTAGGCTTTATTGGGTAAGTCTAAAGTTGTTCTTACTCTAGGGCTAGAATAGCCCTACTTCTAACATTTGGTCATTATAATGGTCAACTAATTGCTGTGGATTTTTAGTGAAGTCTTTACCCTCTGGTTTATCAAAACTGGAATATCTTGAACCCCTTATTCAGCTCATACTCTACTAGTAGTTGTTCTCTATCAGAGAACCCTGAACACATGCAGCTTAGTACTCAGCTAGACTCAAGGAAACCCATATGCAAAATTTGGGACTTTCTCCTCTCAAGTATCCTACTTTGAAAATTCCAAGCAGCCTCAGCATTTCTGAACTCTGATCTCTCTTTACTTTGCCCAGAAAAACACTTTATTCTCTTTGGGTTCCACCTCCCTTTGCCTTTATTTGCAATGTGCCCCTAGTTAATTTACTTTTTTTCTTATAAATTGAATTTTCATGGAGATGAATGGGAAGCTCTTTGTGTGTTTTTCTCCTCTCAAGAATTATATTCCTCTATTGTCTGTTTTATAATGCCTGGAAACCACTTCTTCATATGTTGTGTCCGACATTACACTTGGACACAAAAATACATTAAAGTGAGAAGACAAGTCTGGTATCTATTTTTCTCTCATGGCCGGAATTAGAAGTTGTATCCAGTAAGTCTTTGTGCTGCTGTAAGACACCAGAAATGTCTAAGGTTCCTAGGGGAGGAATGGCTGGGAGGACAAGAGAAGGAAGAAACCTAATTGTTTAGGCTCCAAAATTTCAACACTGGAAGACCTTGAGAACAACAGTTTACAAAGAAGGAGCTTGAATTTGCATATAAATACCACTTTTGCATAAAAAGTCAACAATATGTCTATTGACTATTTGAAAAGTGGGAGCATGGTTGTTGATGGATAATAGGAAAGAGGTAAAGCCATTTTAAGCCCCATTAGCCTACAACGAGTCACTAAACACCTATGTTTCCTTAGCATGGTGGGCTGGAGGTAGAGGGGGAGTTTTGATTTATTAAAGAAAATAAAACTATGTGATCTTTCTTGTACACAGAATTTGGGGGTAAGTCTCAAGAACTTCTTTCATCCTTTAAAGAAACTCTCCATAAGGGCAATTAGTCAAGTGAGTTTCTTTGCTGTGGCCATTTATCCTTATGAGATACTTAGCTCTAATCTTCATTAGAAAATTAAAGGAATTACTAAAACTATAAAATCCTACCAAAATACTCCTGCAAACTCTTGAAAATCACACTAGCAACGATTAAGAAGAGGGTTTCTTCTCTCAATGTAAAGCTATGAAACAAAAACATTGAAGGAATTACATTTTCTCTAGTGCACTTAGAATAATGAAGACGATACAAGTGAGAATAACCTCTCTATAACACATATTTATCCATTTGCAACAACTATCCTGCTGATAATTATGATAAAATACATTTTGAAAACCATTAGCTAAGCATCCTCTTCATAATTTATAAAACATAATTAATTTTTTCATCTTTAAAGGAGAATAAATTCTATTTGAAGGCACATACGATCTTATGATCGTAGTCCCGATCATGTTTTTGAGTTCCTTGAAGACAAAGAAATCCACTCTGACTCATTTCAGCAGTAAAATGAGTTTATTTCAAAAAGAATTAAACAGCTGAAGGGCTCCAAGGGAGGCCCAGAGACAAAAGATTAGAGGCTAGCAGACAGGAACAGTGCCCCAACCTGTGCTGCAGAGCTGCTCAGTGAAGTCATCATTGCCCCCTGCTTGGGACAGCCACCAGAGCTGGCCCTATCACTGCTGCTTTAATGAACAGAATGTCTCTGCCTTTATCCTTGCCAGATGGACTCTGTGCACCATCACTAGTGTAAGGAGGAAAAAATTAATTTTTTCTCTCCCCTTTCTGAGCTCTTGGTTGGAATGGACTGCTGTAACAAAATGAGAGAAAAACAAAGTTTAATAACATGTATACCTCATGTATGTACACATGGGAGATATTCAGGTGTAGGGTCAAAGAAGGAAAGCTTCCCCTTCGCCCTCCGAAGGTTCACTGAAAGTGAACTGATAAGAAGGAGATTAGTAGGAGCAAAAGAATACAAATTTAATTTTAAAATGCACAAGGGAAAATCACAGGAGAGTGATTACCCAAATACCTAATGAGGTCCAGATGATTACACACCCTTCTTCATAAGGGGGAGAGGAGGGATGGAAAATGGTAGGAATTTCTTTTGAGGAGTAGTAAAATGTTTCTTAGGGAAAATGAATGAACCAAGGGACAGAAATTAGCTTGTAAATGATTGTCTTCAAAATTAGATATTATCTTGTGAAGAAGTTCATCCAGATGTAGATTCTTCAGTCTTCTACCTATGATAGATAATCAAATTCAGGGAAGGGTAATGGAAGGTGATTGTATTCTATTTGGCAGGGCTGGTCTTAAGGTAAATAAGTCAATATCAGTGTGAAGTATCTCCCAGCATTTTACTTTAATTTTTTACAATCAGCATATCAGAATGCCATACTGTGGTGTGAAATTCCCTGGGATCCTTCAGGGGGAATGCTATAGTTTGAATGTGTATTGCCTCCAAACCTCATGTTGAAATTTGATCCCAATGTTGGAGGTAGGGATTAATGGGAGGTGTTTGAGTCATGGGGTAGATCCCTCATGAATGGCTTGGTGCCATCTTTGTCATAATAAGTGAGTTCTTGCTCATTAGTTCCCTCGAGAACTGGTTGTTAAAAAGAGCCTGGTACCTCCCCCACCCCCATTGCTTCCTCCCTCACCATGTGATTTCTGCACGTGCCAGCTTCCCTTCCCCTTCCACCATGAGTTGAAGCAGCCTGAGACCCTCACCAGAAGCAAGTGCTGGTGCCATGCTTCTTGTGCAGCCTGCAGAACTGTGAGCCAAACAAACCTCTTTTCTTTATGAATTACCCAGCCTCAGGTATTCCTTTATAGCAACATAAATGAAATAATACAGGAAATATCTCAAAGCTTTTGAATAAATCTCAGAAGTATCATAGCTTTGACTTCAAGCTTAAATACTATTCTCTGAAACAAAGAAAGTTCCTACCCAGTTAGAGGGAGGAAAAGCACCTTAAACAAGGGTAACTATACAAAAAAAAAACCTTACTTGTGTTTAAGTTGCCTTCTCTATTGATAAGAGTTTTTAGTAACTTAGACTCATTCTTTTTCTTCTACAGAGATGAGACACCCTTACGATGGAGATTTCCTTTATAGATGCAAATTTCTCTTACAAAAGCTTAACTTCTACTCTGTTTTCAGAGCTTCTCCTGTGTCTACTGTCTCCCCAAATAATCAGCTCAAAGTGATCCTTATTTTAAAGAGGCATATTTGGGGTACACATTCTGGCCACCTACAGCCATATTTTGGGGTGAAATAGTCTCATCTCCTACATAATATTCTAAACAAATGTAGGACAGATGTATCTGACTGATGGACCTAGATCCCATTGCTGTATTCTTACTACATAGGAGGCTAGGAAAATGAGATTTTGGTTTTTATGCTAGGGAGGAATGCATTCACAAGGTGAGAAATCACCTCAAATGCAAGGACAGATAAAATAATGGATAAATAAATAAGAGTAGGAAGGAAGAACCTTAAAAATTATTAGATGAACTTCCTCGATTTACCAATTTAAGGAAATAAAGACACATAAGATGGAAACGATTTACCCCAAATCTACTCCTTCTCATGCCAGATAAGGCCTTTTCCAACTTGCAGGAATGACAAATACCTCAGACACTCCTTTGTTCCACTTTCACAGAAGACACCTCTAATGTAGAGTATCATGAAGAGTATCTTCATGATACTCTTTCTCATGAAGCCCAGATTTGGACTCAGTCTTTTTCAATACAGCCCACTGAGCAGCTATAACCACAATTAGCACTAGAGATGGAAACAATTTGCCAGCCCTGTACTGTAGCAGGCTGACATTCACTCAACAAAATCTTGAATGAATTAATGAATAGAGAATAAAGTCTCATATAATTAACACCCTTGGAGTCCACAAAGGATCTTTTAGGTAGTTTGTTAGATGATCTCCTTGAGAATTAATATTTATTATGCCCAGTTGTCTCTATTTTGGCTACTGGCACAAATTCATAATTTGTTTACAACAGTTAATAAACAATCAAGCTTCAACTCATTGTTGCACTGCCAGCAATCACACCCATCTCCCCATTCATTCGTATGAAGATGTTTTACTTTTCAAGTGTCAAAGTGGGTAGAATTTGAGCTTGGGAGATGTTTCTTCCTGGCATGGGAGATTGTAACTACATGATGCTGCTGGACTCCTGCCATTTCCTTTTGGAAGTGGGTTGATGGCAAACCAACTCTGGCTTCTATCCCTGCTGAAATTCAGTGGGGTTTAACTACACTGCCTTAGTGTGTATCTAATCCAAAGATGACATCGGACTGGCCCCTTGCTTAGATAATCCAGAGAATGTAATACATTGGTATAAAGTAGTTAAGGGTTTTGTTTTTTTAAGAAATAAGTTTTGCTTTTGAATACAAGTGACAGAATTTCTTGAGGAAAAAAATAAGGAATTTTACTGTCTCATTGACAAATCATTGATGAGCAGAGCTAGCTTCAGCCAGTTCCAAGGACTCATACAAGGCCACCTCTGGACTTTGCCTTCTTTCATGTTGGGCCTTGTCCTCAGGCTTCACATAGTAGCTTCTGGAAGCTTCAAATTTACTCTTCTAGGTTCAAATTCAGTGGAATAGATGGCACTTCTTGGTGGCTTCTATGTAAGTATTAGTATTTCCTCCAACGGAAAAACCTGAATACAGAAATTAGCCAGGCATGGTAGTGCACACCTGTAATCCCAGCTACTCTGAGGCGGGCACAAGAATCGCTTGAGCCCATGAAGCATAGGTTGCAGCAGTGAGCTGAGATGATGCCACTGCCCTCCAGCCTGGGTGACAGAGCAAGACAAAGAAAAGAAAAAGAAACAACTTGGTTCATGTGAACATTCCAGAACCAACTACTGTGGCTTGAGTGATTCAGTGCCCTAATTGGCCATGTCTAGATTACATATCCCGTCCTGGATCTGAGGTTGGAACAATACCGTTACATCTAAAAACAGTGAATGTCCACCACGAGGGCGTATTCAAACACTGTCCGGCAGGGAATAGATGGCACACTCAAAGGAGCAATTGAAGAGAGTTTTACGAAGGGAAACAGACAAAGGATAGAGAAGCATGTAGGGCTGGGAACAGGGGGACACTAGTTCCAACCCCCTAGGGCTGAAGGTGAATGATGAAGGAGCTGTTGTGGGAACGGAGTGAGAGGTGTAGCCATGGGTATGGGCCACCAGGCAGAGCTGTGACCAGATATAGACGAGCACAGCCACTGCCACAGCCCAGCCCAGAAGGGAGGGTGTAGAGTGACAACATTTCTCCACCCCTCTCTCCTCCCAACTTCTGATTCATTTCTCATGCTTCTGATTACCCAAGCCTAACCAGGAGCCAGAAGGCAAGGAGCCTGGGTATCATAGTCTGCAGAGGGCAGCCTCTTGGAATAAAGGGCAGGGTAGAAGGAGTCTGTGGATTTGATCTGAAAGGCAACAAAATAACTAGCACACTTTGTTCCTGTAAATCAGGGGTTGGCAAACTCTTGCCTGTAAAGGTGGAAAGGGAGTGATCCCTCTCCTCCCCATCATAAGGGCCACAGCCAACACTCCTTTAACAAAAGATAGGTTAACAAGAGAAACTCATAACAAATTTCTTTAAACATAGTTTTATGTGACATGGGATCCTTCAGAGTGAAGACAAAAATACATGGGGAAAACTGTCCATTTTTATGCTGGGGTTTGATGAAGAATGGACAGCTGTGTAGGCCTGCAACTGGATAAAAAGGGTAAGAGCTAATGGGAATAGACTGAGTGGGGAGACCCAGCAAGGCCTGTCTTTTCAGGTTCTTCCTGGCCTCTCTGTGCAGCATTGCTTCTTTCTGGATATGGGACAGGACGCTTTCTGGATATGGGACAGGACGCTTTCTGGAATGGGAGGCTTATGACCTACAATCAGACAAGGCAGGTCAGAGAAGTTCTTTTCTTTTGAGACAGAGTCTTGCTCTGTCGCCAGGCTAGAGTGCTGTGGTGCGATCTTGGCTCACTGCAACCTCCAACTCCCTGGTTCAAGGGATTCTCCTGCCTCCGCCTCCCGAGTAGCTGGGATTATAGGCATGCACCACCATGCCTGGCTAATTTTTGTATTTTTTTAGTAGAGATGGGGTTTCACTATGTTGGCCAGGATGGTCTCGATCTCCTGACCTCGTGATCCACCTGCCTTGGCCTCCCAAAGTGCTGGGATTACAGGAGTGAGCCACCGCACCGGCCCAGGTCAGAGAGTTTCTTCATGGCCAACTCCCACACAAAAAGGGAGGGAGAAAGTTAGAGTAATATTGTTAGGTTTTGCGGCTGGCTTTGGAGAAGGGGTTCTGGTTTCTGTGACCTGCCTTGGGGAAGAGGAATTCTTATTTCTATGGCTAGCCTCAGGGAGAATGAGAGGCGAGAGACAGGAGGGCAGGAGAAGGTCCAAAAGAGACTTTACTTCTGAGGCTGTTTCTGAGGCCTTCACACTGGGGATCATTTTCTGAGCCTCAGCAGACTCATGGGCCAAATGTGGCCCACCACCTGTTTCTATAAGAAAAATTTTATTGGAACACATCCAATAAGCAAATTCTTGTTTATTCATTGTCTGTGGTTGTGTCTGCACTACAACAGCAAAGTTAGGTAGTTGTGATAGGAACCATATGGCCCATGAAACTTAAAATATTTACTCTCTGGAGCTATACAAAAAAGGTTCACTGACCCCTGGCCTAGGCCAACACAGCCACTGTGCCTGACACACAGATGGTATGTAAATGAGGTACTAAAACTAAATGAATGACCTAAAGCCTTGGTGACAGTCACAATGTGAATGAACTTAAGCTTCAACCCCAGGAGATCATTGCAATTGCAAGGCCCTCAAGCCATTTCCCTTTATTCCAGAATTGCTTGTGTGGCTTACTCCCTTCCTCTGTAACTACTGCTACAGTCCAACTGCCACTGTCCCTCTTGATCTCTGCTGCTGCTGTGTCCTCTTGGTTCAGTTGATATGGTCATTTTCTTTGGCTGCCATGAATATCAGTGTTTTCCCTGCCAAGGCCCTGGAATTTA
Source organism: Homo sapiens (assembly GCF_000001405.40). Lineage (NCBI taxonomy): Eukaryota > Metazoa > Chordata > Mammalia > Primates > Hominidae > Homo > Homo sapiens. Next base: position 93,942,241 of record NC_000012.12, on the reverse strand, counting down.
GGAGAGGGTGTACTCCTAAGAGATTATAATGCCTTTTTGACTTCCAAATGGGAGACTGCTCTTTCCTTTTTATCTCCCTTCTTTGGGTTACTTGGGATAAGAATCTCAGAGACTAAGGGGACACTGTATAGCATCATCAAGTATTATCTCCAAAAGCTCTCTTCCTTGCCCTGTTAACCAAAGTCCCAGTGTAGAGCGCAGGCACTTGGATTTTTTCATCTCTCAGGAGTTCCTTGTTTACCCAGGGTACTCCTCATTGAACTTGGGATGCTCTTTACTTTTGTTCAGGGGGTTAATTCTGGCAGTGCAGCTCCACATTCCGTTTATTTACTCATGACTTCATTCATTCAACATGATGTCTTCCAGGAAGCCACCAACAGTGCAATCTTGGCTCACCGCAATCTCCACCTCCCGGGTTCAAGCAATTCTCCTGCCTCAGCCTCCTGAGTAGCTGGGATTACAGCCATGCGCCACCATGCCTGGCTAATTTTGTATTTTTAGTAGAGATAGAGTTTTTCCATGTTGGTCAGGGTGGTCTCAATCTCCCAACCTCAGGTGATCCATCTGCCTTGGCCTCCCAAAGTGCTGAGATTACAGCCATGAGGCACCACACCCGGCCAACAGCTACCTTTAATAGAAGCCCAACAGTCATCTTAATACTGCACAGTTTTTGAGATACGAGGCAGACTGGTCCCTACTTTATGCCTTGATTATGATCACTGCCCTAGATTTTGATCACAGTGTATAAAAACAGCCAGGTTACATCAGTAACCACATGAATATGACATAGTGACCAATAAAACTTAGCCCAGATTAATCCAACACAGTGATGTGCATAGTCATTGCACTTTATGGTAATCAGGTATAGATGGAACAGAAATATTGTAATGCTAGTTTTCACGCAACCCTAACAGGGGTCAGAAGAAGAGAGGAGATAGACAACTAGGAGAAGCTGAAAAAAATGCTCTGGGTCATTTTTTAAAGACTTCTGATAATATTTAGAGATGTGGGGCCAGTTGGTGTAACTGGAGAGATGAGAATGCTATAAAATGGAAAGAAATCAGAAGGAAGAGAAGTTGGGCATAAAAAGTAGCTTGGAGCCCAAACACCAATGTTGTCCATATTGCCCCTCGCCTAGGGCTGATGAAAGTCTCCAGATCTGGAGAGGAAGAAAAGGAAGATTAGAAAGAAAGGAGCAAGGTGCCTCCAGAGGGATTCTCAGGAGGAGGACAGATGCCGGGCAGTGCACTGGAGGTAGTTTTGGCCAAACACCTGCCATGGGCACAGTGTCGTAAAAAATATACTGCTACTGAAGAAACAACTGTCTCTCAACATCTGTGAAATGGAAATCAAGCCCCTACTATTGGCAAGGAACCCCTACTCACTCATCTTATTCAAGTGGAGAACCCTATTTCAATTCCTCAACTGAAAGCCATCAAGTTTGTGGATGGATAATGGAAAGGGAAAATGGCTTTGTAGATAGATTCTCTGATTGCCTAGTGTGTATGTGAGCATGTACATCTCGGACAGGACTGGTAAAAGTCTGTGTATTATGCACACACAGACACATACACTTTTACCAGTCCTCTCCAGGGATTCTTCAAAAACACAAATCCACTCATGCTAGCGTCCTCTCTAAAGTTTCCCAACGATTTCCCATTGTTCCTAGATAAACTAATGTGGCTTCCAGGGCCCTGTGTGACCTGCCTACTGCATCCCTCTCAGTACTAGCATCTTCACAATATCATCTTATATTCTGTCTTTCACCCAGACTGAACTGCCACTCACTTCCTGTTGGGAACCATGCCCTCCCTTATCTCATTTCTTTGTGACCCACTCTTCCATGGCCCAGACTTCACTCGTTAACTTCTGCTTGTCCCCCAGGTGTTCGTTCACTGAGGTGTTCTGGATGTCTGGGCCAGGTTAAATCTCCCTTTATGGGCCTTCCACTGTGTGTCTACGCTCTTGGTTGTAACACTCACTACAATTTAAGGCAATTGCTTACACAGTTGCCTGTCTTCCCAGCTGGTCTAGATGCGGGCAGGGACCTTGTCTGTTTTCACTCATCTCTGCGTCCCCAGCATCGAGCACATGTCTGGCATAGAGAAGACACTAAAGTAAACTCATTGACCCATTGAATGAGGCTCACTAGAGAGGAAAAGAAAAATCACCATCCTCGTTACTCACACCCACCTCATTTCTTGGCACAAGTGCAGGTTGTTAGCTGGGTAGCTTGTTTTCTCAGAAGCAGAACAGTATTTTTATGATAATAATATAAACTCCAAATGTCCATTTTTTGATATTTAAAGATAAATCTCACCCTATAGTATACGAAATAAGGATTTCCTTTGATCCATTTGCTGCCTGGCTCTGAAGTGCTGTGATCTTTTCCAGTCCTTGACAAACGAATCTGAATCTGTATTATGCAACTACTAAACTGATCATAATTTTCTGTGCCCAGAACAATAAACTAACAGATGTTTGGAAAGAGCATTAGAGGAAATGAAAAATAATTTATAGGAATACAATGGAGCCAATAGTTTAGTACCCCCAAAATAATAATCTCTAAGAACATAAAAATAATTGCTTCCTACTACAAAAAAAAAAAAAACTTTAAATGCTACTTTCTAAAAAATATATACCTGTTAGAAACAGAGAGAAGCTGAACTTCTGTCTCATTACTACCCATATTCTGTGTGATTTATTCCATTCATTTTTCTGACAATGCCCTTCAAACTCTGTAGGTTCACTGGGGCCCCTTTAAGCCCTCAGAGCTCTCTGTCTTATCAACAAGGATTTCCTTCTTTAACTGACATAGACTCAATGCCTTAATTAAATACTCTACCTCAACTAGATTTTCTTTTCTCAAAATGTTTTATTGTTTTAATTCATAGAACTATAAAACTTTTTAGCTGGCATGCCCTTGGAGCAGTCATCTTCAATATTTAGCCCAATTTTTGTTAATATATAAAACCAGTCTGGGTTCATCTGAGTCCTCAATATTTCGGCTCATGTGTCTGATACAACAATGAGATGTGTGGATTGCGTGACTTGGAACAAATGTGCTCTAAGGGATATGGGTGTGTTGTCAAGCCAAGGCTAATGAAGGATTGCAGAGCTTCCAGAATGTGGGAAACCTCTGACTCTGGGGTATATAAGAGAGTATGGTCAGGGCTGTAAACCATTCCATTCAAAGAACCCATGAAGTAGTGAAGCTGGTCAGCTATTGAGCCATAACTGTGGATAATTTTATGGTAACTGGGAGACACTGTTGTATTACAGTCAGCATTGTACTTAGTGACTGCTGACATTTTTGTATTGTTTTCAGTCTTTTAAAGTTTTCAATAGTGCTATCCACATTCTTTTATTTGAAAGTGTGCTGCAAGCACTAGAAGAATGAGAATCACCATCTTAGTAAGGGGTCAAGCCCCCAGTCCCCTCTTAAGGCTAAGGAAACTAAAGTTATAGAAGGAGAAGGTATTTGAGGCTGAGTAACCCAGCTTGCTTAAGGTCCATATGGTCAAGACTAGAATTCAGTCCTCACAACCCTCAAGACCTTTTTCTACTATGCCTTATTTCTACTCTTGAGTTGATAAACCTAGGTCACCAGGGTTTAAAATGAGCAGGAAAAACAAAATCTGTTAAAACAGATAGGGACTGATGTGGTTTGGTTCTGTGTCTCCACCCAAATCTGATATCCAGTTGTAGTCCCCACGTGTCAGGGGAGGTGGTTGGATCATGGGGCAGTTTCCCCGATGCTGTCCTCATGATAGTGAGTGGGTTCTCTGAAGAGCTGATGGTTTTAAAGTGTTGCATTTTCTTGTTCTCTCTCTCTCTTTCTGTCTCTCTCCTGCCACCTTATGAAGAAGGTACCTGCTTCTCCTTTTCCTTCTGCCATGATCGCAAGTTTCCTGATGCCTCCCCAGCCATGCAGAACTATGAGTCAATTAAACCGCTGTGGTTTATAAATTACCTGGTCTCAGGTAATATCTTTATAGCAGTGTGAGAACGGATGATACAGGGGTTTAACAGACCCCCTCAGCAGACCCCTGCCTGCACTGAGCTTGTGTCTCCATTTGGCTGTCTAGAGCGTTGTACATCCTCTCTTTCAAGAGCGATCAAATTCACGAAGACCAAACCTGTCTAAATATTTGCACTGAGAGTTGGACATCTTGTAGAGATAAGCACAACTTAAGTTGCTTTTCTTTGTTGTTATCACATCATGGGACTCTTGCACAATGCATGATGGCTCTCCATTAACAAGGGTGAGCAGGAAAGAGCAGGGCACTTCGGATATTTGGGATTCTGCAAGACAGGAACGGAGAGTTGAAGAAATTCACGTGGTTATGGCACCCGACCTCTGAGGGGAATAGCAGGAAGCACATTTTAGAGCACCCATGTTGACCTCAGGTGTCCTACCTGCAGGCCTTGGTAATATAAGGGAATCCAAATCAGCAGATCAATGGAACCAGTGGGAATCCAGGTGAAAGTGGTGTTAAAGGCAGTTGGGAATTCATGGTGTGATTCTGAATGATACTTTCATTCACAGCAAATCTGCAGCCCCTGGTTGAGAAAGGGGAGTAGCAAGTATCCAGCCCCAGGGAAGAGGCCTGGGACTATGTAGGCAAAAGTCAGGCACTCATCTAAGCAGTCTGGTGTTTTGCAAAGAAATCCAGTTCCAGCAAGATTGTTGGGAGGTGAAATGCAGTTGTAAGACAAGCCCGATAGGAAGTGGCCAGTGGGACCCTGTGCCTCAGTGGGCATGTGAGGCACTGAGGACACAATGGAGGTCTCTGTGGGATGAAGATGTTCATTATACATAATACTTGGTTAAAATTTTTATTCAAAGATTCAATAATTTATGCTTTAGAGTGAAGAAATAACCCAAGAATGTCTACATGTCTAAGACAAACAAAAAATGGTTTTATCAGAATTCCCAGTCAAGACATCATGTACCAGGTCTCTACGTCCCTCCAGTCTCATCTGTCATAAATGTTTGACCTCCCCACCCTCTGAACCCCTAACTTCACCTCCTTAGTTGACCACAGAAAACAGGTTGTAGGCCCTGTTTTCATTTATTGCCACCAGCCTTTTTGTGCTCTTCTTTCTCCCTGAAATGCCCTTCCCTTCCCCTCTGTGGTTCTGATGGTCTGGTGGACCCTGTTGTTAATGCTTCCACTTCCCACCCAAATGGAGTTCATTCCTCCCATCTTTATCCCACTATTCTATTTCTTGATTAATGTAATTATGACTGGGCTGATATTCAGCCATTGGGCACCACGTTGGCAGCACTGATTGTAAAATTACAGAAACACTTCTGGGAGAGTTGATAAAAGGCTGCTGTCCCAAGACCTCCACATGCCTCCTTTCTGTTCCTCCCACTCCAGCCAGTTCCAGGCCTCCCCAGGATGTAGTCACTGAAGGATTAATGCTGGGAGCAGCAGGACCCTCCCCAGCACCCTGGCCAAGGTCTTCTGTTGCTCTTACCTAGTCTTGGAAATTCTCAAGTGTGAATCAGAACAACCAGGCTCTAATTTGTACTTGCACTGAACTTTGGGCAAATCCCTTAGTTTCTCTGAGTCTTAGTTTTCTCATCTGTAAGATGGAGATGGATGCCTACCTTGCAGGACTTCCAGTGAGGTCGCTGGGTTGATGGGCATATATGCTTCAGCTTTTAGTAGCAGTATGTGATAATTTTGAGTGATATTCAGCTGAGCAAGGATGCCGAGAAAAATCCCAGATGAAAGAAGCAAGGCCTGACCAGCACTAACCTGAACAATTTGGGCTGACAGACTGTGGCTTTCCAGCCTTGTTATGGCCAGTGGTTAAAGGAAGGGAGGGTAGGGTAAGTTCTAGTTTCCCAAGGACAATGTAGTGGCCTAAATCACTTCTTTTGTGACTTTACTTGTCCAACTCTCCCCGGGCATGTGAGGAAATCTAGTTTATATCACCTTTGTTTTTTCCATAAAGCTCTTGAATGGGTGTGTGTGCTTGGTGGCTGCAGTCTTCTGAGAACCCAAGTTTCTTGGAAGTTCTTAAGAGTCCAGGCACTATTCCCTGGAAAATGTGTGTTTCCTGGGGATTATTAGAAGCTTAAACCTTCGGTCAAAGTTAAGCATCTAGAAAATTGTTCCTGGAAAGTGTTGTCAACACCTTCTTAATTGGCTGCCTTGGCATTGTCTCAAGGCTGTGATCTCTACCTCAGATCCTGGACCAATATCAAACCTTCCTCTACCAAGACAGTTGCCTTCTGGGACAGAAAATAAGTACAAACCTCTGGTCTGCATTTCCAACTCGAGGAAATAAAAGGAGCCTAGCTGGGAGGAGTCACATAAATCATACTTACATTGCTGGTAGAAAGTACATTTCTCTCTAGATTATTGCGCTCAAGGGCTTTCCTTTTCTCCCCCCTTTCCTTCGCCTCCACTCCATCCCCACAGTGAGGGTGAGAGATAAGAAAACTTGGTTCTTCATGGATGGACACCTTTGTTCTGGGCTTTAGAGGGCAAAGTCTAGATCCAGGGAAGTGCCTGTGTGTTTGCATCTACATAAGCAAAGGCTTCAACAGCAGGACTTAGGTACAAGCAACACCTAAGGGACACCATAGCCTCTCTTAGAAAGCTCTTTCCTCCTTTATGTTTGATTAGAGCAAATGTCATTCTACTTTTCACCTCCTCCAGATATGTGCCTGTTGCCACCTTGGTGCCAGTTAACTCCCTAGGAGTAATACAGGAGCTACAGTCCTGTAAGCACAACTCGAGGGACTCCATTCTAAAATTGTAGCTGGTGTTCTTTTGCTTTCCTGCTTTTTCATTTCCTCCTATGGCCCTTCCACTCTTCGAATGAGGCCATTTTGAGTTTTTGCCTTGCAATCACCCAAACAGGTTCATTTCACCCACTGCCCAAATAGAGCTAATTTATCAAGACAGGGGAATTGCAATAGAGAGTTTAATTCATGCAGAGACAACTGAACAGGAGACTGGAGTTTTATTACTCAAATCAGTGTCCCCAAAAATTCAGAGGCTAGGGTTTTTCAAGAATAGTTTGGCAGGCCAGGGAATGGGTGCTGCTGATTGGCTGGGGATGCAATCATAGGGGTGTGGAGAATGGTCCTTGTGGGTGCTAAGTCTGGACCCTGGGTGGGGGCCACAGGAGCAGTTGGCAGGTCCAGGTGGAGCCATCAGTCATCAGAAATGCAAAAACCTGAGAAGACATCTCAAAAGGCCAAACTTAGATTCTACAAGAGTGATGTTATCTGCAGGAGTAATTGGGGAAGTTGCAAAACTTGTGACCTCTGGAATTAACGGCTGGTAATCATTTACACCTTAGCAGAATTCAGGTTCCTCTCATCCTCCTAACTTTGTGGTCTTTCACTAACTTTACAAAGGTGGTTTAGTACTGGGGAAGGGCTATTATCATTTACACTGTAAACTAAATGTCTCTCAAAGTTAGTTTGGCCCAAGACCAGGAATGATTAAGGGCAATTGGGAGGCTAAAGGCAAGATAAGGGTTGCTTAAATCAGATGCCTTTTATTGTCATACTTTTCTCATGGTTATAATTTTTGCAAAGACCGTTTCAGTCTGAGCAATTAAATTGAACAGCAAGAAGACATTTTTGTTTTGTTTTTTGAGAGGGCCTCACTCTGTCACCCAGGCTGGAGTGCAGCGGCATGATCATAGCTCACTGTAACCTCAAACTCCTGACTTCAAGTAATCCTCCCACCTCAGCCTCAGCCTCAGCCTCCTAAAGTGTTGGGATTACAGGAATGAGCCACTGTGCCAAGCCCTGGCTTTTAAAAGTTGAGCCCTTGGGAAGAACAACAACAATTACAACAAAAATTCAGAGCATGAACAATAGATTTGGAAGATCCTATGAGAAAGAGAAAAGATTCTTATAAATGTTCTTCAGATGCCTCCCGGGCTCAAGCAGATTCTCATGCCTTCAGATACTGGGTGGAGGGGTAAAATAATTGGAGAGCTTATGAATATGCTGACCTAAAAGGAAGAAGCTGAGACAAAATTAATATAAATAGAGAGTTTATTTAGGTCAAGCTTGAGGATTGCAACCCAGGAGCATAGATTCAAGATGCCCTGAATAAATACTCTGAATAAATAGCCACAGTTACAAGTGGGTTTTTAAAGGAAAGGAAGAGGCAGTTCCTGATTTGTTTACCAAGAATTTACATGAAAATAACATAGCTATTGGTTAGGTTATTTATGATATGCTGTTCTTTGTGCCACAACTTCCAAGAACATGAATTTTAAACAATTGTCTGCCAAGTGAAGGGGGATGCTGGGGGAGGATGATTGAAGTGGGGGACGCCGGGGGAGGATGATTGATGTCTCATACTTATGTCTATCCAGGCCGGCATACCTCACAGAGCTCAAATTGCTCTGAGCGTTTTTCTTTTCTCAAATACATGGACATTTGTAGAAGGGAAGGCTGCATTTTCTTGGTAAGACCGGGAAGAAGAAATGACCCAGAGATGAGCTGCCTGTGTGCCGGAAGGGCTTTCAGTAATCAGGGAGCATGTCCTGGGCCCTAGTGTGGCCTGGTTGTGGCAGATGGACCTATGTATCTGAGAGTGCTATGCAATCAGCAGGGCCTCGGACAAGCTCACTGAGTTTCTTGCAGCTGAGGAGGACTCAAGAGAGATACAGACACAGCTGAAAGAGAGGGGGCCCTGGAGGGACCAGCAGTTAGAACAAGGCAGGTCTCAACAGTGCTGTGTGTTCTGAGCACCAGCCAGGTGGAGGATCGGAGAGACAAGGAGATGACCACATGGGAGGTGAGGACCCAGCATCAGGTCCTGGATGCCTTGACATTGCATCTGGACCCAGGAATGAAGACGTTGACCAAAAGAGTCAAACTCTGTAAAATATCTGAAGAGATCTATTCTGAGCCAAATATGAGTGAACAGGGCCTGTGAACATGTGCCCAAGGGGGTCAGGCTGTAGCTTGGTTTTATATATTTTATGGAAACATGAGACTTCAATCAAATACATTTAAGAAATACATTGGGCCAGGAGCAGTGGCTCATGCCTGTAATCCCAGCACTTTAGGAGGCTGAGGCGGGCAGATCACTTGAGGCCTGGAATTCGAAACCAGCCTGGCCAACATGGTGAAACCCCATCTCTGATAAAAATACAGAAAAATTAGCTGGGCATGGTGGCAGGCACCTGTAATTTCAGCTACTTAGGAGGCTGTGGCATGAGAATCGCAGGAGGTGGAGGTTGCAGTGAGCCGAGATTATGCCACTGCACTCCCACCTGGGTGACGGAGTGAGACTCCATCTCAAAAAAAAAAAAAAAAAGAAATACATTGGTTCTGTTCAGCAAGGCTCAACAACTGGAAGCAGTGGGGCTTCCAGGCTACAGGTATATTTAAAAATTTTCTGGTTGACAATTGGTTGTATTTATCTAAAGACCTGGGATCAATAGAAAGGAAGTGTCTGGGTTAAGATAAAGGATTGTGGAGACAAAAGTTCTTATGTGCAGAGGAAGCCTTCAGGTAGTAGGCTTCAGAGAGAATAGGTTGTACAATGTTTCTCAGCCAACTTAGAGTCTGCGTTGATGTTAATGCTGGAGAGGTATAATGAAACACGTCCGACCCCGACTTCCCATCATGGCTGGAACCAGTCTTTCGGGTTAAATTTCAAGAGTGCCCTGACTGAAGAAGAAGTCCATTCAGATGGTTGTGGTGGGGCTTAGAATTTTATTTTTGGTTTACAAAGATGTGACCTTTTGGGGCCTTGGGAAAGGGTGGTGGTGAAACTCTGAACTAAATTACTTTTTTATCCTGCAAGTAAATACAGGCTTATAAGATAAATTAAATTACCTAAGTGATTAGACTTATATCTCTTTTTTTGAAACAGGGTCTTTCTCTGTTGTCTAGGCTGGAAAGCAGTGGCGTGATCATAGCTCACTGCAGCCTCAAATTTTAGGGCTCAAGCGATCTTCCAGCCTCAGCCTCCCAAGTAGCTGGGACTATAGTTGCACAACCACACCTGGTTAATTAAAAAAAAAAAAAATTGTAGAGATGAGGTCTTGCTATATTGCCCAGGCTGGCCTTGAACTCCTGGCCTCAAGTGTTTGCCTCAACCTCCCAAAGTGCTGGGATTACAGGTATGCACCATAGCACCCAGCATCATATTCTTATACCCTATTCAGAGTAGGATTCCTCTCAGAAAAAATACTACATGGATCTACTGAAAAACACTGAAAAGATATGTACCCAAAATCCATAGAGGTTACCTCTGGGTGGTAGAATCACTGGGTCTTTTCCTCCCTCCCTCCCTCCCTCCCTTCCTTCCTTCTTTTTCCTTCCTTCCTTTTCCTTCCTTCCTTCCTTCCTTCCTTTCTTCCTTCTTTTTCCTTCCTTCCTTTCATTCATTCCTCCTTCCTTCTTTCTCTCTCTCTTTTTTTCTTTTTCTCTCTCTCTCTTCTTTTCTCCTTGCCTCCTCTTTTTTCTTTGTTTTATGTATCTTTTTGTCTAACTTTTCACAGTGGACTATTTTCTACTTTTCTACAACAAACTTATTTTGTTAGGAAAATACAACACAGGCTGGGTGTGGTGGCTCTCACCTGTAATCCCAGCACTTTGGGAGGCTGAGGCTGGCAGATTGCTTGAGCCCAGGGGTTCAAGACCAGCCTGAGCAACATAGGGAAACCCTGTCTCTCTTTCTCTCTCTCTCTTTTTTTTAAGGAAAAAACAACACGATAAAATAAAGTAAATGAGAAATGGCAGTCAGGGCATATTCCTTTTCATTATGAGGGTGAAGGAGATTGTACTGAGGTGTGATTGGTTTTCACACTAGAGCCAGCACGGGCTCTCCTGTGTGCTCTGGACGATACTTGAGGTCCTCTTCTTATAAATTCCTGGAATTCTGGGATCTATTTAGAAAACCTCCAAGAGTCTTTGGAGAGAAACTGCCATTTGTATTTTCTAAACTGGACTTTGTCCTTCACAGTTTGGGAGTTTGCAATGGAAGAGATTGCATTTAAGCCACTTTTCCTCTCTTATCCAATCTGGATGCTGGCCATCTAACTTGCCTGTGCTCAGAAGGCTGAAATAACTTATAGCATTTGTATCTCAAGGGTGAAATCTAAATAATATTAAGGAAATATATCAAAAGGAAGTGATTGCTTTCAATTCCCATCTCCTCATAATGTAGAGAAATGGTTAAATTCGTTGCGATCAGTCTTAATCAGAGAACCTGCCCCATTTGTTCTAAACAGTGCTATTACAGCCCCTGCATGTTTACTAAAAAGAGAACCACCATCTGCAGATGGGTTAGCAACACATTTATACTACTTTCATGCATTACCAATGCAATTCTAGAAATGAATCTAAGAAAAGTGCTGTTTTAGCAGGGAGAGTGTCTTCACTTAAATCCGAAAAATGATTTGGTTATCTCCAGATTTGTAAAGATCAAATTCCAGCTGAATTTCTGTAATATTCTATGTAGAGATCTTAGAAATAAATATAAATATATAAATACACACATACACACACACACGTAGTAGTAACACCAGTGGGTTATCACTGAATGTCATAAAACAACTTGCAATGTGACGGCACCTTAGAAAGGACATTTTAAATAATGTACCCCTGTTTTTTCTATTGAGTTAAAATCCCAACTGTTTTGGAGCCATGAATGCTGCAATTCATATGCCAGTTAGACCCATCAGAGAAGAAACTTCCAATGCTGTATTTTAGGCTGTGCCTATACATGAAACTAACTTGATTAAGTTCGGCTCATAATTATGATCAAATCTTTGGCTTAAGTAAACCTTAATTTTGTTTAAACTCTATGCCAGGGCCAAGGAGGCGTAGGAGGGCAATGGAGGATAAATTATCAGAACCAAAACACCAGCTCTAAAAGGGAGACAATAGAATGAAGTATTTTAGAGCTCAGGCCTTAGATTTTGACTGCCCCAGGTTCTAATCTTGGTTCTGCCACTTCTTGGCTGACTCAATTTGAACAGTTTACTTAACCACCCCAATGTCATCATCTTAATCCAGCAACAATAAGAATACCAATGTCAGAGTGAGGTTGTGAGGATTAAAGATGAAAGTGCATGTCAATACTTATCATAGCTACTGGCACATAAGAAGCATTCTGTAAATGTTAACTATTGTTATTATAGATTGCTTTCACAAAACGTTCTAATAATGAAATCTTTGAAAATTAGACTCTGCAACTGGCTATTGGAATCTGAAATTTGCCTTCTTGGATTGCCATTGCCATTGGCTTCCCATCAGTTCCCATGGATTTAATTAATGAGCATATGACTGAGCCAATTCTCAAGAGGGAGACAGCCAAGGAAAAGTGAGGATGGTATTATAGACAATAACTCACTGTGAATCAGGAAGGGACATTATCTTTCAAGTCATTTATAAATCAAAAACCCAGCCAAAGCTTCAAGCCTTCCAGGTAAAAGGATTATCAGCACACAGAAGGCCGTTGACAGCAAATTTCCTCAGGCCTAGGAACATCAACCCCATCATATGCTGTTCCTTGGGACTTGTCATTCCATGACTGGGCTTGGCCATTTGGAGTCTAAGACACAAAGCCAAGAGACTATAATGATAGTGGATGTCTGAAGTGGTTTTGAGGTTCGACAATTGGATTTTTCTCTCCATCAGACCTGATATGGAAAAGTGGGCCATGGCACTGGCATGTTTTTATGCCTCTTGTCAATGCCTATCCTCCTCTAGCCCTGACTTTCTGAAGCACCAACACACACTACTTTGGGCACTGATTAGGCAGGATAGTGTATTATTAGTCTGGTCTCATGCTGCTAATAAAGACATACCCGAGACTGGGTAATTTATAAAGAAAAAGAGGTTTAATGGACTCACAGTTCCACATGGCTGGGGAAGCCTCACAATCATGGCAGAAGATGAAGGAGGAGGAAAGGCACATCTTACATGGCTGCAGGCAAGAGAGCATGTGCGGAGGAACTGCCCTTTATAAAACAACCAGATCTCATGGGACTTATTCACTATCGTAAGAACAGCACAGGAAAACCCGTCCCCCATGATTCAATTACCTCTCACAGGGTCCCTCCCATGATATGTGGGGATAATGGGAGCTACAATTCAAGATGAGATTTGGGTGGGGACACAGCCAAACTATATCAGATAGACAGGACTATTTATTCAGAAAAGGACAATCATTTTTACCTGGATATAACCAAATATTTCAGTAGTCTTAGGATTGTCTCACCCTTACTTACTTGTAGGAAGGCAGCCAAGAAAGTGTATTTCTTCACCTCTCAAAAGGCAGTTACTTCGGATGAACAGGGATCTCCATATCTAAAAGGTTACAGGTTAGCCTAATCTGCATGCACAATTTGGAAAAATGTAAACATTCTGTGGGTAGGAATTATAATTGTCTTACTCACTGTTGTATGCCTAGGGTCTAGCACGGTACCTAGAACATAATATGTGCTGATGAGTACTGAATACATAAATGAATGAATATGAGCTTTCTCACTGATGTACCATTGCCTGAAATCGCCTACATTTGCTCACTCGGTAAACTTCTCCTTATCCAGTAAGTCTCTGCTCAGTTGCCATTCATTCTGTGAAATACTTTCTTTCATTCCAGGTAGGGGAAAGCCTCTTTGCTTCCATTCCCATATATCCAGTATGTGCCTCCATGTCAAGGTTCTTATATGCAAACAACCAAGTTACTCTGGCTAGTTCAAGCAGAAATAAATGTGTTAAAGGATATTGGGTGGCTCAAAGAGTGTTTGGGAGGGATAGGGAACCAGGTTTCAATGTTATCTAGCTAGGAAAGAGCACAACCACACTAGCTGCTTCAGTGAGACATGGCGGCGGCTGCTGTTGATCCTCATCATTAATTACCCATTGAAGGCCTGAAGATATAAGCATGGCGACAGCCATATCAGAAGAACTTGACACTTCTACCACTCTTCTTATCAGAAAATTCATTCACCCTGTGTGTGGCTGCCACCTCATGTGGCACTTCTGTTTCCACTTATGCTAGTACATCTCATTAGAAGAACACAGGCCACATACCTGAACCCTATCTGCAAGAGGTTCCACAAAACGTATATTTTAGTTTGCTAGTCTCTATAGCAGAGGATGGAAAGCCAAAAGGTATGTTGAGTGAGCCAATCAATTACATCTGCCACATGCCATAACATCACTATTTCCTTCACTTGTTGACTTCCTTAAAAGCAGGTATTTTGTGGTGTTCATCTTGTATCACTAGTAGCTAAACAGGTCCTAGTATATAATAGGCTTTCTTTCTTTTTTTTTTTTTTTGAGACAGAGTCTCGCTCTGTCACTCAGGCTGGAGTGCAGTGGTGCAATCTCAGCTCACTGCAACCTCTGCCTCTTGGGTTCAAGTAATTCTTGTGCCTCAGCCTCCTGAGTAGCCGGGACTACAGCCACGCACCACCATGCCCAGCTAATTTTTTGTATTTTAGTAGAGATGGAGTTTCACCATGTTGCCTGGGCTGGTCTTGAACTCCTGTGCTCAGGCAATCTGCCTGCCTCGACCTCTCAAAGTGCTGGGATTACAGGTGTGAGCCACCATGCCCGGTCTATAGTAGGCTTTTAATAAAAGGTGGTGGAAGTAAAATGACCTAGACTGGAGGTTTGATACGGCAATCCAAGCACACACATTTCTGTCCTTTTCCTCCAGAGAGGACACTGATGTTGTAATAAAAGCTACAATTTCATAACAAAATAGAAACCAAGAGAAGAGCTATCAGCAGATTTGAAATTTAAACAAATTTCTGAAAATCAGATGAAATAATATTGACCAATCCACCAGAGTAGAGAACAGAAAACCTAGACTATGCTCAGAGCGGGCACAGGGATGGAGTGAGAGTTGAGTCCTAAAACAGGACCAGTCTGTTTATATCACATATCCAGTGTTTACCGTCTATGCCTCCAAAAGAAGCATTGTTATATTAGTTTGCTAGGGCTGCCATCATAAATTACTACAGTCTGGGTGATTTAAACAATAGACATTTATTTTCTCACAATTCTGGAGATCATAAGTCCAAGATCAAGACATTGGCAGAGTCAGTTTCTTCCTTGGTTTTTAGATGACTGTCTTTTCCCTGTATCTTCACATGGTCTTCCTGTATGTGTCCCAATTTCCTCTTGTTATAAGGATGCCAGTCAAATGGCACTAGGGCTTACCCTAATGACCTTATTTTAACTTAATTACCTCTTGAGACTATCTCCAAATACAGTCACATTCTGAGATACTGGGGTTTAAGACTTACTGCAAATTTTAGAGGGATACAATTCATCCAGTAACATTTATTTATCTATTCTTTAAAGAAATTGATGAGTTGTCATGTAACAACTGAGTAACCAATATGGGTAATGGACACCAAACACCTCTATGTTTTGACACTGTGGGACCCCAGTGCCATGGTCTTCTTCCCACCCTCTCTGCAATGTGGAGCCAATTATGTGGCAAGCTCCAGCCACATTCTCAAGACTCCTTTCAGCCTTACATTGCCTCTTTCTTTTTTAAAACATCAAGATCATCATACATTTCAGAAAAGCTTCCAACACTGATGAAAAAGAACAAAATAAAAAATATGATCCAAGAGGAGACAGATATATTAAAAAACAAGAATATGTTAAAAATTGAATTATGTCTTCAAAGAAACTTCAGAAACAATTGCATCCGTAAAATTAGAATGGTATGCTGGGAAAAATGAGCAACTATATACCAAATAAGAGCTTTTAGGAATTAGAAATATGATTGCCAAAATAAAAGTTTCTGTAAGAATTAAAGAAAGAGGGGAGAAACACAAAGGGTGGCTTTTCAGTCAACGGGGACAAGTTTATTTTAAATAAACCTGAGAGGGGCTTCTGGGCGTTTTAGGTCAGAGCCCACTCTCTTAAAGACTAAGAGATTGTAAGGATTCAGGGTGGGAGAGTTTATCAGAGGCTTGGGCTGCTTCTGTGTCTCTTTGTTGTACTTATCCGGGAGGGTGAGTTATGTATCTATCCCCATACATCTTTCTGTAGCTGCAGGCATATCCCCCCAGTCTGCTTTTAGCTTCCCTAACTTAGTGCACCTGAAGGGAAATGAATGTGCTTATTAAGGCCCACTGTTTTACTGTATGAGGGTGAAGTTTGGCAGTTACCCAAGAGACTTTCCCCCGACCTCCCTCTGTGCCCGAGCTGTCTTATCTGTGTTTTACTGTCTGCTCTTTCTGGCTGCTTGTAATTAGAACAGAAGTGATTTCCTTGAAATACATGAGTCCAGAAAGGGAGCTGGCACTTAAAGTGGTGGTGTTTGTCTGAGATGATGGTGCTCCTGCTATGTCAGTTTCAAGGGAGGGGTAGACAGATAAAGTTGAAGGAAACTTCCAAAATGTTGAGATGAGAGACAAAAATCTGAGAGAAAAAAATAAGTGTCATAAAGGATCGATGCAGAAGATCCAACATCTGACTAATAGGAGTTCCAAAAAGGGAAAACAGAAAAGGGAGAAAAAGAAGTAATGCAAATAAATTTTCCAAGGTGAAACCATACTAAAAAGCTTCAGAACAACAACAACAAAAAAATTTCTCTATAGAGGAACAAGAAAGAAAAAGACTGACATCTGAATTCTGAACAGCAGCACTGAGTGCTTAAAGAAAATGGAGCAAACCTATAAAACTGAAGAAAAATTATCTTTGCTTTGAAGTCTATCCCAGACAAAATATCATTAAACAATGCAGGCAGAATAGACATATTTAGACATGCGATACTTGAAAAGCTTACTTCTTATTCATTCTTCACTGGGGAGTTACTTGAGAAGACACATGAGTCAAGAAAGATGAAATCATGAGATTTAGGGAATGATGTGCCCAACTTGGGGGAGAAAGGAAGGGAAGGAAAATGACAACTTATGATCAGTCCCAGAAGACAGTCAGTCTAAATGAGGGGAGTGATAAATGGAGCTTTCCAAGAGGAGGGCTCTGGGGGAGAAAAGAGCTTCCTTAACAGGCAGTGTGCTTGAGACTTCTTAGGAGCATAAGCATAGGATAAAGGCAGAGAATACAAAATGAAGGCAATTAGAAATTCCAGGAAAAATAAAAAGATATAAGAAAATGAATGTAATCATAGCACAATTTTCTTCTCTCCAAAAAGATAGTACTGTAAAAACTGTGCAATAATTTTTATCTCTTCTCCTTCTTTTTTTTTTTCTTGATACAGAGTCTCACTCTGTTGCCCAGACTGGAGTGCAATGGCACAATCTCGGCTCACTGCAACCTCCGCCTCCCAGGTTCAAGCGATTCTCCTGCCTCAGCTTCCAGAGTAGCTGGGATTACAGGCACCTGCCACCATGCCTGGCTAATTTTCATATTTTTAGTAGAGATAGTGTTTAGCCATGTTGGCCAGGTTGGTCTCAAACTCCTGACCTCAAGTGATCCACCTGCCTCAGCTTCCCAAAGTGCTGGGATTACAGGCATGAGCCACCACACCCAGCCCTGTGTAATGATTTTTTAATTTTTGAAATCAGCAAAAACACAAAGTATGCACAAAAAAAGATATAAATATAATGAATCTTCTTAGTGTAAGACCATAGATTTAAGTGAGAGACATAGGAAAGGAAAAGCAAAGGGAAGGAAGTGGTGATCATGTAATGTATAATGTCTCACAAAGGGAGGAGCTGAGTACCCAGCAACCTTATTTTCATCTTTGAGTAACAGCACTCCAGTTTTTATTTGGGTCACTTACCATCCCCAACACATGAAGTCTTCATGAGATTGTCAACCTGCCCTACCTTCCTTAGTTGATGGGTGAGCATGTGGCCCAATGTAAGCCAATCAGACTCTATCTTTCTCAGAAATAAAAAGTTAAATCCCCATTACTTTACACTGTGCAATGCCCTAAAGAGACAATGCATTAATTCTTGCTCCTGAAATTTTCAGGACAACTCTTACTGCTGGCTTTTCTGAAACCTGACTTCAAAGCCACCTTCTTTGATTTTTATGGGTATCTGTCCTTCAAAAAAAAAAAACACCTCATTTTTTGGAATAAATTGGCAAGAATTGGTTTTAGGTGATAAGATATAATAAGATAAATCATCCTTCAAAGATAACATTTTGAAATACAAAAGCTGTGAACTGAAAACAGTGATGCAACTTTGTGAAGGGTAAGGGGATTAGAGGAGGAATTGAGTGAAACAATAATTTATCCTCACAGGAAGTCAGTGTTTAAATTATAAAGTTGATAAATAATGAAACGTCAGTATAGCAAATGTATTTATCAATATGAAGGCAACCACTAGACAAGTTAAAACTTTAAAATATAAAAAAAGAAATGGTATCTAAAGAAAGAGACCTGTTGGCTCGGCATGATGACTTAACACCGGTAATCCCAGCACTTTGGGAGGCCGAGGCAGGCAGATCACCTGAGGTCGGGAGTTCAAGACCAGCTTGACCAACATGGAGAAACCCCCATCTCTACTAAAAATACAAAATTAGCCAGGTGTGGTGGCGCATGCCTGTAATGCCAGCTACTTGGGAGGCTGAGCAGGAGAATCGCTTGAACCTAGGAGGTAGAGGTTGTGGTGAGCCGAGATTGCGCCATTGCACTCCAGCCTGGGCAACAAGAGCGAAACTCTGTCTTGAAAAAAAAAACAACAAAAAACAAAAAAAGGGACCTGGCTAGGGTGAAGCAAGGCAGGAAACTATTTCTTTTTATTACAAACTCATCTTAACTTTTTAATTTTCCCCCATGTGTGTATTAATTATTTAAATTTGTTGTTGCTTGGGGGTGGTGGTGGGGGAGTTTTTGTTTGTTTTTGTTTTTGCTTGTTTTCTTGACAGACAGGGTCTCACTGTGTCACCCAGGCTGGAGTGCAGTGGCGATCATAGCTCACTGCAGCCTCAAACTCCTGTGCTCAAGTGATCCTCCAGCCTCAGCCTCCCAAGTAACTGGGACTACAGGCTCACCACCATGCCTGGCTAATTATTTTATATTTATTTTTTGTAGAGATGGGGGTCTCGCTATGTTGCCCAAGTTGGTCTTGAACTCCTGGCCTCAAGCAATTCTCCTGCCTCAGCCTCTCAAAGTGCTATGTTTATAGGCATGAGCCACAGTGCCCAGCCTTAATATTAAAGAAGTAGGGGGATAAAAAAAAAGAGAGAGATAGCTGTTCTAGCTATAATGGAGGTGGTTCAGGATTTCAAAGCCTTGTCAAATAGTCAGAAACAACCCTCCAGTAGCTGTTCTGGAAAGTGGCACATTACATAGCATCCGTCTCTGACTCCAAGGGAGGGTGCTGGACGAAGGGAATCACCACATATTTCCATTGTCTCCACTGAGGCCCCCGCAGGGACCTTGACCTCCAGCATGTCTTTGTTTTCTTGGCATGCCTTTGCCAAGCTTGGAGCAGTTGGCACAGGACTCAGAAGTTCTGGCTTATCCTCCACCCATCTCTTTACCCAACGTGCACCCTGCTTTCCTGGAAAAATGAGAAAGAATTAGTTTTATCTCTCCTCTCAAGGGATAAAGAAAGTCACGCCTCCCTATCTTTAATACCAGATTGGTTTGAATGTGAGTCATAGTTTTTACTGTTGTTTGCTGACATTTTGGTGATGAGATAAGCAGAGATCTTGATACCAAAGATGTGCAGATGGCACTTTTCCTGGAATTAAATTAGAAGAATTGGAAACTTCAGGTGAGTTTGTTTTTCTCTACCAGGTGAAGCTCTGGAGGTGATTTAAACCATACACAGAGATTGTTAGGCAGGGAAGACCCTGTGGCGGCAGATGAGAGAGAAAGAGAATCTGAGAGTTCTCTCTGGCTAACCATCCTGAAGGATAGGGTTGGTGTCACAACAGGAGCATTCAGCTCAACCATCAACATAACCCAGGTTCATAATGGGAGGCAAAAGGTGGCCACATGTGGCCAGGCACAGTGCCTCATGCCTTTAATCTCAGCACTTTGGGAGGCCAAGGCGAGCAGATCAACTGAGTCAGGAGTTTGAGACCAGACTGGCCAGCATGGTGAAACCCCGTCTCTACTAAAAATGCAAAAAATAGCCAGGTGTGGTGGCACATGCCTGTAGTCCCAGCTATTTGGGAGGCTGAGGCAGGAGAATCACTTAAACCCAGGAGGCAGAGGTTGCAGTGAGCCAGGATCATGCCATTGCACTCTCCAGCCTGGGTAACAGAGTGAGACTCCATCTCAAAAAAAAAATAAAAAATAAAAAATAAAAATAAAAAACAAGAAAAAAACAGCAACAAAAAAGGTGGCCACATACATCCTTTTCCCATCTTCACATTCTTATACTGTTGGATGATGGTGACTGTCTTCTCTTTTCTATGCTCCCCTGCCATGCCCAATTCTAGGTCTGAAGGATGGGGGCTGGGGGTGCGGTGTTTGGAGGAGATGAATACAGGAATCCAAGACTTGAAGATGTGAAAGAGAAAATGAGATCAGTTAGAACTTTCAAGTCTGGGGACAGACTGGAGTCAGGTGTATTTCTTCACTTTTAAAGACAAACTGCCCAGTGCCCTCACTCGACAGGTCCCTGAGTCATATCTTGGAATTCCCAGAGGGTGTCTCCTATATGCTCCTGATCAGTCCCTTCATCTTCTACTCTGGTTCCCCCATTAAGATGTTTGTTTTCTCAGCTTGATTAGCAATTACAATGTGAAGGAGATAATTCTGCCTCGTCAGAATAATGGATGCAGTCTCTGAGCATGTTAGAGAATATATGTTCTGTAAAACCAAGGTATTATGGTCATTATCAAGTGTAGAACCTTGGGCAATAGGAAGTGCTGATACCAATATATTGACTCCATAAAATTTATGCAGCATATCATTTGGGCATATCACTGGGAGATTCCAATCCCAAACTCATGGACCAGCATTGGTTCATTGGCACAACTTTATGTGCCTATACCACTATTTTAATAAATTACAAAGAATTCAAGTTACACTTAATTAAAATACTAAATAATTGCTGTTCAAATTCTGGCTCCAATATTTAGCATCTATATGACTTATAGGGACAGATCCAGATTTTGTAGGGCTTGTAGCTGATAAAATTCGGGGGGCTCTCTAAGAAAAAGAGCACAAACATGGATTCGAGATCAGTACAGGGTCTTGGAAGAGGATTGTGTAAACAAGGGGGCTGAGCTTAAACTTTATTAGTTTCTTGATTTGCCTCTATGTACCTAGGAAGTTACATCCTGAATCAGTTTCCTTACCTGCAGTCAGGATAATAATCATTAGTCTGTGGAATTAAGGAACATACAATACAATATATATGAAATTCCATGTATAGCACCTTGTATTGAGAGTCAGCATTCCAGAATTCAAAAAGGTAACTCATTATGAGTATTCAAAGGTAAAGAGGTTATTTAATATAATCATTAGACTAAAACTTTTTCCTTTTCCTGACTTTTATCTGATGAATTTTGCATGTATGTGGACAGATCCCAGTGGACATGGAGACTAGATGACGATCACTAGTCAATAGAATAACCCCTCAGAGTTAATAGTAAAGCATTGCAATGCAGCAGCAGTCATCAGATGGGAGCTTGGCAAAGACAAGAAAAGTAATTTGAGGGACCAAGGTAGGTAGGGTGGAATGCTGCAGGTTTGGATGTTGTCAAAGATGTCCCCCCACTATCACATCTCCCTTCTTAAAAAGTGTTTTAACAAAGACAGCCTCGTTTGGCCCTCAGAGTACACATGGGTGGCAGAGTATTGGTGATGACTGCTTTTCTGAGGGCCTTGGTTGGCCGATTTTCCAGGGCAGTGGAAAATCAAGCCTATGCCTTCATCATCATCATCATTGTCATTGTTTTCATTGTTGTCATTGTCAACAGCACTTATTGACTGCTTCCTAAATGTCAGATAGAGTGTTAAGTACTTTATATGTGTTCTCTAATTTAATTCCCTTCATACCATTATTTCCATATGACAACTGGAACTGAGGTTCGATATCTTGCAAAGGATTTGCAATTAGTAAGTGTCTCAACATCTATGATTGTTTTAAGCATTTTGCTCAGTATATTAACAGCCTTGTAACCCATTCTGAACCCATAAAATGTTTGGAACCTGCAGAGCAATTATTTAAGAGCCCTGGTCTGCATCTGCAACTGAACTCCATATCCTCTATAAGTGAGCATATCGTCCTGAAAGATTAACATGGATAACATCACCAAGACTGCAGATGGATTAGATAATTTCTGGAGCTATGTTTTATTTATCTCTTGCTAATGTCTTGTACAGGTGCTGGCAAAATGTTGTCAGATAAGGGAGCAAATGAATATTTTAGCCATGAAGCAAATGAGGGATAGAGCCAAGTCTCCTGACTCCTAGCCTGAGTCCTGTTACTACCAACACTGCTACTCCCTCTCTTTGAGGGTTTGACTGCTGTAACAAAGAGACTCAAAATACAATGGCTTACACAAGATAGAAGTTTATATCCTTCTATGTCAAAATCCACTCAGTCAACCCAAGAGGGAAAGGGACAAGGGAAAGCAGGCCCTTTCCTTGTAAATACCTAACCAGGAAGCTTCAAATACCACTTCCACGCGCATTCGACCAGCCAAACTAGTCACATGGCCACATCTTGCCTCAAGGATGCCTGGGAAATGTAATCTTAGCTGGTGGTCATACAATCATCTAGAATTTCTATTACTATAGAAGATAGGGGAATGGTAGTTTTCAGCACAGTGGGACAAGCCGCTGTGTACAGTGGGAAAAGGACTAAACTTAGAGATAAGTATACCAGGGTTTCTGCACCTCCAAAATGTAATGAGAAGAGTATAATTATTAATTATAGTTATAATAATTATATTACCCCAAGGCTCATTTTTTCAACTCCAAATAATGATAATTATGGTAATTAGCATCTACTGAGCATCCATTGTGCTCTAGGGGCTGTATCATTGAAGGAAATAGGTTTAATTAACCATTTACATGGTTAGGCTTTGTGTCCCCACCTAAATCTCATTTTGAATTGTAATCCCTATAATACCCATAATCCCAATGTGCCAAAGGAGAGACCAGGTGGAGGTAATTGAATCATAAGGGCGATTCTCCCCATGCTGTTCTTGTGAGAATGAGTGAGTTCTCACGAGATCTGATGGTTTTATAAGGAACTCTCCCCCCTTCACTTGGCACTTCTCCTTCTTGCCGCCTGTGAAGAAGGTGCCTTGCTTCCCCTTCCCCTTCTGCCATGATTGTAAGTTTCCTGAGGCCTCCCCAGCTATGCTGACCTGTGAGTCAATTAAACCTCTTTCCTTCATAAATTACCGAGTTTAAGGCAGTTCTTTATAGCAGAGTGAAAACAGACTAATACAAGCATATACTTTACATGTGTGATTTAACTCAATCTTCCTAATAGTCCTGTAAGGTCATTAGTATTGTCCCGCTCATTCTAGAGATAAGAAAACTGAGCCTCAGATGTTCAGGTTTCACAGTGAGTGTATGAGAGGCAAAGCCAGTCCTGTACTCGCTGATTCCAAAGCCCATTCATGGAACCCCTCTGCTGCACCCTGGATCATTGCAGTGTCTGCATTAGAGAGTTGTCATGAGCATGGAAAGCAATGTAACTAATGGAGCAAACAGTAGGTCCTCTCCACTTTCCCCGAGAAAGGCAGTGTGGCTCTGGGGCTTTCGGCTTCCTTGCCTGAGTTGAGTAGAGAAGCTGGCGCGGGAAGGGGATTATCCAGAAACAGTTCATGGTTGCTAGAGGCAGGCTGGAGCTGAGAAAAGGCAGAATCCAGGTTTGGGAGAGAAGAGGAAAAAGCAATAAATGGAAAAATTGCAGCCCTGTAGGCAATGGAATCTATTACTCACAGATTAAAATGTCACAAGGAGTACACGTCAGTTCCAGACCTTGGAAAATGTTTTTTCCATCATAATTATGCCTCACCACCAACACAGAGGACTATTTCCCCTTCGGCAGAGGAGGTTGCCCCACTTGGTGTCTTTTTAACCTTCTGCAGACCTCAAAAGTTGCCTCTTACATTTATTCATAGTATTAACAATGGCCAACACCAATGAGCACTTACATGTGCCAGCTACTTAGAGTCTGTTCATCTTTCAATAACGCTGTGAGATGGGTACTTTTCATTTCACCCCCTTTTACAGATGAGGAAACTGAGGCACACAGATGTCAGGTAACATGTCCAACTTCACATGGCTGGTAAGAGGAGAATTGGTCATTAAACCTAGCTCATCTGAGCATGATCTTAATCTCTCCTCAAAACTTCCTCCCATTGCCCAATTCTGTTCATGGGAAAGTGGGAAACAATATAAGGTCTTCCAGAAAGAACCTGGCAGCTCTTCCCTCTTTTCTTTCTCATTGAGGCACAGCATGAACTGAAAATATGAGGTATGGAGGGTGGACCAAGGAATGTCAAATCCAACTCCAGCTGGGGTTAGTAAACTAAATGATGATTCACATCCAATGGGATACTCATTAGCTAACCTTTAAAAATGATGTTGAAGAATACCATGAAGTAGGCAAGCTCATAAACGGTAGGCATAGTATGTTGTCCAGTTAAAAAAAAAAGGTTTCTACACACACACACACACACACACACACACACACACACACACACATTCCTAAAAGATTACACAACAAATCATCATGAATCCTTCTAACTGAGTAGCAAGATTATGAGCAAACTTATTCATCTGATATCTTAGGCCTCCCTCCTCCATTTCCACCCAGGTCCCCACAGGAGTCAGCAAAGAGGCAATTCAATTTCGAGAAACATCTCAGGCTTGTGCCCAAGACCATGGCCTTCCTCCCAGCTAAACAAGGCACTGACTTCTTTTTTTTCTTACTTTTCTTTTTTATTTTTTTTATTTTGAAAAACAAAATCACATTTATGGAAAAATTGGAGGACAGTACAAAGAATTATTTTTTCCTAAACCATTTGATGGTAAGTTGCAATTTGATGTCCCATTGCCCCTAAATACTTTAGGGTGGAATTCCTCCAAACAAGGATGTGGTCCTGCATGACCCCACATTAACCAGCAAAATCAGGAAATCAACATTGACATAGCCCTGCTGTCTATTCCTCAGATCCCATTTGAGTTATGCCAATTGTCCCAATAATGTTCTTTACAACAAAATAATCCAGTCCAGAACCAAGTTACGGTTGGTTCTTTTTTTTTTTTTTTTAATTTTTATTTTTTAGAGACAGGGTCTGACTATGTTGCCCAAGCTGGTCTGAAACTCCTAGGCTGAAGTGATTCTCCTGTCTTGGTTTCCCAAAGTACTGAGACTACAGGCTGGCTGTGTTTTTTACTTCCTTTGTCTGGAATACCTTCTCAGTCTTTCTTTGTCTTTCTTGATACTTTTTTTTTTTTTTTTTTTGAGACAGGGTCTCACTCTGTCTCCCAGGCTGGAGTGCAGTGGCATGATCTTGGCTCTCTGCAATCTCTGCCTCCCAGGCTCAAGCGATTCTCCCGCCACAGCCTCTCGATAGCTGGGACCACAGATGCACATTACTATGCCTGGCTAATTTTTTGTATTGTTTTGGTGGAGACGGCGTTTCACCATGTTGCCCAGGCTTGTCTTGAACTCCTGAGCTCAGGCAATCCACCAGCCTCAGCCTCACAAAGTGCTGGGATTATAGGCATGAGCCACCGTGCCTGGCCTGATCCTGACACTTTTGAATATTTCAAGGTCAGCTGTGTTGCTGAATGCCTCTCAGTTTGGGTGTGTCTGTGTTTCCCTACAAGTAGATTCAGGCTATGTGTCTTTGGCAGGAATGTCACCAACGGGATGTCGGGGTCTTCTTGCTGCATCCTGTCAGGTGACACATGAGCTCAGCTTGTCCCATCATGATAGTGTTCACTTTGATCTCTTGCTTAAGGAAGCGTCTGTCAGGCTTTCCACTGGTTCTTGTACTTTTTGTAATGAATAAGTATTTTGTTTAGACTTTGTAATTAATAAGTCATTCTTAGTAATTAATAAGTATTTTGTGGTGAGGTAGTTTAAAAACATACATATATCCTATTCTTCATTAAACTTTCCATTTATGTATTCAGTTAGGTGGAGTCATGGCTTCCTATTATATTTAATGGGTTCAATGTGCTGCCATTATTATAATTATTATTATTAATTTTTTATTTTTTTGAGACAGAGTCTTGCTCTGTTGCCCAGGCTGGAGTGCAGTGATGTGATCTCTTGGCTCACCACAACCTCCACCTCCTGGGTTCAAGCAATTCTCCTGCCTCAGTCTCCTGAGTAATTGGGATTACAGGTGCCTGCCACCATGCTCGGCTAATTTTTGTATTTTTAGTAGAGATGGGGTTTCACCATGTTGGCCAGGCTGGTCTCAAACTCTGGACCTCAAATGGCCTGCCCCCCTCGGCCTCTCAAAGTGCTGGGATTACAGGCATGAGCCACTGCGCCTGACCCATTGTTATTTATTTTGATGCCCACGTTTTCCTGATTTGCCCTGTGGGAGACACTTCAGTGGTTTTTCTGCCCAGACACCATACCAGCAGCCCATTTTTGGTGGGATCCTTTCCCACCAAATAGAAATGTTTATCTCTCTGAGAACACATCTAAGAAGGGGGACTGGAGTCTCTCTCTGTCCCACTCAGTCCCTGCCCAGCCCTGAGGAATTCTACAGCAGGGTCCTGTGGGCATGACTTGTCATTTCAGAAACCCTTTGCATAAAGGGGCAGATGCTGACGGCCCAACCCTCAGCTCTTGGGTTTGGCAGGGAGCAGACGCAGAGGGTCAGCAAATCTACGGTGGCCACAAGGAGAGGCTGTGCTGATTTATTGTTGCTGTGGAAGAACCTGAAAAGAGCTTTGGCCACCACTGAGGAAATGTTTTCTTTCTGTGCGCGATAAAGAGCAGGCCCAAAAGTTGGAAAAAAGGAAGAGAAAAATTCATTAAAAATAAAAAACGCTCAGGGAATTCAGCCACTCATTTGGAAATCCTGTTCTCTTCTATCATCATCGTTGACAGAGGTGGCGATCACTGCACAGCTGTTGTGATGCCAGCATTCACTTAAAGATGTTCCCACAGAACAGGAAAAGCAAACAGGCCTTCCTCATCCTGAGCCCTCTCTTGCCTTCCCCGAGTCCCTCCTCCAACTCCCTGCCTTCATCGTCCCCAAAAGCAATGAGTCAAGAATTCAATGAGATTGAACTTTACAGAGAGTAGGAGCCCCCTAAACTCGTTAAAAAGTTAATTTTTAATTGCATAAAATACAGGCAACATACAACTTACCATTTTAACCATTTTTAAGGGTACAGTTCAGAGGCGTTCACATTGTTGGGCAACCGCCCTCACCATCTACCTCCAGAACACTTTCCGTCTTGCAAAACTGAAACACTGTGTCTCTCCAATAATAATTTCCCATTCCTCCCTCCCCTCCAGACCCTGGCAACCACCATTGGACTTTCTGTCTCTAAGAATTGGACTACTCTAGGTACCTCATATGAGTGGACTAGAGAATTTGTCTGTTGTGAGTGGCTTATTTTACTAGCATGTCTTCTTTTTTCTCATTTCAGCTTTCATTTTAGATTCAGGGGGTACATGTGCAGGTTTGCTACATGGGTATGTCTAAGTTGCATGAATCTGAGATTTGGGGTATGAATGAGCCTATTACCCAGGTAGTGAGCATAATACTCAAAAGGTGGTTTTTTAACCCTCTGCCCCTCCTTGCCCTCCCCTTCTGGCAGTCCGCAGTGTCTCTTGTTTCCATCTTTATGACCATGTGTTTCCAATGTCTAGTTCCCGCTTATACGTGAGAACATGCAGTATTTGGTTTCCTGTTTCTGTATTACTTCGCTTAGGATAAGGACCTCCAGCTACATCCATGTTGCTGCAAAGGACATGATTTCATTCTTTTTATGGCTATGTTGTATTCCATGGTGTATATGTACCACATTTTCTTTATCCAATCCGCCATTGATGGGCATCTAGGTTGATTACATGTCTTTGCTATTGTGAATAGTGCTGTGATGAACATATAAGTTCATGTGTCTTTTTGGTAGAACAATTTATTTTCCTTTGTGTATATGCCCTGTAATGAGATTGCTGGGTTGAATGGTAATTCTATTTTTAGCCCTTGGAGAAATCTCCAAACTGCTTTCCACAATGGCTGAACTACTTTACATTCCCACCAACAGTGTATAATTGTTCCCTTTTCTCCACAGCCTCAGCAACATCTGTTATCTTTTTGACTTTTTAGAAATAGCCATTCTGACTGGTATGAGATGGTATTTCCTTTGGCTTGGATTTGCATTTCTCTGATGATTAGTGGTGTTGAGTATTTTTTCATATGTTTATTGGCCACTTGTATGTCTGCTTTTGAGAAGTGCCTGTTCATGTCATTTATCCACTTTTTAATGGAGTTAATTGTTTTTTGCTTATTGATTTAAGTTCTTTATAGATTCTGGATATTAGATTTTTGTCAGATGCCTAGTTTGTGAACATTTTCTCCCATTCTGTAGGTTGTCTGGTTACTCTGTTGATAGTTTCTTTTGCTGTGCAGAAGCTCTTTAGTTTAATTAGCTCCCACTTGTCAAGCTGTTTTTGTCACAATTGCTTTTGAGTGCTTAGCTAAAAATTATTTTCCAAGGCCAGTGTTTAGAATGGTATTTCCTAGGTTTTCTTGTAGGATTTTTATCATTTTAGGTCTTACATTTCCGTCTTTAATCCATCTTGAGTTAATTTTTGTACATGGTGAAAGGTAGGGGCCCAGTTTCAATCTTCTCCATATGGCTAGCCTGTTAGCCTAGCACCATTTATTGAATAGGGGTCCATTCCCCATTGCTTGTTTTTGTTGACTTTGTCAAAGACCAGATGGCTGTAGGTGTGTGGCTTTATTTCTGGGCTCTCTATTCGGTTCCATTGCTCTATGTGTCTGTTTTTGGACCAGTGCCATGCTGTTTTGGTTCCAGTAGCCTTATAGCATACTTTGAAATTGGGTTTTAAGTATAGTTTGAAGCTGGCTTTGTTCTTTTGCTTAGAATTTCACTTAGCATAATGTCTTCAAGGTTCATCCATGTTGTAGCATGTGTCAGAATTTCCTTCTTTTTTAAGGCTGAATCCCTTCTAAGCTTTTAAACGTTATATAACTATAATGGTTTTCTGGGGCTGCCATAACAAAATATCACAGACTGGGTGGCTTAAACTGCAGTCCTGGAGGCTAAAAGTCCAAGAGCAAGGTGTTGGCAGGGTTGGTTTCTTCTGAGCCTCTCTTCTTGACTTGCGGATGGCTACCCTTTTGCTGTGCCCTCCCATGGTCTTTTCTTTGTGTGTGTGCATCCCTGGTGTCCACATTTCCTCTTCTTATAAGGACATCAGTAAGGACACCATAAGAAGATTGAATGAGGGCCCACCCTAATGGTCTCATTTTAACTTAAGCATCTCTTCAAAGGCCCTGTCTCTGAATACAGTCACATTCTGAGGTACTGGGAGTTAGGGCTTCAATATATGAATTTGGGGGGAACATACTTCAGCCCATAACTGTAACCTTCCTGAGAAATGGCTTCCTCAACTGCATGAGAGTCACTATGGCCACATTTATGGGTGCTGGTTTAGATTATGCATATGAGGTGCTCAACATGGCATTGGGGCATGGCAATGTGTTTACAGCAGCAGCTAGCAGCAGGATTTTATTTCCCCAAGTCCTCATAGGGCCCTTCCAGCACGTATCAGGTGCTCACGTAATGTTTGTTGTGTGTGTTACATCTTTTATCTTGGTTTGGGTGGGGCCGGGCAGCCAGAGGAAAGAGATACAGGATTGCATCATTGTGGGGAGGGAAAAAATAGGGAGCAAACACACTTTAACTGCTAAGCTCTCCTGTCCAACCAGTCTGGCTTACAAAGCTCCCTGATTTTAACGATGGACAATGAGTGATTACCATTGACTGAGCATGTGCCAGGCATTGAACTAGGCACTCTATAGATGTTGTCTCATTTAATCCTCAAGTAGGTATTATTATTATTATACCTACTTCTCAGATGAGAAAACTGAGGCCCAGAGAGTTTATGTAACCGGCCAAATCACATAGATGCCAAGTGCTGAGACAGCATTCAGACTCAGAAGGTCTGCGTAGTGAGCCCAAGGGCTTCTGATGACAATTACATAAAAATTGCATATGCATGTGAATTAGAATTATAAATGTACTTACAAAATAAGGGGGCAGAATTAGAGGATAATAAGATACTGGCTATTTTTCTTTTATTTAAAAATTTCTACTTCTTCAGTGATATTTGTGAAATTCTTTATTTTTAATTCAAATTATTCTAAAAGAGGATTTTGAGTGCTGTGGTGTTTCTCTGTTAAGAGTTAGAGGAAAAGTGCACATACCACCTCTTGGGTACAGCTGCATAAACAATTGTTCTGTTTTTTCCTCACCTGGAATTTGAAGAATAAGGATTCATCTGCCCCTTAGAGCTCCATCAATAATAGATTTTCCAAATATTAGCTATTTTTAATTTTGTGTATTTTTTTTGTCTTCTGTCTCTCCACTTTTTTCTCTCTCTTCATTTTTAAAGAAATTCACATAAGTGAGCTTGTATCAACTTATCTTTGGAATATGTGTGTTGCAAGCTCTGGGTTTCTTCAGTATCAAGAGGGATGATGGATGAGAAGAGTTCTGGGAAGAATCACAGAGGGTTGGGCTGTTCTGTTTGTTTTCCTGAGCTGTAGAATATTTTACTCTCAATGCAGTAAAGAAATCTTAACCTCACCACATTCCCACTTCCAAACCAATCTCAAAGTTGTTCTTCTAAGAAACTAGTTACGTCCTTATAAGGGACAGTAATAAAATTCCTCCCTCTGCAAATCATCTAAGTTTTGGGGTCTCATTGAAATAATTATCTTTACCAGAAATAACTTCTGCCTGCTCTGCCCTAAACCTTGGACAGATATTGATCTTATATGAGCAAATCCATATGAAATGTAGAATATCAAAAGTAATTAGGTATCCTCAATATTCCCTCAATCACAATCCAGTCTTAACCTTTTCAGCTCCTTGGAGCTCCCACTGACATCTCTAGGCAGGCCGTGGTGTCTCACACCTGTAATCCCAGCGCTTTGGGAGGCTGAGGCGGGCGGATCATCTAAGGTTGGGAGTTTGAGACCAGCCTGACCAGCATGGTGAAACCCCGTCTCTACTAAAAATACAAAAATTAGCTGGGCGTGGTGGCGCATGCCTGTAATCCCAACTACTCGGGAGGCTGAGGTGGGAGAATCGCTAGAACCCAGGATGCGGAGGTTGCGGTGAGCCCAGATCGTGCCATTGCACTCCAGCCTGGGCAACAAGAGCGAAACTCCATCTCAAAAAAAAAACAAAAACAAAAACAAACAAACAAAAGACATCTCTAATTCACCCTGTCTTCACCAGTCTGGCTATAAAACCTACTGATTACGCAGCTCCTTCTGAGAAAGGTGGGTCTTTGCGTTGTTTCAGGTGAATCTGCTGTGCTGACCACAACTGCTATGCTGAGCCCAGGGCATCTAACCTGAGGATGCAGCCCAGTTGGGAAGCTTCATATTGGGTGGTAAATATCCCACCTAATCATCTTGAATGCAAGACAGATAATCCAGCCACAGACACAGAGGCAAGAAAGGGAAAACCAGAAAGAGGGAGATTGTAAACAGAAGGCACCTTGGGCAAGGTAGAACTGCTAAGTAAAAAACAATGGTTTCTCCTCTTCAGAGGAGGCCAGGCTCTAGGAACTGCAGTTGCTGTGGTTTCCTGGATAGTTTTCCAGTTCTCCATGAGGCCAGAATGTGCAGCTGCTGAAATGTTTTGTTTTTGTTTTTGTTTTGCTAACTCACTGCATATATTTATATCTCTAACAAAAATCCCCACCTGTTAAAGTGTCTTGAAGGTATTACTGTAGGCATTTTTTTTTTTTGCAACTGGAAAGGTTTGCACACCATTGTCTAAAAGTAAATTCATAATCTGTTCTCCTGAGCCTACTGGTTCTTGTGTATTGACTGTGTGTGCTTTGGTATCACCATTCCAGGTCTTTGATTTTTCCTAATCCCTTTCTAGAGTCTGCCAGTCCATTTGCCAGGTCCCTTCAGTTCTATCTTTATAATACAGTTTTAATATATTAATATCAGTTAACTGTTTATATCAATACAGTTTTAATATACATTACTAAATATTCCTCGCACATAGCTCTACTCTCTCACCTTTCACCTTTAGCAGACATCACCGATCACTGCACTCCTTCCCACTTCCCTGAACAAGCCCAAAAGCAAGAACAGCTCTATTCTGTATTTTATTTATTTATTTATGTATTTATTTGAGATGGGGTCTCACTCTGTCACCCAGGCTGGAGTGCATGACGCGATCTCGGCTCACTGTAACCTCTGCCTCCAGGGTTCTAGCAGTCCTCTCACCTCAGCCTCCCAAGCAGCTGGGTCTACAAGCATGTACCACCACGCAGGGCTAATTTTTGTATTTTGGTAGAGGTGGGGTTTCGTCATGTTGCCCAGGCTGGTCTCGAACTATTTGACTCAACTGATCCACTTGCCTTGGCCTCCCAAAGTGCTGGGATTACAGGTGTGAGCCACTGCACCCAGCCTGTATTCTTTAAATGCTTATTACTTATCAGGTATTGTGCTAAGCATTTTGCATGCCTTATCTCATTTCATTCTCTTAAAAAAACCCCAAGAAATAGACACAATTGCTTTTTCCATTGGAAAAGTGAGAAAACTGAGGTTCAGAGAGAGAGGAGAAATACCATGGCTCCTCTCTCTGGAGCACGCGAAAGAAAGGAGCCGTGGCACTTCTCCTCTCTTTGTCCAGTCCTCCGATCTCTTTCCATGGCCTCCCACTGACAGAGCCTAGATAGAGCCAGTTGGCAGGGCAGCCACGGAAATGTAGTTTGCAGGGGCCAGCATCTTGTGGTGCAAAGCAACGCAGAAGAGCAGGGATCGGATCTGAGACCAAATAGAGAATGACTGGCACAAAGCCTTTCTGGATTCTGCAGCCAAAAGGAATCCGTCCTGGCTCTGAAAATTCAAAGCACTTCATCCAGACATTTTCCTTTTTACTTAACACTTTTTATGGTATAGTTATATATGAGTATATATATTTGTGAGTCTTTTTTTCTTTGGTCTGTAGGCTCTACAGGTCTATTGAGTAAGACATAGTGGAATCATTGTCATTTCTGTTATCATGCCTAGCCCCATGCTTTGCTCAATAAATAGTTGTTGAATGATGAATGCTATTCTATTCTATTCAACGCCTGTGCCTCTCCAGACTGGAGTGTGTGCCAGAGGGCGTGCCAAGCTACAAGACAATCACCTTCGATTTCCCTGGAGAGTCAATTTGACCATAAGGTAAGTAATTTTAAACATCATTTTTACGTGAAAACAAAACAGAAAAGGAATCAAAATTTACAGGATTTTCTTTTACTTTTTTTTCTACTCTGTGACTCTAGCCAAAGATGATTTTCTTTAAGATAAAATGAGTTACTTCAAAAAAGGCTAGGCTCTTCATATATTCATGTTTTTGTTTCATTCTTTTTTTTTTTTTTTTTAGCAAGGGTTGATTGAGCATTTACTATATGCCAGGCCCTGCTCTAGGCATTGGGAACACAGAAGTGAACTGGAGAGATATAATTCCTGCCTTCAGGGATCCTATAGTCCAATGCAGGCATTAACAAACTTATTCTATAAATGACCAGGCAGCAAATGTTATAGGCTCTGTAGGCCAAACATTCCTTGTCACACTACTCAAACCTGCCGTTGAAAGCAGCCATAGACAATATGTAAACAAATGAGTGTGCATGTGTTTCAATAAAACTTTATTACAAAACAGGCAGAAACAAAAAGTTAAATACATAAAAGCAAAGAGTAAATTGTGGTGACCACGGGAAGGGGTGAATAAGGGAAATGGAAAGATGTAGGTCAAAGAGTACAAAGTTGTGGTTCCTATAGGAGAATAAATCTAGAAATCTCATGTGGAACATGAAGACTATAGTTAATATTGTATTGTATATTGGAAATTTGCTAAGAGAGTAGATTTTGGAGACTCTTATCACACAAAAAGAAAGGTAACTATATGAGATGATGGGTATGTTAATTTGCTTGACAGTAATAATGTATGTGTATATCATGTATTGTTCACCATGTATATGTTTACCAAAACATCATGTTGGCTGGGCTCAGTGACTCACACCCGTAATCACAACACTTTGGGAGGCCAAGGTGGGTGGATAACACAAGGCCAGAAGTTCAAGACCAGCCTGGCCAACATAGTGATTACTCTATCTCTACTAAAAATGCAAAAATTAGCCAGGCGTGGTGGTACACCCCTGTAATCCCAGCTACTCAGGTGACTGAGGCATGGGAATCACTTGAACCCAGGAAGCGGAGGTTGCAGTGAGCAGAGATAGCACCACTGCACTCCAGCCTGGGCAACAGAGTGAGACCCTGTCTCAAAAACAAACAAACAAACAAACAAACAAACAACAACAACAAAATCCATCATGTTGTACACCCTAAATATAAACAATTTAAAAAATAACAAATGGCTGGATTTAGCCATTGGGCCATAGTTTGCTGACCTCTGATTTAGTGGAGAAAATAGACCTTAAACAATTTAGTGTAACACATTGTTAGAAAATAATATAAGAGGTACATGGGCAAAAGTTATGGTAAATCACTTAATCCAAAGCAGGACCAGCTTCATGGGTGTGCAACCTGTGCACACAGGGCCTACTCTCAGAAGGAATCCCATGCTTGGTTTAATGTTCTGCTGTTACTGTCTTGAAATTCTTGACAATTTTATTTTTGACCTTGTGTTGTGAAGTCAGATCAGACAATAGAGCATGCATGGAGCAGAGGAGATTCCAGGTGTTAGTGTACACGTGCAGGCTCATGCCTACAGGCATGGCAAAGGGCAGCACCAGGAGTTGGCCTGGCCATCTGGTATGCACGGGCATACCTGGGGCTGTCCTGGGCACCAGGGGTATCTGAGGGGGCAGCTGGGCTGGGACCGGGGCCTACATTGGTGGTGATAGCAGTAGTAGCAGAAGCAGCAGATGCATGGAAGTAGCAGAAGTAGTGGCTGTGGCAGAGAGGAGCAGCACTGGGGTTCCACGGAGGGGCAGCCCCAGGAGAGTCTGTCCCCAGAGCCTGTTCCTGCAGCATCTGCATAAATATTAACTCTCCAGTCTAAGCACTGCGACAGGAACTGCTGGTACTCAGGCAGCAAAGTTTGTCAGTAAGTTATTATAAAACAAGATGTACACACAGACATTGCAATAAAGCATATCAGGGAGTTATTAAAATTCTTCAAAGGGTTTTGAAAACCATTGCAACATTGCAAACCAAATATCCACAGGCTTGGAAATAGAAATTAAATGTAAAGATTATCCTATTCAACAGAAAAGAACATTATTATTTGCAGGAAAACCTCAGATAAACCAAAAATTAGCAAGACAATTTAAAAATTAAATTTTCTGGCCAGGCACAGTGGCTCATGCCTGTAATCCCAGCACTTTGGGAGGCCGAGGCTGGCGGATTACCTGAGGTCAGGAGTTCAAGAACAGCCTGGCCAAAATGGTGAAACCCCGTCTCTACTAAAAACACAAAAATTAGCCGGGCATGGTGGCACACACCTGTAATCCCAGCTACTCAGGAGGCTGAGGCAGGAGAATTTCTTGAGCCCTGGAGGCAGAGGTTGCAGTGAGCCGAGATCGTGCCACTGCACTCCAGCCTAGCCAACAGAGCGAGACTCTGTCTCGAAAAAAAAAAAAAAGTTAAATTTCCTTATATTTGAAGATGCAGTGATAGAATGCATAAAGAAGTGCCTTGAATTATATAAAAATTATGAAGCCTTTTTTTGTTTCTTGTGTAACTGCCACAACTTGCAGGAACTGCTGGAGGAAATATTAATTAATATTAAAATTTACATGTACAATTAAATTCAGATTTATAAGAAACTGATTTGTATGAAGAGTTAAATCTTTTTAGAAAATATTTCTATAGGAATCATCACCTCTAGATGTACTAAAATTCATATTTCAAGATAATTTATCAGAAATGTATCCCAATATCATTACAGCCTAAAAAATAAACTTATTCTAGTAAGAGTTGCATCAGTAGATTCTAATTGTCAAAATTAAATTTATCAAAAAGTATTCGTGATCTTACATTTGCCAATAGCAACTGACATTGCTTTGAATTAGATCATTGAAAATTAAGCTGTTAAAAGTACAAATTTTTATGATCAAATAAATACATAAATATGCAAGAAAACACATCAGAAATTAATGAATATGCAGCAAAGCAAGCCAGATTAATTATAATGTCACGTTAATATAAGATACTATTATGTATTGTGTTATATAAACTTACAACACCAAAAATATTTTTTGGCTATTTAAAAATTTGTGTTGTTATTCATGTGTCATTATTACTCTCATTATACTTTCTAAGTGATGTAGTGTATTAAATACACCTTATCTGGAATGCTTGGGACCAAAAGTGTTTTGAATTTCAGATTTTTTTCAGATTTTGGAATATTTGCATTATACTTACTGGTTGAGCATCCCAAATCTGAATACCTAAAATTTAAAATGCTCATTAGGGCATTTTGAGTGTCATATCAGTGCTCAAAAAGTTTTGGATTTTAAAACATTTATTTTGGATTTTTGGATTAAGGATGCTCCACCTAGAAAATATTTTAGAAGGATAATTTTGATATTTTAGTATCTTATACTGCCCTTTTTCCCCCTGCCTTTTTGAACAGGGGCCTTGCATTTTCATTTTGACTGAGCCTCAAAAATTATGTAGCTGGCCTTGTCCAAAAATCAGGGCAGGTTTTCATGGGGAAGTAGGAAAGCAAGAGGGGGCTTGTTTCACTAGAGCAGTGGTTCTCAAAGTGTGTTCCCTGTAGCATCAGCATCACCTGGTGTCTTAGTCCACTCAGGTGCTATAAGAAAATACCATAAGCTGGGTGGCTGAAACAACAATATCTATTTCTCATAGTTCTGAAGACTACGAAGTCCAAGATAAGAAACTGGCAGATTTGATTATTTACTTATTTATTTTTTTGAGACAGTGTCTCACTCTATTGCCCAGGCCGGAGTGCAGTGGTGTGATCTTGGCTCACTGCCACCTCTGCCTCCTGGGTTCAAGCGATTTTCCTGACTCAGCCTCCCCAGTAGTTGGGATTACAAGTGCCCGCCACCACGCCCAGCTAATTTTTGTATTTTTAGTAGAGATGAGGTTTCACCATGTTGGGCAGGCTGGTCTCAAACTTCTGACCTCAAGTGATCCGCCTACCTCTGCCTCCCAAAGTGCTAGGATTACAGGCGTGAGCCACTGTGCCCGGCTAGATTTCATGTTAAGTGCAATGGAGAAAATAAAACACAGAAGGTTGTTGGTTCAAAATGCAAGTGTGTGTGTATCTGTGTGTTTGTGTGTATTGAGGGAGGAACTTAAAACAGGATGGCTAGTGAAGACCTTCTTGCAAAAGTGGCATTTGAGTAGATGCCCAAAGGAGGCAGGAGAGCTCTGGGGTAAAAGCCGTCTGAGATGGGGAATTAGTGAGTGCAAAGGCCCTGAGGCAGGAGAGCTCTGGTGTAAAAGCCGTCTGAGATGGGGAATTAGTGATTGCAAAGGCCCTGAGGCAGGAGAGTGCCTGGCATCCTGAGGGGCAGTGAGGAATAGGGGTCTCTCTTCTGGGGAGAGCCCTATTCCTGGTTCATAGATGGCACCTTCTTATTGCAACCTTACACAGTGGAAGGGGCCAGGTAGCTCTCTGGAGCCTCTTTTATAAGGGCACTAGTTCCATTTATGAGGGCTCTGCTGTCATGACCTAATAACCTCCCAAAAGTCCCACCTCCTTGTACCATTGCACTGGGGATTAGGTTTCACCATATGAATTGAGGGGACACACACGTTCAGACCATAGCATCTGGGATCCAATTAGAATTGCAAATTCTCAGGCCCTACCACAGAAACTCTGCGAGGTAAACCACGGCAGTCTGATTTTAACCTTCTAGGTGATTCTAATGCCAGTTGAAATTTGAGAACCACTGCTGCAGGGGAACTGACAGACGTACAGTATGTATGTTGGGAAGTGGGAAGAAAATTGGAGGTTTTTAAGCAAGAGTAAAAGCAACATCCTTAAACAGGTTACAAGGCCCTCCAGGGTGCGTACATCCTCATCACCTTCCTCACCTCATATCCCACCACTCTCCTCAGACGCACTGACATCCTCACTGCCCTCAGCATGCCAGGCACTCTCCTGCCTCAGGGCCTTTGCACTCCCTTCTTCCCCTTCACAGACGGCTTTTACCCCAGAGCTCTCCTGCCTCCTTTGAGCGTCTACTCAAATGTCACTTTTGCAAGAAGGTCTTCACTAACCATCCTATTTTAAGTTCCTCCCTCAATACACACAAACACACAGATACACACACTTGCATCTTGAAACCTCTTCCCTGTTTTATTTTCTCCATTGCACATATCAACGCCTAATATATTGCTTTCTTATTTTTGGGGGTTAATTATCTATCTTTCACAATTTCCCACTGGAATGCTAGTTCTATGAAGGAAGTGGTTTTGTTCTGTTTCACTTACTGACATATCCCCAGGGCCCACAGGTGCCTGGTAGAGAGGAAATACTCAACAAATACTTATTGAAAGAGTGAATAAATTAACTATGTCTCAATCAAATAAATACATGACCATAATTAATAAGAAAAAGGTTCTCATTACTTGATTAACAAAGCAACTAGCAGTTCTTCACTTGGGGCCATAAGCTGGGTTTGTGCATTGAGGTAGAGACCATTAGGGTGCTGGAAAGAGAAAATCCATGTATTCCTCCTACTTCCTCACCTGCTGTGGTTGGAGCCATGTGACAAGTCTGACTAATGGACTTTGAACAGAGGAGGAGTGTGTAAATGTAGGTAAAGGCAGTTCACTAGGAGAGTCCCTCCACTTCTCTCATTTCATTTGGCTGTGACCATGAAAGCCTTTGATGAGCCACAAGGTGGAAACAGCCTAGATCCCCGAGTCAATGCATGGAGGAAAGCTTTCCTAGACATTCTATGAAGGGGGAAAAAAAATTGTTCTGATACATCATTGTGACTCCAGGGCTTTATTTGTTACTGCAGCATTGTCTAGCCTCACCGGCATATAATAGAGTCATTATTAACAAGCAGAGATAAAAGGTAAATTCAGAAAATTGAGTCTTCTGAATCATCTTTCTATGAATAACTACTTGGTAGACTTAAGGAAGCCCCTGTACCTTGTTCACAAGAATAAGAAATTTAAAATGTTGCCTGGACAATGACACATGCGTAAACCACAAAAACTAAAACTGTTGAAGTTGGCAGTTAGGCAGACATGAGCATGGCAGGAGAGGGCTCCCTCCCCTCAGGAATGTCAGGCAACCATCAGGTAATGGTTGAGTGGTTGCTAAAACGTCTCTCTAAAATAATAATTTATCACAGACAGCACCCAATAGACCTATTGGCAGTCTCCTGATAGATGGAAAACACCTGAAGTGCGTGATCAGCCGCTTCCAAATAAGATCTCAGGAGTTGGGCAAGTGGGCTCAAGCATGGACACTAAGAGGCAAAATCATGGAGTTTAATTGGTAAATGACCTTCCTCTGGGAATGCTCAACTGATAAGGAGAAAACGCCTCAAGTGAGCGTGCACACAACTTCAGTAAACGCACTGCACATGCAGCCCCTCCCAAGTGTTGGGAGGCCACTGTGCATGTGGACGGCCTGCCCCAAGTTAAAAATCAAGGGAGGAGAGATGCAAAACTCCAGAAGCATGCCAACGTATAAAACCCCAAGTCAAAGGTCAAGCAGGATACTTGGATCTCTCAAGTCACCCACTTGGCCCTCTCCCAAATGTACTTTACTTCCTTTCTTTCCTGCTCTAAAACTTTTTAATAAGCTTTCACTCCTGCTCTAAAACTTGCCCTGGTCTCTCCCTTTGTCTTATGCCCCTTGGTCAAATTCTTTCTTCTGAAGGGGCAAGAATTGAGGTTGCTACAGACCGTACAGATTCACCACCACTAACATGAACAGAGCAGAGGCAGAACCAGCCCCTTCTGCTGCACCCTCCCAAGGACAATGTTGATGGCCCATCAGGCTCGTATCATTTCTTGGAAATAACTGAACACTAACAATGATAGGAATAATAATAGCACTAATACTTAGTGTTCTGTATGTGACAGACATGTCCTAAGTACTTTACACTTATAAACTTATGTTAATGGCAAAACCAAATTCTGCCAAAATATATTTAAAGAAGTTTATTCCAAGCCGATGTGAGTACCTTCATCCCAGGTTGCACAATCTCAAGAGGAACTGAGAAAGGAAGCCTAAACTAGTCAGGTTACAGTTTGGTTTTAGACATTTCAGGGAGACAGGAATTGCAGTTAAAATCATAAATCAATACGTGGAAAGTATACGTTGGATTGGCCCAAAAAGTGTGACATCACAAAGCTTGATTTAAATCCTTGAAATCAGTAGAAAGGAAAGCCTGAATTAAGATAAGGAGGTTGTGGAGGCCAAGGTTCTGATGTAGATGAACGTTATAGGTGGCAGCCCTCAGAGAGAATAGATGGTGAATGTCTCTTCTCAGACTTTAAAGGTGTCAGACTCTCAGTTAATCAGGGAAAGACCTAGAAGGGGAAAGTCCTGGCTACATTTATGGAGATTCTCTACAGATGCAAAATTTCCCCACAAAAGATGGCTTTGCAAAGTCATTTCAATCTGTTGGCCCTGTGGCAGCCATTTCAAAATATGTTAAAGAAATATATTTTGGGGTAAAATATTTTGGTTTCCTTCAGGGTATGCTATCTGTCATGTGATGCTATATCTGAGTCAGGTTGTAAAGTAAGCCATATTATATAAGATTAATAAAACTCAGCCAGGTGTGGGGGCTCACACCTGTAATCCCAACACTTTGGGTGGCCAAGTCAGGAGGTCACTTGAGCCCAGGAGTTTGAGACCAGCCTGGGCAATATAGTGAGACCCCATCACAATAAAAAAAAGTTAAAAAATTTTAAAAAATGGCTAATAAAGCCTGTCTAATGAGATTTTATGGTTTCTAAGGTGTGACTCTCCAGGCCCCTTAGATAGGAATTTGGGCAAGAGAAAAAAAAAGTCAGAGTTCTCACTCATTAAATCTATTTTTTTTTTCTTTTGGAGACAGAGTCCTTCTCTGTCACCCAGGCTGGAGTGCAGTGGTACAATCACAGCTCACTGCAGCCCTGACCTCCCAAGCTCAAGCAATCCTCCTGCCTCAGCCTCCCAAGTAGCTGGACTACAGGTGGCACCACCATGCCTGGCTAATTTTGTGTGTGTGTGTGTGGAGGTGGGGGGTCTCACTATGTTGCCCATACTGGTCTCAAACTCCTGGGCACAAGTGATCCTCCCACCTTGGCTTCCCAAAGTGCTGGGATTA
This sequence comes from Homo sapiens, assembly GCF_000001405.40. Taxonomy (NCBI): domain Eukaryota; kingdom Metazoa; phylum Chordata; class Mammalia; order Primates; family Hominidae; genus Homo; species Homo sapiens. The sequence continues at coordinate 93,900,823 of NC_000012.12, read as the reverse complement.
CAGGCATGAGCCACTGCACCCAGCCTTCATTAAATCCTTGCAGCATCTCCATGAGCTAGGTCCTATTTTTATTACCACTTTTCACACAGTGAAACAGATGCAGAGAGATTCAGTAACTTACCCAAGGCCACACAGCTTGTGAGTGATGGAGCTGAGATTTGAACCCGGCAGTCTGACTGGAGGGTTAGGGATGATCCCTGGGCTGGGAGAGAGGCATCCCTGAGACAAATCTCTGCCCCAACACTCACTAATCAATTGACTTTTAGACAACAACTTAACTTTTTGCAGTCCTAATTTCTCCATCTCTTGACTTAGGGCATTGCTGTAGTAATATAAATAATATTATACCTACAACATGAGATCGCTGTGACACTGGTGGGCTGGGAGAGGTCCCCAAACAATGGTGGGACCTCGACCCTAGCTAGTGTCCAGGCCCTTGACACTTTCATGAGAAGGAATTCAAGGAGGAGCTGAACAACAGTGAAAGTATGGAGATTTGTTTATTTTTATTTTTGAGACAGGGTCTCACTCTGTCGCCCAGGCTGGAGTGCAGTGGCATGATCTCAGCCTCGACCTCCCAGGCTCAAGTGATCCTCCCACCTCAACCCACTGTGTAGCTGGGACTACAGGTGTTCACCACCACGCCCAGCTAGTTTTTGAATTGTGTGTGTGTGTGTGTGTGTGTGTGTGTGTGTGTGTAGATGGGGTTTCTCCATGTTGCCAGGTTGGTCACAAACTCCTGGACTCAAGCGATCCTCCTGCCTCAGCCTCCCAAAGTGCTTGGATTACAGGCATATGCCACTGCGCCCGGCTAGACAGAGAGCTTGATTGCAAAGTAAAAATACACACTCAAGACAAGGGAGTGCTGGCGTACTCAAAAGACAGAGTCACATGGAGCTTGGGGTTCCTATCATTATTGATTTCTTTAACCAAGGGGTGGAATATTCATAAAGATTCCTGGAAAAAGGTGAGGATTTCTTGGAACTGTAGTGCCACCCATTTTTACACCAAATATGGGTGTTCCTGGAAACATCATGGTACTGGTGGGTGAGGGTATAATGAGGTCTTGGGAGAAACCTAGGTCAAATGCAGCACCATGTTGGGTCCAGTTGGTCTTAGCCAGCTTGGCCCACACCCTGGTTTTCCAGGGTCTTATCAGCCCCCAGCTTCTATAGTTATTTCAAGAGTTTCCTTTTTGCAAGGCATGTGAAAATACTGCCTGGAATTTTCTGTTCTCCTTTGACCACACTGAATTTTTCCTGACTCAGTTGTTGAGGATCAATTCAGATCATGCAATGGCCCAGAGTAGATGCTCCATAAAGGTTATTGTTGCAATGATGATGTTCCAAATGGACAGCCTAGATATCTCCAGGTATCTGGAATGACGTCTTAGCATGGTGAGACATTTAGTGTGTCTCTTCTGCTCCTCACTGGAGTTTATGGGGAGACCTACTCCCCAGCCCAGGTAGCCAAAGGCAGCCCCTTTATTATATTATAGAATCTAACTGGGGTCCACTTCCCCAGTGCGGTAAGATCAGATATCTACATCAGGGTTTGCAGTGGGAGAAAGGAAGGTGTTTATTTGCAGGGCACCATGCAAGGAGAACCAGGCAACTAATGCTTAAGTCCCCACCTCCCTGATGGCTTGCAGGTAAGAGTTTTTAAAGGCAGCGGTAAATTTCAGGAAAGCAGAAGTTACAGGCAAAATCATAAACCAATACCCAGGTTACATACTGGTTTGGGCCTAAAAGGGCAGGATATCTTGAAGCAGAAGGCTTACAGGTCATAAGTAGATTCAAAGCTTTTCTGATTTGCAACTGGTTAAGAAAGAGAAGCTTTGTTTAAAAATCTGGGGCCAGCAGAAATAAAGGTTAGCTCTACCTCTTTGGGTGTGACTTTCTCTAGGCCCTTCAGGAAGAAATTTAGAACAAAGTACAGTGATCAGAGTTCAGTTCCTAGTTCCTCCTTATCTGAGATCTATATGTAGGGGGGATGGGTTTGGTGAGAGTCCAGGTTTCTGAAAAACAACTCAGAGACTCACGTTAAGATGCTATCTTTAGTTTCTATAGGGAACCAAACATCCTGTGACTCTGGCTTCCTTGGCTATTGTTTTAGGCTACTTTTTTTTTTAAGCCAGAGTCTTGCTCTGTCGCCCAGGCTGGAGTGCAGTGGCGCCATCTCAGCTCACTGCAACCTCCGCCTCCCAGGCTCAAGCAATTCTCCTGCCTCAGCCTCCCAAGTAGCTGGGATTACAGGCATGCGCCGCCACGCCTGGCTAATTTTTGTGCTTTTAGTAGAGACAAGGTTTCACCCTATTGGCCAGGCTGGTCTCCTGACCTCAAGTGATCCACCCACCTCAGCCTCCCAAAGTGCAGGGATTACAGGCGTGAGCCACCGCGCCCAGCCTGTTTTAGGCTACTATTACCTTCTTGCTTATCCAGTTGTTATCTGGACTAGGGTCTTAGCATGGGGCTAAGCTCCTCAGGGCTAGCTAGGTGCCTGGAATTTCCCTTAAAGGGACTCAAGGCTTTCCTTTATTTCCATGCTTGACCCTCTCCCACCAGTCCATCCCCTACAGGCCCCTAAGAGGAGGGTCCCTGCTTGTCTCCTCTTTTCAATTCCGTAGCGTCCATGGTGATGGCAGGTCCAACTACTACAGGCCCCTCCTTGGGAGGCCTCCTCTCTTACCACACCTACCCCCAGCCTACATAGTCTTCTCCCTTTGGGTTAAGCCAACCTGACCTCCCATCTGTGGGGATGGGAATAAGGGTGTTTATAATTCAAGGAACCTCGATTGTCTGCACACAGGCCTACGATGACTCTCCTCCTCAAACACATTGACCCTGAGGTGAAAGAAGCTGTTGAAGGGTTTTCTGAATCATCCACAACAAAACAATTTCAAAGAATTGTGGCAGCCAAATCCATTTTGTTGTTTAGATCCCAATTTTTCGAAAATCCTCAATCCATGAATGACAGCAACCTGTGGGGGAAGGCGGGGGGGGGTGGAGGTGGGAGGAGTAGGGAGGGCCCTTAGGTCCTGGAGTTGGACACAGCCTTAGATGTGGCTTCACCCTGTCAAAGAACAAAATTTTCACACATTGAATTTAAAGGTCCAGTTGGCTTTTATTATCGATTTGTGAATCAGGCAGCATCTTATCTATAAAATAGAAAAGGTGCTTTGAAGAACCAAGCAGATGGATGGGCAGAAAAGCCTGGGGATAGCAAGATCAAGAAACATGAAGTGGCTTGGTCATTTCAAAGTTACTTTCCTTAAAGGGTTTATACACAGGGGACTTCCCTCTCATGCCTGTGCAGGTGGATGGGGACCCTTTTGATACAGGAGCTAGAAAGAAATTAGGCAGTTAGTGAGGGTAAGAGAGTCCTCAGCAAGGTTACCCTTTTAATAAAAAGCAGCCCCCGAATCATTTCTTTTCTAACAAAGAGTGGCCTGAAAAGTTGAGCTGCAAACATAGATAAGCAAACTGGAAGCTTGCATGGATGAATGCTGGCAGCTATGCCAATAGGAAAAGGCTACCTGGGGACCAGGCATGTTCAGCATGGAGGCTCCATCTTCCCTTTTCTTTGTCACCACGTGTACAGTAAAGAAACAGGCAATATGGCACATATCTGCATAATAAAAGATTAGGGTGGGGTAGCCATCTTCTTCGCACGTTATGTAAATGACACACCTGGTCCAACCAACCTTTGGGCCCTATGTAAATCAGACACTGCCTCCTCAAGATCATCTATAAAACCCTGTGCATTTCACCATGGAACCGGAAGACCTACTCGAGAATCCCCCTCTCTGCAGGAGAGAGACCTATTCTCTTTCTTTCGCCTGTTAAACTCACTCTGTGTGTGTCTGCATCCTCGATTTCTTTGGCATGAGGCAGTGAACCTCAGGTATCACCCCAGATGAATGACACCACTTCACTTTCAGTTGGTTGCTGTAAATCTCCTGATTTTTGGAAAACTGGCCCGTTTTAAAGTTCAGTTTGAGCACATGTCAGGTAGCACAAGTGACACTATTCTGGTTTGCTTTGGTCTGTTGGAGCCCAGTGGAAGGACTCTGTCCAAAGCAATGGCCTCCTATAAATTTTATTTAACAACCTGAGCCTGGGGTAATAGTGACCCAGATAATGGTACTGTGGCTTAGAGAGTCATTTCTCCCTAGTGGTCACTGTGTGTTTTACCAGACAGAACAAAGAGCTGCAGATCCAGGAACAGTGGTTAGCCAACTCAACAGCATTTCCCAGGGAGATGGCTCTCTGTGTAACAGTCATAATTTATCAAACATTTTTGGTCCTTCAGAAACATTCCTGTTTTCTTCTCTCTCCTCAGCACTTCCTGTTTCTCTTTCATTTGGAACTTTTTCTCCTTCGCTATGCCCATCTCCTTTTCTTCCTGGTATTTCTCTCGCTTTCCCTCTTCATTGCTAATCTCCTTCTTCTTCTCTTAACTGGTATCGTCTTTCATATGTATTGAATATGTGTCAGTGTTCCCTGTTATCAGTTTAAAAACTAGATCAATTTATACCCCAAATGGAGTGAACAGATTGAACAAAACACCTGATGCCCATTAAATCTGAATTTCAGATAAATAATAATAATATTTGGAATACAATTATACAAAAAATATTATTGCTTACCTGAAATTTAAATTTAACTGGGCATCCTGTATTGTATTCTCACAGCCCTGCCTCCACCTATAGCTCAGTGTGGGCTTCAAATCTTGTTTGTCCTGAGAGTCAGTGGCTCTTGCAAATAAAACCAGGTCCCACGAATTTTTTATGATGAACCTGGTAACTGTCTTACACTTTTTTTTTGAGACAGGGTCTTGCTGTAAACCCAGGCTGGAGTGCAGTGGCACTATCATGGCTCACTGCAGCCTCAGTCTCCTGGGCTCAAGGAATCCTCCCACACAGCCTCCCAAGTAGCTGGGATTATAGGTGTGCACCACCACACCTGGCTAATTTTTAGATTTTTTGTAGAGGTGAGGTTTTGCCATGTTGCCCAGGCTGGTCTTGAACTTTTGGGCTCAAGCAATCCTCTCACTTGGGCCTCCTGAAGTGCTGGGATTACAGGAGTGAGCCACCATGTCCAGCAGTCTCTTATAATTTAAAAAATGTGATCAATCAACATTTCCTGAACACCCCAAATTGCAGAGAGTTTTTGGTCTCTTGCTTTTATGTGACACCTACATCTTCCAGGAGCTTGTTTTTAAAGGCAGCTGGCCTTCTTGAGGCACTCTTAAGCCCTGCCATCACTGTGCCATCCCAGAAATTGGAGAAAGCTCAGGGTGCAGATTCCCAGGGTGGCTGAATTCAAACCGCAATGTCAGGCCCCTGTTAGGGAAGTTAAGGGAAAGTTAATTCTGTGGGAAGTGGGGAGGGGAGGAGTAGAAATTATAAGCTTTTCTTTCAATATGACATCTTTGCCTTGTATTTCCTGTACCTCAGGAATGACCGAAGGATTGGGGAAGAAAATACTCCCCCTGCTGATGCTCCTTTGGTTCTACTTGGGAGTGAAGCTCACAAGAGGAGGGACTGCAATAAACGTTCCCCAGATGATGCAGAGGTCTCTCTCTGCTGACAGTTAATACCTTGCCTCCAAGCCTGAATCGCCTTCCTGTCTGCGGGGTGTCTGAACGAACACAGCAAGATGTGCAGGTCACTGAGTTAGAAGAAGTCGGCAGGGCCTAAGGCCTTCTGCAAGGTGTGACTCTCTCCCTCCATACTGAGAACATTTTGAAGTGACTTCAGAGGCTGCAGGGCTTGGGAAGTCCCATGAGAACCGCTCCCCTTTCCCAAGGCACCGACATGGCCTGTAGCCAGGCATTGCTGTTTCTCAGCAGACTGATCCAGGCCAGGCTTTCTGCTCTCCCTGCTGGAGGACCGCCATCCTTATTGAATGTATTTCCAAGAAAGCAGTTGACGGGCTTGGCTGTGCTATTTCTGGAAATGTTCAATAGGCCATCTTCTGGCAGGGACCGCTGCTGATGGATGGGTCTGAAGGGGAGACCGAGTGCTCAGCGCCATCTCGGCCCCGGCCTATTCCCAGGTGTCTCTGAGCAACAGCCGTCCCCAAATACCACGGGCCGGCAGCTGGCGGGGGCTGTGGGCCTCTGTGGAACTTGCTTCCTCCCTGGCAGGGAAGCTGCCAGCAGGCCTACTGCTAAATGAAGACAGGCGCCCTGTGACTATAAATTACAAAACACATCAGCTCCGGCTGATGCACCGCATGTCCCGCAGTCAGTTCTGCAGGGGACACTTGGCCACTGCCAAAGGGCATTCCAGACAGTGGCTTTAACTCTTGTGGCAGCCACAGGAGAGAGGCCAAGCCTGTTGCTGGGCAGAGGAGCTCTTGGCAACTCCCAGAGGTTGCAATTGCTCTGGACTGCTGAGCTCTGTATAGACCAGGGCTTCTCACCCTCTGCACCATTGACATTTTGGACAACATACTTCTTTGTTAGGGGCCATCTGAGCATTGTAGGTTTAGCAGCATCTCTGTTATCTACTCACTAGATGCCAACATAATCCCCTGCCCCCCGCCCACCCACACACATACACAGAATTGTGACAACCAAAAACGCCTCCAGACATTGTCAAATGTCCCCTGGAAGGCAAAATCGCCCTTGATTGAGAACCACTGGTGTAGAGGAAAGAGGGTAGGGTCTGGGGTGATGGCAGAGAGAGGAAGATGCCAGTTCAGAATCTCCAGGTGAGCTGTGAAGCCAGGCAAGTAACAGAATCCTTTGGCCTCAGTTTCCTCATCTCTAAAATGAGAAGAAAGAGAAGGTCAAATCAAGGGAGTATGGCGATCAGCTGAGCTAATGTGTGTGGTGCACTTTGAGATGTATTTAAGCTCTAGGTCAAACAACGTAGGAATAGATGATCTAGTGCTTATTTTTTTTTTTTTCTTTTTTGAGATGGAGTCTTGCTCTGTCGCCCAGGCTGGAGTGCAGTGGTGTGGTTCACTGCTACCTCTGCCTCCCAGGTTCAGGTGATTCTCCTGCCTCAGCCTCCAGAGTAGCTCGGATTACAGGCACATGCTACCGCGCCTGGCTAATTTTTGTATTGTTAGTAGAGACAGGATTTCATCATGTTGGCCAGGCTGGTCCTGAACTCCTGACCTCAGGTGATCGGCCCATCTCAGCCTCCCAAAGTGTTGGGATTACAGGCATGAGCCACTGCGCCCAGCCTAGTGCTTAAATTTAAAGAACATGGCTCCCTTTGAAGAATTTAGCCGAGTATTTATAAAATTCCCCGTGACTCTTAAATTAAAACAAACAAATGCTTTAGAAAGCTTTTCTCTTTATTTTTTTTCTTCTGACTTCTAACAAGAATAAGTATGCCGTGTCTGCCTGAGGTTAATGTACATGATTTCCCCTAGTCTTCCTTGAAAGAGGCTTCAATTTTTTTTTTTTAAATCAACACCCTAGGAATTGTGTCCGTCCAATGAACAAACAGAAAGTAATGAGGGAAGGGAATGCCCCTCTATTTTATTCACAAAATTAGCATCCTTTTCTTTATAGTTAGTAACAAAAACTGGTAAGGAACCACCACAGCCCTATAGAAAGACACTGTTGCTTTAAATGAGCTTTGCTGTTATATAATTCTCTGGCTGATTTCACCCCTCCAGCTTTCAAGGAACTGTAAAGAAATCTCTAAAGGCTAATATTTCTCCTGTTCACACTGGCAGAAAAACACAAAGGAAACTGGTAACCTGAGCTCCCTGGAAGGTAAAAAAGGAAGAGCCGAGTCCTGGAGGACAGGGCTACATGTGTCCCTTCCCGTCTTGGGGACCTTGTCAAGCACCAGGCGGCTGCAGCCCTTCTTTACAGCACAGCCTGTGTTCTTTCGGAAGAGCCAAGGCCACATTTGCTTTGGGAAACAAGACACTGTGATTAATCAAGGAAAACAAAAACAGCTTCGTTTTCCATAATGGGCCCATGGAAAGGCTTTTCTAGGAAAAACCTTGATCAAGCTGTTCCTTCTATTTCCCTAGTGGCCAACAGGGCTGGAGGGGGAGCACGGGAGAGCAGATGGGGTGAGCAAGAAGGTATCCATGAAAGTTTATTCCCGAATGATCCCTTCCAGAAACAAGGCTTCATTATGTTCACTTGCCCAAAGCACTGAGAGCGCCCACCAGCTAACAGCAAGGGCCCCCCTTCCAAGGCCAGGCATCACTGTCCTGGCACCCAACGTGCCCACCCACTCCTACTAGATCATTCCAGTCAGACAGGGTTCCTTGAAGGGAGATTAGGGGAGTGACACTCCGAACCAAACAAAGGAACAAAGAAGGGTCAGAAAAGGCAGGCAGACTCGGCACTGTGGTAAAACGCTCTCACATGCTTACGTCACAGTTGCAATCACAACGTAATCCTTACACTGGTACAGACAGGCGCAGGGCTGGGATCGGGGTGAGATCAGTGGGGGCACTGCCTGTGGTGCAAAATTTAGGGGCACCAAATAAACGCAATAATCAAATAATATTTTAATGCAATATTTTTAAGTGAAAATTGGTGTCAAAAATCCAGGATGAACAAAATATCAAAATATTGAAATTTAAAATCAAGATCCAGTTTCACAGACATTGGGTGTACCTGCCGATCAGCACACACTTGACTTTGGCTTTGCAGGGCCTCCTTGAAGGAGCTCGGTAAAGCAGCGTGAGCAAAGAAGCCCTGGATTTGGAGACAGAAGAGCAGGGGTCTTTGTGCACAACGTATATCTCCCACCTCTCTGAGCTCTGTTCTCCTTTGCAAAGTGGGCTTAATACTCACCTGTCTATCTCACAGGGTTTGTTGGGACCAAATGAGATCTTGTTCATGGGAGCATTTGATAAACCATAATCTATGACATCCTTGAAATGGATAACAGAAAGTATAACCATAATACTGGTAATTACAGTAGTGGGTAAAACAGGATATTCTTGGAAAGGGAAGGGAAGAAGTGGCAGGAGAGAGGACAAGGAGGTCGGGGGGAGTAAGGGACAGGCAGTGTGGTGAGAAGTGCGAGGAGCCCAGATTCTGAAATCTGACCGGCATTCAAGTCTCAGCTCAGCTATGACAGCTTACTGAACCTCAGCCTGTTCTCCAACCTCTCTGAGCCTCAGTTTTCTCAGTCTTAAAATGGGGATAATAATAGATTGACCATGAAGTAATACGTGCATAGCACCTAGTGTGGTCTGCAAACAGCTGGGTGTTAACCCCTTCCATCACACACACACATAAGTGTGTACATGCACACCTCCCTGCATACCCCAGTCCCCATCCCAGAGTAAACAAAAAGAATCAAACTCTGTAAAATATTTGAAGAGATTTATTCCCTTTTTTTGACACGGAGTGTCGCTCTGTCACCCAGGCTGGAGTGCAGTGACACAATCTCGGCTCACTGCAACCTCTGCCTCCAGGGTTCAAGTGATTCTTGTGCTTCAGCCTCTCAAGTAGCTGGGATTACAGGTATGTGCCACCATGCCCGGCTAATTTTTGTGTTTTTAGTAGAGATGGGGTTGCCACGTTGGCCAGGCTGGTCTCGAACTCCTGGCCTCAAGCAATCTGCCTGTCTCGGCCTCCCAAAGTGCTGGGATTCCAGGCGTGAGCCACCACACACGCCATTGAAAAGATTTATTCTGAGCCAAATATGAGAGAGGCCTGTGACACAGCCCTCAGGAGATCCTGAGAACATGTGCCCAAGGTGGTCAGGCTGCAGCTTGGTTTTATACATTTTACAGAGACATGAGACTTCAATCAAATACATTTAAGAAATACATTGGGCTAGGCGTGGTGGCTCATGCCTGTAATCCCAGCACTTTGGGAGGCTGAGGCAGATGGATCACTTGAGGCCAGGAGTTTGAGACCAGCCTGGCTAACAGGGCAAAACCCCATCTCTACTAAGAATACCAAAAAATTAGTCAGGTGTGGCACGTGCCTGTAGTCCCAATTACTTGGGAGGCTGAAGCATGAGAATCACAGGAGGTGGAGGCTGCAGTGAGCCAAATAGTGCCACTGCACTCTAGCCTGGGTGACAGAGGGAGACTCTGTCTCAAAAAAAAAAAAAGAAAGAAAGAAAAAACAAGCAACAACAACAAAAGAAAACATTGGTTTGGTTCAGTAAGGTGGGACAACTGGAAGCAGGCTATAGGTAGATTGAAAAATTTTCTGGTTGAGAATTGGTTGCATTTACAGCAGGATGGCAGGGCCAGTCTCCACCCATGACTGAAACCCACAAGTCCTGCCCAGGGACCCAAGCTCTGGGCTCCTGCCCTTCCCCTCCAGATCTAACCTCCTTCCTGCACGGACAGAGGTCCCAAACTGACTGCGGGAGCGTGTCTTATTGAGCTCAAACAATGTTTTTCATTTTTTAAAATTACTTGCCAACATTTAAAAATTGGGAGATTCTTATAAAAATCCCAATTTCTAGCCCATCTATTAAAATCCAGATTTCCAGCTTGTCTAGAAATATCTAAATGTTCAGCAATTGATAACAATAATTCCCATGTACTGAGAATATACTCAATGCTGAGCACAGTGCTCAATATTTTAGTTATTTTTTCTCTTTAAACCTTCACAGCAATTCTGTACTCCCTCCCCATTCTACAGATGATAAATCTGAGGCTCAGAAAACTTAAATAACCTATCCAAAATACACACAGCTAATAAACAGCCTGGCTAGAGTTAAACCCAGGGGAATTTGACTATAATTCCATGCTTTCAAATTTATGTACTTCCCACCATCCTGGAAGGTATGGACTAAACTATCGGTTTTCAAAAGTGTTGCAAGAAGGCTCGGAGGCCCGGGCTGAGTATGTATGGGGTGAGGAAGAGGAAGCTGGCTCAGGCCCCAGGGCTCCTACTTTTGTTAGGGCAGGTCTTTTTTTAAAAACCATTTTACATACTGGAGTTCCCTTCAAGTTGTCTTTTAGAAAAATAATCTCACTGCTCTGAGACAAAACCAAAACAAAGCCCCAAGCCCTGGTGATCTCCACTTTACCTTCTCTCCATGGCACCATGATTTCCGGGGTCAGCAGGAAAAGCTCCTTCTTCTCCCATTCCCAATTTACTGACCACATCCCTATGTTATTGCATCACTTCCGGGGCTATCTCTTTATGTTACGGCATCACCTCCAGTTGCATCTTTGAGCAGCTGGGGCCTGATTGGGCTATGACTTACAACCCTCGCTTGGCCAAGTGTCCAGAGACTTGGGAGCCATGGAGCCACGGCCCTTCCTCTGAGACCCGCTGGGGGTAGACAGGCCAACACCAGGTGAGAAGTGCTGCAGTGGAGGGCAAGGGTGAGGGGGTGAGGATGGCAGAGGCTAAAAGCCACTGAGCCTGGTAGAAAAGATGCCCCCTTTTATCTGTCATCATGAATTTCAGTCCTGTCATGATTGTCTATGAATTGAGTGTTTTCTTTAGGGTGACCTCAGAGGAATTACAGTGTGGTCAGAAGAGCACCTGGAGGAACCTGAGCTGGGCTCTGTCACTGCTTGGCATTGCATGAACTTGGTCCTATATAAAATGTGCATGGCATCTCTCTATGTACCTCACCCACTAGCCCTGGAGACATAGGGAGACTAAAAGGCATAAAGTGGCATGTTAATGAATGTCCTGTTTTAATTACTTGCATATGGTCCGACAAGCACAAACCAGGAAAAAGTGAGAGCTTCCAGACCCTCTTTGAAGACAGGGCTGCTGGAGCTAGCCTTGTCACATGATGTCAGCCTTGGCATCAACTGCCATCCATGTGCCGATGACTCCCAATTCCACAACCCATCTGGATCTCTCTCCTGAGATTCTGACGGTGGTTCTTATGGAACAGCTCCCCTTGGCTGTACCCCACCACTCCTCCAGCAGCATTTCCAAAATGGAGCTCCTCACCACCTCTTTGAAACCTGCTCCTTCTGCAGGGTTCTGTGGTCCAGGAGCTGGTATCCTCAGCCATACAGCCCAGAAACCTGGAAGCCATTCTTGACTGCTTCCCTACCTCATTCCACACATCTGACAACAATCTCAAGATGTGGTTGGTTCAGTCTACCCCTTAAGGAGCTCTTGAATCTGTCTACTTCTCTCCAGCTCTAATGGATTAACTTGGACTAGACTACCCCCATCTCTGGCCTGGATGACAGCAACTCCAGCTGCTGGGTCTCCTGCTACTGGTCTTGCCCTCCCCATCCCACACCCCACCACCCTGCCTTGCATGCTCCAAATCCCCAAACAGATCTTTCTGAAACACATGCACAGAATGATGACCTTTCTAAAACACACATATGATCATCTTATCCTCATGCTTAAACCCTTGCAACAGTCAGTTGGGATAAAGCCCTAATGCTTTCACATGGTATAGAAGGTGAGCCCCCACCCATCTATCTGCCATCTCTATCTTTTTTTTTTTTTTTTGAGACGGAGTCTCACTCTGTCACCCAGGCTGGAGTGCAGTGGCACGATCTCGGCTCACTGCAAGCTCCGCCTCCCGGGTTCATGCCATTCTCCCACCTCAGCCTCCCGAGTAGCTAAGACTACAAGCGCCCACCACCATGCCCGCTAATTTTTTTGTATTTTTAGTAGAGACGGGGTTTCACCGTGTTAGCTATGATGGTCTCGATCTCCTGACCTCGTGATCCGCCTGCCTCGGCCTCCCAAAGTGCTGGGATTACAGGCATAAGCCACCGCGCCCGGCCTGCCATCTCTATCCTTAACAGTCTGTCCAGACTGAATCTCTTTCAGTTCCCCAAACACACCCCATTCTCTCATCCCTATTCCTTTGTGCATGTTTCTCTTTCCACTGAGAATACACTCCATTAACTCCCACTCATCCTTTGGGTCTCAGCTCAGGTGGCACTTTAACCGGGAAGCTTTTGCTGACTTTCCAAGACTGAGTTAGGTACCCATCTACTGCATTTCCCTGGGCACCTTGTCCTGCCTTCATGTTATACATGAAGTCTACATGCCATAATTCCTTGTTGACTTGACTGCTTTTCCCATCCAGCTATGAACTCCATAAACGTTAACGTGTAATTCTGTTTTCATTTGTATCCCCTGTGCCTTAGTCACAGCCAGGCACGTAGTATGTGCTCAGTAAATTTTATTTTTGTGACTAAAGTGCTCAGGCCATCAAAAAGATGAGTTGCCTTTTAGTAGAAGCATTAAGAGGCACTACTAGGAAAGAGTGTGCTTGCTAAAGCAAGTATTTCAGTCAGATGTGCAAATCAAACTGTGCTTTAACAATACCAAGAACCGACTATTAACACCTTGGCGATTTGCTAACTTCTCTGCTTCCTAGAAGTCTACGTATTTTGGAATTTGTTTGTAGAAGTTGTGAAACACAGTCTCCTTCGACATATTTAAGAACTTCCTGAGTTTCGCTTAATTTCTTCTTGCCAGACGGACATGGCTTCAAATCCTTATTTTGTATCCTCTGTGTTGTGACCTTCCTTACCCTCCACTCGTTAGCGGCCCTGGCATTGAGATCTGCCGACGGCAATATCTGATAAAAGCCTGTCATTAAAAGTGTATCTGTGCCTGGTGTCAAGAGGCAGCAGAAGCTGAGACTTTGATTTTTCATTTTTAATCATCGTTTTGATCTCCCTTTTACCCCAAGGTTTCCAAATTCTGGGGCTTTGTGACCTTTGGACGATTGGGTAAGCTATTGTAATTCTCATATTTCCCCACAGATTTTCTCTCATTTTCAAAAGAGACAAACTAGCAGATTCAAAATGCACTGAACCCTCCCTGTGTTACACTACAGGAAGTGCAAAGATCTGGATTCAAGTCTTCACGCTACTGTTTATAGGCTTATAACTGTGGGCAACCCACCTAACTTCCTTGAACTTCAGCTTTCTCTTCTGCAGAATCAGAATGGCACCAGCCTCCCACCTCACTCTCTGTCTTGCGCGTGGTAGGCAGTGAATAAATATTAGCGTCCTTCCCAAACAGTTCTGCTATTAATTATGCCCATGACCATAAAATGGTCCCTTTGGAACCTCCGCAGATTGAAATGATTTTCTATGATAATAAATCTCCACTGTTAGCAGGGGCAGTTGCCAGACAGTCTCGATGGCCACACTCACCCATGCTGCGAAAGCTTTTAAAGCTCCTATTAAATGATAGGATTGTTTGTTTTCGTTCCTTCAAAGTAAGATCCACATACTCTGCTCATTCTTGTGGTCCTGGGGAAGGGAAAACTTAATCCCACATAGAAGACTGAGTCACTGACCTCTCCCATTACTTGAACTGCCTATCTCCAGAATTCAGCTGGACTACCGTCAGGTGAAACAAAATCATGTGAGGAGGAGAAAGTGAAATGCCTATGGGTGGGGAGTTGATAAACTCTCAAGGCAGTGAAATGTAAGAAGCAAGAGGCAGGCTGGGCGCAGTGGCTCACACCCGTAATCCCAGCACTTTAGCAGGCCAAGGCGGACAGATCGCTTGAGCTCAAGAGTTTGAGACCAGCCTGGGCAACATGGCAAAACCCCATTTCTACAAAAAATATAAAAATTAGCCAGGTTTTGTGGCATGCACCTGTAGTCCTAGCTATTTGGGAGACTGAGGTGGGAGGATCGAGCCCAGGAGGTGGAGGTTGCAGTGAGCCAAGACTATGTGACTGCGCTCCAGCCTGGGTGACAGAGCAAGATTCTGTCTCAAAAAAAAAAAAAAAAAAAAGCATCAGCAGCTAGAGGCATGTCCATCTTAGCTTGGCAGTTGTATATCTTATAGATATAAAGACTGATTCCTTACCTTTGCCCAGCACCTGGGATCCTACAGAGATCCTTATTTTATTTTATGTGAGGCAGAGTCTCACTCTGTCACCCAGGCTGGAGTGTAATGGCATGATCTCGGCTCACTACAACCTCTGCCTCCTAGATTCAAGCGATTCTCCTACCTCAGCCTCCCAAGTAGCTGGGATTACAGGTGCGTGCCATCATCCCTGGCTAACTTTTGTATTTTTAGTAGAGACAGGGTTTTGCCATGTTGGCCAGGCTGGTCTCAAACTCCTGACCTCAAGTGATCCACCTGCCTCGGCCTCCCAAAGTGCTGGGATTACAGGTGTGAGCCACTGTGCCTGGCCCCTACAGAGATCTTTCATAGTTAGGATCTTCTTTCATCCTTACAACCATCTCGAGAGGGTGGCAAATTTCATTATACCCATTTTTCAAAAGAAGAAACTGAGGAGAATATACCCAGATCACACAAGCTTATTATGCAGAATGGAGCTGGGACTTCACTGGGGGCTTCCAGCTCCAAGAACTGTTCTTTCAATGACACTCACCTGCCTCTCACTCAGTTGAGGAAGAGGAAGGTTCCAATCAGCCTCACAGGGAACACATACTCAACAACCCCTCCACAGTGCCACTGAGGAAAAAGCACCAGACTGGGGGGTGGCGGGGGCACGAGGACCTAGGCTTCATTCCCTAGGGATGTCAGTTTCTTTATCTCTGCAAAGAACAGATTGCAAAAAATGTTTCCAAGTTCCCTCCTGTGTTTGTATTTCTTTAAGTGGATCTTTGGTTTAATGCATAGCCCAAATACCTGTGACATAGAAGAAATGCCTAAAAGATAAATCTGGAGTTCACCACAAGTTCAGCAGCAATTACGGTGTCTTTGACCTGATGTGACCACTATGGCTGAATTTAAAAGTTGGGATTTTCAGTCATGGTTTCTTGGAAACAGGCCTCACCAAACTTCAGTTAACCTTTCCACATCTCAGTTTCCTTATACGAAAAACAGGGAAGACAATACCTTCTGTACAGGAAAAAGGACTTGTCAGTCCTTCTCCCAGGCCATTCCCACCTCTTCCTAGCACCCCTGCCCCCAACCCAAGGGAAGAGGAGTTGCTAATCTGATTGGTCAGAGTGTGGGACCAGAGATAGCAACTTGTAGTTAGTAGACAGAGATGCCCTCCTTAGGAATGGTTCTCCTTCTCTCCCACTCTATGCATTCGGGTGGACAAGTGCACTCAGCCCCCTCTCTGATTCTCCACCTCCTCATACAAGTGACTAAGGAGATAAGTCATTTTATTTTCTCTGTCATTTTGTTGCAGAATTTTCTCCTTAGTTCAGCTAAAACCAGGTTCTTGTCACTCGACTGGGAAAGATTAGGCTCACGGGCACATAGAAGGGTGAGGAGAGGAATTTATTGGGCAAAAAGGAAAAAGGGAAAATAATTATCTGCAAAGTGAGAGAAAATCCTGCTAGCAGGATTCCCACCTCACAGATTGAATCCCAGCTCACCACACAGGAACAGGAGAGGCCAGGTTCCTCCTCGCTGCAAATTCCGTGAACTTCCCGAGGCCCCACCCCGTCCTCCCTGTGTGCAGGTGGGCGTTATTCAGAAAGAATCAGTCGGGAAATAGTAGGCTTCATCTGGGACCAGCAGTACGGTTTTTCAGCCTTCAGGCTGTTTTAGGCTTGAAGGCAGGGTTTCGCCAGGGACCTCTGGCTGTCTCCTGTCTCTATCAATTTTGTTATCTTTCCTCTCTGCATCCTTCTAGAAGGTACTAAGATCCCAAGGTTTAGATTCAGGAAGAAGTAGGAGATTCTGCTTAGGCCTTACAGCTTCTATTCATTTTTAGTTAAAACTTGTAATGGAGGTTATTGGATGGTGGCTCAATTAATAAAATGCAGTACTTTGTTATTTGACTTATGTCCTCTGCCTGTCTCTGGAGAACTGTGGTAGCCAGCCTCCCCAGACAGTCCCCAGTGAGCCTCTGCTCCTGGTATTCATACCCTTTTTTAGTCCCCTCTCACCCGTACCAGGGTTGATCTGTGTGATCAAAAAACTATGGCAGAAGTGCTGGTGTGTCACTTCTGAGGCTGGGACTCTGCAGCCTCCATCTTGGCTGCTCTTTCTCTTGGATCACCCTCTTGCCACATCCTGAGAAGCCTCCTGGAGAGGCCTCTGGGATTCCATTCTCAGAACGTACCCTTCATTGTCTTTATATGAATCATTGCTTGACATTCCCTTGCTCCTTTTTATTTTATTTTATTGTTTTAGAGACAAGGTCTCACCCTGTCACCCAGGCTGAAGTACTGTGGTAGGATCCTAGCTCACTGCAGCCTAGGACTTCTGGGCTTAACAGATCCTCCAGCCTCAGCCTTCCAAGTAGCTAGGACTACAGGCATGTGCCACCATGCCAGTCTAATGTGGTGTTTTTTTTGTTTTGTTTTTGTTTTAGAGATGGGATCTTGCTATATTGCCCAGGCTAATGTCAAACCCCTGGCCTCAAGTGATCCTCCCACCTTGGCCTTCTAAAGTGCTGGGATTACAGGAGTAATTATAGGACCCAACATGCTCAGCCTTTCTCAGTCCTTGAGGTCTGAGATGGACTATTTCTTACTTGTCTTTAAATTCTTAATGTCTTATGTGGTACCTGACTCATATTACTATCTCAGTAAATAATTATTCAGTAAAAGAAAGAAGGAGATTTAGTTTTATATTTAGCTTATAGTAATACTTCATATTTTAAATGTCAAAAGTGTAGGGTTTGAATTTCTTTTGGTAGAAAGCCAAATGTAGCAGTTTACATTAAATTTTATAGACACTACAGGTTGCTGAATAAGTCCACATGTGGAAATAAAAGAGAAGTCTAAGAAACCTCTTGGACTTAAATATGGGTTTTTGTATTATCTTCAAACCTGCCCTCTAATTTTAGTTCCAGCATGTATGATAGAGTGATCTCGTCTTCACAGTGGAGAACATTTTCTCCCTCCTTTGTCCATATGCCTAATTAAATTATATCCCACATTAATCAAATTATGCTTAATTATGCTGAATATTTTGGCCCCAAAGATATATTAATTCCAAGTCTCTTCGTGTTGCCACTTTGGGTCTGTTTTTACTCAATTACGCAATCCCCTGAGACAGTCAGATGTTAATTCCAAAGACTGAGGGTACCCTTAAGAATCACAGAATGGAAAGGAAATGGAAAGGAAAGGAAGAGAATGGAAAGGAAACCACAAAGGCCAGTTCCATCTTTAGTGGCTCCTAACTCTGGAATCTCAAGCTGGACCTAACATTGAGCCAAAGGCTCCAGGAAACCTGCTTCCCTCTTTGTGTGCATTTCCTCTCCTTCCCTTGAAGACAACGCTGTCTTCAGAAGTCGATCCACTGATTTATGTATAGGTATTGAAAAGTTCAAAAACGTTAAATCAGAAAGAGGCCACATTTATTTTAAGGGTGATTAAGAAGAAAAGTGAGAGTTACCCAGCCAAGAAGAAAGAGGTATAAATAGACATTATATTCATGATGTATCTCAAAAACAAGGCCCTCCATACAAATCTTTTATATACAAATTTAGCTATGTATGAGTGTTTAAGACACACACACACGGGGGTGGGGGGATAGTGTGTGTATGTGTGTATAATATGTATATATTTTTCTTTTCCGTTTTTTTTTTTTTTTTTTTGAGACAGAGTCTCGCTCTGTCGCCCTGGCTGGAGTACAGTGGCACAGACTCAGCTCACTGCAACCTCCGTTTCCCGGGTTCAAGCGATTCTCCTGCCTCGGCCTCCTGAGTAGCTGGGATCACAGGCGCCTGCCACCACGCCCAGCTAATTTTTTGTATTTTTAGTAGAGACAGGGTTTCACCATGTTGACCAGGCTGGTCTCGAACTCCTGACCTTGTGATCCACCCACCTCGGCCTCCCAAAGTGCTGGGATTACAGGCATGAGCCACCGTGCCTGGCCTTTTTTAATTTTTTTTGAAACAGAGTCTTACTCTGTCACCCAGGCTGCAGTGCAGTGGCGAGATTTCAGCTCACTGCAACCTCTGCCTCATGGGTTCAAGCGATTCTCCTGCCTCAGCCTCCCAAGTAGCTGGGACAGGCACATGCCACCAAGCCCAGATAATTTTTGTATTTTTAGTAGAGATGGGGTTTCACCAGGCTGGTCAGGTTAGTCTCAAACTCCTGACCTCTAGTGATCCGCCTGCCTCGGCCTCCCAAAGTGCTGGGATTACAGGTGGTAAGCCACCCCGCCCAGCCTATATATTTCAATCACTCACATCTTTGGTGTAGGGTATAATGTTTTCATATCCTCGTGAGATAATCTCCAAGGGAGACACTTTATCAGAGCACACAGTTCTATTTATCTAGTTTCTGAAGATTAGTCTCAGGGGCAACTTTATATAATAAATGTTGACTATATAGTACAAGTCTTCTTTACTTAAATCAAAAGTCCAAATTGTGACCCAGTAATACCAACAGTACCTTCTCTTCTGCACATGCTTGTAACTGCATATGTGGAGTGAGGGAGCCAATTCTTTTGAAAACGTTCATCCCTCCCTCTTTCTAAATGATTCTAGGATTTAGATGTGTGACAAACAAAAAGAAGAAAAGAAAAACCATTTTCTTGGAAGCTGCAAAGGATTGATCCCCACCCCCCCCCCACACTTTTTTTTTGAGAGCTGCAGAACACAAAAAAAATTGACGTGTTTCTAAAAAGCTGTGACATATCTATTAGCCACAGTCTTTTTTTGTGTGGTAAAAGAAACCAGCCACAAAATACTGCTGCTGCCAAACAAACAAACAAACAAACAAAGTGCTGCCTGAACCTTTTTTAACTTCTTCCTTTCTGAGAGGACTCAGTCTTTCTTAATCCTCATCAGAAGATAAGATCTTTGTTGCTTTGGGGTAGGTAGGCCAAGGGTGGTTTGATTGACTTTGTCACATAGATGTTGTCACAGAGATATCAGAGGTTGACAGTGTAGCTACTTGGTTAAAAATGACAACCATCTGAAGAAAAGTACACAAATAGTGTCTGCACTTTCTTGGAACTGGGAGTTGGCTTTCTTGGACCCTTCCCTCCAGCTTCAAAAAAGGAATTGCTAAATGCTCAATTTGGTGTTTGCCTAAGGGTGGCTAAACAAGCTGCCTAGTGAGGTGTTAGTTCTTATTTCTGAGAAGGAAAGCCTTTCACTCAGTTTGGTTCTAACAAAAACAAATCTACTGAAACCAGAGTGAGGAAGGAACTTATCAACAAAGGTCAACTAGAAAAAGTACCGATTCTGAAAATAGAGTTTTCTGCCAAAGCTTGGGAGCAACCGAAAGGCAGAAAGAGATCTTTTGGGTTCCAAAGAAGACCTGAAGAAATCCACCTATCTGACTGATCTCCAGACATCAGGGAGTGAAGCAAAATTTGTAGAGACAGTCCTTTCGAAGCATGGTAGGGGTTGGGATGTACCGGGGAGAGTGAGGGGATGAGATGCTCTTCTATTCACATGCTTCAAAAGTGGCACTTCCAAACCATATTTTTAAAAGTCACACGGATTAGGGGATCATGAAAAATGTTAGAAGAAGCAAAATGAAAAAGCAAGACGGTGAGCTGCGCAGTCCCATTCCTAGACTTGCTCCTTGATGTTAGAATATGACTAGGACTCTGATTTCTCCCGCCAATCTCCATAGAAACTCCAGTTACAGAGCCAGAACCAATGTAGGAATAATTGTATTCAAAGCCTTCCTTTGGGGGTGGAAATGACTTCTTTTGTTTATAGACTCATAAAGAACATCTGAACTCCACTAGCTCTTCCTCTTCCACTTGAAGAAAAAAAAAGGGGTTGGTTCAAGGTGGTGCACTAAGCCAACATGCTTTCTCCTTTCCAGATCCCAGTGAAATGTGATCCGTAAGATAAGACTAAGTCCTAGACATTACCTAGAAAATGCCAGTTGAGGGGAGCTGAAGAATTTCTGGATGGTAGCAGGCTGACAGGAATACCAAAGCACTGAGAAACACACAGTCCACCACAGTGAAGGAGGGGCCTACTGGATAAATAATTCTCCAGCCTGTAAACTTCACTGGGACAAGTCACCATCTGTTGTATTCATTACTGTATTATTTCTGCCTTGCATAGCTCCTGGCATAGAGTAGGTGTTTGATATTACTGTCAAATCTGAATATGCTAATTTTCTCAAGAGAAAAATCAACCCAAGGTCAACAGGACAGGGTAGAAGTGTATTGTAGGACGCTTGACAAGATAGTCGAAGTGCCAGGCCAGTGCCCCACCTCTCCCAGTGGCACATAGAGCAGCTAGTTATTGTGTTTGCTCCCAGGCTCTCTGAGTAAAGGATCAGTCGCGGGAGACCCTTAGAATAAGAACTAGGGCCAGAGAGAAAAGTAGAGCATTGCTCCAGTTATTATTGAACTGTTAATTAAGGAAAGACACAACCTGGGACAGGTGTGAAATGCCCTGAGGTGCTCTAAAAGGTAACTTTCCCTACTTGTTTATTTGAGGGCAACCTGCTGGCCTCCCCCACCTGCCCATGAACCTTGGAGTAAAACACATGTGTTACAGTTAGTCACCACATTTAGGGGGCAGACGTGGCAAGAGATGTTGGAAGGGAACCTAAACAATTGGTGAGGAAAGGAGACCAGTTACCAATGCAGATCAATTTATATTCGAAAAGGAATAACTGAGAATCACCAGACCTTAAAACCAACCTTATAGCCTGAAAGCTGAATGAGTAGAGAATTAAATTCTGAGGAGAGAGCAAATGCAGGCAGCCAAAGAGAACATTCAAGTAATTTTATTAAGCTTCCTGAGATAAAATCCTTATTAGATCCATAAAAAAAGAGCTGTAGAAAAAGTAGCAATCAGAGAAAAAGAAAGAAATCTTTAAAAACTAAAAATATGATTAACAAATTATAGAAACTCAATACCAGAAATGAAGTACAGAACAGATACAATCGAAAAGACAACAGTGATTTGGAAGACCAAATCAAGGTATTCTCCCTGAACATAGTGCAAAAAGCTACAGAAAAAAATCATGAGGAAAAAAGATAAAGAATATAGAAGATTCAGAAGAAAAAAATCTGCTTAATAAAAATTGTGGGAGATTTGGAGGCAGAGCAAGATGGCAGAATAGAAAGTGCCACCTATCTTCCCCCCAGCAAGGACACCAATTTAACAACGATCTACGCAGAAAAAAAACACTTTCATCAGAACCAAAAATCAGGTGAGCCCTCATAGTACCTGGTTTTATCTTCATACCGATGAAAGAGCCACTGAAGAGATAGAAAAAACAGTCTTGAATTGCCGATGCCACCCTTCCCCAGTGTGCTGTCAGGTTAGAGCAGAAAGGGAAACAGGACCAAACTCAGCTAACGCCCACCCATGGAGGAGGCATTTAAACCAGCCCTAGCCAGAGGGAATCGCCAATCCCAGTGGTCAGAACTTGAGTTCCCACAAACCTCACCACCATGGGCTATAGCGCTGTGTTTCTAAATAAACTTAAAAGGCAGTCTAGGCCATAAGGACTGGAAGACTGAATGAATCCTAGTGCTGAACAAGGCCTAAAGAGAGTGGACTGGGGGTGGGGCATGTGACCTACTGAGACACCAGTTGGGGCAGCCAAGGGAGTGCTGACATCACCCCTACCCTACCCCAGGCTACACAGCTCATGGCTCCAAAAGATACCCCTTCCTTCTGATTCAGGAGAGAAAAGGGAAGAGTGAGGAGTACTGTGTCTTGCATCTTGGATACCAGCTCAGCCACAGCAGGAAAGGACACTAATCAGGGTCCTGAGGCCTTCATTCCAGGTCCTTGCTCCCAGATGACATTTCTAGACATACCCTGGGCCAGGAGGGACCCACTCCCCAGTAACACTGTGGTTCTTGCAGACTCGTAGAGGTATTGCCTTAATGGTCTTGGACAAAATCTGGGAGAATTATCTGGATTACCAGGCAGAGACTCTTGTTCTCTTCCCATACTTACTCCTGTACTTTCCTTACTTGAAGGAAAGGACCCAGTCCTGGCAGCATTCATCACCTACTAACTGAAGAGCCCTTGGGCCCTGAATAACCAGTAGCAACACTCGGGTAATATGTTGGGGGCCTTGGGTGGGCCTCTGAGACTGGCTGGCTTCAGGTGAGACTCAGGACATTACCAGTTGTGGTGGCTGTGGGACAAAACTCCTTCTGCTTGAGAAAAGCAGAGGGAAAAGCAAAGGGAACTCTGTCTTGCAACTTAGGTACTAGCACAGCCACAGGGGGATAGAGCACCAAGCAGGCTCTTGGAGCCCTCAACTCCAGGACTTGACTCTTGGATGGCATTTCTGGACCTGTCCTGGGCCAGAGGGGAGCACATGGCCCTAAAGAGTGAATCCCAGGCCAGGCAGCATTCACCATAAGCTGACTTAAGAGCCCTTGAGCCTTAAGAAAACATAGGTGGTAGTCTGGCAGTACTCCTTATGGCCTGGAGTGGCAGTGGCTACAGAGTGAGCCTCCTCTGCCTTTGGAAGGGGAAAGGAAGAGGAGGAAGGACTGCATCTTGTGCACTGATCTGCACCTTGTGGTTTGAGTGCCAGCTCAGCTGCAGTACAACAGAATACCAGATAGACTTCTAAGGTTTTTGACTGTATTCCCTGACTCCTGTACAGCACCTCTGGACCCACCTGGTGTCTGGGGGACTTTGCCACCCTGAAGGGAAGGTCACAGGCCTGGCTGGTTTTGGCATCAAGTGATCGAAGAGCCCTAGGGCTTTGAGTGAACATGGGCAATAGCCACGTAGTGGTTACATAGGCAGTAGTGGTTACATCAGGCCTTTGGTGAAATCCAGTGCTGTGCTGGCTTCAGGTGTGATCCACAGCAGTCATAGTGGTGGTAGCCACAGAGGTTCTTGTGTCGCTACACCCCAGCTTTAGGTGGCTCTGAACAAGGAGAGACTGTTTGTTTGGTTAAGTACGGGAAGAGAACAAGAGTCTCTGCCTGGTTCTCCAGATACTTCTCCCAGATCTTGTCCCATGGCCATCAAGGCAGTACTTCTATGAGTCTACAAGAACCACAGTGTTACTGGGCTTGGGGTGCCCAGTGAAGCAGATATGGCTTAGATCACAACACCCAGGTTCTTTCAAATATCTGAAAAGCCTTCCCAAGAAGGACAGCTACAAATAAGCCCAGACAGTGAGGACTACAATAAATACCTCACTCTTCAATGGCCAGACACTAAAGAACATCTATCAACACCACCCAGGGAAACATGACCTCACCAAATGAAATAAATAAGGCATCAGGGACCAATCCTGGAAAAATGGAGATATGTGACCTTTCAGGCAGAAAATTCAAAATAGCTGTGTTGAGGATACTCAAAGAAATTCAAGATAACACAGGGAAGGAATTCAGAATTCTATTAGATAAATTTAACAATGAGATTGAAATAATTAAGAAGAATCAAGCAAAAATTCTGAAGCTGAAAAATGCAATTGGTATACTAAAGAATGCATCAGAGTCCTTTAATAGCAGAATGGATCAAGCAGAAGAAAGAATTGGTGAGGCTGAAGACAGGCTATTTGAAAATACAGTCAGAAGAGACAAAAGAAAAATGAATAACAATGAAGCACACCTATAGGATCTAAAACATAACTTCAAAAGGACAAATCTAAGAGTTATTGGCCTTAAATAGGAGGTAGAGAAAGAGATAGGGGTAGAAAGTGTATTCAAATGAATAATATCAGAGAACTTCCCAAACCTAGAGAAAGGTATCAACATTCAAGTACAAGAAGGTTATAGAACACCAAGCATATTTAACCTAAAGAAGACTACCTCAGGCCATTTAATAATCAAACTCACAAAGGTCAAGAATAAAGAATGGATCCTAAAAGCAGCAAGAGAAAAGAAACAAATAACATACAATGGAGCTCCACTATGCCTGGCAGAAGACTTTACAGTGGAAATGAAAAGAGAAATAGACCAGGAGAGAATGACATGACATATTTAAAGTGCTGAAAGAAGAAAATACACTTTTACCCTAGAATAGTATATTTGGCAAAAATATCCTTCAAATATGAAAGAGAAATAAAGACATTCCCAGACAAATAAAAGCTGAGGGGTTTCATCAACACCAGACCTGTCCTATAAGAAATGCTAAAGGGAATACATCAATCAGAAAGGAAGGAACATTACTAAGTAATCACCTGAAAGTACAAAACTCACTGGTAATGGTAAGTACGCAGAAAAACACAGACTATTTTAACACTGTAATTGTGATATGTAAACTACTCTTATCCTGAGTAGAAAGACTAAATGATGAACCAATAGAAAATAATAATGACAACAGCATTTCAAGACATCATCAGTACAATAAGATATAAATAGAACAACAAAAAGTTAAAAAGCAAGGGGACAAAGTTAAGGTGTAGAGCTTGTATTAGTGTTCTCTTTGATTGTTTGTTTGTTTATGCAAACAGTGTTGGTATCAGGTTAAAATAATGGGACATAAGAGAGTATCTGCAAGCTTTGTGGTAACCTCAAACCAAAAAAACATATAATGGAGACACAAAAAATAAAAAGCAAGAAACCAAATCTTACCTCCAGAGAAAATCACCTTCACTAAAGGAAGACAGGAAGGAAAGAAAGACGAAAGAGAAGACCACAAAACAACCAGAAAACAAATAACAAAGTGGAAGAAGTAAGTCTTTATTTATCAATAATAACATTGAATGTAAATAGACTAAACTCCCCAATCAAAAGACACAGACTGGATGAATGGATGAAAAAACAAGACCCATTAATATGTTGCCTACAAGAAACACACTTCACCTCTAAAGACACACATAGACTGAAAATAAAAGGATGGAAAAAAAACAAAAATCAGCAGGAGTTGCTATAGTGCCATCAGACAAAATAGCTTTCAAGCCCAAAATTATAAGAAGAAACAAAGAAAGTCACTAAATAATGTTAAAGGGGTCAATTCAGCAAGAGGATATAACAATTTTAAATATATATGGACTCAACACTGAAGCATCCAGATATATAAAACAAATATTAGAGCTGAAGGGAGAGATAGATCATAATACAATAACAGCTGGAGACTTCAACACTCCACTTTCAGCATTGGACAGATCTTCCAGACAGAAAATCAACAAAGAAATATCAGACTTAATCTGCACTGTAGATCAAATGGATCTAGTAAATATTTACAGAACGTTTCATCCAATGGCTACAGAATACACGTTTTTTTTCCTCAGCACATTGATCATTCTGAAGGATAGGCCATATGTTAGGTCACAAAACAAGTCTTACAACATTCAAAAAAATTGAAATAATGACAAGCATCTTCTCTCATCACAATGGAATAAAACTAGAAATCAATAACAAGAGGAATTTTGGAAACTTTACAAATACATAGAAATTAAACAATATGCTTCTGAATTACCAGTGGGTCAATGAAGAAATTAAAAAGGAAGTTAAAAAAATTTCTTGAAAGAAATGGTACCAAAACCTATGGGATGCAGCAAAATTAGTACTAAGAGGGAAACTTACAGCTATAAGTGCTTACATCAAAAAAGAGGGAAAACTTCAAATAAGCAATCTAACAACGCATCTTAAAGAACTAGAAAAGCAAGAGCAAACCAAACCCAAAATTGGTAGAAGAAAAGAAATAATAAAGATCAGAACAGAAATAAATGAAACTGAAATAAAAAAATACAAAAATCAATGAAACAAAAAGTTGATGTTTAAAAAAGTTAAACAAAATTGACAAAACTTTAGCCAGACTAAGAAAAAAAGAGAAAAGATGCAAATAAAATCAGAATTGAAAAAGGAGACATGACAACTGATACAACAGAATTTCAAAGGACCATTAGTGGCTACTATAAGCACCAAATGCCAATAAATTGGAAAATCTATAAGAAATGGACAAATTCCTAGAAAAATACAACCTACCAAAATTCAATCAGGAAGAAACCCAAAACTTTAACAGACCAATAACAAGTAATGAAATAGAATCCATAATAACAAGTCTCCCAGTAAAGAAAAGCCCAGGACCTAATGGCTTCACTGCTGAATTCTACCAAACATTTAAAGAAGAACTAATACTAATCCTACTCAAACTATTCTGAAAAATAGAGGAGGAGGGACTACTTCCAAACTCATTCTACAAGGCCAGTATTACCTTGATACCAAAACCAAAGACACACACACAGACACACACGCACACACAAACACACACACAACGAAAAACAAAAAACTACAGGCCAATATCTCTGATGGATATTTATGCAAAAATCCTCAACAAAACACGAACAAATCGAATTCAACAATACATTAGAAAGATCATTCATCACGATCAAATGGGATTTATCCCTGGGATGCAAGGATGGTTCAACATATACAAATTAATCAATGTGATATATCATATCCACAGAATGAAAGGTAAAAACTATATGATCATTTCAATTGATGCTGAAAAAGCATATAATAAAATTGAACATCTCTTCATGATTAAAAACCCTCAAAAAACTGGGGAAAGAAGAAATATACTTCAATATAATAAAAGTCAGATATGAAACACCCACAGATAGTATAATACTGAATGTGGAAAAACTTAAAGCCTTTCCTGTAAGCTCTAGAACAGGACAAGGATGTGCCCACTTTCACCACTGTTATTAAACATAGTACTGGGAGTCCTAGCTACAGCAATAAGACAAGAGGAAGATATAAAGGTCATCCAAACTGGAAAGGAAGAAGTCAGATTATCCTTGTTTGCAGATAACAGGATCTTGTATTTGGAAAAACCTAAAGACTCCACAAAGAAACTATTAGAACTGATAAACAAATTCAGTAAAGTTACAGGATACAAAATCAACATACAAAAACAGTAGTGTTTCTATATGCCAACAGTTAGCAATCTGAAGAAGAAATGAAAAAAGTAATCCCATTTACAGTATCCACACATAAAATTAAACACCCAGAAATTAACTTAGCCAAAGAAGCAAAAGATGTTTATAATGAAAACTATAAAACACTGATGAAAGAAATTGAAGAGGACACCAAAAAAAGAGAAAAATATTCTATGTTCATAGATTGGAAAAATCAATATTGTTAAAATATTCATACTACCCAAAGCAATCTACAGATTCGATGCAAACTCTATCAAAATACCAATGATATTCTTCACAGAAATAGAAAAAAAATCCTAAAATTTATATAGAACTACAAACAGAGCCAGAATAGTCAAAGATATCCTAAGCAAAAAGAACAAAACTGGAGGAATCACATCATCTGACTTCAAATTATACTATAAAGCTATAGTAACCAAAACAGTATGGTACCAGCACAAAAACAGACACATAGACCAATGGAACAGAATAGAGAACTCAGAAACAAATACACACACCTAGGATGAAAACACTTTTTGACAAAGGTGCCAAGAATATACACTGGGGAAAAGATAGTCTCTTCAACAAATGGTGTTAGGAAAACTGGATATCCATATGAAGAAGAGTGAAACTAGACCCCTATCTCTCACCAGATACAAAAATCAAATAAAAATGGATTCAAGACTTAAATCTAAGACCTTGAACTATGTTTTCTACTACAAGAAAACATTGGCGAAAATCTCCAGAACATTGGCCTGGGCAAAAATTTATTGAGCAATACCCCACAAGCAAAGGCAACCAAAGTAAACAGGTACAAATGATACCACATCAAGTTAAAGAGCTTCTGCACAGCAAATGAGACAGCTAACAACGTGAAGAGACAACCCAGAGAATGGGAGAAAATATTTGCAAACTACCCATCTGACAAGGGATTAATAAGAATATATAAGGATTCCAACTCTATAGGAAAAATCTAATAATTCATTCAAAAAATGGGCAAAAGACTTGAATAGACATTTCTCAACAGAAAACGTACAAATGGCAAACAGGCATATGAAAAGGTGCTCAACATTATTGATCATCAGAGAAATACAAATTTAAACTACAATGAGATATCATCTCATCCCAGTTAAAATGGCTTATATCCAAAAGACAAGCAATAACAGATGTTGGCCAGTATGTAGAGAAAAGGGAACACTCATACACTGTTGGTGGGGATGTGAATTAGTACAACCACTATGGAGAATAGTTTGGAGGTTCCTCAAAAGCTAAAAATTGAGCTACCATATGATCCATCAATCCCACTGCTAGGTATATACCCAAAAGAAAGAAAATCCATACATCAAAGAGATATCTGCACTCCTATGTTTGTTGCAGCACTGTCTACAATAGCTAAGATTTCTAAGCAACTTAAGTGTCCATCAACAGATGAATGGATAAAGAAAATGTGGTACATATACATAATGGAGTACTATTCAGCAATGAAAAGTAATGCAAATCCAATCATTTGCAACATGGATGGAACCAGATATCATTATGAAGTGAAATAAGCCAGACACAGGAAGACAAACATTGCATGTTCTCACTTATTTGTGGGTTCTAAAAATCAAAACAATTAAACTCCTGGACATAGAGAGTAGAAGGATGGTAACCAGAGGCTGGGAAGGTCGTGGGGAGCTGCGGGAGAGGTGAAGGATAGTTAATGGACACAAAAATAACAGTTAGAAAGAATGAATAAGACCTACTATTTGATAGCAAAACAGGGTGACTATAGTCAATAATAACTTAATTGTATATTTTTAAATAACTTAAAGAATAATCAGATTGTTTGTAACTCAAAAGATAAAGGCTTGAGGGGATGAATACCCCATTACCTACCTATATACCTATACCTACTATGTACCCACAAAATTTTTAAAAAAATGTTTCCATTTAATGTGAGGCAAGATAAACAAAGATTCACATTTATTTTAAAAATTATAGGAGAGCATGGATAAGATGACAGGGAGTCATTAGTAGAGAAACACCCACTATATCATTTGACTAGCCTAAGTAAATAAATAAATATTAAGTCGTTAGGTTAAAATTTAAAACCCAATAATTCTGGGCCCACTATGTGCCAAGCAAGAATACTCAAAGAGAGGTATACAGATACATCCCATTAAAAATTCTGAATTTCTGACTTGTTTGCTTTTACATTTATAGTGTATCTGTTGTATATGGCATGTAGTTGGGTCTTGTCTTTTCATCTGTTTGAAAACTTCTGTGCTCCCATTTTGCTTATGTCACAGTTACCAGACTCCTTTTAATTGTTGTCCACTATCATCTCCATTTCACAATAGCTTTAGACATGGTGTTCTCCATTTTCTCTTCCAAATAATCAGCCCCCTGAGGCAGATATGTGGGGTTGATCCTATGGCCTGCCTTTCTCTCTGGGAAGAACCCCCATGCCACTCAAAAGGAGTTTGGGGTTAGGACCTGCTTTTCCCGGGGTGACATCCCCACTCTATAACGGGCTTTGAGGAGGAGTAGCAGTCCCTGGTCTTCTTGGCTTGCCCATCTCAGCCTGAAACCTCCACCCTATGAGTTGGCTGGGGTGTAGGTGTTTGGAGCCCCAGTACTCTTGGCTGCTGCAGTTGGGGCAGAGCTTCCACCCTACTGGTGGCGGTGCATGGTGGTGGAAGCAAGACCTGTTCCTCTTGGCCATGTCTACCAGGAATAGAGCTCCTGCAACACGGGGCTGGGATGGACAAAAAAATGTCAGTAGCCTGCCCTTCTGAGGGTAAAACTGTAGCCCCAGACTGGGAACTTAAGGGAGAGGAAGGTCCCGTCCTCATTTTCTTAGTTGCACATTCTCAGGGTAGAGCTTCCATAACACAGACCTGAGGAGAGGTGAGGACATGGAATGAGCAAGTCATGGTTCAAGTGCCACAGACTGTCAGTGTTCTTACCAATATTTAGCAGATTTTCTTGAATAAATACTTCTCCATGTGTTGTTATGTCGTATGTCTTTAGGACAATTTCCAGAGACTTGGAATGATTTTTTAAAAAATACTTTTCACCAGTTAAATTTCTGTTTTGCTTGGGAGAGGGCCTGGGAAGTCCTGCTCCCACCTCTAAATCATTCCTTATTTCTGATGAATCATTTTCAGTGACTCTTATATTTATTTCCACGTATTAAATGTGTCTTTTATTGGGCTGTTTTAAAGATTTTTTTTTCTTTATCCTTGGTTTTCAGCCATTTGTCAATTATGTGCCTAGATATGAATTTCTATCTTTTTCTGTTTGAGGTATACTGGGCTTCTTAGATTCATAAACTGACAATATTCTCCAAATTTGGAAAATTTTCAGCCAAGTCTCCTTAAATATTTTTTGCCTCATTAATTCTCTTTTCTCCTGAATAACACAGATGTTAGATTGCTTATTATTTCCCTATTGGTAAGGAAGGCTCTGTTAATTTCTTTTCAAATATTCTTCTCCTTTAGTTGGTGATTTTTGTTGGCTTTTCTTCAAGTTCTCTGATCTTTCCTTCTGTTGTTTTCAAACTGATGTTGATCCCATCCATCATTTTTTCAGGTATTGTATTTTTCATTTCAGGTATTGTATTTTTCAGTTCTGAGATTGCATTTTTTTAGTTCTGATTTCCATTTGGTTCTTTTTCAGCATTTTCATCTCTTTCCTGAAATCCTCATGTCTCCACAAATTACACCTATTGTTTCCTGTAAATTCTGTAACATATTTACAATAGTAATTTTAAAGTCCTTATATGCTAATTCCAATACCTGCTTTGTTTGTGGGTATCCTTTTATTTTCTGGAGTTTCTCTCTTTTTATTATTGTCATATATTTCTGCTTCTTTGCATGTCTGGTAATTTTTATTGTATGCTGGACAATGTAGAAACTCTAAATTCTGTCATTTTCATCAGATGAGTATTTGGTTTTGTTCTAGTAGGCAGGTAAATTTCTTGTGGATAACCTTAATCCTGTGTAGGCTTGTTTCTAGGCTTTGTTAAGCTAGTTATATTTTATTTTTGCTCTTACTCCTAGGATACAACTCTGAGTTTTGGGATATGATCCTTATATCTAGGGCATGATGCTTCTGGCATACTGATGGAATTCAAGACATGTTTATCAAGCCCCACTAATTTGGTGAGATTTTAACTTCAAACTGTATCTCTCCAGTACTAGGCAGCTGCTGAAATCCCTGCTCAGCCTTCCAGCTGATGTTTTCTGCTATGCTCTTTGGAGTCTTGCCCTGTACATTTGTGGTTAAAGAGTCAGCCAAGGTTTTGAGAAGATTTTGTACATAATTCTGGGACCTCCCTGTTCTATTACTCCTAACCTCCTGGGATCCCCCAACAACCCACTTCAATTTCCAGTTGCTCTGGCAGCCCTGTACTCAAGCCTCTAATTCTTTAGTTGAAAAAGTCTACTTTTTCTGCAGGTGGTGGATGTCTGCAGGTGAAAAACCAGTTCAATATGTATAATATCTCCTCCAGTTTGTGCCTATTTTTGGTCCTTCTTGTGTGTGTGTGTGTGTGTGTGTGTGTGCAAGAGAGAGAGAGGGAGAGAGAGAAGAATGAGTTCATAATCAGTGGAAGGTTTAGTCTGATACAAACTACTCTGCCATTACTCAAAACTGGAAGCCTTTATATTTTTTAAACATTAATGAAATTATACCATATATTCTATTTTATAACATTTTGGTAAAGTTGAACAACATATTTTAGATATCATTGTATACATATATTTTAACTGACTTTATGTCTTTTGCCTGATATATGGTGTTCCAAGTATTCAATAATAAGGCTGTAAAACAAGGATAAATTATAAATGGAGTTATAGGTTATGAATTAGGTCTCTTTCAATGTTCTTTGAGAGATACTAAATTAGTTTCTTTTGAATGAATCTCCTTATAAGAGTGGACCACAAAAGACTAGTTATATTTGAGTCTGTAGCACCATGAATTGAAATAATCCTCTATAATGAACATTTTGGTTGTGTTCAGTTTTCGTTATTACAAGCAATGATGCAATGAACATCCTTGTACATTACTTTTCAGTCTTTCCTATAGGATTACTTGTAGGAGTTGAAATGTTGAGTCAAACTAAATCCACATTTATAATTTTAATAAATAATTACCAATTACTACTTAATAAGTCTATACTCCCCAACAGTAAATTAAATTGCCTATTTCTTCATAATTTTAACAATACTGGATGTTTTCAACTTTAAATCTTTCCCATAAACACAAACATGCTCATAGCATTTTATAAAAGTGAAATTGTCAAGTCCTCTTTTGCTGTTCTTAATCTTGATTCTGAGCTATTTTAAATTTCTCTTTCTAATTTCCTAACATTGTGGCTCAGTCTTAGAATAGGAAAATCAATTTTGTCTCTGGGCCCCCCACTCAAAAACAATTTGGATTCTATGTCCAGGCATGTTGCTTCTGACTATACTGATGAAGCATCATTCCCAGTTCAACCTGGTCCAGGGCTTTATTTCCTAGTGTTCTTCTACCATGGGTATTCGCAATTTACCTCATTCCTTTCACATTCCCTCATTTACTTTTGAAATTTACTGCAATCTCTAAAATAGACAGTTTTATCTTTGTAAATTAGGTCACTACAATTTCAGTTGAACCATATCCCTGTAATAATTGGTTCAAAAGTATTTTGTCAGTAAGAAATATTCTAATATGCCTCAAGAATTACTGCTGTAGCTTCCTTAACTTCCTTACTTAAAAAAAGTAGTCATTAAGAGAGCAAATTACATATTGGAACATTTTATCAGTAAAATATATATATTGATCTTGGACTTCCAAGTTTAAAAAATATATATATATATATGTCAAATACAACTTGAAGATAGCAGATATTAAACACACATGTTTTCCTGTACTTTTTATGGATCCCCACTAACTAACATACAGGAAGGAAACCGAAGGAGGAAAGGAGAATTGGAGGGAAAATGAAAGCCGTAAAATGTTGTGAGTTAGAAAACAGAAAGAGGAAAGACAACTGACCTAGCAGGTCTAGGACAGCTATGTCCTAAGTGAGCAAGCTAAGTAGTAGCCCATTTTCTAAAATAGAACCACAAAGCCTCAAGAATTAGAAGTAGCAGGGGTTTATGATTTGGGAGTAAAGGGGAAGACAAAAGTCTAGGAGTCAGACAGACACAAATACAAATCCTCCCTGCTCCCCAGCCCAAATTCTAATGCTTACTTTGTGTGATCAGAAAATTAACCCCTCTTTCCCTCAGCAGAAATTTGTGGTTTAGAGACAGCAAAAACAGAAGGTCTCTGAAGTGTGGGATACATGGCACAGTTGAAGGCAGCAATCATTTTGAAAGCATGAGGACTACATACTAAATGTTGAAGCCCTCTGCCACAGCTCATGGCCCTCTTCCATCACTAGGTTCCCAGAAAACTGTGCAGGATCTTAGAAGATTCTTCTCTGAAAACATCTGACAAGCCAAAAGAAAAGATCTAAAGATGCTGATATTAGGATTATCCAACAAACAGCTCAGCCTGATAATCCTACAAGTGAGCTAATGGTCTTGAAGCCCCACCCACAATACAGAGTCTCATTCAGCTTTTTAGGGCCCCAATTTTAAATATAAATGAACAGCCAATGATCACCTTTTAAAGAAAGCCTCTAACATGAAAGGCAGAGACTAAAAACAAAGAGATTAAAGTAACTTAGAGAAAACAGAAATTAGATAAGAAGACAAAAACTATCAGAGAGTTAAGAGAATATATTGTAAACATGAAGCAATAGGATGCTATTTTCAAATGGCACATTCATACAACAAAAGAGTCTTAGCAATTAAAAACATTATGTTATAAATTAAAAATCCAGTAAGAAGGTTGGAAGTGAAATTTGATTAAACCTTTCAAAAGACAACAAAATGACAAAAAATAAGAGAGAAAGGGTAAGGAAATTTAAGGATCAAGCCAGGAAGTCCAATATCCAAACACTATGAGTCATAGAAAGAGATAAAAAGAAAACAGGGTAAATGAAATCATCAAAAAATAATTTAAGAAAATTTCAAACTGAAAGTCATTGTGAGATAAAAGTTCCTATCAAGTGTCCAGCAAAATGAATAAAACATATTAGTCAAAACATATCATTGTGAAATTTAAGAACATTGGAATCAAAGAAAAAATTCTAAAGCTTCTAGAGAGGGAAAAATTGGTTAGACTCTAATAAAAAATCAGAATGACCATTAATCTTCTCAATAATGCTAGAAACGAGAAGTAATTCTGCAGAAAAATGAATTTTATAGAATTTTATACCCAGCCAAGCTATCAAATAAAATAAAGTCTTTTCCAGACATATAAGCTCTCAAACATCTGTGGGTTCCACATGCCCAGATTCAACCAACTGTGAATCAAAAATATACTGAAAAAAATAACAATACAACAATAACAATAATACAAAGAAAAAACAAGACAGTATAACAACTGTTTACATAGCAAACATTGTATTAGGTACTGTAAGTAACCTAGAGAAGATTTAAAGTATACAGGAGGATAGCCTGGCATGGTAACTCACATAATTCCAGCACTTTCAGAGGCCCAGATGGGAGGATTGCTTGAGTTCAAGACTAGCCTGGGCAACATAGTCATCTCTACAAAAAATTTTTAAAAATCAGCCAGGCATGGTGGCATGTGCCTGTAGTCCTAGCTACTAGGGAGGCTGAGGCAGAAGGATCCCCTGAGCCGAGGAGGTTGAGGCTACAGTGACCCCCAGATCACTCCACTATACTCTAGCTTGGGCATCAGAGTGAGATCCTGTCTCAAAATAAATAAATAAAGTATACAAGAGGATGTGGTAGGTTATATGCCAATACTACATCATTTTATACCAGGGACTTGAGCATCCATAGGTATTGCTTTCTGCAGAGGTCTTGGAACAAGTCTGCCATGGATACCAAGGGAGGACTGTACCAGTATGCAGTTCCTGTGCAGCCTGTAACTAGGCAGGGGTTGGGGGAGTGGGGAAGGTGATACATGGGGCATCACCCTAGGCTATCTGTTATGAAAAGCTTTTCTGTGCTGCCCATAGCAAGACCTCCTCACCGGAGCTTGGGATGTTTTACTTTAGCATCTACTACTACTCCTGGGAACAGCTGAGCACCAAGGATGTGAGTGTTGGAACGTTCTGGTCTAGGATTTGTTGATTCACTCTTTCAGCAAACATTGCAAACCTGAGTAAAAGCCAGGCACCCCTCATTCATTTGTTTATTCATCATCAAATATTTCTATATTTATTCCGTGCCTGACACTGTTCTAAGCACTCAACAAATACTCTCTCATTGCCTCCTTATAACGGTGTTATGAGGTTGGTTCTATGATTATCTGTCTTTCAGAGGTAAGGAGAGTGAAGCACAGAGAAGTTACATAACTTGCATAAGAAACATGTGTAAGATTTTTTGACTCAATGACAGTAGCATTTACAGTTCTCCATCACTTTCCCCGTACTGAGGGGTACACATACGTTTTTGTGTTTCCTTCATTCACTGAGACCTTCGTTAATCATGACTTCGTGTGCCAGACACTTCATTAGGAAAGAAGAGGACACAAGACACAGGTGGGCCCTCAGAGAGCTACATTTCAAGGAGGCAAATGCCAAGTGACCCTCACTTTTATCCTTGACTTTGGATCCAGCAAAGAGAATTGACTCAGGTCAAGAATGCTGTCATTGTCATTGGGATAGACTACTTTAAACAAAATAAATGATGTTTATGGGACATTAAACATGTGACCTTTGCCCTTATATGGCTCATGCTAAGGAGTCTATGTGGTGTACTTGCACAGACATTCCTGGTTCAGAAGAGAAAATGTGTGTGGGGCTAATATTCCCATCAAAATCCAACAGGAGCTTGGGCACGGTGGCTCATGTCTGTAATCCCAGCACTTCAGGAGGCTGAGGATGGAGGATCCCTTAAGGCCAGGAGTTCAAGATCAGCCTAAGCAGTATAGTGAAATCTCATCTCTACAAAAAATATAAAAATGAGCCAGGCGTGGTGACACACACCTGTAATCCTTGACACTTGGGAGGTGAAGTGGGAGGATTGCTTGAGCCTGGGACTTCGAGGCTATAGTAAGCTATGACTGTGCCTGCCTGGGGAACAGAGCAACACCTTGTCTCTATATAACAGTAAATAAATACATAAATAAAATCTAACTGGGCATGTGGCCATAGCTGCAGTGTTTCCCGACTTCATGTGTGTATCATTAATTAAGAATAGTTTGTATTAGGTGTTAGGCATTTATTTTTATGGGTACTGTAAAATATATAAATAACATTGACCCATCATTTCTAGTATACTGCTGTTTGGAATAAATAAAAAAAATTTAAGTGAATTAATTCAAAGAAATATATTAAACTAATAATGGCATAGGTGGTGCTTTAGATATTGAAAATTAGCAAAGTGGTACTCATGTGAAGCATACAGCAGTGCTTATTGGGGGTGTTACTGGTATTTTGGGTGGGGCAACTCTTCATTCTGTAGGATTATCCCCAGCCCCTGCCCATCACATGGCAGTAATGCTAACCCTAACCCCCGCCAA
This sequence comes from Homo sapiens, assembly GCF_000001405.40. Classification (NCBI taxonomy): domain Eukaryota; kingdom Metazoa; phylum Chordata; class Mammalia; order Primates; family Hominidae; genus Homo; species Homo sapiens. Next base: position 93,863,660 of record NC_000012.12, on the reverse strand, counting down.
TGTATGATGACAGCTTCACACACACACACACACACACACACACACACACACACACACACACACAAATGCCTCCACACATTTTCAAAGGCCACATAGTAGAGGCCTGGGGGGATTTAGTATCACCTCTGACTGGGAACTATTGCTAAACAGAAGCTAAAGACTTGTCAGATGCCCCACTGGAAAAACAAACAAGCTACGTTCGGGTATTTTTGAAGTAGAATGAAGGGAAGATAAAACTCAAGTTCAATTACCAAGCAGCTTAGTTGGGGAGGCACCACAGTAAGCAAATGAGAACCGAAATGAGAAGATAGCAAAGGGATGAGAAGTCCTGGCAAGCGTGGGGACAGACCGCAGAGGCCTGGGGCTATAGACAGAACTTTCCTGGCTCGGGGCTGCTGTTATAGGGCAAGACCAGTTCCTTCCTGCTTGTCTTACAGGTGCCACCTGGCATCTGACAACGACCAGAGACAATGCCCACTGCCTCTTGAGGAACAGGCAATACAACCACTGCTTGAACAGAAATGCAGCATGATATCAAGCCAGGGGATATTTTGCAAGGATACAAGTCATATAATAAAAAATGTGACAGATTTATTAATCATTAAAGAAGGAAAAGAAGGTTCCAGAAAACCACGGGTCTCTTTCCATGTGCCCCATAATATGCTGCTAACAGTAAACATGAATTGTTGGAGGAGGAGAATAAATCAATGTTTTTTGCATACCACTCAAGATACTGTTCATACCTTTTTAAAAATCTTGGTTATTACTGGCTCCTTTGACCCACTAGTTTTCCCATTACACCCCAAGGTTGAGTGTTCTCTACCTCAATGTGTCTGTGGGATAAATCTTTCCAAAGATGTTAATAGGTGGTGTCATGGAAGAGAGGTTTTCAATGTCAAATAAGTTTGGGAAATACCACACATTTCTGATTTGGAGATTCACAGTTCACACTGGCACTTTAAAAGTGTTGAGATTTCTTTTGTTTTCTTGGTAGTCTAAAGGGTGAAACCCAAACTCTTGGCCTGGTTTTAAAAATTAGCTGACTCACCCCACCTTACTTAACAGATGTAATTTTCATGAGAGGCAGACTCACAACAAAGGCTCCTCCTAGGCATCCTAACCATCTTCACTTCTGGGCCCTCTCTCACCTTCCCCTTCCTCTAGCACACCTTTCCCAGGCTTTCCACTTACTCCACACTCCCGTCAAGCCCCAGCTCAAGATTCATCTCCTTAACTCCTATTCCCTACAGCGAACTTTCTTTCTACTGTGAAACTGTATCTATACAAGGTGGTGTCATGTCGCTTTGATTACTTCAATGTTGCCTTGGAATTATCCTCGGGGTGTATGATAAAGGTAGTTTGTAAGCAGTTTGCCTATTTTCAACTTCTCATGGGAGTCTATTATTGCACCATGGGCCTTGTAGAAAAAAATACTGCTGGAAACATTTCCTGGTGGACGTGCTGATGGCTAGCTTTGTTCCTTTGTAAGACCACTTAGATTCTCTGTGGAGAAGGAAAGAGGTTTAATGTACTCACAGTTCCACATGGCTGAGGAGGCCTCACAAAGGCATGGTGGAAGGCAAAGGAGAAACAAAGGTTCTCTTACATGGTGGCAGGTAAGAGAGCTTGTGCAGGAGAACTCCCATTAATGCAACCATCAGATCTCATGAAACTTACTCACTACCACGAGAAAAGTATGGGGGAAACCGACCCCATGATTCAGGGATCTCTACCTGGCCTTGCCCTCGACACCTGGGGATTATTACAATTCAAGGTGAGATTTGGGTCGGGACACAGCCAAACCATATCACCCTGTCTTCAAAAAAGAAAGAAAATGAAATAAAATATATTCAGAACCTGACCACTGCTCACCACCTCAATGCACAAGCTATGTTCCCCTGGAGGCTGAGTCTGGGATGGAGCTGAGTGGGTGGGGAGTTTATTAGGGGGTACTCTTGGAATCAATGCCTGTGGAAAGGAAGAAGCTGGGCTGTGACGTAGTCACAAGGAAGGCCTGAGCGGACTCCTTGAGGAGCTCTGAACTGGGGTGACCCTTAGGAGTTGTCCTGAGTTGAGGTGCAGGGCCAGGCCTTTGTAGCCCTCACTAACAAGCCTCCAGGCAGGGGAAGTGTCACTGGGCAAGACAACTGTCTTTAGCAGAGGCAATACTTGAAGAGGGCTGACAGCCAAAGGCCATTAGCTGGAGCTTCCTGGCTGCTGGAGGAATAAATGTTTAATTCCTGAAGGAGACCTAAGCATCCTCCACCACACTTCACTATGGCCATCTTGATTGGAGCCCCTCTCTTCTCAAGAGCAGTGCAACAGCTCCTCACTGGTCTGCCTGCTTCAATCCTCTTATCACACAAGCTAGGGTAATCCTTTGAAAATATGTTAGATGGTGTCCCACCTCTGCTCAAAGCCATCATGTCAGTACTTTCCTGCCTCAACCTGAGTAACATCCAAAGTCATCACAGTTGTCTGTACCACCCTGCAGCCTCTGCTCCCTCAGCTCTCAGGCCTCAGCCACTACCCTTCCCCTCTTTACAACGGCACTCTAGAGACTCTGAACTCCTCGCCGTTCTTTGAAAATCTTGGCCAAGTTCTGTTAAAAGATAAATGTATGCATATTAAAATGTCATGAGTTTATTTGAGCTTTAAATGATTCAGGAATCGGGCAGCACCAGACCACAAGCAGCCTGGCGCTCCGAGGGGAGGAGAGGAGGGGGCTTTTATAAGGTGCTCATGGAAGCAAGACAAAGAAAATATTTGGTTAAAGCAGAAAGTCCCTGGTGAGAGGTCAGTTTCTGATTGGTAAAGTCTCTAGTTAGAAGTTAGCTGGCAGTTTCTGATTGGTTACGCTGGTTTCATTTTACTGTTTACATTGAGTTGGTTTTCCATTTGCTTAGGTAGCAACCAAAGGTGCTGAAGGTGACTCATGTAAATGTCCTCCTGATTAATTATTTTAACAGTTCCCATCTCAGGGTTTTCCCATTTTACTGTTCCCTCTGCCCAAAATGTTCTTTCAGGCCTCAGCACGGCTCCCTCCCTCGGGTTTTTACTCCTGTCACCTTCTTGTGGGGGTCTTCTCTGGCTGACCTTTTGGCAACAGTACTACTCCTTTGCCTGGCTCTTCCTGCCCTTTGCTGCATTCTCTTTCTCCATAGCAAGGGGCTCAAGGGGAGAAATTACAGACTGTCACATTGACTGCTATATCCCTACCACCTATATTCATGCCTGGCACATGGCAGGTGCTCAAAAAGTACACTTTGAATGAATTTCTATAAGCTACAGAAAAAGGTTCCATGATTGGTCCAAATTGAAAATTGGTCCATGATTCTCTAGGAAAGTAAAAGGAGCTGTGTTTCCTTTCCTGTTGTTTAGCTTTGGTCAGACAGGCCATTTGTTTTTCTTTACTCAAATTAAATATGGAGTTAGCTTAAGTACCTCTTATTGAACAAGCAAACAGTTAAGATGTCAGAATTCTGATATCTTATACCTAAACCTTATAAAAACTTTTTTTTTTTTCAAATTTGCGTTGGCCTCTTAAAAGTTGAAGAATTTTCACACTGTTAAACTTCCTCCAAGGCTTTTGTTCCCTAAAAGCAGTGATGGTTAACAAACCCCCTACATGAGCCAAATACAGTGGCCAATGTCTGTAATACCAGTACTATGGGAGACCAAGGCAGGAGGATGGCTTGAGCCCAGGAGCTCGAGATCAGCCTGGGCAACACGGGGAGACCCCATCTCTATATAAAAAAAAAAAAAAATTAGCTGGTCGGGGTGGTGCGCCTGTAGTTCTGTAGTCTCAGCTACTTGAGAGGCTGAGGTAGATCACTAGAGCCCGAGAGGCTGAGGTTGCAGTGAGCCGTGATTACACCACTGCACTCCAGCTGGGGAGACAGAGTGAGACCCTGTCTCTTAAAAAAAAAGAGAGAGACAAAGAAATCTCCCACCCTTTTGTGTTTCAAAAGAAACAGCCATCCCCACAAAGGACAACCCAGCCCTGGAATATTCTGTGATAAGACCCACCTTCATCCTTCCTCAAGGCTCCCATGAGGATTCATGGGAGACCAGGACCCCTTCCTTTCCTTTGAGTTATTCTTCATTAATAAATGTTCTCCCTATTGCAAGGGCATGAATAAAATCATATCCTTAATTGTCCAGTGCATTTTGTCTTTCACAGTTTGATGCCAAGACTTGGATATAATTGGACCTCACCTTCCAATTCCCAGTTACTCCACACAGGTAACGAGGCCTTAGGTCATCTCTAAGTTGCTCAGTGGGATGGGGTAGAAAATTGGTGATTCCCTTCCTCCCCATCATAAGGATCATGGCCAACACCCTATAACAAAAGACAAGTTAACCAGAAAAAAAGTAACAAATGTATTTGATTATAGCTTTTTAAAAAACAATTTAAAACAATTTCATTTTAAAAAATGAAAGCACTTACATTAACCCTAAAAATATAAATATAGCAAACAGGTAACTGGGTGTGTTAAACACTCATCTGCACACACAATCAGGCATTTATGGAAGCATATGCCCCACTGTGCATGTAAAGACAGGTTTCATTTGCACTTTATTGCTTCAAACAATGAACAGCCTATTTGATCATAGTTTTACATGACAGGTGAGCCTTCAGAACGAAGACCCAGAGACTCAGGAGAAGCTCTCTGATTTTATGCTTAGGTTTGATGAAGCAGGGACAGTCATGTGGAAATGTGATTGGACAAAAAAGGCTATGATCTAATGGAAATAGACTGCGTGGGGAAACCTACAAGGCCTGGCTGTTCAGATCCTTCTTGGCCTCTCCATGCAGCATTCCTTCCTCCCAGGTATGGGGTAGGACCCCTCTGGGATGAGGGTCTTAGTTTCTTAATGGCCAAGTGTTACACAGAAGAATGGTGGAAGGTTAGAATAATATTTCTAGGTTTTATGGCTGGCTTTGGGGAAAAGGAGTTCTAGTTTCTATGACCCATCTTGGGGAAGAGGGATTACAGTTTCTATGGCTTATCTCCGGGGAGAATGAGGGGTGAGAGACAGAGCGGGCAGCAGAAGGTCAGAGAGAGACTTTGCTTCTGAGGCTGCTTTGGAGGCTTTCATTTTGGGGTATTGTTTTCTGAGTCCCAACAGTGGCAATGATGTTCATTTTCAACAAAAGGGAGGACTGACAATGTTGAACTTAATCTAAGTCTTGTACTCTAAAAAGTAGAGATGTTAAGAAATCTTCTGCCCTTTTGGGTTGTAGGAACTGGCTAATTGCCAAGGACCACACAGGCTTTGCATACTCTGAAGTAAGACCCACCTCCGTCCTTCGTCATGCTCCCATAAGACTCTCTTTGTCTCCATAAAAGCCAGGCTCATTCTTTTCTTTGAGATATTTCTTACTAATGAATGTCCTCCTATGGCAACAGCCTGAATAAAAATCATATCCTAATTTACTGGTGTATTTTGTCTTTCACACTTTCATAAGGAGGGGATTTGTGTTGGGAGGGTTTATTTATAGCCTTAAAGTGTCTGTTGGGAAATCAGCAGCTGACAATAATGAGTGACAAAAGAGCTCTTGACAATAGATAACAGACAGCCAAAGGGTCTGCTCCCTCAGCAGAAAACCAGCATGAAGCTCAGTTTCAGAGCAGGGAATAATTATTACTTCCAGAGGCTGACAGAAACTTGATTCAAGCAGATGGTTGGACAAAAATATATTGTTGGAAGTAATTTCCCAGCATAAAAAATAAATGTCACTTTATATAATTTGTCCATTAAATCAACTATCTCCAATGTGCTAGCCACAAAAGACTCAGTCCTCCTCTGTCTGGGGGCTCTGGTTGTAAAGAGATGATGTGGAGGCAGAAGTCCCTGGAAGATGGAGACTGTCATACATCACTTGTCTACAAGCTCTTGCTCCCCCTCTTGCCATGTGATCTCCGAACAGGGAGCTCCCCTTTGCCTTCTTCCGTCATAAGTGGAAGTAGCCCAAGGCTTCCACCACATGCCCAGTCTTTAGTCAGCAGAATCGTGAGCCAAATAAACCCTTTGTCTTTATAAATTACCCAGCCTCAGGTATTCCCATGTAGCAACACTAAATGGACAAAGATAAACCACTACCTACTATTTATATTCAAAGAAATATTCCTAGACAGACACCCTCATTCTTGGCCAGGGCACACACCAGGAGCACCAAATTCATCAGCAGTCTGTAACTGGGCTTACTTAAAGCATTTGTAGGCATTTGTTGTCCTTGAATTAGCAACAGGCTGATGAGTCGTGCTGAAGACCTTGATATTGGCCAAGTCCTCACAAAATTGATTCATCTTCTAGAAGCTGACAAGTAGGAGGTTATACGTCACCAGAAGAAAGACTAGTAACTACTTGATCAAATCCAATCCGTTTTATATTTCCTCCAAATATTCTCCATTAAGAATGTAATTTGACATCAAAAACAGCCCTGCTTAGAGATAGAATATGAAAATGAAATGGAAACATTATGAGTATTGCCAAGATGTTGGGTTTTTTTTTTTTTACTTTTTAAGTGCTCAAACCTGGATTTCATAGCCTATGCTTTGAATTAACAATAGCTATCAGAATTATTGCCATATATTTTGCATAAGTTTAATAGACAAGGCTTAATTGGCTCACTGAACTGTGTCTTTGTGAGACTTTAATTTTCCTGTAAGAACACTAAATGCCAACAAGATAGACATCCCTGTTCTTCTAAGCTTTGTTTATAGTTCCAAGAAGTAAACAGGCAGTTATTACATTTAAAAACTTCCCCTGTATGCCAGCAACATCTAATTTGAATATGTGGGAGTTTTAGAGGAAAAGGGATAGGGATGTCATAAAAAAGAACCCCAAAATATGCCTAATACCTAAAACTTGAAGCCTGATCTTGATCCCACTGTGGATTAACAAACCACATGTTTCTCAATGTCACTGTCATCTTGATGTATAGGATATTTGCCACTTAGTTTCTAAATTGCTCTGAGATCACATTTTGGAGGCATATTTATCTTGCATATCCATGGCAAGGAGAGCCATTTGTCAAACTGGATGTAAAATAAATTAAATGGGATTCTGCTGCCCATACACATTAAGGCCTCCCAAAGAGACCAACATGCTAACTTGGGCAGGACTTACAAAAGCTCAGTTGAAGTATTACCTCCTCTGTGGCCAACTTAATTGCTCCCTCTGTGCTTGCCATAGTTGCTGGTGGTTATAGCTGTCTCCCCAGCAGGCTGAGATCCTGAGAGCAGAGACTATGGCTTATTCATCTTTGTATCTCTGGTAACTTGCATAGTGTTTTGTAATCAGCAAGAATTTGCTCAAAGACTGTAGTTATTCATTTAATGGTAGACAACTGTTAGATCAGAATCCACCCCAACTCTGAGTATGCTCTGAAGTGTGCCACAGTTCATAGCCACTTATCTTTAGAGTCCTGATAAAGATATTGAGGGACTATGCAGTTTCTATTTCTATACCACAAACATCTGCAGGAGGTGATTCTACCCTCACACTTCTCAGAGCCCTGGGAGGGTGAAGAAGATTAGAAAAACTGGGCCGGGCGCAGTGGCTCACGCCTGTAATCCCAGCACTTTGGGAGGCTGAGGCAGGTGGATCACGAGGTCAAGAGATTGAGACCATCCTGGCCAGTATGGCGAAACCCCGTCTCTACTACAAATGCAAAAATTAGCTGGGCGTGGTGGCACCCACCTGTAGTCGGGAGGCTGAGGCAGGAGAATCGCTTGAACCAGGGAGGTGGAGATTGCAGTGAGCCAAGATCATGCCACAGCACTCCAGCCTGGCGACAGAGCAAGACTCCGTCTCAAAAAAGAAAAAGAAAAAGAAAAACTCTGATAGCCAAAAGAATTCAACTCAATGGTTTAACAAAACATCTTTGCCAGGCACTGTTCTAAGCATGTTATACCTTTCATCTCATGGAATCCTCACTGTGACCATAGGTGGGTACTGTTATTTGTTTGCATTTTACATGTGGGGAAACTGGCACCCAGAGGTGGAGTAACTTGCCCAAGTGACAGAGCCTTAGATACAGTGTTATTATTTCCCATACCTCTCACTTCCCAAGAAGCCAGGCAAATGGATCATTTCTCCTCTGCATTCCCATAGACTCGATACTCAGGCGCAGGCCTGATTGCATTGTGTTGTAATTAGAGCTTCATGTCTGTCTCATTGGTCAAACAGTGAGTTCCTGGAGAAGAGGAACTGTGTATTTATTAGTAATCTTTTCGCCTCCCTGCTTAGCGGAGTGACTGGTGTGCAGTAGCCTCTGCTTGAGAGTTTGCTGAATAGCTGAATGAGGTGAGGCTCTGTCCAAAGCTGCCACACCTGGAGAACTCCCCAGAGAAAGGGATGAAGACAGATTCATCCTGCTGCCTCAGGCCTGTGTGTGTGTGTGTCTGTGTGTCCAACAGCAACTTTCACAGTGGGCCACGGAAGTTAATTTTTTTTTTAAGACGGAGTTTTGCTGTCTCCGAGACTCGAGTGAAGTGGCGCGATCTTGGCTCGCTGCAACCTCCATCTCCTGGGTTCAAGCAATTCTCCTGCCTCAGCCTCCCGAGTAGCTGAAATTACAGGCACTGGCCATCACATCTGGTTAATTTTTATATTTTTAGTAGAGACGGGGTTTCACAATGTTCCCCAGGCTGGTCTCGAACTCCTGGAGCTCAAGTGATCCGCCCGCCTCAGCCTCCCAAAGCGCTGGGATTATAGGCGTGAGCCACCACATCCATCCCTAAAATATTTTTTAAAAGTTTTTAAAAAGTATTAAAAAGTCAAAATAGTTTTTAAAAATATGTTATTAATACTTTAAGCCCGGCGATTCCACTTCTAGGAGATTATGCTAAGCATCATCATGGCTGTATGTCTGGAGGCCATAAACGTATGTGGCTGAGCAGGTAGTGAGCAGGTGGAAGGAGCTGGGCAAAGGATGTGCATTCTGTGGGGTGGGGGATGGGAAGGACCATGGCATGCTAGGAAAGGCTTGCCTGTTACTGTGATTCAAGGACAGGGATCCAGAGTAGCCAAAGATTGTTTTTCAATAGGGCCCAGAAATCTCAATTTAAAAATATTGGCTGTGGTGGATTGCACGAAACGGACCCAAATTATTCCGCTCCTCTCTCCATGCCTTTTGGTAGAGCCCTCCCGCACTGACTCTGAGCTGGCACATGACTGGCTTTGGCCAGAAATGTCAGCAAAAGGGATGCAAACAGAGGCTTGAAAGGTGTTTCCACATGGCGGCTTGCCTTCTTGCTGTCTGGGGAACCCCTGCCACTACTACCAAGTAAAGAAGGCAGGGTAACCTGACAGATAAAAGGCGTGTGACCTAGACACAAACGACCCATTGCCCCAGGAAATAGCCTACTACTTTCCAGACACATGAGTGAGGCCGCCCTAGAGCATCCTGCCTCAGCCAACCCACCAGCTGACCACAGATACACGAGAGAGCCCAGCAGAAATCAGCTGAGCTGGCCCAGATCGGAAGAGCAAGCCCAGCCAGCTCACAGAATTGTGGGCTAAATTTTAAGCCAATACATTTGTTGTTTTAAGCCATTACATCTTGGGGGTAGTTTGCTATATAAAAAAGCTAATTGAGAACAAAATTAAAATATGTTTGGCGCTAAACAAACCAGGGATCCAGTTCATTGTAACATATGATGAATGTAAAGATTTAACCACAAACACTCCCTTCCTTGCATCACTGTTTATAACAATGAAAAGGCAAAACCGACCTAAAGATCCACGCAGGGAAGTGGTTAAGACATGACGGCGCATCCACACACTGGAAAGCTGTGCATCATTGAAAATGACGGCAGCGAATAGTGGCAACACGTAGACTATCAACCCTTCATAAGCGTGCCATCACATTTGGATCAACAGGTAAAATTCATTTGCCCTCCCAGAACACGTACTCTTGTGGAAATGGAACACGAAGCTGATTGGATCATCAGGCAGTGTAGAGGCCATCTTGCTGTTAGGAAGAGATAAAATCTCAGAATAAAGCCCAGACTGTGCTAAACTTTGCTTTTTGAGGATATAAGAGTGCATAGAGGGGAGCCGTAAACAGCTCTACTGCTTGGAACATGGTTCCAAACGGGGATGGAGCAAAAAGTGGGACAATGGTTTTGAGAGTGAAAGACATTGCTATACTTATTGTCATCTTTTTAGTAGCTAAGTGTCCTTTTATCTCTTCAAACATGCCACAAAAATTATAGGACTCGAAAGTGTGTTGTGAACACAAAGGATATTGAAATCATTGGCACAGAGAAATAATGACACAGAAAGACAGTTTGATGTTATATAAAAGATGCCACTTGTAAAGCAGCAGGTACAATATAATCCCATTCTTGTAATAAAATTGAAAACTTAATTTAGTTAATTTTAAGCCATGAATATAAAGATCATTTGGAGTATGCCATTGAGGAATATTAAAAAGATGCATCATTTTAATTACACAGTTTAGTCTCTCTAAATAGTCCCACATCGACAAAAAAAAATAAGTGTATTATCAGTTGGAAAATATAACACTTTTTATAAGGAAATGCAGAGAAAATCCTATTCTTTTTATGAAAAGGATATGCAGGCAGAGAAAACTAATTGGAGGACAGGGATAAAAATTGGGATGTACAGTGCTTAGATGGGAGTAGGGGTAATTCTTATTTTTCTTCATCTTATTGTGTTTTTTTTCAAACTGCCATAATAAACATGTACTTCATGTTGAAAAAATTAATAAAAGTTATAGTTTTAAAAACATGAAGGGCCACACTCATGCATGCATATGCACACACACACACACACACACACACACACTCCAACCCAACCCAAAGTGGTGCAAGACTATATATTCATATACTTTCTGTCAGTGCCGGCAAATGCTCTTGCCACCTCGCTGCATTCATTCAGTTTTCTTGGGGATAAACAGTCTCTGAAATTGTAGAATCTTCTCCCATACAAACACAGGAAATCCCTGCAGGCTCTTCACCTCCCCAGTTCTGTTAGGAGGTAGGCAGCTGCTATGTAGCATTATTCTTCATGGCCAGAGGTAGTACCAAGATAGGGATTCAGCTGCTCTGTTCTTCCACTCTGCAAATCTTCTGCAAGCACGTGAGCAGGCCAGGGAGGGGCTGCCGCCATTTGGTGGTGAAGACACTCTGCTTGTGAAGGGCAACAAGTCAGAGGTCTCTAAGGGCCCCCTCGGCCCTGTCTGTCTGGCCCATCGTGGGCTTGTTCTTCACTAATTGTCTCTCACTGCTGACAGAGCCCACGAGTGTCTTTATGCGTGACAGATTCCTTGCAAATGGTGAATGGCGGAAAGATGACCCAGCTAATCATCAGACCTGCTTCTAAAATGCCATCTAGTCAGACGCAGCAGAGCCCAGCTCTACTCACTCATCCATGAATGTGACTCTGAGCTGTGAGAACAAAAGCCAAAGCAACTCTCTATTAGGAAACCCAGGGGGAAGACAGCAATGTAATAAGTCCCAGGTTCAAAATGACAAGTGATTCACTGAAGATGCCACAGCAGTACAGTCTATCACTGGGCACAGTGATATGGCCAAAAGCATGAGAATTTTATAAGATAATGAATTATTGGCTGGGCTACAAAATGAAAAATTTGAACTGATAAGGCCAGTAGACTATCCTTTTGAACCGAATTCACTGGAAGAATAAACTGTGGCATAGCAGCTCTTTTTTAGTAACAGGAATATGGTTACAAGATGCCTGAAAGGATGTTATCCACACACTATTGTCATCTTTTTAAGTACCCACTTCGTGCTCAATTCTACCATTCCATAAATTTATTCTTGGAATGGAGAGAAATAAAAAACATGATTTTTTTCTCCCTTTTGAAAAATCCTGAGTTATGTTAGAATTAGGAAACAGATTCCGTAATTATTAAGAAGGATAGATCACAGACTGGCCCCATTGTAAAGTTTATAAAATCAAATCCCATTTTAAAGCTTAGTAAGAAATGTGGCAATAGTAGCTCCTCCCACAGTGCCCTCAGCTTTCAGCCACTATTCAGCTTTGCCTGTGGTCTAACCATACCTTCAGCCACAGTGGCGGCAAATTAACAGCTACCATTTCCTGAAAGCTGACAATGAGCTGCATCTGGATGTGCTGTTGGCGGACATTATTGCTTTAATCATCACAAAGACCTCAGAGGTGAGTACAATCATTTCCCCATTCTGCCAATGAGGAAACTGAGGTGTAGAGAGGGTAAGTAACTTGTCCAAGGCCATACACCTAGTAGGCGGGGAGCAGGATTCAAGCTTCTTCAATGAGCATGCAAGAGAGAAGGGGAGGAGCCCTGTGGAGCAGTTGGAAAGGCTCAGGAGCCGGCACCCAACCTCATTCACCCTGGGCCAATCACTCAATCTCTGTACAGAAGGAGGTGAACCACCTTGCCCACTGCCCCACAGCATTGCTGAGAGGTCCAAATGAGATCACATACAGGAAAAGCCGTGAAAACAGTAAAGCATTCTATAAACACCATGTGCTATTGATAAAAGGACAGAAGACTAAATCATACTCCTTAGGAGCACAACACTTCAGTCATTCTGGCTTCAATGGAAAGACCACACCCCCTCTCGTCCCCTGACTTAATGCTTTCAATAAACAGCACAGGATTTTCTCGAGCGATCTTTTAAAGATGAAGGGCTCGGGTATGCATGCTGGTCCTTGAACTGGTCTTTGCAGGGAGCTTTAGTGTCTTACAATATTTAATACAGACATCCTGCCTGAGCTATTTATCCTGACTTGGGAAAGTAACCATTTCACTGTTACTATTAATTCTGTTCCAAAAAGAAAAAAAAGACTATTGTAATTTTACACCCTTAATCTATGCAACACAGGAATGAGAAAGAAAAAAAAAAACCCAACACGGTACTTTCTCATGAGTGAGGCACATTATATATAGTAATTCGCATTTTATTATTTTATCATTATGAATAGTAAAGTCCACAGTTCAGTCCTCAGACAACATTCAGGTAAATGTTTTACATATGAGACACCTGCCTGTAATGTGATGACATGAGATATATATATGGATATATATATATATGGATATATATTTTGAACCACTGTGATTTACTAGTCTATTAAAATGCCATTACACATTTAAAAACTGAACAATTACAACAATGCAATCTTCAAGCAATTAAAAACAAAGAATTGTTGAGCCAACATGGGAGATCTGCTGAGTAATCTGGCCTTTCAAGTAATGTCTAGTGGAAACCCTGTTTTCTCCTTCCATCTGAAGATCATCAAAAATAAAAAACAAACCTACACAAAAAACCACCTGCTCTGAGTGAAAGTCAGGATTCAGCCCACATGACTCAGGGACACACTCCCCAGCGGTTGCTGGAGGCACCATCACTCCAACATGTGCAGGAGCAGCGAGGGGTCCACCTCCACAGCCCGCAGCCCGTTGTGCAGGCTCTGGAAGGTGGCCTGCTTCCCGAAGCGCTGCCGCCAACGGATGAAGGCCTCCACCACCTGCGACTGCACGTTGTGGGGGTGGTTGGCCTTACAGCGGTAGATATCCGTCTGGGACAGTCCCAGAGACAGCACCATGGGCTCCCACTCAGGGCCCAGCCTCTGGGCCAGCTGGTTAATCTGCCGGTCTGATGGGGAGCTGTTGAGGATGTGCGAGGGGATCCCAGTCAATCTGTCACCTGAGGAGGAAAAAGACACCCCGGTGAAATGAGCAAGGCAACAAACACATCATTTGGGGGCAGAAATGAGAATCGTGGGGAGAAGAAGGCAATGCTTCCAAATGGCAGAGCCAATTGGCTCTTGTCTTCTTCCTGGGGGCTGCTCTGTACAACGCCATGATTCAGGGCTTCAATGCTGTTAAGTATCTGTGAAAATGTTTTTACAGAAACTTTTTTTTTTTTTTTTTTTGAGACGGTGTTTCACTCTGTCACCCAGGCTGGAGAGCAATGGCATGATGTTGGCTCACTACAAACTCCACCTCCTGGGTTGAAGTGATTCTCCTGTTTCAGCCTCCCAAGTAGCTGGGATTACAGGCAACTGCCACCATGCCCAGCTAATTTTTGTATTTTTAGCAGAGACAGGGTTTCACCATGTTGGCCAGGCTGGTCTTGAACTCCTGACCTCAGGTGATCCACCTGCCTTGGCCTCCCAAAGTGCTAGGATTACAGGCGTGAGCCACAGCACCCTGCCTGTTACAGAAACTTTGAAAGCAACAAAATAAAAATAACTAGAAATCCCACCAGAAAAACTCATTGATAATAACTAGTCTATTTTCTTTGATATATAAAACACACATGAAGGGTTACCTCGTACATGCTGCTTTGTAACAGGCTTTTTTCACTTCTATCCCTTTTACTCAAGGCCAGGCAAGGCATTCTGGGGGAATTCAAGAATGGCTGCACAGACCCCAGCTCCCTCTGGCACTGTCTGTGGCCTTAGTGATGGGGCCTGTTCCAAGGCTGGGAATGCCCCTCCCTGCAGGAAAGGCACGTGCTAGAGGACAAAGGCTAAACCAAACAGCTACCCTCGCCGATGAGGTTGAACTTGAAATATTACCGAGAAAACGTGTAGCTGCTAACAGAAGCCAGAGCCAAGAGGGCTGCTGAGAACAAAATAAACCTAAGAGGCCATAGGGTAGCAGGAAGGGAAGAGAGCGGGGTTTGTTCATAGCAGAGGCCACAAGAGTGGAGTTACCGTTCTGGCAGAGCCCAGAAGAGGAACAGGAAGTATGAGACGGGGCAACGAGGAAATCTGACCTTACACTTCCTGAACTAGATTCTTATTTGCCTGAGGCCAGTCTGCTAAGAAGCATGACATTGAGTGAATGGTTATAAATGTGCCCAGCAAAACCAGTGAGCAGTGCCTTTGGTTATACAGAGGAGCTCCTAACTTCATTAGGGAAGGCCTTCCAGGGGAAGGAGGCTAAAGCTAAGCCCTGAACACTAGGAGGAGGAGCTGGGTGATGAAGGAGGAACAGGGCGTGGCGCATCTCGAGAAGAGAGAATTGCATGTGCAAAGGCCCAGAGGCAGGAGAATCGCAATGGAGGAAGTGAAAGGCACTCACAGCAGCCAAGTGCAGAGATTGAGACGGACTCCAAACATCCAAAGTCATTTGCTAGGTTCAGACATTTGTTTGACAGCACAGTACACTATACTCCCATCCATCAGCATCACAGGGATTCAGGTCAGTCTACTTCATGCTCATCAGTCCACTATTGTGTTTTGATTTATGATTCAATAAGAAGGCAAAGGCACCTTATTACAAGAGCTGATGTTTTCCACAGCCCATGTCTTTGGCCTCTGGGCAGCGGCCAGCACCTTAGAGATGAGTTGCAAAAATATTGTCAAGGGCTCTTTCTGGTGTTTGTCAACACTACAATTTAAAAAACAATGACTATGACGCAATTAGAATACTGATGACACTACTGATCAATAGTTGAGATTAACAGCAATGATTTTACGGCTTGTATAAAAACATAGGCTCATTAAAAAAAAAATAAAGCAACAGAAAACAGCGCAAAGAAGAAAAGAAATCATCCAATATCCCGCTATTGTGTTTACAGTTGGTGACCATCATTCTGGATATCTCTGTATGCACATACACTGGTAGAAGGCTAGATAGAGGGTAATGGGTTCATTTAAAATGATAACATATGACCTTTTCTTTCCAGTAAGAGCTATGTAATTTTGTTTGGATGTAACAGAAGAAAAAGCAGAAGTGAAACAAAATGACATTCTGACCAGCGGTTACAAGTTAACATACTTGAAAACATACACACACACAATTTAATGCACAGAAAAAAGTTACGAAAACTCAAGGGTTAACTGCATGTTTTTATAGAAATACTCTATAATTACTTTACATTTCCTCTCCACTTCCTCACACTTGATTTTTTTTCACTTACATAATTTTTATTTTGCCAGATGCCTAATAGTTATACATTTCTTTAACAATCATCCATGCCCCCTTGCCCCATTGTTTAGTCCTAAGGTGGCATTGTAATGGTTGAATGCTCACCAGTGTTTTGTTGTTGTTGCTGTTGTTACTGTTCTTCATCTGTGGCTTTTCTACTCCTGGGTCTGTTCTTCTGATTTGAGTCATTTGGGTCAATTTCATCACAGGGAGGTTTTTTTTTTTTTTTTTTTTTTTCAAGCAATGCTCATGACTGCCATAGTCTCTTGACTTCTTTCAGGTCAAGGCATCCTGCTTATTGCCTTCACTGGAATAATAACTTAATATTTAGAGAACAATTTTATATTATTTTTATCTTTTTATATTCTTAACAGTATAATATAAAATTATATTCATAATTTTAAATTATATTATTTAAATAATGTTATTTCCCTTAAAAGTTTGTAGACCTTGTTCGTACTTTATGGTAGGGGTTGCTGATGTGGAGAATTCTGATACCAACTTAGTCATCCAGTATTTTGTGTAACTTGCTTTTCCTGTCTGAGGTCTAAATACTGAAACTTTAGACCAGGGTATATGTTATCCATTCTACATCTGCACTTTCAGATATGTGGCATAACCTTCTTTTTTTCTGAGACGGAGTCTCGCTCTGTCATCCAGGCTGGAGTGCAGTGGCGTGATCTCAGCTCACTGCAAGCTCTGCCTCCTGGGTTCATGCCATTCTTCTGCCTCAGTCTCCGGAGCAGCTGGGACTACAGGTGCCTACTACCATGCCTGGCTAATTTTTTTTTGTATTTTTAGTAGAGATGGGGTTTCACTGTGTTAGCC
Source organism: Homo sapiens (assembly GCF_000001405.40). Classification (NCBI taxonomy): domain Eukaryota; kingdom Metazoa; phylum Chordata; class Mammalia; order Primates; family Hominidae; genus Homo; species Homo sapiens. Next base: position 93,846,907 of record NC_000012.12, on the reverse strand, counting down.
AGGATGGTCTCGATCTCCTGACCTTGTGATCCGCCTGCCTCAGCCTCCCAGAGTGCTGGGACTACAGGCGTGAGCCACTGTGCCTGGCTGGCATAACCTTCTAACCAAAGATTCAGTTGTTTCTTCCTTTTGGGAAAATCTTCCTGGGTCACATGGTTGCATTCTTTTCTTGCTCCATATGCTGGATGGCTGTGCCTCTCCTCCATGGCTGTTATATTGTCCTTATTGCTTTAATCCCCTCCTTGGGATTATCTCACTCTTTGATTTTCAGCTATGTCCATCGTGTGTGTGTGTGTGTGTGTGTGTGTGTGTGTGTGTGTGTGTGTTCTGGTTTTAACGTTGTATTGTGTTTTTGTTCTTTATTTCTTTTCTTGGCTCTATCTTTTAAAAAATCCATTCCACTTCACACTCATTAGGAGAGCTACTATCAAAACAAAACAAAACAAAACAAAAAACAGTAAGTCCCAAATGTTGGCAAGGGTGTGGAGAAATTGGAACCCTTGTGCACTATTGGTGGGAATGGAAAATGGTGCAGGTGCTGTGGAAAACAGTATGGCAGTTCCTCAAAAATTTAAAAATAGAATTAGCATATGATCCAGCAATCCCACTTCTGGGTATATACTCAAAAGAATTGAATGCAGGGACTCAAAGAGAAATTCGTACACCTATGTTCATAGCAGCGTTATTCACAATAGCCAAAGGTGGAAGCAAACTGAGTATCCACTGGATGAATGGATACGCAAAATGTCAGAGACATACAATAGAATATTATTCAGCCTTAAAAAGGATGGAAATTCTGACACATGATCCAACATGGATGAATCTTGAGGACATTACACTAAGTAAAATAAGCCAGTCACAAAAGGACAAATACTTTCTGATTCTATTCATATGAGGTACTTGGAGTTGTCGAATTCAGATACAGAAAGCAGAATGCTGGTTGCCAGGGGGTGGGGGAGGGAGAAATGGGGAATTATTGTTTAATGGGTACAGAGTTCCAGTTTTGAAAGATGAAGACTTTTGGAGATTGGTTATAAAACAATGTGAAGGTACTTAACACAACTGAATTGTACATTTAAAAATGGTTACAATGGCAAATTCTATGTTATGTACATTTTACCACAATTAAAAATAAAAATTAAAAGAATCCCATTGTTGTTTTATCATGATGACATCTTGAGTTTTTGTTTCTACTCAATTGATGCTGAGTCTTTCTATAGCATAAAATACTTGTGAGGTTGAGTTTTCTAGGACTGGGTTTTCTTATAGACCAGATTGGTTGTATGTTTATTTTTGCAAGCTGTGTTCCTTTCTTTTCTTTATTAAAAATATATATATATATATTTAATAGAGACAGGGTCTTGCTGTGTTGCCCAGGCTGGTCTCAAACTCCTGGCCTCAACTGATCCTCGTGACCCAGCCTCCCAAAGTTTTGGGATTACAGGTGTGAACCACTGTGCTCAGCCAACAAGCTGTGCTCCTCTCTTGCATTCCTCTGCTGCAGCATTTCACAGAACAGTCATGACACTCACTGCCATCTTGTTCATACTTATAACGTGAACATCTCTGTCCAGAACTGCTCTTTGCTCTCCCAGAGCAAGCTGATGTATCTTTTGACACTCTCCTCACTTTATAGGGAACCAGGTGTCGTTCTACCTCTGAGCTACAACTTTAGGTTGGCTGCTGCTTTCCATGAACACTTCTGCCATGGAGGAGAGGCAGGAGTCATGAGGCCTGTCCTTGGGGGCTCTATACTCTGTCCTCTTTTGGAGGGGAGTTAAATGTCTTAGACCAGGGCCCACTCTGCCAAACCAGGGCAGACTCACTCCTATGGTCTCTTTCCTGTAACTCAACACAGAGACTAGGAGATGGCCTCCCCAGGTGCCTTCCTAACTCTGCCAAGGGTTTTGTTTTTTGTTTTTTGTTTTTTTAACTTTTACCAAGTCTATCCACTCACCTCCTCAACCAGCTGCTTCCCATATTGATCTGTATTAGGAGGAACCCTCAGGAACTGGTCCTCTCGCCTTCCTTTTCCAGTACTGCTTCTGAGGGGCTACGGTGGGGTGCACCCTTCCTTGCCTGCCACTTTTCAAAGTGGTTGAAATAAAGCTGTAATTGTTTTTTGTTTGTTTGCTTGCTGCAAGAGCCTGTGGGGCTGGGTTTGATTTTGTTTCTAACTGCATTTTCGTTCTGTTGGTTGGGTGTTGGGAAGGGAGTGTCTGTGTTTCTGCTATACTCTGTCATCCTTCTCTCTCATTCTTGGCCAACATGAATGCAACATATGCTTCGAGCCAATTATTTGGAAGTAAGGACAGAGTTTGCTCTGATTCTTCCACACTTTCAGGGTCACTTAGCCCTTGTAAATAGGGCCACATAACTGGGAGATGGCCAGCAGTCTGTGGACACAGGCCGGAGCAAAGGTAATTGGCACATAAGCACCACCCCACCAAGCAGATCAAGCCTTTCCAAATGGACATCTTTGCACATATAGAGAGGCAATCACAGCTGTTTGTGCTGTCTGACCTCTATCAGGGACAGTATCCTCATGAGACCCGTTCAGTTCGTGAATTCTGCTGAACACAAGGTTACTTAAAAATGAGAGTCCCAAGGATGTCAACTCTCAAGGATATACTACATAAAATCAGGTCAAGCCATAAATTAATCCACTGCGACCATCTGGCTACTACTTCTCAAAGCTAGCATGCATGCCACTAGCGGAGTGCAAGATGAACATTCTGTATTGCAATAGTCATCTATTTTAATATGATTAGAAAAATATCAATAGCATTTCAAACTCATGATTGCAAGGATCACAATAAGTAAATTAAAATGCAGATATAGAATGACAACTAAAAACTTAAAAGTCAGTTAAAAATAAATTTAAAGGGCCAGGTGCGGTGGCTCATGTCTGTAATCCCAGCACTTTGGGAAGACAAGGTGGGTGAATCACTTGAGGTCAGGAGTTCCAGACCAGCCTGGCCAAGATGGTGAAACCTCGTCTCTACTAACATACAAAAAAATTAGCCAGGTATGGTGGTGTACGCCTGTAATTCCAGCTACTTGGGAGGCTGTGGCAGGAGGACCACTTGAACTCGGGAGGCAGAGGTTGCAGTGAGCTGAGATCGCATCACTGCACTCCAGCCTGGGCAACAGAGAGAGACTCCCTCTCAAATAAATAAATAAATAAATACATAAATAAAAATAAATTTAAAGAAAAGCATTAAATTAGGCTGGGCACGGTGGCTCACGCCTGTAATCCCAGCCCTTTGGGAGGCTGAGGCAGGCAGATGACTGGAGCTCAGGAGTTCGAGACCAGCCTGGCATACATGCTGAAACTTCATCTCTGCTAAAAATACAAAAATTAGCTGGGCTTGGTGGCGGGCACCTGTATTCCCAGCTACTTGGGAGGCTAAGGCAGGAGAATTGTTTGACTCTGGGAGGCGGAGGTTGCAGTGAGCGAGATCACGCCACTGCACTCCAACCTGGACAACAGAGCAAGACTGTCTCAAAAAAAAAAAAAAAAGAATAAAAAGACAAAAAAGAAAAAAAGCATTAAATTAGTGGTAGAAATGGTACCTAGATACCGCAAAAATTAAACAAGGGGACCCCAAATGACTGAAGCTTAGGAAGTGCATTATTTCTCCACAAGTGTGCCCTTAGCATTCTAGGCAGGCAATGTGCTGTACAGAGCTTCTCCAGTACATGACGGGGTCATCAGCATCCCTGGCTTGCACCTTCTAATTGCTAGTGATACCCCTACCTTACCACAAACACACATGTTCACATACCCTGGGGTGAGGCAGTACTATCTCTGGTTAAAACCACCAGACATTGTGGTATAGAATGTTCATCCTGGTTTAAAAAATCCCAAATGGGAATTTAACTCCTTTTAGACGGCCCTCATACAGGGCTGTATAAAATGTTCTCCCTTATACAGATCCTAAATTTTTCATGCAATCTTTTAATCCCATTCTCAGTGAAACTCGTCGGTTTCAAAAGGGGCAATATATACTGACAACCCCATTTACTGCAATGAAGCCAAGGATCCACTTAAAGGAAAATGGAAACACCTCCCCCTACTCTCCCCCACCCCCGCCCTGACTTAACTTATTCTCTCGCCCCTCCATCCCTCATTTCTGTGGTCACTACGTGAATGAAAACAACATAGCATTCTCCCTCCTTCTCCAGCTACCTCCTCCTCCCTCAGCCATGCCTATCAATCACTGTTTTGGCCTCAAAACTAAAAATCTCCTCTCTAATCCCTATTGCATTTTGTGAAAGTTTCTCACATAATTTTTCCAGGTTTTGTATATGACATTGCTGACTCCGAAGCTCCTTATGGGCAGAGACCAGCTCTTCTACTTCTGTGACCTCCTTCCCCTCAGTCTTTAGCCCTTTGCCTAGCACAAAAGGGAACTCAACGTACACCTTTCCAGGAGCTGATGATCATCTTAAAGCAAAAAAGCCCTCCAAGTCAAGTTCCCGACTCACCATCTCCACTAGCTGTCTGTTTGACTTCATCTGTTCCAGAAAAAAAGCCATGTCTTCTAACGAATCTCTGTGCAGCAGTACTTCCTACCTATTCCTTATTGCTTTCACTGGAATAACTGGTTGGATGTGGGTTCTGTGAGTGAAGGACAGTCCACAGGCCCAGGGTCCTGTCTGGTCAACCTCCTGTTTTCACCTTGCATTCAATGATGTGATCACCTTACAGGTAATCTGAGAATGGGAACTCTCCAGGGTTCAAAAGCACAGTTGAGAAGCTGAAGACCAACGGCTAAGAAGAGGTGCAGCAGACACACAAATAGCTGCTGGAAGAGTCAAAAAAGTTTTTTAACTATGAAATTCCTTTCTCAACTTCAGTTATTTTGTGATATGAGAGGAGATGTTGTAAGCAGGTATTTTTTTTTATTTACGACGGTGACTGGGTTGGTCATGGGGTAGCACTTTTAAAAACTATATACATTCCTCCGGAGGGTCTGGTAATATACCAGTCACCCCAGCTCACGGCTGCAGTGAACCACTGTTACTGATGTAAGTGTCATATGCTGCAGGTGTGCGGGACTAGAAAAAAAAGCTGAGCGAAGAGACTGTCCCGTTCCAGCACAGCCGCTTTTTAGAAGACAGGGCTAAATCCTGCTGTGAGGACATTTAAGTCCTCTGCCCATGTCAAGTCCACTAATGCTCCATTGATCAAAGCAAGATATGTGGCCAAGCCCAACACCAACAGGAAAGGGAATTAAATCTTCCCACGGGGTAGGAGGAGTGAAAGTTTGCTGAACAATGACCTCTAAACACTCAGAAGTGTTGGATATTGGTGCAGGAAAAAACAGAAACTTGAACAGACCAAAGTATGAAATACACTGAAATAGCAAACAAAGCCCTCCCTTGACAAAGAGCCCTAGGCCCAGATGGCTTTACAGGTAAGCTCCATCAAATGTTCATGGATCCTGTGGACCTTGGACAAGTTAAAGGGGGAAAAAGAAAAAGCTCATGAAACACTTAATTTCCTATCATATGTAAGTTGTTCCAGAAAATCAAAAAAGGACAAAAGCTATCTAGCTGATTTTATGAGGATACTACAGTTTTTATTCCAAACAGGGTAAGAATACAAGAAGAGGAAAAATTATAGGCTTGTTTCAGTTACGATTTTAGAAGCAAAAATTATAAATAAAATATTAAGTAATTGAATCAAAAAATTGAAAGTAACATATCATGAACAAGTAGAATGTATCCTACGTTTGCAATAAATTTCAACATCATAAAATCTACCACTTAACTCAATATATCAATCCACCAAAGAGGAAAGTCATTATTATCTTAATAGATGCAGAAAAAAATTTGATAAAGTTTGACACATAACTATAATTTGAAAAAAATATTTCTTTAAAAATTCAAAATATGGGAAACTTTCTTAATTTGGTTAAGATTGTAAAAGCATTTGATTTGGTGAAGAAACTTTAAATGTATTCTCTTTAAAAAGACAAGGATGCACACTTGTCTGGACTGTATAAGATCCAATACTGTGGAATACAGTATTGGACGTCCTGACCAGTGCTATAAAGAAAAGAAATTAGTTTTGGGAGGCCGAGGCAGGCAGATCACCTTAGGTCGGGAGTTCGAGACCAGCCTGACCAACATGGAGAAACCCCCGTCTCCACTAAAATTACAAAATTAGCCAGGCGTGGTGGCACATGCCTGTAATCCCAGCTACTCGGGAGGCTGAGGCTGGAGAATCGCTTGGACCCAGGAAGCAGAGGTTGTGGTGAGCCGAGATTGAGCCATTGCACTCCAGCCTGGGCAACAAGAGTGAAACTCCATCTCAAAAAAAGAAGAAAAAAAAAAAAGAAATTAGTTAGTTATAAATAATAAGCATTTCTAGGGAAGAGATAAAACTAACATTATTTTCAGACAATATGACCTAATACATAGAAAAATATCAGGATTAGCAGATAATCTATTAGAGTAAGAGGACTGAGCAAAATTGCCAGATACAAGATCAACTTAAAGCAAAAAACTACAAAGCAGCATTTCAACACTCTTACAATAATCAAATACAAAACATAATAAAAATACAATAAGCAATGAGAAGGATAAAGGATCTATGAAGTTAATAAAGACTGTATAAGACCTTCATGGGGAAAATTTTAAGCCTTTATTAAAAGACATAAAGCAAGATCTGACTAAAAGGAGAGTCCCTGTTGTGCTAGATGGGATGACATTGTTATAATATAAAGATGCCAATTCCTATTGTGACAATTAAAATTCCATAATGGGGAAAGAAGAGGCTTTCCCCAAACTGAGGAGAACTAGCTAATTACAGAGGAAAAGAAAACTGGCCTAGAGCATCACACCATGAACAGTGGTGGATCCCATGGAGATAAAGTCCCAAAGGTAAAAGGTAAAACTATAAAGTTCATGGAAAATAAGGCAGGAGTATCTTTATGGCCTGTGGTCAGAAGTGGTTTTTAAAATTAATCTCCCAAAGGTAAATTTTTTATATCAAAATTACGGATTTCTGCTCAATGAAGGAGACGTGATCCAAGCTGATGTCTAAGACCAAGGCTAATGTCTAAGACCAATAAGGGAAACACTATCTAGGCTGGGTAAGGTGTTTCTGAAAACCAACAGCAAAGGTAAGAACCTCCACAGGAAACAGAACAAAGGTATGAACAGGTGATTCGAATTAGAGGAAACACAAAAGCGAGCACATAAAGAGATGCTCAAATGCAGAAATTTAAGAAACAAATGTAAACAACAATGATAAAGCACTTTATATGTATAGAAATCTAGACAATACCAAGCTTAGGCTGGGACGTGATGTAGAGAACGTTGTTCACCGCCAATGGAAATAAAGATCGGACAGTCGTACTGGCCAGCAAGTTGGCAGTGTGGGTAAAATTGAATGTACTTTCCAATCTTGTTCTGTTAGACGTACCCAAGAAAAGTTCTAAAAAAGACCTGTAAGGGACATGTATTAGGTTGTTTGTGTAAAGCTTCGTTATTTGTGCTAGCAAATACACGTATATCTTATAATCCAGAAACCCTCTTTTGGGAGATATAGATATAGGTATAGATATCTCCATCTCAGGAAAATTCCTACACAGATCCATGAGGGGTCACTATGAGGTTGTTTATATGAGGTAATACTGTCGGAAGAAAGGAGTTGGAAGCAATCTAAAAGCTCATTGCTGGGGGAAGAGATATAGAAATACAAAACAGCACATAGGGAATACTGGCAGAGTTAGAGGGGATGGACTAAATGCAGTGGAGAGCAAAAAATGTAAGGAAAAGAATCAGGTCTATACAAATGCAAATTAAGAATATATGTCCAGGCCGGGCACCCATGGATCACGCCTGTAATCCCAACACTTTGGGAGGTCGAGGCGGGTGGATCGTTTGAGCTCAGGAGTTCAAGGCTAGCCTGGGAAATGTGGCAAAACTCCATCTCTACAAAAAAAAAAATTAATACAAAAAATTAGCCAGGTGTGGTGGTGCACACCTGTAGTCCCAGGTGCTCGGTGGGGAGGCTGAGGTGGGAAGATCACCTGAGCCAGGGAGGTCAAGGCTGCAGTGAACCCTGATTGTGTCACTGATCGAACTTCAGCTTGGGTGAAAGAGCCAGACTCTGTCTCAAAAAACAAAAAAGAATGTATGTCCAAAACACCACTTACAAAAACACACACAAATAAAGGAATACATATCAGTCAGAATAGTTATCCTTATCTATGAGAGGGAGGGGGAACAAGAGTGAGTATATGAATGGAAAAGGAAGAAGCTTTTCACAGACCAATTAGTGAAGTAGACCATAAACTGATGAGCGCAAAGGAAAAAAAAAAAAAAGAGAGAGAAAGAGAGAAGCAAGGGAGGAAGGGAAGGAAGGAGGGAGGGAGAGAGTGAGAGAGGGAAGGTCAAGAGTCACTCTGAACCCAGCTGTCTCACGGTACCCCTGGGGCTGACAACATCCAGTTTCTCTGTAGCTAATGTGAGTGGAGTGAGTGGAGTGAGTAGAGTGGTGGAGTGGAGGAGGTCAGGGGTAGGGCGGGGCTGTTCCAGGCTGGAAAAACTAACCTGATCAGCCACCTCCCAGGACTCATGAATTAACCCTGGTCCCTGAGTACAAAGGCTCTGCAGAAAAATCCCTTTGGCTGAGAGACTGACTGCCTGGAAAAAGAAAAAAAAAAAAAAAAAAACCTCAAAAGGAAAACTAATTAGAACCCCTTGTTCTGCTTGTTCTGATAGATAATCACAGAGAACAATTTGGTCCTCACAGAGAGATGGAGAAATCATGTTTAGTCTTTCTAAAACCGATTTCCAGGATGATTAAGTGAAACCCACTCCAAAGAACAAGGTTATGTTGCAAAATACAAATAAATCCCATTTATTGTAATGGAAGACTTGATTTGACTATCGAGTCCATGGAAGGTCAACAATAAAACTGTTAGCAATAATTGAGCTCGCACTGAATTAAAAGGTGGGTGGTAGGGTGGACACAGCTCTGGGCTAAGAATTAGGAAGCCTGGGTAGTATAAATTTGAATCTGCTACTACCTAGCCGTATAGCTTGGGATAAGTCATTTGGCCTCTCTTAGACTGCTTTCTTCTTTGTAAAAGGTAAAACCAGATGACTTCTAAGGCTTTATTTCAATAAAACATATTATCTTTTTTAGAAGTGATTTTGTTATTTTCAACAGATCTTATGATTTTTGACTTCTCATTAAATCAAACCATTTATTGTTGTATCACTTTTCTTTACACATTTTCTAAGATAGAAACAACCCTCGTGGGCCTTTAGTAATGATTTTTGCTTATTTGTTTCTGCCTTTTAAAGATCACACATGGAAACCGCCCGGTGGCTCATGCCTGTAATCCCAGCACTTTGGGAGGCCGAGGCGGGTGGATCACCTGAGGTCGGGAGTTTGAGACCAACCTGGCCAACATGGTGAAAACCTGTCTCTATTAAAAATACAAAAATTAGCTGGGCGTGGTGATGCACGTCTGTAATCCCAGCTACCCGTGAGGTTGAGGCAGGAGAATTGCTTGATCTCAGGAGGTGGAGGTTGCAGTGTGCAGATCGCACCACTGCACTCCAGTCTGCGCGACACAGCGAGACTCCCTCTAAAAAAAAAAACAAAAACAAACAAACAAACAAACAAACAAAAACGTGAAATGAATATCTGGTACAGTAAATTTTCAAAACAGTAAAAACAATTAATGTTACAGTTTGCTGGGCCATTCATTTCTCTCACATGGACCAGACACAGCTCCACCAATTTGTCATTCATCCGGTTCCTTGAACACAGCAGCCAGCTGCGAACCAGAGAGCCTTGCACGAGCTGTTCCCTTTCCCTGGGACACTCTTTCACTGACCCCTTCACCAAATATAACTTCTCAGGGCAGCTGCCCTGACTGCCCTATTCCAAACTGCAACTCCCATTCCACTGTCATTCCCTTTGTCCATAAATCACCTTGTAACGTGTGATATATTTTATAGATGTGCTGTATTTACTGTCGCTGCCTGCCCCCAACCCTACACACTCATGCCTGCTGGAATGTAAGTGTCTCGCAGGCAGGGGAGCTTTGTCCATCCTGCTCAGTGATGTACTCCAGGCACCCAGGGTAGTGCCTTGCACATAGTAGGCACTCACTACATATTTGCTGGATGAGTGAATGAATGAAAAGGAATGATTCATTACAATGATAACATACTCACTTAGCTTTATTCTCTATAGCTACAGTATTACCAAGTGCTTCTACTTTTAATTTACTTTGTATTTAAAACCAGAGAAATTACATTGCATAATCTGAGGGTGAACAGAAAATTAAAAAGAGAGGAAACTCCATAATGGTAAAATATTGTCAAGGTTAGATGTGGGCTGTTACCTCTTTTTATGCCAAACTGGGCTACAATGAACTCCCCTTTCCCACATCCATGTTTCATTTGAAAAGAGAAAGACAGGCAAGCCCCAAGAAGGCTTCTGGGTAAATATGGCAGAGTGAGGCCTGACCCCAGAGTCTCCATCCCCTAACACCTAAGGGAATGAAGAAAAGGTAATAAAATAAAAATGAAGCCCATCAAAAAAGATGGCAGAGCCACTTTCCAATTCCTACCTTCCTGAAGCTCTATCAATTATTCACCCAAACTCAACTCTAAGAGATTCACTCTACTATCCCCAAATCTAAAGAGGAAAAAATTAAGTGGGTTTCTTACATTTTTTTCTCCTCTAATTTCAGCAGAGTGGAGATGGTAACTGCTACATGAAGCGACAGGAGATAAAAAATGTGGACAACGAGAACTAACTGTCCCTGGCAGAATGAGAAGACATTCTGCATGTTCTCAGGAGAGATTGCACAGCACAGGCATTATAGGGTGGCCTACGCGTAAACAACTTGGTGAGCTCACTTTCCTGCCCTGCTCTTTTGCTTACATGTGCCTATAGCCTGAAGAAAAGTGAACAGGACAGGAAATACCTGGTCCTCAAGGGGTAATACACAGGGGTCAGAAGGGTGTCAAGGAGAAATCACCCCAGTGGATCAGAGCCCCAAAGGCCACAGTCACCCAAACATATGCAAGATGGAATGAAACAGCATGGCAAGTGAGTAACATATCAGAGTAACACATGAATTAAAAATAGAGCATTATGTGGAAGAAAATGGGCCAAAACCAAAAATCTACAATCTCCAAGGAATAAACTAATAAGTGAGAAACACCAAGGAATAGAATTAACATGGCTCAAAATTATTTATATCCTAGGAAGCCTTCAGGTCATCAAGATAAAAGGCAAAACTTACAGAGAAAAATGATAGACATAGAGGAGAAAAAATATAATCCATCAGAAAGATTAATGAGTATTCCTGAAGTAGAGAACCCAGGCCAAAGTGTTTAAAGATCCAATACAAGAAAATATCCCTAAAATGAGCAAGCAACAGAGCTCTAAGTCAAAAGAGCATACTTCGTTTTTACAAAAAATGAATATGAAACAATTAACTGAAACATGTACCCTGGTTCAATAATTAAATTTCCAGTTCCAAGAAATAATTCTTCAAGCAGAACAAGCCAAGTTGCCTACAATGAGGGGAAAGTCAGTCATTGTTTTCAAAAGTATTTTAAATGCAAAAGATAAAGAAACAATTCCTCCAAAATTCTAAGGGGAATAAAGTATAGTGCATAAATATTACTCCTAGGGATGATATTGAAGTATAAAGGTAAGGTAATCATCAGATATTCTTGAACATGAAAAAAAACTAAAAAATTCATCGTTCAGGAGCCCTCCTTGAAAAGTCTTGACAATCTAGTCAGTGCAATGCATAAAATAAAGCTATCAGCAGTGCATACCAATGGGGGGGCCAGTGAAAATGGTTTGCTTCAGATGCAGGCAATAAAGGATGCAGTGTTTATAGAGAATTTTAAATTAGTAACAAAACCATTAAAAGTCTGTCTGTTTTTCACATCACCATGTGCAGGCAATTCTAAACAATGCAAATGATAAAATACCCCTCCCCTCTGCCAGGCAGTCTCCACTAAGCCCCTTGATCTGTTCCTCAATATCAGTACCAGGAAAGCCATAGGAAAAAGATTAGTACTGGGCACTGAATTCATTTAAATATAAAACTAATTTTAGGCTGGGCATGGTGGCTCACGCCTGTAATCCCAGCACTTTGGGAGGCCGAGGCAGGTGGATCACCTGAGGTGGGCAGCTTGAGACTAGCCTGACCAACATGGAGAAACCCCGTCTCTACTGAAAATACAAAATTAGCCGGATGTGGTGGCGCAGGCCTGTAGTCCCAGCTACTTGGGAGGCTGAAGCAGGAGAATCACTTGAACCTGGGAGGTAGAGGTTGTGGTGAGCTAAGATTGTGCCACTGCAGTCCAGCCTGGGTAACAAAAGCGAAACTCCGTCTCAAAAAAGAAAAAAACCAAACTAATTTTAAACAACTGAACATAACATTATATACTTCAACTATATGAAAATAACATAACTAATCAAAATCAAAGCTAGATTATAGAATAGAATGTAAATATTATATACTTGACTATGTGAAAACAGCAATGTAACTAACTAAAATCTAAAGGGAAGGAAGGAAGGAAAAAGAGTGAAAGTTCTTAATGACCTTATTTATCATGGCAGAAAGGAAGTCCATACTGTCTAGTATGAAAATGATAGCATCAGGATAACCTAAGTAATCTATGGTTAAAAACAAGTCCCAAGTCTCAGTGACCTAACCGATCAAGAGTTCATTTCATGCTCATACTCCCTGCACTGCAGGCCCATGGGGGTAAGGGCTGTGCCTTTCACGTGCCGGCTCTGCACTCTGTGCTGTGTTGATCTTATGCGCCCACCACATTAACATGAGCACCCAGGCTCACCAAGGTGATAGAAGAAAGGGTGAGACTGGAGACCCGGTAATTAAATGCATTCATCCATAATGGTCGTTTCTGCTCATGTTGTGTGACTAAAGCAAGCCACAAGGTCACATCTAACTTGAAGAGACTGAGCAAATATGATTCTCCTATATCCCAGAAGAGGAAGAAAACTGGGTGAACAGCAACAGTGCCTACCACAAAAACATAATTGGAAAAAAAAACACAAAATGAAAACCAGCAAGTTCTTATCTCTTTACTTAACCATAGAGGGGGAAAAAATAACATTTTTATGTGAAAAAATGTTTGTTCAAAGTTCAGTAATTCCTTAATTCTCACTTAGTTTTCTCCAGTTAAAATCAGGTAAAATTAAGTGTAATGGTTTTTACATTTAAAAATTAGTGTGTATAGCTGAGGCAGTGGCTCATGCCTATACACTTTGGAAGGCCAAGGGGGGAGGGTCGCTTGAGTTCAGGAGTTCAAGACTAGCCTGGGCAACATAGGGACACCCCTCAATCTGTACAAAAATAAAAATAAAAAATTAGCCAGGCATGGTAGTGCATGCCTGTGGTCTCAGCTACTTGGGAGGCCAGGGTGGAAGGATTGCTTGGGCCTGAGAGGTGGAGGCTGCAGTGAGCTGTGAGAGTGCCACTGCACTCCAGCCTGAGTGACACAGGGAGACCCTACCTCAAAAAAATAAATATAAATAAAAACTTAGCCTGTATCATATGATCACTCTTCTTTGAAAGCATATCTATCTCTCCATCCATCTATCTTCCCATCTGCAAACATGCTTAGGGTGGTATCTAACACAACGTTTCTTTAATATTAATGAGGCTTATTTTTAAATGATAGAATTTATGATTTGTTTCTTTTTACTTTTCTACATCCCTTGGATTCCTTATAATGAACACTTAGCATTTGTGTAACACAATAAAGTCATGAGAAGTTTTGCCACAAAGGCAAAAGAGCCTGCAGCCCAAGAAAGTCATAATGTGGCCCTGCTTCTAATATTTCTAAATCACAAATTCAGTGGCAGATGGCAAAAATTACATGTACTTCAAAACTACCTTTTGAAGTTAAAAGCAGAGTACAGATGTTGAGAGACAAAATTCCAAGTGCCTTGTCTGTTTACCAAAATGCTCAGATAACTATTGTAAGTTCAACATTAATGACAACACTGCTTCTTCACAGGTTATTAGCAAAAGACATTTAAGATTCCTTTATATAGAAGTCGTATATGTGAACATAATATTTTGCATTCTTCAGTCTTCCCCCTTTTCTAAATAGGGAAAATGAACTCCTTAATCACGTAATTATTTCCTACTGATGATTGTTCTCCAAAATTTTCAAAATTGTTTAAAAATACTTATAACTTTAGTTTCATCTTCAATATCAAATATATAAATATGTAAACAGATATTAAAGCTGAAGAAAACAAGGTGGCCTATGGTTCCTTGATATTATCTTTGCTGCTGTTTACTAAGTAATAAAGAGTATAGAGAAAGATTAAGAAGCTTCAATTGCATATTATAAACTATAAAATAACAATTCTGATGGACTTATGTTTTCCTTATTAATGCCAAACCTGCCTAGAAGAAGGGTAAGATTATCAGTAACGCTAAGAAGGCAGCTGACTTCAGGCATCAAAAGCATATTTCTTTCATGGAGTTCAGCTGTGTTGAGTGGCTTGGCAGTAAGACCAAAGAAATGAAAAAAGTATGGATGTCACGCAAATTTACCAAGCAAAATCCTTCAAAGCTGTGACTCAACAACAATCTTATAAATGAAACTTTCAGTTCTCTTATTAGCATCCTAGGAAGAGAGAGAGAAGGCAGGCTTTTAAATTTGCTGTCTTCCCAAAGCTGTAAGGGGCAGTGATATGGTGATTGACATATTAAGAATCAAAATAACTTCATTAGATTGATGGAATGATCCTAACAAGATTTGTCATGGGATAAATGTGATATCATCAAGTTAAAAAAATCAATCATAAATGTATACAATGTTTTCAACCTGGCTATAATGCTGTTCAGAAGGAAAGGTTCAGATGTTTTCACTGACTGCAAATACACTATCACCCTAGCAAAAAACCCAAAACCAACCAAAAACTTGACAGCAAACTTGGTTCCATTAACACACAAGTTTGGAATCAGGAACAAGGAAGATGACTGTCTCACAGAATCCACATCAATCAAACAGACCACTTCCAAATCAGTGACCTGACTGCATGTGATACAGACAGATGCAGGCAAAGCCTGATCACAGGGTCTACCCAAAGACGCTAACCTGCAAGCAGGTATTAACTCAGCATGAAAGCATGTGGCATATACCGCAGTGAACTAAGAGTTAAAGGAAGATGAGAGCTGTATCTTTCTTGTTCACAGCTAGCCCCTAGCACAATGTCTGGTAGGAAGCAGATCCCAAGAAGTATCGTTTAAGAGAGTAATTTAAAACACTTGTGGAGCAGTTGCATTTTGGGTAGCAGCTGCATTCCCCGTGCAGCTGCACATAATGCAAAACTAACCTGACGAAGCACAGGAGGTGCTGCCATGCAGATTCACAGATGGGAATCCCATTTGGCTTTGAAATTGTGTGATTCTTGATATGTTTTTAATTTTCTAGGATTTGCAATATTTCAAATAAAAAAAATTATTAAAAAATTTCATTCTTCAGAGACATGGTCTTGCTATGTTGCCCAGGCCAGAGTGCAGTGGCTGTTCACAGGTACAATCCCACTACTGATCAGCACAGGAGTTTTGACCTGCTCCTTTTCTGGCCTGGGGTGGTCCACTCCTCCTTAGGCAACCTGGTGGACCCTGCTCCCAGGAGGTCACCATATTGATGCCGAACTTAGTGCAGACACCCATCTGCATAGTGCACTACAGCCCAGAAGTCCTAGACTCAGGTGACCCTCCTGCCTCAGCCTCCTGATTAGCTGGGACTCCAGGCACAGGTTAATGTGCCTGGCAATGTTTCAAATTTTGTGCCTAAAGTGAGAATTCAGTGAAGAATTTTATTAGTGAATTCAAATATGCCCAATCTCACATAAAATACAATGGCACCCTGAAGACAGACATATTGATTTAGCAAATATTAATTGAGGCCTGCTATATTGCCAAGTACATTTTAGGTGCTAACGATACAGAAATGGGCAAATTTAGCTATTTCTGTAAATTGTTTGGAGATTGTCTAAAGCATCTCTGTGAAACTTAGGCTTCAACACGACCTTTTCTAGACCAACTCACTTATTTCAATGAAGGAGATAAAGTCAAGAGAATTAAAGTCACTTGCTTAGTCTCATGATTACTGTGGAGCTCAGTCAGTAATAGAGTGATTTGCAGATGATTATCCTAGCAAGTATTCAGTACCTACTTAGTTCAGTACCTACTTAGTGTTGCAAATAAGCAGGTGAAGGGGCATATTTATAAAGGACTGCAGAAATAACATAGGCTTATCCTTAATAAATATTCTTTTAATCTCCTTGTTAACATTCTCAAAATCAAACAGTTTTCCAGATTCTGTTTTTATATATGTTTAACCAAAATTTTCTTTTAAAAGTTTCCTTTAAAAGAAGCAGGTGCATGTGTGTGTGAGAGAGACTGAAAAAAAGTTTAACAAAACAAAAAATACTTACCTTCACTACCTGCTACCTTCTTTTATTTTAAATTGATTTCATGTTCCACTAACAGGTAGCAAGGTTTGACCAACACTGTTCTAGAGCAGATTCAGCTGGCTAATTCTTACTCTACATTCAATAATTAGCTCACATGTCATCTCTTCGAAGAAGCTTTCTGGGAGCCTTCCAAGCGTAAATCAGCCATCCTCTTCTTGGAGGGCCTGAAATAAGTGACAGCGAAGATTCGAGGAAGGGGCAGATTCAGGTGAGAGTAGGTGGTGGCACTGGGATGCCTCTCTCTGCCACGCCTGAGCTCCACATTGAAGCAGGAGCCTCTAGAACCCGTGGCAGGCTCTCCCCACCACTGGTCAATTTCCTGTGCACCCAGCATTTCCTGGCACATCAGGAGTGCTCCATAAGCAACTGTTGAAATAACCGCCGGGCGTGGTGGCTGATGCCTGTAATCCTAGCACTTTGGGAGGCCGAGGTGGGCGGATTGCCTGAGGTCAGGAGTTCAGGACCACCCTGCCAACATGGTGAAAACCCCTCTCTACTAAAATACAAAAAATCAGCCAGGTGTGGTGGCGGGCACCTGTAATCCCAGCTACTCAGGAGCCTGAGGCATGAGAATTGCTTGAACCTGGGAGGCAGACATTGCAGTGAGCCAAGATCATGCCATTGCACTCCAGCCTGGGTGACACAGCGAGGCTCCATCTCAAACAACAACAACAACAACAAAAAACCAAAACTTTAGGGAGCTGATGAAAGAGCTGACCCTAAAAGCAAATAAAAGAGCCCATCCATCAGAGGCTGCACAGTGGTAGCAATGGACTGAATTTGGCCCGTAGATGTGTTTCATTTGGCCTGTCCAGTTCAAAAAACTACAGAAAGAGCATTTAAAAATTGAGAGGTTTCACAAAATTCCAGATTTGTAGCTTTGCTTGTCAGCTCACCAGAGCCATCCTCATCCTGGCTACCCCCAGCATCCACTCTCCTACCACGCATGAGAAAGCCCAGTCACTGAGCTGATCTCCCGGGTCCAGGAACTTGCAAGCCTTATAGGGGTTTGATTTCTGCCTCCTGTACCAGATAATGGTAGAAAATCCTACACAGCATAATAGTCTAAAGCTTGGTGGATGAGCCTCCAGCCAGCTGGGGGAAGGAGAGCATAACAAAACAGACTCTTTTCACTCAAGGCAGCACAAACCCTCCCATGTGTCTGTGGTCTTTTCCCAGGGGTAAAAGACTGCCTGAGATAACTGTCTTTCCTCTCTCTGGAATGACATTGAAAAAAAAAAAAAAGGTGAAATCATAGGAAATAAGGACCAGAATTAGAACATTTTATTTTTCCTTGTATCCTTTGGCATCAAATAACACTATTTTTCACAGATGGGTTTTCAATAAACTTCGGAGCAAGGCTGTGGAAAATTTTTTAAATGCTGTATGGGTCTTAAAATGCCAGTTGTTCACATATAAAAATGTGTTTCCTCCCATGAACACATCCCCCTGGAAAGCTCAATCACTCCCGATCAAAATGACTTCCAATCAAAATCCAAACATATTTTTAAAAATAGAAATTGACAAGCTGATTCTAAAATTTATAAAGAAATGTGAAGACCTTAGAAGAGCCAAAATAATTTTGAAAAAGAATGCAGCTGGAATAATTACACTCCCTGATTTTAAGACATCCTAAAGCTATAGAAATTGACAGTGGGTATTAGTGAAAAGGTAGACAAATAGATCAATAAAACAGGAGAAAGTTCAGAAATAGATTTACACCCATGTGGAAACCTTTTGACAAAGGTGCAAAGGCAGTTCAATGGAGAAAGGATAGTTTCTTCAACAAGTGATGCTAAAACAACTGACTCTCCATACGCACAAGCACACATGTGCATACACACATGCAGACATACACAAGAATTTAAGGCATACCCCATATCATACACAAAAATTAATTCAACATGGATCATAGACCCAAATGGAAAACCTAAAACTATGGAACGTCTGGAAGAAAACATAGATGAATTATTTGCTTAGCTTAGGCAAAGACTTCTTTAAAATGGCACCATACTAAAAGCATGATCCATAAAAGAATAAATTGATAAGCTGGATGTCATCAAAATTTAAAACTTCTGCTATTTGAAAGACACTGTTTAGAAAATTAAAAGACAAACCACTGACTAGGAAAAAATATTTGCAAATCATATCTTGTAAAGGACTTGTATACATATATATATACAAATAATTCTCAAAGCTTAACAAAAATAACCCAATTTTTTAAATGGGCAAAGATTTGGACAGACACTTCAGCTAAGAAGATACATGGATGGCAAATAAATACTTAAAAAGACACTCAACATCACTCACTAGAGAAATGTAAATTAAAATCACAATGCAATACCACTCTACTCAAATTAGAATGCTTGCCAGTCACAGAAAGACAAATACTACATGATTCCACTTATTTGAGGTATCTAATATAGTCAAACTCATAGAAACGGAGAATAGTGGTTGCCAGGAGGGAACCACTACTGGGGGAAGGGGGAAATGAGGAGTTGCTGTTCAACAGGTATGCTTTCATTTATGCAAGATGAGTAATTTCTAGGGATCTGTAACATTGTACCTATACTTAACAATACTGTATTGTGTAGATCTCATGTTAAGTGTTCTTACCACAATAAAATTGGTTAAAATAAAGAAGACTGAAGACAATGTTGGCATAGATATGGAAGAAACGGAACTCTCATACACTGCTGATAGAATCATAAAATGGGACAAACACTTTGGAAAATGATTTGGTAGTCACTTAACACGTTAAACATACATCTACCATATAGTCTAGCCATTTCACTTCTAGGTGTTTAATAAAGAGAAAAGAAAGCCCATGTCCATGCAAAGACTTGTAAATGAATGTTCCCGGCAGCTTTATTTGTAATAGCCGACGAAACAAATGTCTGTCGACAAGTGAATGCATAAACAAACTATGGCATATCTGCAAAATGAAATACTGTCCTACATTAAAAAGGGACAAAGTATTAATATGCACTTCAACATGGACAAATCTAAAAATAATTATGCGGAGTGCAAGTTGCCAGACAAAAGAGAATGCTGTAGAACTCCATTTATGTGAAATTCTAGGAAATGAAACCAACACATAATGACAGAAGGCAGATCCGTGTTTGCCTGGAGATGGGGGTGATGGGAAGAAGGAATTATAGAGGGACATGAGAAAACTTTTAGGAGTGTTGGATAGGTTCATCATTCTGACTGTGGCAATGGTTTCATGGGTGTATAAGTGTGTGGAAACATCAAATTACATACTAAGAACTTGTGCAGTTTACTGTATGTCAATTATACCTCAATAAAGCTGGGGGTTTTTTTGGGTTTATTTTGTCCCCTTCTTGTCCCTGGCCCCACTTCACTGGGTTAGGTCCTGTTCCCTAGACTCTCCCAGAATACTGCAGGATGGCCATCACAGTCTTGATCACTGTGGATAGTTTTCATCTAATTATTAGGTTGAGTCATTTGAAATTGCCAATATTCTACCATTTCTGGTCTACAACAATGGCAGTTTCACATGGCTCAACCTAACACTTGCTTGCCAGCCATACCTGACAGTGAGCTCGCTGAGGTCTGGGAGTGTCTGGTTCAGCGATGTTTGCTGTGTGAAGATGGTGATACTCTGAAAGTTCTCTCCAGCCACTTCTCTGTTGGGTTATCATAAGGAGCTGAGAAAAAGACTCCGTGGGCCCTGCCTTACAGCCTTCTCCCTTTCATCCATTTAAAAATCACTCAAACACCCGGTACTGTAAGACCTCCTTTTTGCACAGTTTTAAAACTTCCCATTTGGAAATCATCTTTCAAAGCAACAGAAACACACCCCTAGGCTGCTGGAAGCAGAGGATATAGCTTTGAAAATGTAAAAAGTATTAAACGTTTAAAACAACTATAAATCACAGGAAGACTTGGGATCCTGACATCTCTCCGAGGAAAAATTCCAGAGGCTGCAGCACTTTAAAATAATATCATGTGCTTTGGTTCTAGTCTTGGCTGCTTCTCCCTTGGAACAACAAAAAGAATCGTGCCAGCTATTAAAGGCGGTTTTGTTATATAATGCAGTTAATCTCACATACTCTTCCCTGTGGGATTTAACCCAAGTTTCACAGCGGTCTATTTTATTTAGCATTGATAGTTTTATTCATTTCTTATTAAAGAAATCTTTCCACAAAATTGGCTGCTCTCTCAGCCTTGGCTTGAGAAGGAAGAATATCTGAATTAAAAATCTGTGCAACAGATGGACCTCAGTTACAAAGAATATCTCTGGCTTCAGAAGTCCCTCATAGAGGCAGGTGTCAAGCATGTTAATAAGTTCCGGGCTTTCAGATTTTCCTGAAGACAGTTCAGCCCTGCCATTCATGTACTTTATAGGTAGAAGAGAAAATAAAAGCACAGAATTCCAAAAATACTTGTCAGATTCTAGGGATGTATTTGTCTCACTTTTTGTTCATTTAAAAGGAACTGTGCTTGTATTAATGGGGAAGACAAAACCATCAGGGAGATGGAAGGAGGAGGCCATGTTGCCGATATGCCTGTCTTCCTCTGTGGCATCAAAGGGTCTGAAAAGTTAGGGAGAGAGGTACTGGACATCCTGCTTGCCCTTTTTTGGTGTCAGTGGCTCCACCTTTTGCCGGAAAGAGGTTAAGCAAAATAGGTTCTCATAGCCTAATACTGCTGTGCTTCTCCTAGGCTTAGCCAGCCCTATGTTTTATCTCCTAGCTATTGGGTGGATAACAGAGAAGAGAAATAAGAGAAGTCATTTCCCTCTCCGCTGTATGACAAATATGACACATGCTCCATTCCAAGCTTAGAAACAGTTTCCAACACAGCCCCTTCCAGTTCAGAGAGTTTTGAAATAAGTGTGCTCCCTCCTCCTATCATTTTAAAACAAGGAGAAAGGAAAACAAAGGAAACACTTTTACTCTTAAAGCCATCGCCACAAGATAGGTATCACCATCATCTTCTCCCAAGGGGTCACTAATATTTGGAGAAGCTGAATAACTTGCCCCAAATCACTCAGACTAGTAAGTGACAGAGCCTGTCTGGCTCCAGGTCTTTCTGGCTCCAGAGTCAGTGCTCTTCTAGATGATTCTCTATGTCTTGCTAAGTCTCTGGTTAGATGAATGTTGACAAATCTCTTGAGTGAGAAAGAGGATTACTGGGCAGTAATTTCGGGCTAGTTCAAGTATAATTCCCAGACTATGCAGATACCAGAGACATCTAAATGATTGAGCCTAGAACCAACGCGGGAAGAAAATGACTACAGAGAAGAGTGCTCCCTTAATTCATTTTACAGCCTGAGGGAAACTGCCCTCATCAAATAGTTTTGGGGTTAGATGTACTTTAACAAAAAATACCAACAGCAAAAACTTATTTTCATGATCGATTTGGAACAAGCCCCATGTATTAATGAATATATACTTGTGAAAACTATCTGAGCAAAAAGATAATGTAAACATTTAATTGGCAAAAAGACGGGTGGTCCAAAGAGACAGCTGTAATTCACTCCGCCTCCCTCTGCATGCTTCACTCTGTCCAGGGGCAGCTTTTACCTCCTGCTGGGCTATCACATTCCATGGACAGAAGGGCCATTCCCCCTGGGCAGGAGACACAGACACCACAATCAGCATTTAAAGTTCTGGTAAATAAACATTATCACTTCTAAGAGTGACTGGCTTCAGGAATACCACTCGGCAGAAGGCTAGGTTTCAGCTTCAGCTCGGATAATGTATCATAGAATGATGCATTCTAATGCATTCTTCGGTGTTAACACGACAGTTCCCTAAGTAAACTGAACTCTAGTAAATATACTCTTCAAAGCAATTTTTTGACTTCTTTTCCAGCAGCAAGGTACTTCTTTTAAAAGGAAAGAAATAAGCAAAACAACACAAAAACCCCATGTAATATTCTTTTAGCCTGCTTCCTGGTAGTGTGTGTGTGTGTGTGTGTATGTGTGTGTATGAGTGTGTGTGTGTTTTCCAAAGAGCACAGAAGCAGCTTTTATGGTTAGAAAATTGAAGTGCTATCAAACCTAGGAAATTATAGGGATGAAAAATGAAACAGCTTATCTACATATGTCCCATCTGCTTTTGGCTTTGTGTTTTGCACAATCCATTACTGGAAGCATTGGAAAGTATGCTGAGACACTGAAAATGAGACCGGGGTGTGTCCTACAGCAGCCTAGAGGTGAGGGTAACATTGCCACTGAGCTTACACCAAAACTCACAGACTCAAAGGAGAGTTTCCAGGAAACATCAAAGTAGGGTATTACAAATAAAAACAAAACACACACCAAACGGAGCCAGTGTTTTGGAACACGGTAAAAAGCAGCTTTCCATTCACTGGGGAAACGCCATGTATTTCATTATTTTGTCAGTTTGGGTCACTGTGTTCTCCACAACTCAGCATTTTTACTGCAGAGAGTTGTTCCCAAGCTGCTTCAACTGTAGACTCTCTGATATTTGACAATTTCCCGGCCTGTGCAGCTAGGTTTTAATGATTCGAGTTCCTTCTAGTACAGTCTCTTTAGACTTCTCCATTCCAACAGCCTTGCTTCTTTCTCTTCTGACTATTACTCACTCCACTTCCCACCTCTATTACCTACTTGCAGGCTCTCCCTGAATTCTCAACACAATCATTATCTCCACTTCTGCGTGAACCACAGGCAAGGAAAAATACCTTACTTCTAAAAAGACAAAGTTAGACACGATGAGAACAGCAATGGATTCACACTTCAAGTAAATAAATGCCTGAACTGAAGAGGTATTATAGTGAATGAACATTCTTTGGCTGGAAGAACTTAGTGGCAGAGAATTCTTAAAAGAAAAAGAAAACAGCTTTCTACCCTGTTGATCCAACCAATTAATGAAAGTACAACATTAGTAGAAGTAATTTGAAAAAATTGTTTTAGTCTAAGGGTAGGAAGTGAAAGGGGATGGAGCTAACTTATTAATCCATTAATCACTCTTTTGGTGTATTCATTAAGAGGGTCAGAGGAACAGGCCTTTGGGAGTCTATAAACCAAATCAACAATGCTAGCATATTCTTCTTCCTCTTCTTTTTTTTTTTTTTTGTTTTTGAGACAGAGTTTCGCTCTTGTTTCCTAGGCTGCAATGCACTGGCACAATCTTGGCTCACTGCAACTTCCACCTCCTGGGTTCAAGCGATTCTCCTGTTTCAGCCTCCTGAGTAGCTAGGATTACAGGCACCTGCCACCACGCCAGGCTAATTTTGTATTTTCAGTAGAGACATGGTTTCACCATGTTGACCAGGCTAGTCTCGAACTCCTGACCTGGTGATCCTCCTGCCTTGGCCTCCCAAAGTGCTGGGATTACAGGCATGAGCCACCGTGCCCGGCCAATGCGAGCATATTCTTAAATGAGTATATTTTGTTTGCATAAATCATCATGTTCATTAGTCTGCTGTTGTAAGGAGATGACAATCCATGAAATCATAAAACTGATTTCCATTTTGGAGCAATTGCACAGAGATTTGAAAGAAAAAATTTGATTTATCTATGTCTAGAGAAAAATATTTCTCTTGCTGATACAATACTCTAATTACATTGGCTTAATCATTACAGAGTGTTAATATATGCAGAAGTTCTTAGATATACTTTTACATGGATAAAGGAAGTACCATCAAGTATCATTAAACATTTCTAGACTCCAATGAGAAACAAAAAACAGAATAATCCAATAGAGACAAAACCCAAAAGGTGACTGCATGTAACACTGAACTCCCTCCCATGGCCTCTTTTTGGGAACTTGTCCCATCACTACTTTTTCCTCCTCCCAAACAGTCTGCTTCTCTATTGCTTATGAAGAAGGAGCCCAGGATCACCACTAGGATGAGGTCTGGAGTTGCCCATGCCTGGAGTTGCCCATACCAAGCCTTGTCTCAGCTTCATGGCAACAATTCACTGTGGTACAAAGAGGATGCAGTATCGGGATGTGGGGGTTGTCAAGGCTCATTTCTGTAAGAAATGATGTAACCTCCTCCTCTAAAGACAACAGGAAGATTTTTCCATCTTACTCCAGGCTCTGAGACTGTGGTTGATTTTGCCTCTTGATTGGTGAAAGCCATTGTTCCCCAAGGCAAATGACAAATTTCCCTTTTTTGCAGTGCTCTGGCTGTCCACAGTAATTCTAAGGGAGTGGCAGGGTAGGATGGGGCATCAAGCCTAAAGAAGAAAAGGCCTTTCAATTCTTTTTGTGCCACTGACTCATTGCTGTCTACATCTTTTTTTTTTTTGAGACTGAGTCTTCCTCTGTCACCCAGGCTGGAGTGCAGTGGCGCAATCTCGGCTCACTGCAGCCTCTGCCTCCCAGGCTCAAGCAATTCTCGTGCCTCAACCTCCCAAATAGCTGGGATTGCAGGCGCCCACCACCACACCTGGCTAATTTTTGTATTTTTAGTAGAGATGGGGTTTCACCATGTTGGCAAGGCTGGTCTCGAACTCTTGGCCTCAAATGATCCACCTGCCTTGGCCTCGCAAAGTGCTGGGATTACAGGCATGAGCCACCACACCTGGCCTGCTGTCTACATCTTGATGTTCACATCCCTTAAAGAGTGGAAACCCAACTGACTCCCTACCGTCCTGCAACACCACAAGGAAGAGGCTGTGCCCCTCTCAAAAGCTGTCCAGATTTTCTTTTCCCTGTCATTGTCAATCCTCTCTGTTTCTCTACCTTTCTTCTTTGGTCTAGTTTCATGCAGGGTATGAGATATTCTTAGAATACCATCTTGGCCCTCCAGACCATATGTTCCAATTTTCATGTGGCAACAGATATAAGCAAAACAACTAAAAGGCACGTTGGCTAGCAGTCACAGCAGGAAGGATAATTAATCAAGTTACATGGTGTGTTTCTTTTTAGTTTTCCACTGAGAGGTAGCTATGGTTCAACAGAGGGACTAGGGGACTGGGAGTCAGAAGCCATCAGATGTTTCATGATCCAGTACATGACCTAGAGACCGATGTGCCAGCTCTCTGGTCTCACCTTCCAAACCTGTAAAATGAAGAGGTTGAACGAGCTTAGGAGCTGAAAATGCCAATGTCTACAGGGGCCTGGTAGGGAATATAAATGAGTATAGAACACAGAGCTATGCGGGCTGGGGAGAACTGGGGCAGGCATGCCCCATCTCAGGGGACAGTGGCAGCTCAGAAGCAACCAACTGTCGCCCTGAAAGAAGGGTCCAATGTCTTCACATCTGCTAATCTTTGAGGAGCAGCCATGGGTCTATATTTTAGGTAAAATCTCTGTTTTAATAGTGTCAACTAATTAAAACGATTTTTAAATGCTGTGAGCCATGCAAAATGTGTCTGCAAGCTGGCTACAGCCCTCAGGGGCACAGTCTTTGGCCTCTGCATCAGGCAGTGTCTCTAAGCTCTCTTTAAGAGCTAACATCCTATGATCTACTCTAGAGCATGTTTTTACAGCAAAATCTCCTTCCTGATGAATGGCTATTTGATAATGCAGCCAGAAATGACACAGCGTGGGACTGCAGGTGACAGGACAGAGCTGGGATTTGATCTGGAGCTCAGGGGCAACGGGAAACCAAGAGGGACTGGGCATGGGGGTGATATCTGAGAGAAATGGGGCATGATCCAATTTACATTTTCACAAATCCATCCCGACTGCTGTGGGAAGAATGAACTGAAAAGAAGAACCACTATACTTGGTCAAGCCAGTGTGGCAAACACATGAGCACCAGCTAAGTGGCAAGCGATGGGGAAATCTGGCCCCTGGGCTGCATAAAGTCCTGGCCCAGTGATGCGTCTTCTCAGAGGGGAGCATGCTTTTTTTTCTTTTTTTTTTTTTTGAGACAGAGTCTCGCTCTGTTGCCCAGCCTGGAGTGCAGTGGTATGATCTCGGCTCACTGCAAGCTCCGCCTTCTGAGTTCACGCCATTCTCCTGCCTCAGCCTCCCAAGTAGCTGGGACTACAGGTGCCAACCACCGTGCCCAGCTAATTTTTTGTATTTTTTCTTTTTTAGTAGAGATGGGGTTTCACCGTGTTAGCCAGGATGGTCTCTATCTCCTGACCTTGGGGAGCATGCTTTTTCTATATCAAGGTGCCCTGCAGGTTTTCTAGCCATGGGGCAGGGGTAAACCAAGATGGCAAGCTAGAAAGTTCCTACAGGGGAGGGATGATGATGATTCTTGAACTCAGATGGAGGCAGTGGCTGTGGAGGAAAAAAAAGACAGGCTCCAAAGATATTGAGGAGGTAGAATGGACATCTGTTTGTGACTGATTAAATACAGGGGCAAGACAGAGGGAAGCATCAAAGGGGGCTGATGGTCCAGTTTCTACCTTGAATGACTGGGTGGCTGGTATGGAAAAGACTGAAGGAGGAGCAGGTAGACATGGGAAGCAGAGATGACTTTTGAACATGTGAAGCATGAGATGCCTGAGTGATATGAGAGTGAAAAACGTCAAGTCAATGACTAGATTTGCAGAACCCACATGGGTCTGAGTTAGAGAATCAATCCCTTCGAAATCTGGAGTATTCTTTGCTCGTTATTTTTGAAGTCTTCTGTTGGCTAACTCTAATATGAAAAGAAACAGTTAGTCTATATACTGAAGAAGATTTTTCACTGATTCTCCTTCGGTTATGTGGTGCAACCCACAGTCAGCTCCCTGCCCTCTTACGCACACCAAGTAACAAGTACTTCTATAGTGTTTGCCCTAACAGGCATTGTTCTGAGTATTTACCATGTGTTAGCCTGCTTACCTCTCACAATTGCCCTGAAGGATAGCTATCATATTCACTTTCTTTTTTTAGATTTTCTTTATATTCACTTTCTTAAATGAGGAAACTGAGGCACAGAGAGATGAAGTAACTTGCCTTGTGTGAACAGGCCAGAGATGTTTAATCAGAATTTGAACCAAGTAATCTGGCTTCTGAGTCATGCCTTTAACCACCACACATTAAGCTTTGCTGCCTCTTCAAACGTCAGAAATGGTATTCAAGGCTACTTTTAGTTCTCACTCTTCCACATTAAATACCCCTGCTCCTTGCTTGAGCTGGTTTCTAGATGTTCCCCTCCTTCATTAGCCTTATTTTCCTGCTCTTGAGCAACTAAAGTTTGCTGGCTTGGACCATGTGTATGAATGAGTCTTCTCTTCTGGATGAAGGGCAGGAACCAGGCCCTGTGTTTATTCCTTCTGAATCCTTTATAAAGCTGCCAAGAGTACGCACACAGAGCAAGCCCTCATAGGCGGACAGGGCGGGCCAAGTAGGGATAATAGGCCTGCCCACATGGGTGACATGAGTCAGCTGGGAATATACTTTTATCTGTCACAACCTTAATTAAGGGAAAAGGCCTTATTTTGTAAAATACTGGCCTTGTAGCTAGAAATGTCAACATAATGAATTGGCTAATTGTTCTTTCTTGCTGCTGATCTTCGCCAGTGCGGTCTCTAGATCACAGCATTGAAGCTGGAAGGCACCTTACCTGGTTGCACTCTATGACAGGACTGACCTATGCTATGGCACGAATGCTGTGGGGCCAGGCCGCCTCTCACGAGGTTTTGGATCATGCTCTGTCTCTTTGGGAGGATTTCTCAGGGACAGAGTCTCCCCAGTTCTCTCACCCTGTGGTTTTCCTTCCTGTCCTGTTCCTTAGGGGCTGATAAGTGTCAGAGAACAGCCACTGTCTGCTCCCTGCCAGGGGTCTGGGGACACTCCTTTCTGTTGTCACTGGGTCACTCCTCGCCCCACCCCTTGCCCCCTCTGCAGATATTTCTAACTCATAAACCCCTGCATGCCTCCTCTGCCAACTGGCCTCTATCACTCCCACGGTTTTTGTTCCTCCCCACCTCCCACCCGCTAGTATGTCAAGACAAAACCCGTCTAGGAAGGGAGCCTAACCAGAAGACACAGGTCACCTGGCCTGCACAGCAGCTCCATCCCTGCCAAGGAAATGGAGGCCTCAGGCAACTGAACTTACAGAAGACATTGGTCCTAAGGGTTGCCCCTGGGAAGGGGCTAGGGAGTGGGGAGTGGGGAGGTGTGAAGGAGAGGCTGCCTTTTCACTAGGTACCTTTTTGTATCCCATCTTCTTCAAATATAAATACTTAGATTTTCAGCAATAATCTAAGTCTCCTAGCTCTGTTTCCAAGTGCATTAAATAACCTTCAGATAATAGTCTGGCTCTTCACACAAGGTTTTCCACAGAGAGAAAAATATGCTGACCTGCAAGCATGCATGTTCGTGTCCTTGTAGGAGGAATTTTTATCTTAACCCATTAACAAACAGGTGTTCTGATTTATACATCGGTTCATGAATCTGTTTCTCCTATCTCTTTTCCGAGCCTGATCTGCTCTGGGTCTGGGAATCCCTTGGTTTGCGAAGCTGAGGACCAGACCTGGCGGGGGGAACCCTGGCAGAGCCCTGCCCATCCACAAGGCACCGCTGCACGGCCAGCAGCCTTCCTCTGGTCTTGGAAAGCAGCTTTTCTTCTTATGACAGGTTAAGGTTGCAACAGTAGTAGCAACAGCTCCCATATTCTGGGTCCCCAAGAGAAGGCAGGCCAACAGGATCCCTGACTGGCTGTAGAATGACCAAGTGCGAGGAGAGTGTCATGCATTCCCAGCCTGAGCTTCCTGAAGAAGGAATGTGAGCCATCAAATGGAAAACCAGTTGAGAAATCTAAGGGCCACCGAGAGTGGATTCGAAGGCCCCAACCTGCTTTATGATGAGGTGCTCCTCATCTGATGCGTGTTTGTGGTTGAGGAGTAGGGGAAGAAAAGGGAAAAATATGTCATGAAGAAGAGGAAAAGAAGGATGACTAAGAAGGGGCAGGCAGGTTTCCACCAAGAAAGAAAATTCAGCCCGCCAACCATAAAGAATGAAATGGCGACAGCCACTGTGACCTTGGAGGAGTTGCTTAACCTCTGTTGCCTCTGTTTCCTTTTGTGGAAAATGAGAATAACGACAGCATCGACCTCAAATGGTTGTTCCACTGATTCAACAGGGTCATAGACGTAAAGCACTTTGCCTGGTTAAGCTCCACGTTCCCTGTCCCGAACCCGACTCCACAACACAAGCACACACACAGCTGAACATAGACAGCTCTTGGGCATTGAAAACACACTTCAAAAACCTCAGAGCCACTTGGGGAGAGACCTGGCTGGAAGTCACAGTCTCTTGAAGGACCAGATCTGAGTCTCCGATGGACCTCCTTCCAAATTAGGAGACAGTGACAGCGACTAGGAGAGACTTAAACAATCATCTGGTCTAATACCTTTTATATTTGTGCACCATGAATGAGCCAAATGAGATTAAGATACAATGAGAAAAAAAAAGGTATTACTTTAAAAATACTATATTTGTAAAATTATTCAGTAAAGTTCTACAGGACTAAGCCCTCTAATTCCTGGCAAGCAACCACTTCTCCAAAGGCAGACCTCTGATTTCAGATCACTAGTCCTCTCTTCCAAGGCTTGAACCCTGCTACGTCGTCGCATGACCTTGCAAGTAAGTCTTAGCAGAAACCGTCTCACATTTTTTAAGCCTATGACTCTAGTGCACAGACGAGTGCAGGGAGTAGGTGATGGTAAACTCCACCTGCTGCACCCCCGTTCCCCATCCATTGTCATTCTACAGGGATGGGAAGTCTCCTGCCTAGACAGGTGAACTGGGTAGAAACAGAAGAACTGCTGAAAGCCATTGCACTAGAGCCGCACTACCCAATATGGCAGCCACTAGACATGTGTGGCTACTGAGCACTTGAAATGATCTGTGTCTGAATTGAAGTGTGCTCTAAATGTGAAGTGCACACCAGATTTTGAAGGCTTAGTATAAAAGAAGCATAAAATATCTCATTAATAATTGTTTTCTGGCAGGGTATGGTGGCTCACGCCTGTAATTCCAGCACTTTGGGAGGCTGAGGCAGGCAGATGACTTGAGGTCAGGAGTTTGAGACCAGCCTGACGAACATGGTGAAACCCTGCCTCTACCAAAAATCCAAAAAAAAAAAAAAATTAGCCAGGCATCACGGCACACGCCTGTAATCCCAGCTACTTGGGAGGCTGAGGCAGGAGAATTGCTTGAACCACAGAGGCGGAGGCTGCAGTGAGCTGAGATCGCACCACTGCACTCCAGCCTGGGCGACAGAGCAAGACTCCATCTCAAAAAATAAGTAAATAAGTAAATAAATAAATAAAATTAAGCCTTTAAAAAATAATAATCTATTCCTTTCATGTTGAAATAATAATACTTTGAATATACTGGGTTAAATAAAATATATCATTCAAATTAATGTTACATATTCTTTTTACTTTTTAAAATGTAGCTACTTCCAAATGTAAACCACATATGTGGCTCCAATTGGTGGCTTGCATGATATTTCTATTAGATAGCCCTACTCTAGAATCAGCTTTCTGTGTTCTTTCTGTTTCACCATTACCACTACTATCCTCATGGTTTATCCTTATTCTTCACAGGAGTGAGCAGTGACACCAGGGCAAGCTAACTAGCTATTCCTGGGCCTTTGTAATCCTGGAAAAGAAAGGAGAGAATAAACTAAAATCATATTCTTTTGCTTGGTAGTTTCATTCTCCCCTCCCAATGATCACAGCAATTTCTGAATGCAATACAATGCATGAAAGACTGAATGGGCTTCAGTTTACTCACCAGTAAAAATGAAGGCATTTGGCTAAATAATCTCACAGGCTCACAAAATTTAAAAGCTAAGAGACTTTAGGATTACCTGGCCCAGAAGTTTTCAACCCAATCAAATAAAACACACTTTTTATAACAAACATTTTATAGTACTCTACTAATCTGGTATAAAATCCATAGATCATATAACCTGCCCATGTTTTTAAATTAATATAACATGAAAACTGTAATACAAAGGAGAAATGAAAAGAAAATAGCTTACAGAAAATGTTGTGTATTTCAGTATGTGGATACTCTGCTTGATTGCACTAAAGGACAAGGGAGGCTCAGATTCTTGTACCTGTAGAATAACCACGAATGTGATATCACAATGCAGACAGATATAGGTGTGTTGCTTAGTGACTCAAACATCATTAGTGTTTGCTATAATTTGATTTTTTGGAGATTATTAATAACTCTTGGTAAAGTTCTGAGCAAAATAAAGTACAATCTTACCTCTATTTATACACAGTCCTGGAAAATTCAGTGTATATTTTCAGATGTGAAAAATACTATATGTTTATATAGAAAACATAGTCGGATTCCTTGAATGTCCGGCGGGACATGAAAGTCATGCCAGATATGGGCCAGGTGGTCGCTTTGTGGGATTGCCCAGAGCATTGTTTAGCAGTTCTGCACCTGCCCATCCAATGTCACCAGCACCCCACCCCCAATCATTGTGACATCTAAAAAGCTACCTTCACAGATTGCTACCAGCACCCAAGGGGGTGATTCCAACCTCTGCAGAGAATCTCTTTCAAACACTGCATAATTTGAGCAAAATGTGGGGCAAAATCATACAAAAAATTGATATTAGATCTAGGAATGGTAATTTTTTTTAAGAAAACATTGTACATATACATGATCACATAGGTTTCACAATTTATGTGGCTGGTTTCACGCATCCTTGTTGGCTCTGTCTCATTTCCAGTTATGAAAATGACTTGTCTTCTGAGATGCTTTGCTTGTGTCCTTACTTGACAAAGGAGGCCTGGAGGCTCAGAGAGTTGGTGGCAGGCGAAGCTGGAGAATGCAGGCCTCGTGACTGCCAGTTCTGTGCTCTCAGGCTAGCTTCCTCTGGCACTCTCCAAAGTTTGTAGGACGTCACAGCAGCAGTTGTGCTAGTTGCAACACTTCTGATTCTAACTGCAGTGTTTACTTTCAGACCCTCGGCCTTTGCTGCTTACATAGGATTCTAGGATTCGTGATGAAGGCAGATTAAATATTTAGATCCCTCGAACAAGTTAAATTACAATCGGGCTGGATTCCCACTGGGTAATCCCACTTGAACCTTGTGTACTCTGGGGGGAACATGAACTTTACTCATTTCATTCAAAACTCGCATGAACAGAGAGTGAAGCTGGCTCCTCTCCACCTCCCCCGCCCCCACAAAAAAACTGCTTATCTCAGAATGAAAAATCCATCCAGTTCCTTGGAGGATTCGCTTTGCCTTGCCCCATAGCGGACATAGTGTGTGTATTCAGCGGGAACAATTTGCTCATGCCAAGAAACTAGATCCTGTTTGAATGACAGTAGTTATGGGAAAACAATATGTCTACAGCCCACACCAAAGCATGGCTTGTACTTTATGGCTGGCATTGTCCCAGAAGAGAATTGGCAGGCAGCTGAGAAACCTCTCATGGCCACTGGACTCGGACAACCATCTCTACTGCCCTCACTTGCCCTTAACTGCCTATACCCCTTAATTTGGACTTTTGGTCTAGGAGCAATATCTTCCAAGTCAATTTCTGCTCTGTGGCACTCTCGGTAGCTGGGGGAAAGGGTGATTCTGGCTGGCCCTGGACTCTTAACTATTCTCAGAGTCTCCAGAAACATCTTTTATTCTTCTTTCTTTCTCTCCTCTTTTTTAAAGCCTATAGACTCTTTCCGTTTCCTCGGCAGCTCTAAGCTCATCCTGCTCCCTCCCCTAGCTTAGCTCCATACCCCCCTCTCAGGACAGTGGTTCCTTAATGTCCACAGAACCCAGGTCAAGCCCATGTCATGACAGCAGGTGTCCCTTGTTGCTGGGACTTGGACCACCGAGGCCCTCTGGGCTTTGAGATAATTTGTCATACACACTCTGATACATGAGCCGGAGAACTCAACCTAAATTAGTTACAGGTGGGACAGAAGAAACAAATGAAACTGGGCATCAAGATTTCTCCAACTGACACATATAATGTGAATGTGAGAGAAAGCATAGGATCACAGATCCGTAAAGGAAAAAGAAAAGGCCATGGAAAGACAGAGGAAGTTTCTGTCCCAACTTTCCCTGATTACTTGAAATTCTGTGTGTCTGAAGTGAGCCAAGAAAAGCTGCCAAGAAAGAAGTTGTGGAAGATAAGGGCACAAATGCAACATTTAGTTTTCAGTGCTTTGTAAAAGCCCAAAGACTATTGCGTGTTCTTGACAACTGCATTACCACGTTAGATTCCAGTTTTTTTGAATTTGGATGTTTTGGGAGTTTTTACATGGCTAGATTCTTAGCATCTAGTGATAAAAGGAAAGGGACTCTGACAATGCAATTTCCAGTTACAAAATAGGTGTTAGTTCTTATTTAATTATACAATCCCTTCTGCTCTATCAGCTATTGGCAAAGTTTTCTGTGCATTGTCTTAATGCTTTGTGATACAATTCTTTTATGATATAACACATATCCCTTAAATTTGTATTTCCTGCCTTTTCTTCCCGCACTAATTTG
Source organism: Homo sapiens (assembly GCF_000001405.40). Lineage (NCBI taxonomy): Eukaryota > Metazoa > Chordata > Mammalia > Primates > Hominidae > Homo > Homo sapiens. Next base: position 93,813,003 of record NC_000012.12, on the reverse strand, counting down.
AACCATACAAAAAATTGATACAAAAGAGGAGAAACTTCATGCAGGACAAATAAGGATATTCTACTGGGGCAATTCTCAATTAAAGTTAGCATTTTACATAACAATACAGGATATGGCAAAATCAACTCAAGATGCGGTATATTGCGATAGCATTATAACTAACCAAGTCCAGACCTGAATTTTACACCAGTTGTAAATCATGGTGAGAAAAATAAATCTCATGCCTGAGCCAGAGTTTGCTTTCCTTGGATTTGGCAACAAACTATTACTAACTTTGCACAAGATAGGCCACAGGGGAGAAAATAACTACATTTCTTTGAAACAATCCCTGGTTATAAAGGGTAGCTAATTCTCATTTAGCAACCAGCTGGATTTTTAAATAATAATATCACCTTTAATGAAAATTGATACATCTAGCCCCAAAAGAAACTATGTCTAAATGACATTCCTGGAACTTAGAATACAATTTTTTTTTTTTTTTGTATTTTTTTAGTAGAGATGGGGTTTTGCCAAGTTGGCCAGGCTGGTCTTGAACTTCTGACCTCAGTTGATCCACCCACCTCGGCCTCCCAAAGTGCTAGGATTATGAATTTTTTTTGAAGTCCACTATTTATTTATGCCAGTTAGTCAGTTAGTTTATACACATTGCCTTGTTTAAGCTTTTTAGAAGACTTACTAACTAAAGTCCATAGCTGACATTAGGGTTCCTTCTTCGTGTACAACACAAAGAAGGGTTTGTCAAATACACAACGACATGTGTCCATCACTACAGTATGTTCTCTAGTATCATTCTATGATTGATAGAGTAATATAGTATTCTAGATACTATAGAAGAGTTTCACTGCCCTAAAAGTCCCCTATGCTTCATCAACTCATCCCTTACTCCCTTCCCCGAAGGCCTGGCAATCACTGATCTTTTTTACTTTCTCTATAGTTTTGCCTTTTCCAGATGTCATACAGTATACCGCCTTTTGGACTGGCTTCTTTCACTTATCAACGTGTATTTAATGTTCCTCCATGTCTTTTCATGGCTTGACAGCTCATTTCTTTTATCACTGAATAAAAGATACAGATGGACATACCACAGTTTATCCACTCAGTTACTGAAGGGCATCTTGGTTGCTTCCCAGTCTTGGCAATTATGAATAAAGCTGCTACAAACATTTGTGTGCGCAGGTTTTTGTGTGGACATAAGTTTTCAATTCCTTTGGGTAAAAACCAAGGAGATGGATTGCTGGATCATATGGTAAGAGTATGTTTAGTTGTATAAGAAACTGCCAAACTGTCTCCCAAAGTTGCTGTACCATTTTGCCTTCTCATTGCTTAATCTTTTAGCAGCGTTTCAATGTATGTATTTTACCACCTGTTACTCAGATGAACAAACTGAGATTTCAAGAGATTAAATCACTTGCCCGACGTCTCAAAGCAGAGTGAGGACTAATGCTGAGATTCAAATTTGGGTTGATCTGGCTTTAAAGCTGGTGATCATCCTGCTACACTACACTGCATCACCAAGCAAAACCAGCACTGAGCCAGGGCAGAGTCCTTCAATGGTGCCAGTATAGGTAGCCAGCCTCTGCTGAATGTATTAACGTCCCCATCCTGAGCCTAAAGCCAAGCATCAGGGAAATGTCCTATCACACAGCCTGGAAACTTTACTCCTTCCCCTGAACCACAGAGTCACTTTTTTCTTCCTCCTCTGCCCCAGTTCTGGGGAGGGGCTGTAAGGCACTGTGAATCTGGCACAGAGCAGGCACTAGAAGTAGTCATGCCTCAATGCAACTCTAGCTGTAGGCAAAGACAGCCTGCTCTTATTAAACTTTGCATTATCATGCCATGAAACCACAGTCAGTAATGCAAACACTAACCCAAAACCCCAGCATGAGGTTTCAGAATTCAGGGCTTCTTTCAAAAAACTAGACCACCAGCAGCCGGCTGTTCCAGGAGGGGGGGCTAAGGGAAAAGTCACTGACATCCCCTTAAGCCAGAAACAACTAAAGATAACTTATCACAGGCTCATACCTATAAACTAAGGGACTTAGTCACTTGCAAATGCTTCTAGATTTTTAGCTCAAGACAAGGGAGTTTTGCATTGCATTTTCCAGGTGTGATCTGAATATTTCTCATTCTCAGTCTGGCATAAATCCAAATACACTTGTACCTCAGTTAACTGATTGTCACAATGTATAGCATAGGTTGAAAGACAGGCAGTGATAGTGCTGGGAGGGAAGGCCAGGTTGAACCTACTGTTGGGGCTGGGCTTGAGGCTCAGCCCTAGCAATGACTTAGTAGGGCCTTGAGGCATGACATGGAGCCCGTTTCACAAGGAGGCTAGGAGTAATATTTACCATGTCATAATACACACATCAGCCATACTGCATTCTGCAAAGGGCCTAGTGAAATTCCCTATTCTTTTTTTTTTTTTTTTTTTTTTTTTTTTTTTTTTTTTTTTGAGACTGATTTGCGCTCTTGTTGCCCAGGCTGGAGTGCAATGGTACAATCTTGGCTCACCGGAACCTCTGCCTCCAGGGTTCAAGCGATTCTCCTGCCTCAGCCTCCCAAGTAGCTGAGATTACAGGCATGCGCCACCATGCCCAGCTAATTTTTTTATATTTTTAGTAGAGATGGGGCTTCTCCATGTTGGTCAGGCTGGTCTCGAACTCCCGACCTCAGGTGATCCGCCCGCCTCGGTCTCCCAAAGTGCTGGGATTACAGGCGTGAGCCACCGTGCCCAGCCGAAATTCCCTATTCTTAAGGCACATCGGTTCTTTCTCTTCCTGTCTTCTCTCATCAGCAATTCCAGCTACATTAGTCACGCCAGCTTTCAAACAGGGCACAGAATGTCCTACTTCAAGAGAAAGTACAATTTGGTACAGTCTGGAGACATAGCTTAAGAAGAGTGAGTCTTGTTTTCAGAGTTAATATGGTCTGGTTAATTTAGAGAGTGTACTTTACACGCAATTTGGACAAGCCTAGAAGCACAGCCCTTGCTGATGGTAAATTCTTTAAAAGGTTTGTACAACTTTTCAGTTGTTGAGCGAGAAGGTTATATAAGACTAATGCTTTAGCTGCCACTTGTAGAAGTGGTTAGATTTCTATCAAGGAGAACACAAGTTGAGGGGAAGGGATGAGACTGTTGAATACAAAAAGAGGCTAAATTCATGGAACTATTATGCCCATGTCTTTATCCACCAAGGGAGGGCTATGGATTTAGTTCACATTTTCATATATGTAGAAAAGGGAAACAAGAATAATGTGTAAACCAGCTATGCCAAGATGCCCATTCATTCCGTGTTCATTCAATTATAAAGAAAAGTCCTTACTGTGACTCTGAGGCAGTAAAGAGGGTAAGGCCATACTGGCACACACTGGACCTTGGGGTCTAGGAAGCACAACCACTCAGGCACTGGGGAGGCATGGTCCTGGCATTCAAGACTCTATGTCATTATAGCATGACAGAAGGAAGGGATTTTGTGATCTAATCTGATCAGTCACTGCCACCCAATTCACATCAAAGAAAATGGAGACCAATGGGTTTAAATGATCTGCCCAAGGTCACACAGCTAATTTATGGCAAAGATGGGGCCAGAACCCCATATCTTTACCCCCAATCCAGGATTTCTTCCAGAACACCGATGTTCCTCAAACTGAGGCAGAACTACTCTCTGAGCACAATTATATGCACAGCAAAAGAATAAACCTGGTGTATTTTCCTGGAGAATCCATTTAAATGATAAACATTTTATATTAAAACACATATGAATATATTATGAATAGAAGTCAAAATTCAGGCTGGGCACAGTGGCTCACACCTGTAATCCCAGCACTTTGGGAGAGCAAGGCAGGTGGATCACCTGAGGTCAGGAGTTTGAGACCAGCCTGGTCAACAAGGTGAAACTCTGTTTCCATTAAAAATACAAAATTATCTGGGTGTGGTGGTGTGTGCCTGTAATCCCAGCTACTCAGAAGGCTGAGGCAGGAGAATCGCTTGAACCTGGGAGAAGGAGGCTGAAGTGAGCCAAGAAGGCGCCATTGCACTCCAGCCTGAGCAACAAGAGTGAAACTCAATCTCAAAAAAAAGAAAAAAAGAAGTCAAATTTCACAAAAATGTTTATAATAAAAAGAAGCCTTCACAAAGATTCTATGCTTGAGATGAGCCACTGTGGTCTACTTTCCCCGACCTCCTAGGAACATGGTCAGTCTGAGGAAGGCAGGGGATCTTCAGAGGTGACCTGGGCAAGCAATGCAGTACTCAGTGCATGCAGCTACTCAACGGCATTGGCTCACTCAGAGGTGATTGGGGACTGAAATGTATCAACTGAAGCCACAAAGAGCTGGACTGATAAGAGGCAATGCAGAGCACTCCAAAATACTGTGACCTGACAATGTCTGCTAGTCTCATTGGCTTCCTTGAGAAACTGGGTGGGCACAGTGCTGCAATAAAGGGGAGCTGGATGTTCTCATGGGATAATAAAATGAGAACTGATGTGGTGTTGCTGTGTCCCTACCCAAATCTCACCTTGAATTGTAATAATCCCCACGGTGGAGATCACTGAATCATGGGGGCGGTTTCCCCCATACTGTTCTCATGGTAGTGAATAAGTCTCGAGAGATCTAATGGTTTTATAAATGGGAGTTCCCCTGCACAGGCTCTCCTTGCCTGCCAGCAATTAAAACATGACTTTGTTCCTCATTCGCCTTCTGCCATGATTGTGAGGCCTCCCCAGCCATGTGGAACTGTGAAGTCAATTAAACCTCTCCTTTATAAATTAGCCAGTCTCAGGTATGTCTTTATTAGCAGCATGAGAACAGGCTGTGTGAGGGAGAGCTAGAGCGAAAGCCTGAGCTCTCCCTTCACACAGCTCCTTCTACACAGCTCACTCCTCCACCTCATTCAAGTCTTCACTCCCAGGACACCCACTGAATGGGGGCCTCCCCACCCACCCTAATTAAAATCACACACTACCCCCATGCTACCTCTGTTCCTTAGCCTGCTCTATACTTTTTTTTTTTTTTTTTTTTGCATAACACTTACCATCTTCTAACATACCAGGTAATTTACTTATTTATAATGCTTATTGCCTGTCAGACCCCTTCTCACCCAGTTAGAATGTAAGATCCCCAGGCCTGTTTTCCAATGTAAACCAAGTACCTAAACAGTGCCTAGCACATAGCAGGCACCCGATAAATACTTGCTGACTGATGGATGTACTCATTGGTTTTTATTTGGATGGCTTTAGGTCTCAGCTTAGCTGCTACTTCCTTTGAGAAGCCACTTCTGACCAGCCAAGCTGGAGGTGCCATTCCAGTCATATCACTCAGGTGATCTGCATCATAGCATTTATCTCTACCTCTCATAGATTCTCATAGATTTGTTTATTTTCTCTGTCTCTCCACCTCCCTGATCCCCAACTTCACAAACGTGGAACTTTGTCTTGATTACCAGGATGTCTCTGGTACCTAGGACAGTGCCTAGCACATGGTAGATAATAAATGTCTCTGGTCATCAGCTGGAGGGCTGGCTGCCTCGTTCTTGATCCAGCAGCTTGAAAGAATTAAGGGGACTGAGACCATGAGTGATCTGAGTTTGCTACTTTGGGAGAAGCTCCTCTACCTCTACCAGAATGAGCCTTGGTGCACCCTCCACACACCTGACATGGGGAGCATTCCTATTCTCTCCTTCAGTCTGCCTTGTTCATCCCTCTGTGCTCCTATGAAAAGGTATTTATTGAGTCCATGATCTATTCCAGCAGTCTTCAAATGGACTTCCCAAAGGTACTAGAGCAGGGACAGTTTCACAAAAATGAGTTTCTACATCCTCAATTTCCATATGTACTAATTCTGAAACTGCCTGAGAGCCTTTGGGCATCAACAATATTCTTTCACCCACTCTACAAAAGAAAGTCACACCACTCATATCTCAAATCTTAATATGGTGTGCTACACTAAATGATTCCAAATACTGGTTGGGGGAAGCCTTAGCACTTTCTGTCTCTCCCTGTCCTGCAAGCAAGTCTGTAAGAGTAGGGTTGGCCAGTCCTGGGTAGTTCTGAGTTCAGGACAAAGTAGTACATATAAGTGATGTGGATTATCTTTAAATAACCACAGTGTTTTCTGAAGTCATCAGATCTTTCAAGATGTGCTGGATAAAGTCTACATATAAGCTTTTTACTGATTTCCTTCCAATTTAACATGTTATTCAATAAGGTCATTAAAACCTAGTTCATCAAATCATGTCACAAAATATTTATTCCACACACCATCAATCTTTACCTTATGAAACATGTAATGTCTTCTACTCCTTATTTTTAAAATGATGGAAATATTTAGATGTCAGATTTAAACAGTGAGATGGTACACAGTTTTTAAAACATTCTTTCAATGGCATATAACAAAAAAAGTTTGAAGACCACTGATGTGCAGATGCAGATGAGAAGCTTAAGTGGGTAGGGAACACTTTGTTAATGTCCAAGCCACCAGAAGAACAAAGACTGACCACGTGTCAGTCCATCCTTTTTTTTCTTTTTTTTGTTTTTTTTTTTTTTTTTTTTTGAGATGGAGTCTCGCTCTGTCGCCTAGGCCAGAGTACAGTGGCACAGTCTCAGCTCACTGCAACCTCTGCCTCCCGGGTTCAAGTGATTCTCCTGCCTCAGCCTCCTGAGTAGCTGGGACTACAGGCATGCGCCACCAAGCCCAGCTAATTTTTTGTATTTTTAGTACAGACAGGTTTCACCATATTGGCCAGGCTGGTCTCGAACTCCTGATCTTTTGATCCGCCCACCTCGGCCTCCCAAAGTGCTGGGATTACAGGCATGAGCCACTGCGCCCGGCCACCTCTCTTGTTTTTTCAAAAAGGCCAACTACACCAGGCTCATGGTAACTGACATTTTCAGCCACTGAAAGAAAACAGGTGTACCTGTTAAATTTCCCGAGGCAAAGAAACATATTGAAATACCTAATCTGCTCATTACCAGCCTGCTGCCACTGCCAACGTCTAAAGACTTAGCAACTCACACACATATTGTTCTTCTTTCCTTCAACAGGCCTGAGAAATTACAGCCCCCTTCAGGGACTTGCTGTACTTTGCCCAGCCAAGCATCTCTGGGTAATTTCAGAAGGAAATGAGCTCTATGCCGCATTATGATAATCAATGCCCTCCTTCTTTCCCTCTGACAGATATGTCATCACCAAGGCATTTGCTACACATTGTTCCATGGCCGACAAGCAGGCTGCTGCATGGGGTACAAGGTCTGGGCACTAAGCAGCAGGATACAGTTTTAATGTCCTAATTTCATGTAACAAATGTGGATTTCCAGCAGTCTTGCTAATACATATTTCTTCAGGCAACTTGTTGGGGAAGGAGAAGGAGGGTTTCCTACGTTAGTTAGCTGTTTATTTTTATTTTTATTTATTTATTTATTTATTTATACACACAAAACACTGTTCTTTTTCACTGAACAGCTCGATGTACTGGGTAGGAGAAAAGGGCAGTTGAGGAAACAGGCTCGGAGGACTGGCTCAAAAAAATAAAGAAAAAGAAAAACTGAGTATAACGTAATGTAAAATCTTTTATATACATTTATTGAAATAATTCATTCAAATTTCTAAAATAAAAATAAATGAATTAGACTGTATATACCCTTTCAAAGTAATTTCTATACTTCTTCTAATGATTTTCCATTTATTCTTACTTTAGAGTTTTCTCACATATATATTAAGAAAAAAAGACTCAGAAATATATATTTTCTCGGTGTAAGGCTGAAATCTGTATTACAGGATTTCCATGTAGAGTAAGAGAGAGAAACCTCAATGGATATGTACAAAGGCAACATGATTTGGTCTTCAGAATTGCTTTATAACCCCAGCAAGGAAGTAACTGTGGCTTTAAGAATATTCAGTACACAAAGATAAGTGGTGCCTAACTCAGAAATGACTTACTGAACTCATCACAGTCATTAAAACAATAGAAACTCTAATGGATTCTGAGAAATCTTGAAAGCAGTAGCTATTATACTCGGCTTACTCATCATCCTTAACTACCATTTATTAGTTCTCACCCCCTTTGTATAGCAGGTATTATTAATCATCTGTCAGAGTTCTGGGAAGTTAAGATCAGGGAGGGTAATGCAAGGTCAGACACTGAGTCCATGGGCAAAGTGAGATGGGGTCTGAATCGAGGAGTCCTTCATTCAATGTTTGATTCTGAATTATGTGTCTACATCCTTTCCTCCTCCCTCTCACTCCTACCCACTGCCTGGCCATGAAGTTTTATTTTCCAACTGTTTTGCTTGGTGTAAATTGGAAGGACTCTAATGGAGAGATGAAACAGCCACATTTCAACAGTAGAGGAGGGGTGGTGATTTAGAAGGAAACAAAATCTTAATGGTGTCACTAGCCAAGGGCCTGACCACAGTGTTCAGCAGCTCATTCTGATGAGTACACCATGACTCCGGCAGACACCCCGCACTACATTTCATTGTTCTCCTGAGACTTGGGGACTTCTTTAGTTTGATCCAAATCTCTCATAGTCTGGGTATGTCAGCACTTACCAGAGCATCTGGATGAAAACGGAAAATTTCCCCTCAGATGTAGCTGGTATATACCTGGTTATACAATTCCAAAATCCAGATATTTGAAATCATACATGTGACTGACTAAATGTGTGCATTTTCCCTTCAATGTCAGGCATCATTGCAATAGCCTGGATATATTTAAGCTACCAAGGAACATCCTCACTGGCATCACTCTTGCCAAAATGCATTAAACACCCAAGTTTCCAGATAAGGATGACAGGCATTAAGAACCTACAGATGTGCCTACTCTACAGATGTATGTATTTTTTTTTTCATTTAAGTGTTTTGTATGGGATGGTGTATTAGTTTTCTACTACTGCCATGACAAATGGCCACAAATGTTAATGACTTCAAACAGTACAAATTTATTATCTTAACAGTTCTGAGACCTGTGCTCCCTTTTGGAGGCTCTAAGGGGATTGCATTGCCTTGTTTATTCCAGCTTCTAGAGACTGTATTCCTTAGCTCCAAGGCCTTGCCACCATCTTCAAAGACAGCAACAGTGGGTCAAATCATCACATCGCATCGGTCTGATCCACTCTTTTCCTCCCTTTTCCAATGTTTTCTTGTGATTAGGTTGGGCCCATCTAGATAATCCAGAATAATCTCCCAATCTCAAGATCAGTACCCTTAATCACACCTGCAAAGTCCCCTTTGCCATGGAGGTAACATATTTGCAGGTTCTAAGGACTCAGGCATGAACATCTCGGTGGGAGGGACATTAGTCTGCCTACCACAGATGAGTTTCTGTTTTGTTTTGTTTCTTTTCCATTTCAGCTGGAAGTAATTTGAGACTTCTGCTTCTCAGAATGCCAGGAGAGACAGATCTCCCGAGTTAAGACTTGCTAACAGCTTACTGGCAAGGCAGGGCACTCACAGTTTTTTTTAAAGACGCTTAATGCCAAATGGTGGACGTGGAATGGCTTTAAAAGAGAAACTGTATTTAAGATGGCCTCAACTACAGTAGATATTTTTTTTCTTGCTCACAAACAATACTTGGCAGGTGAATACGATAGAGGAGTGGGCCTCTTTCTTGCCATCATTCAGGAACCCAGCTTAATAGCAGCTCTGCCAACTTCCAAATCTCTCCCAGGAGCTGCCTCCCCTCCAGCCAGCCTGAAGGGAAAAGGAAGATGAAAGAGAGAGAGCATATGGGAGGTTTTCATGGGCCAGGCCTGGAAGTGGTACACATTTCTCTATTCATATTCCATTGACGAGACCTCAGTTTCCCTTAACTGCAAGGCAGACTGGGAAATGTATTTTGGCTGTATATCAGAAAGAAGAGGAAACACATGGTGGGAAACAGCTGAGAGTATACCAAGAAATCATCCTGATCTACTCTAGTCTTCTCCCAGAAGTTAGTATTCTGTCAGCTTCCAAAGGTCATCAATCTCAAACAATTATCATTGATGGCTCTGAAGCATGGCATTTTATCTCTGAAATAAAACTGGCATTGGGGGCAAAATGGTATTGTTTCAGAGGCATAGCTCTCCTCTCCCTTCCTTGCTCTCAAGCTGACACTAAGGGGAGCTCCTGCCTACTTGCACACATGCTATCTCCATTACTCCAGAGAAACCTTTTACACAGAGGAAAGGCTGGCTATTGGAAGACATCCTGAAGCATTCAGAGCTCACACTGAGAAGCTCCCCCAGTAACTGAGATGCTGCACCCACAAAAGTACCTTGGTTTCTTCTACAGATTACAGGAAAACAAATGGCCTCCCAGAGAAAAGGTCTGGATAGTGTTTTCCCCCCTTGTCAGGAGACTAGCAGACCGAAGAGGACATTCAGAGGCCCCACAAAGATACATTTACCTGCAGAACAGTGGAATATTGTCCCATCCCACACCTCTTGAGCTTGCACTAGATGAGAAAAAGGAAGTAGCCATGACCAGTTGGCCATTGGGATATGCAGCTTGTGGCCTGGCCCCTGGCCCAGAAATTCTCCTGGCTGCTGCATCACTGATACCTGGTTCTAGTCTGTTTTCACACTGATATGATGATGGCTGACATGAGATCAAGCTCAGAGAGCCCTGATTTAAAATACAGCCTAAGACATAATTATAACGTCAAAAAACAATAGATGTGGGCATGGATGTGGTTAAAAGGAAACACTTTTACCCTGCTGGTGGGAATGTAAATTAGTAAAACCACTATGGAAAACGTATAGAGATTCCTTAAAGAACTAAAAGTAGAAGTACCATTCAATCCAGCAATCCCACTACTGGGTTCCTACCCAGAGGAAAAGAAGTCATATGAAAAAGACACATGCACATGCATGTTTACAGCAGCACAATTCACAAGTGCAAAGATAGGGAACCAGCCTAAGTGGCCATCAACCAACGAATGGATAAAGAAAACACGGTGTATATATGCCATGGAATACCACTCAGCCATAAAAAGGAATGAAATAATGTCTTTTGTGGCAACTTGGATGGAGCTGGAGGCCATTATTCTAAGTGAAGTAACTCAAGAATGGAAAACAAATATTGTATGTTCTCACTTATAAGTGGGAGCTAAGCTATGAGGATTCAGAAGAATGATGTAATGGACTTTGGGGACTTGTTGTGGCCGGATGGGAGGGGGTGAGGTATAAAAGACAACATACTGGATACAGTGTACCCTGCTCAAGTGACGGGTGCACTAAAATCTCAGAAATCACCACTAAAGAACTTATCCATGTAACCAAAAACCACCTGTACCCCCAAAACTATTTAAATAAACATTTTTTAAAGGCCAGGCACTGTGGCTCATGCCTGGAATCCCAGCACTTTGGGAGGCTGAGGCAGGCGGATCACCTGAGGTCAGGAGTTCAAGACCAGCCTGGCCAACATAGTGAAACTCCATTTCTACTAAAAATACAAAAATTAGCCAGGCATAGTGGCGGGTGCTTGTAATCCCAGCTACTCAGGAGGCTGACGCTGGAGAATCACTTGAACCCAGGAGGTGGAGGTTGCAGTGAGCTGAGATCATACCACTGCACTCCAGCCTGGGCAACACAGTGAGACTGCGTCTCAAAAAAATAGATAAAAATAAAATAAAATAGGGCCTAAGAACTACATCTAAGGCCAATCAAATAGTTAAGGAGGGAAAGTTCTTCAGAGATCAATACCAGCTAATAAATGCAGAAGAATGTAGGAATTAGGAAACTACCATTTTGCTTCCACCTCATGAAGTACTGGAATTTGGCAGTTATCAATAAACATTAAACCATTGTGAAAGGTTGATAAGGAACTTTATAATGGAAAGATCAAGGTGAAAATGTCAAAACCTCCAATCAATCTATGATCATTACACATGGGACTGACAGGCTTTATGTACCTCCTGATGTGGTATGGTTGAAAGTCTACAGCACCACCAATAAAAGATATTCTTGCCTGAAATATTTAACCTGAATCTAATCAAGCCTCTAGATTCAACGACTAGCTTACAGGAAATATAGCAAACAGAAAAGTGTATTAACTACCACCACAATGATAAAATCACCCTAATCCAGAATAAATGATTCAGCCACTTTAATAGTGTATGTGATGGTTAATTTTGTGTGTCAACTTGACTGGGCTTAAGGGGTGCCCAGATAGCTGGCGAAACATTATTTTCGGATGTGTCTGTAAGGGTATTTTCATAAGAGAGTAGCATTTGAATCAACAGATTGAGTAAAGATCACCCTCACTGTATTAGTCCATTCTCACACAGCTATAAAGATACTACCTGAGACTGGGTAAGTTATGAAGAAAAGAGGTTTAATTGACTCACAGTATGCATGTCAGGAAACTTACAATCATGGCAGAAGGCAAAGGGGAAGCAAGGGGCAGATCTTCCATAGTGGCCAGAGAGAGAGAGAGAGAGAGCAGGAGTAAGTGCCATACTTTTAAACCATCAGATCTTGTGAGAACTCACTCATTATCACAAGAACAACATGGGGGAACCGTCCCCATGATCCAGTCATCTCCCACCAGGTCCCTCCCTAACACATGGGGATTACAATTCGAGATGAGATTTGGATGGAGACACAGAATCAAACCATATCACTTGCCAATGTAGGTGGGTACCATCCAGTCTGTAGAGGGCCCAAATAGAACAAAAAAGCAAGGAAGGGTGAATTTTCTCTCTTCTTGAGCTGGAACATCCATCCTCTCCTGCATTTGGGCAACAGCACTCTTCTTGGACATTCCAACACTGACTGGGACGTATACTATATCCACCCTATACACCCCCAGTCCCTACCCCGACACACACACATACTGAATTACACCACCAGCTTTCCTGATTCTGCATCTTGTACACAACTTCTCAGCCTCGAAAATTATGTGAGCCAATACCTACAATAAATTTCATATCTATATTTATCTACCTATCTGTTACTCTCTCTGTGTCAATCTATCTATTAATATCATATCATCTATCTACTATCAAGTCTGTTCCTCTGGAGAACCCTAATACAGTGTATCCCAAATGTTAAGTTAATGAAAAAGTAAGTCATCATGGTACACTTACCACATTTTCTGCTAATGAATTTTAAGCTGGCATATTCAGAGATGAGATCCATGCACTATATCTGCTTACAAAGTAAATAACACGGCTACTTTGATATAGGTTGTTTTGATGAAAATAATTGTATAGCTGCAATTACTACTCTATCAGTCTTATTTCTGTCTATACCCCTACAGCAATGAGACTCTGATTTGCCCTGTTCTGATTTACAGCTTTAAACTATCTGGGTATTTTTTCAGCAATTCAGAATAAAACAGTCATTATTTCATATCTTTATTTTGTTCTCATGATCTCAAGTCAAAGATTCAGTTTGTTAAACAACTTAGGGTGGTAAAGATGTATTCTATAAAATGTCTTTCAATGGAACATTTCCACTGCAAAAGAAAACGGCAGACTGATCATGCTTACAGTTACATGCTATGATCTTTTTATTGAAGGTTGTAATCTGATAGTGGGTCATGACTACCTGGGAATAGAAGAGAGGTGACAAGAGGGTACTCCCTATGCAGAAAGGGTGAGCAATACTTTAGGAAACTCCTGGTGCATTTCTATTTACATGTGTGTGTGTGCTGGGTTACAATATAAAATGCATTTCAAATTGTCTGAATGTGGCCACTGTAGGTGACTGAGATTTGCATGCATCACAGTCACAAACATAACCTCAGAAAGTAAAATCAAGAGGCAGGACTCCATTGGAAGATGATCCAGAATAAGGTTACATTCGTTGTTTTAGTTAATCATTTACATAAAAATACCTAGTTCTCATAGAATTTTTGGATTCCTTGGGGCCTTAAATCCCAATTTGAGAAAGAATAACACAGTTCAAGTCCCTTATATTAATATAAGGAAACCAAAGTTACCCTGGTAGAAATGCATGTCCTTTCTCCCCTCCCCCTCTTCCCTCCCTTCTTCTCCTCCCTTCCCCCACTCCTAATTATGTTCCTGGGAGTCCCTCCCTCTTCCACACAGGTGTAAGAGAGCCCAGGGCTCCTAAAGCAGTAAGAGAGCCAGGCTACAGGGCGTGGACTGGCATGGGAGGGCTGGTTGTTGGCATGGCTGGGTATCCCTGGGCCTCAGAGAGAAACTCATCAGCACTTCTTGGCCTGCTTTCCTCGGACTCACCTGTGCTCACTATCAGAGTGCTAAGTAGAGGCACATCTGGAGGGGAAGTTCTTGCCAAAGGAGCCAGCCATGTGGTTTGGTTTGGCTCTTTAGTAACAGTACAGTAATAGTAACAGCTGTGGCTTGGCAGTTCCAGGTGTTCAGGAGCTGAGGTCTCTCAGTCTCTTCCAACCTTGGAAAGGAAGAATAATGGTCAAGAGCCCAGTCTCTGGAGCCTATTTGAGTTCAGATCTAACTGCCACCTACTAGCTGTGACTTTGAGTAAGTCACTTGACCTCTCTGTTTCTGAGAGGTCATGATTAAAATGGAGAGGAGGGAGGAGCTGATAATTGCTATCTCATAGGGTTGTTATAAGGACTGAGTGAAGTGTAACATATGTAAAATTCTTACAAGAGTGACTGACAAAGGTGCAATTATGACTCAATCAGTCTTATTTCTGTCTATAACCCTTCACCTTACCCTTCATTCCAGAAAAAAACACAAAAACCGAGAAATACTTCTGCTTCTACTATATCTAGGGCAGTGTCCCCAAGAACATTCATCCAGCAAATATTTGTGGGGATTCACAAAATACAGACAAAACACAGTTTCCTGCCTTCAAGAAAGGTATCATTTCCTGGGAAAAAAGAAAAAGTCATCCCACGAATTATAAATCATGTTCCAAGGGTTAAAACAGAGAAAACTACAGGATCAAGGAGGAGCAGCGGGATTTTGCCAGAAGGAGTCTCAGGTGAAGCTGAAGGAGGAAAATGAAGCTTCAACTGAGGCTTAAATGATGTGGAAAGAGATTGTTTCCAATCTTGAGCAAAATCTTATTGGTTCTCTTAATAAATCACCCAAAGCCTGAGTGACACAACTAAAATGGAAAAACAGAAACAGTTGATTCAATAGGGTGCTGGGACTGCAGGCTCGATCCTGGAAGCCCCCTAAAGGCAGGAACTGCCTCTTATTGCCCTTTCTACGCCATACTTGCCTGCCAGACACTGAAGGCACATTTGGCTGAATGTGTCCTTTTGTCTTTATTTTTAATATTGCTATTGATATATAATTATGCATTGTTATAATGTTCTTTGTGCAATAAAAAAATTGTAATAGAATTAAAGACATATAAACATACCAAGCACACATAAAATACAGTACCAGCAGTTGAGTTACCTATTGCGGTGGTTTTAAAATTCTTTTGGCAAAGTTATACCAGGTACCACCAAGATGTGGCCCAGACATTATGTGGGATTCTTATTGCCCTTCAAGATGTAGGAAAAAATTGGCTCAAACTGCCACCAACTCTATAGCTTCTGGAAACCCAAAACCCGTCTTAACATTTTGGTGAGGGATGATGTTCTCAGGGCCTCCTTCATTCCTGGGCTCCCTTTCCCATGACTGTTGTCTCTACACTACCTGCACTGACTGTGATGTGAATGAACGCATCTCCAAGTTCACCCCCTGAAATCCACTCCACACTACATGCTGTACTTCACAGAAAAGTCTGGAGACCATGAGGAACAGGTGCATCAAGACCCTCCCCACAATTTTATGCCATTTAGTTGATGCCTGCCATTCTTCCACCCTCCCCTCTCTTTCTTTCTCTCATGTGTTCCCCTCACTCTCAAAGCAACCAGTAAATGCTTGCCCTTGGCTTACACAAAGCAGCTCTCCCAATACCCAGGCCTTTGGGGTTTCCTTTTCTTCCGCAAGCACTCATCAAAGTGTTTTCCCCCAAGATTATTTTCTTCATAAAGCAAATTCTGATGCCAGATGTTCTAATGATAGCATTTCCATTTTCCCCACCTCCGAATATTTGTAAGGAAGAGGAGGGGTTGGTCCCAGTGGAGGAAGCAGCTGCACCAAACAGATGCAACAGTGGCCAGTGAAAGCAGCAGAGGTGGTACCAGGATGTGCCACGTGATATCCAGCCTAAGATGCACGTGAGCACGTGAGACACTGACAAGGGCAGAAGAGAGGTTTGCAAAGGGTTAGAGCTCTAATAGATAGCACAGGGTCATCAGAACCAGCAAAATTGAAATGATTAATGTCAAAGAGACTCATTAACCATGGGGTCTTAGAAAATAGGGGTTTCAGGTAAAAACTCATAAGAAAAATTATAATCTTGACAAGGAAAAGTCTAGCCCCATAGAAATGTTTTCATTGATCTAAAAGTAAATACTTAATACTAATAAAGAATATGTATTATCCAGATGGCTTTTTTTTTTTTTTTTGACACCGTTTTGCTCGTCACCCTGCTGGAGTACAGTGGCGTGATCTCGGCTCACTGCACCCTCTGCCTCCTGGGTTCAAGTGATTCTCCTGCCTCAGCCTCTCAAGTAGCTGGGATTACAAGTGCCCACCACCATGCCCTGCCAATTTTTGTATTTTTAGTAGAGATAGGGTTTCACCATGTTGCCCAGGCTGGTCTTGAATTCCTGACCTCAAGTGATCCACCTGCCTTGGCCTCCCAAATTGCTGGGTTTACAGGTGTGAGCCATCGTGCCCAGCCCAGATGACTTTTATATGGTAGTTCATAAAGAATGATCCTGACAAAAGAACAGATTTGTATTTATACCATGCAAAGGAATGTTAATTACAAAACTGTTGGCTATGGCAGAAAAAATTTCCCAATGGCTTAGCTTTATATAAAGTGTTCCCTTAAGATATATTACCTGAAGAAAAAGCTCAAAAGTCCTTGAAAAAAAAACCAAACTTATCCTCCCAGCTACTTGATAAAATAGACATAGATAGCTATTATTACATGCATTAGATAAGTAGATAATATTTAGCAGTTCCAACTTATCCCCAGTCTAGAAGATTCTTGAAGTACTTATCTACTCTAGGATGTGACAAAAGATTTCACCTTGGTTAGGAATTTCCTTATGCCCTCCTCTGAGAAGATTAGAAATTGTTCAAATCCCTGGGACATCCCTAGTGTGTCTCAGTCCAAGAGCCAAATTAATATCCTTGCCCTTGTTCTAGCTATTTTACAAGAGGCTGCTCAATTGTCACATGAAATTAGGATTTGGGTATAGCTTTTCGTTATATAAATAAGCTTGAGAAAGGGCCTTCCTAGCAGCTAATCTGACTAAACTAGAAATATATGGGTTGTTTTCCACAGGAAAAGAAAAATAGATGGGAAAGGGAAAGAAAGGAGCAATTTGACAACTAAAAATAGTTGGGAAAAGATAAGAAGAAACAAGTGAGTCTTAGAGCAAAGGAGTGAATGGAGCCAACAGATCTCTGTTGCTCTTTGCTCAGATGGGGTAGGCCTTGGCTCTGCCAATGAGTGGTGTAAAGTCCAAATACTGTAAGGGAAGAGGACGTGCGAGCAGCCATGAAATATTCCTTTCTGAGAAACTAGGAAACTGGACAAGACCCCTCCGGATGGTGCCCAGGATAGAATGTGACTTGAAAATGACAAAGAGCCCAAAGTGCAGTACTTCTTTAACCTATTTAAGAATGTTGAACAAGTCTTTACACAGTTTGCAAGCACACAGTCCAGATGAGCAGGAACTTAGGGATGGGGAAGAAGCGTGGGATAAAACTGCACAGATTCGCCTTTGGGGAAAAGTTCCTTGATCCTAAATCACAAACAAAGTAATTCATTTGTTTATTCATGCAATAAACATTAACCTTCTATATGTTCCAGACATTGTTCTAGGTGCCAGGGATACAGCACTGAACAAGACAAACAAGGTAGCTGCTCTTCTGGACTTTATAGGTAGGGGCAAAAAAATAATACATAAACACAAATGCTTTACATAAATTAAAATAAAATGGGCTATGAGATAGAGTGTGGCCTGGGGTTATATGAATACTTTACATAGGGTGGTCAGGTCAAACCTCTCTAGGGAGGTGACTTAAGACGAAACCTAGGTAGTAAGAGGAAGCCAGCCTTATGGTGATCTGTATAGCAGGGAGAGAGAAGAGAACTGCAAAGGCTTTGAGGTAAGACTCCCACTTGGTATATTTGAAGAACAGAAAAGGGATCTGTGTGACAGCAGTAGTGAGTCCTGGCAGGGTGGGGCAGACATAGGCAGCAGGTACATCACAAAGGAGTTCGGCTTTCCTTCTAAGTGCTATGGGATGCCAATGGGTGAGTTTAAGTGGGGGAGTGGCACTTCAGTTTAAAGAGACCACTCTGGCTGGTCTCTCCATGGACTGCCAGGGGCAAACACAGAGGCAGAGATGGATTAGGAGGTGATATGGAAGTCCAGTGAGAGATGTCAGAGGTTCGGACTGGGATGGTAGCAGGAGAGGAGAGGAAAGTAGATGAATTCAGGTAAATTTGGAGATATGACAATAGGTCATAGTGATAGGCTGGATGTGGGATATGAGGGAAAAAGAGCAATCAAGGGTGATGCCTAAGGTTCGGGGCTCTAGCAGCCAGATATATAACAGTGTTATTTACTGAGATGGGGGTACCAAGAGGTGAGGAAGAAAGGAAGAAAGTAAGGCTGGGATTAAGAGTTATGATTTGGATACATTAAATTTGAGATGCCTCTCAGATTCAAGTCTGGAAGTCAGGGCTACAGATGTTAAGTTAGCAACCAGAAGGTATTTAAAGCAATGGGACCCAATGAGATTACTCAGAAAGAGTACAGAGAAACCCAAGGATGAAGCATTGGAGGCTTTCCAACAGCTAGAGGTCAGCTGTTGGAAACCAGCAAGATGCAGAAGAAATGAGAACATGTGGGTGCACATGAGCCAATAAAAGAAAATGCTCCAAGAAACAAAAAGTGACCTATTGCATCAAATGCTGCTGAAAGTCAAGTAACATAAGAGAGAATTAACCACCCCATATGGCAAGATGGTGATTGGTGGGGACCCTTAAAAAGGTAATTTCAGTTGGCTGGTGGGGAGGACAGCCAAGTGAATGGGTTGCTTAAATAATGGAGGATGAGGATGTACAAATGAGATATACAGAGAGTTCCTTTTAGAAGCTCTGCTGTGAACAAGAGCAGAGAAATGAAGTAGGTAGGATAGTAGTCAAGGAAGGTTTTTGTTGTTGCTGTTAACTTTTTATTTTCAAAGATATAGAAAAGTAGAGAAAACAGTATCATGAAGCCCCATGTCACTTGCTTTGACAATTATCTGCCCCTCATCCCACTTCTTCCACCTATTCCCCAACTCATTCCCAACTCTTTACCCACAGGATTATTTTGAAGCAAATCCCAGACATCATTGTAAGGAACAATTGTTTTTAAGTGAGAAGTACTATTTGTTATGAAAAAAGGAAAACAGAAAACCCTGTTATACAGTGCTCTCACTGAGAAAATTCCAGCTCCATCACTTTAGCAGACTGTCTTTAATAAAATGTATGAACTGTATTCTTCCTTTAAAGCAGGATTCTCAAACTATCGCCCACAGCCCACTGAATGGACCACGAGGGGTTTCCACCTGAACAGCAAACCAATCCAGCAAAGCACAGGTCCTTCCATTTTTATAAAGGATAGAGGAAGTCCAAGTTCACCTTTTGTTTTCTAGCTTTATATTTGTGCATAATATAGCTTAAGTAATATAGCTTATTAAGTAAGTTATTTAGGATTACTAAAAGTAGTACATTTCTAGAGTTTCTAGATAAGAAGTCTGATTGCCACACAATGCCTGGCACTGATGTGGAACGCATATGCTGATGGTTGCAATTTCTGTAAACTGGGGGAAGGATGCATAATCCCCCGTGCACGTCTTGAGTTGCTTATGGTTTGCAATTCTATTTTTGTTTTTTCACTATAAATTATTAAGCTTCATTAGCAATTTATGGTGGGTTATCTGGCTAAACTCTGAGTATATAATGATACATATGTGACTATTAAGAAATTTGCAACTTGTTCAATCTTCAGTTATCTGTGATCCTAGATACAAAGATTTGAGACAGAAAAAAATTAAATCCAGAAAATTCTATATATTGTTAACATTTTCTGTGGATTCAGGGGAAACTTTAATTTTATGGAAAACCTCAATCCAGTTAAGACAGTATAGCAGTTAAGAGCCTAAATGGGATCTAGAGAGTGCAGGTTCAAATCAAGGCTTTGCTACTTAGTAGCTACATGACCTTGGGAGGTTATCTAACTTTTCTGTCTCTCAGTTTCCTCGTCTGTAATTGGGGATTATAATAGCATCTACTTCATATATTTAAATGAGTGTCCATAACTGAAACAGTACCTGGCATATATTAACTTCTATATTTTTCCATAGAAAATATTACTGCTATATCCACTACAACAATTCCTACAACTATTACAGTTTATGACACCAGGGTTCTGAGAGAGGACAACCTGAAAATCATGAATATGACTGAAATCTTCCTAAGTGGTAGATCTAAATACCATAAATGGTGGCTAGCTTTATAGGAAAACCCATTTAACCCGTAATATAACCAAACTATTCACTAAGAGCACTAGCTTGAATTTTGGATCTTGGAACTATTTGGTGCAGAAAGCAGCAAGATAGGTATCCTTCTCTGAATACAGGCCAGCCATAGAAAATGTTCTATAATAGATGAAAGAGGGTCTCCAGCATCTTCTTTCCTCCTTTCTGTAAGCCTCTTCTACCTTCTAACTCCTTGCTTTCTAAGCCCCAGGTATCTGATAACTTGATTTTGTCCTGAGTCCTCCCCTGTAATACTTAGCAGGCCAGTTCTCCCCTAAGACATTCTATTTTTCAAAAATGAGTTATTCTCTAGGATGTTCCACTTCCAGCTATTGTGAAGAGAAAAATGCTTTTATAAAATGTATGGTTACTTATATATGGCTAATAACATCTTAAGATTCTCAGAAGTATTCCTATTCTTAAAGTTCTTATCAGAATCTCTAGTTATTGGAAATTAAGGCAGATCAACAAAAAGTTAAGTGAAAAAATTCAACCAGTCTGGGCCACCATACAGCCTTGTCTGGAAGCCAGCCTGGAGACTAAAAAAAAAAAAAAAAAAAATCCATTAGGACTATTTGCATGTTTTCTTCCCTCTATTTTGAAACAATATAGTATTTATGTTATATTATTATTTCTTACTGATAAATAATAATTGTATCTATTTAGGGGATAAAATGTGGTATTTTTATATGCTTATACCTATGCTTATACCTATGGTTAGTTAGCTAGCTAACTCAACTAACTAACATATCCATCACCTCGTGTACTTATATTTTTGTGGTGTGAACATTTGGATTTACTCAGCAATTTTGAAGTAAACATTATTATTAACTACTACAGTTGCCATGCTGTACAATAGATCTCAAAACTTATTTCTCCTCTCTGAGATTTTGTACATTTGACTAACTTCACCTCCACCTGCCCTCCACCCCAACCCCCAGCCCTGGTAACCACCATTCTACTCTCTGTTTCTATGAGTTTAACTCTTTTAGATTCCACGTGCAAGTGAAATCACACAGTATTTGTCCTTCTGTTATTGGCTTATTTAACTTAACGTAACATCTGCCAGGTTTGCCCATGTTGTCTCAAATGACAGGGTTTCCTTCCTTTTTTTCAAGGCTGAATAGTATTCCATTGTGTGTATATGCACCACATTTTCTTTATCCCTTCATCCATTAATGGACACTTGGGTTGATTCTCTATCTTGGCTATTATGAATGATGCTGCAATGAACATGGCAGTGCAGCTATCTCTTCGATATACCAATTTCAATTTCTTTGGATATATACTCAGTAGTGAGATTGCTTGATCATACGATAGTTCCATTTTTAGTTTTTTGAAGAAATTCCATACTGTTTTCCATAATGGTTGTACTAATTTACATAATATAGTATTTTAAAAATCTTTTTCTCTGCAACAGCTCCTGTGGTAGCAGAGATCCCAACCCCAATGTATGAATGAAAAGGCAGGAAGTCGGGGGGTGGGGAGTGATTAGTCATCTGTAGGACTATCAAGAGTGTGTGTGTGTGTGTGTGTGTGTGTGTCATGTATATGGCATTTTATTTCTTGGAGGAGATGCAGATACTCAATAATCACTGTTAATTAAGTGATTTTTTTAAGTAGATGATTATGCTCATAAGAAATTCAAAATCTGGGACCTAGAGTCAATTCCTAAGGTCAGGAGTACAGATCATGCTTACCTGAAGAACTGTTCTGGTTTTTCAAATTTATTATAATCCTCCATTCTTCTAGCACAGCTGTCTCTTGCCTAAAGAAAAGCCAGTGGATTAAACCACAGATTTCATTCTCTGACTCGCTACGAAAAGGATTTTAGGGGATTTCCATCAAGAACCATATAAAACCATATAAATATTACACAAATATAGACTGTAAGCCAGAAAACTATAAATAAATAGAAATTTGAGACCAGCGAAAATATACACACAAGTATGCAGACCATGCTTTAGTTGAGTTTCTTTTTTTTTTATTATTATCATAATACTTTAAGTTTTAGGGTACATGTGCACAATGTGCAGGTTAGTTACATATGTATACATGTGCCATGCTGGTGTGCTACACCCATTAACTCGTCATTTAGCATTAGGTATATTTCCTAAAGCTATCCCTTCCCCCTCCCCCCACCTATAGTTGAGTTTCAAGTTTATCTCTGAGTATCTTGGGGGCCAAAAAGAAGAAAGCAGCAGCATCCATTAAAGTTATTAGAAATGATAATGTATGTTGTTTTCACCCAGAGAAACAAAGCTCTTTCTGCGGCTATAGGTTCCACAAGACATTTTTCAAATGAGTAGCAGAGTTGACAACATCCTTAACTCTGGGACCTGTGGCCAGAACTTAAACTTCTTAGGAGTTCCTAAAAAACTGTACTAAGTGACAAGCTCCCCAGAGGGTAGGAGAGGCTTGTGTTCCATTTACAGAGGCAGTACGAACACACAGTTTCCCAAAACCACAACTACTACCTTTAGAGTTCAGGCTACTTTCACATATTGTGAAATTTTAGATAAGAGGACCCAAAACAACAAGACATCTGTGGAGGGAGGAGAACAAAACAGAGAATAACTTAGACTGTGTTTGATTTTCCTTTCTAGAAGCTATCTTCTACAGAAAAACATCTCCTTTCCAAATTTTCCCTTCTTTCAGCATAATAAAGGTATACCATTTTTAACTACTTTATTGAGGTATACTTGATACACAGGAAACTGCACATATTTAAAGCATGCAATTTGATATGCTTTCACACATGTATCCAACCATGAAACAGTCCCCACCAGCAAGGTGATGTGCACACCCCTCATCCCTCAAAGTCTCTGCCTGCCCCTTTGTCATCCCTCCCTTCCACCACACTCTATGCCTCATCTCCAGCAAACACTGAGCTGCTTCCAATTTTTTAAAGATACATGATTTTTTAGAAAATGTTTCAAATCAGAAACTAAAGTCTATACTGAACATTATTGTTTTACATGTGCTCCTTAGTCATCCCCTGGCTCTTCTAAACCAATCGTCATCCTGTCTCTAAAGTGATTAGAAATACTGGAAGTCGAATACTGTATCTTCAGTTCTTTCATGCTCCTGCAGAGTTGGCTATGTCAAGGCTGCATGCACAGCCTGTTCAGGAAAAGTGGATGGACCACCTTTCCCCTGAAGCACATCTCCAGCTTCCCAGGCAATCCGCTGGAGGCAAGCTACACACATTCTGAAAATAAATGACTGCATCAGGTACTTCTTAGCCTCTGCTTGGGGAGAAACACTGACCTAGCCTCTCACAGAAAAACTCTGGTACTCTGGGAAATACGAAGATTTTGTCAGTCAACATAGGAAGTGGGAAAGAGAAAGATGGGGCAGGGGAGATTAAAAAATAAAAAAAAGGAACCACCACCCCAGTCTCTCACCTTGAAGTGGTTGACCACCAAGGATAAGACATACAAATAATGCACACAGAAAAAGAGCTAAGAACTGTAGAACACAGTGCTCCAGGGGTCCAAAGGAAGGAGAGGTGCTTCTATTTCAGAGTAGCCCAGGCTCCACTATGGAAAGGCTGATGACGACAGGGACTAACATCCACAGTTCCCCAAAGGCTCTCCCGTGCCCTGTCTCCTGTGATTCCCACAAGAGTGCTGTGAATAAAACAGTGGTATTGGTTTCCCTTAAATGGTGGGAAAACTGAACCTTGTATAGGTCAGGAGACTGCTAAAGAGAGGCAGAGCTGGGGCTGGAAAGTTTGTCTTTTGATCCCAATGCCATTGCTGTTTCTATGACACCAGACAGCGTTCTCAGGTGGAGGATATCTAGACAACTAGACAACAACTACCTCACACCCTCCCTTTAAAATCAAGAACATTCCTGAATCAAGAATAGTCAAGAGACAAAAATAAATTTTAAAAAATCAAGAACATCATTCTAACAAGGGTCCAGTGGTACATTTGCTAAGGAGGTGCTCTGAGAGCCACCACTGGGCCTCAGAGACCACACACACTGTGGTCAGGTGTTGATACGGGTTGGCTGTGTCCCCACCCAAATCTCATCTTGAATTGTAGCTCCCATAATCCCCACGTGTCATGAGAGGGACAAGGTGGAGATAACTGAATCATGAGGATGGTTTCCTCCATCCTGTTCTCGTAATAGTGAGTGAGTTCTCACGAGATCTGATGGTTTTATAAGAGGTTTCTCCCTTCGCTGGGTACTCATTCTCTCTCCTGCCACCTTGTGAAGAGGTGCCTTCCACCATAATTCCCGAGGCCTCCCCAGCCTGAGAAACTGTGAGTCAATTAAATCTCTTTCCTTTAGAAATTACCCAGTGTTGGGTATTTCTTCATAGCAGCATAAGAACAGACTAATACAGGTGACATGGCAGAGATGGGTTTCCTCCAGAGCGTACACACATTCCAATGGTCATGAGATGAGCCATATTTCAAATGCAATAAAGAGACTTACCACTTCACAACCTCCAAATAATCCTACAAGGAAAAGACAGGATAATTACCAACACTACTATTAATTACTCTCAAGTTTCTTGTTGAGTGAGTTTGCATTCTTGAAGATCAGGCTTCCTTAGGTGAAGCATGCTCATGGCCTCACCATCCTCACCATGGTAAGTGATAATGCCTGCCATACAGTGGACTCCAAAAGATGTTTGTGGAATGAACAAATGAGGTCAATAGGCCACACTACAGAACTCTTTAATTCTCATGTTAAACATGCTGATAGGAAATTATCTGTCCCTAAATCATGGCAGAATAATCACAGTCAGCTATGAGGCAATCCTTTCCAGTTTGGATAGTTTTAAAGAACTTGGTATAAGCATGTATTTCTTTCCATTAAGGTCCTTTGAGAGTGGATCTTATTTGTTTCATTTTCTTGGAGAAAATCTATCCCTGAACTTGAAAAAACAACATTTCAAAGGAAAAAACAAAGACACTGAGTTTGCTAAGAGGTTAAGTACAAGGTTCAGCAGACGTACTACAACACATGCACATGTGAGCACCACTTATTTCAAAGTTAGCCTGTTAGGGAGCTACAAATATATTCCAGTGATACTGGTTTGGGGCAAAAAATGTGCAGAATGCCTTTTTGGAACTATCTTTTTCTCTACAATCAGTTGATGTGATATTAAAAAAAAAAAAAAAAAAAAAAAAACCCTGTCATACTACTTTACAGTCCTGGCTCGTTTTTAACGAAAAATTACTCTAGCCAGTTTAACCACCACCCATGAGGCTGACTTAGTGATGAACAACTCTTGGCCAGTCCCTGACATCAAATCCACCTTCTAAGAATAAATACCACTAGGGTAAAAAAAAAAAAAAAAAAAAAAAATCTTCAGCAGAATGTGCTAAGGGCTCTAAAAGTAAATTCCAAAGAGAGACTTCAAAGATATTTTGAGCAATAGCAACATTATTGGAAGATATGTATAACCTCTCAAAGTGGACTCATACACAATTTGCACAAACTGCAATATAAATCCTTAAATAGCCGAAACATACTTGTAGGCAACAATTCCATTATGTTTTGGTCATCTTTACATTATTCCCCTGGCATAGTGCCTAGTACATAGTAGGGCATGCAGCAAATGTTTTCAAAATTAGATTTTCTATGGGAATAAAGTACAGAATTACCATTAGTCACAGAAGGGCCATTACTCACTAGACTTTTGTCCTAAGGAGAAAATGATGTCTCGTGTTTCCTCATTGTCAAAGGTGGGTTTTATTGCTTTAGGGGCTCTACCTCAAGACAGTAACTGACAGATCTATTTGGTTTTACTGCCTTCTACCTCTACTGGCAAGTAGAAAACTTATCCCTCTGAATGTTGTCTCTTAAAGAAATCTTTATTTTAAAACAACTAAAATGTAAATTGAAGGGATTTCAGAATCTATAAAGAAGCGCTGGCATCTACTACACTTTTAAAAACTGTGAGCAACTGGCCATCAAGACAAAAATTTAAAAATTATACAGGATCTACCTCCATAGAAAAGGTAATGGAATTCCCTTTGAGGATGTGCCTACTATGTATACTTAATACATAGTACCCGCAGTCTTCAGGAAATCCTACAAAAGAGGTATTATCATTCTCATTTCTACAGATAAAGAAACTTGAAGCTTTGAGAAGTTAAATACAGATGTATACGTTTACACATTCCTTAGAGGGCAGAGCTAAGGTTCAAATTTAGGTCTGTTAGAATCCAGGTCTGTCCTTCATCTCTCAACTGTGGAGTTTATTCCAGAAGTCTAAAGCAGAGGGCCCACTGGCCAGCCAAAGGGGGCCTAAAACAGTGATTTGATAAACATGAATGAATTGCCAAAGTTTAGAAATATGAGGTTTTGCATAAAACATGGATTTGTACCTCCATTATATCAAACCTACATCATTCGTGTCTTCATAGGCCCGGCAGTTAATGCTTTTGAGTCTGTGACCTTTGCTATTCCCTGCTGCCTCCCCAACACTTTCTTTTAAAGGAAAAACCAAACCTAATGCTCCACCAGTCCTGTCTTACCTGTATATCCCACAGGAATTTAGAATCATACCATTTTGATGAAGTAAGATACAATCACTGAGATCAAGTACACGACTTTATGGTGAATTTAAGGCCAAAGGGTCACGTGACTTGTTCATGGTCACAAGCTACAGGCCTCGATCCCATACGTCCTTATTCTTGTCTGCTCTGCTACTCAGATTCTCACTGGCAACCAAACATATATATGATTTAATGGCCTGTGAAGTAGGGTAACACCATTCTTCCACAATTCCCTTTGAAATGACTATCATGAGCTTGCATTTCTGATGAACATGCTGGAACTGCTAAGACTTCACATCTATTTTCTTTCATTTGCCAAAAGTCCCCTATAAATAAATCACTCAGCTTCCACATATCCTCTCCTTGGTCTCCCATTCCTGTTCTGCCAGGAGCTGCCAGCAGTAGCTGTGGTTGAATACTGAAGGGGAAAAGAAGCTACAAAGGAAGCCCCAGTGGAGCATCTTTGACTTCTAACCCATAGGCCAGGGGATCGGGAAGACGCATACCAGTGAGTGACTCATAGGTCACACATACCAGTGGGTGACTCAAGCCACTACCCTTTGGAGTAGACACAATTTTTATTTTCATTTCGGATGTTCGTCAGAGGAAATCAGTTTGAATCATTTTCAATTATGTAAATACTAAAGCATATTTCAACCACATAAGATGGTAAAATTTTCTCCTCCTTTCTCTCAAAGGTACTAAGTTTATCAAATTAAATGATAAAACTTCCTCTCCCAGACTAGGAAAATACACCAAAAAATAGCTTGCCAATTGAAAATTATTTTTAGAGGTGTTTGGAGTATATGCATTATCAAACATAGTTCCTATTTTAAAAAAAAAAGCAAAACACAACATTGTACTTATTCCAATGTTTCTATATGTGACTGAAGCCAGAAACTGTATTTGTCAAAATATCATTCTTTTGAGGAAAGTGATCAAATTAATAACGAGTTGTGCCTGAAGAGGTTTTGGAATCTCAAAGTAAGCAGGCTCTGTACTTTTCTAATTAATGAAGAACAGACAGCTCTTTATTAAGAAGAATCGACTTTTTATTTATACCAAAGTGGTGTTTCTTTGACATTTGTTTTTATTTCATTGCTGACCTACTTTCTTTCTGACAGTCTTGAATGAATATCTATTCTTATGTCCTTTAACCGTCTTGCAAGGTAGCCAGGCCAACTGGCTTTCCCCCTGGACAGTAAATCACTCTGGGACTCTGTGTTCTAATATCAACTCGGCCAGAGATTTGCCACGTGTGCTTTATCAGACTCTCCATCTCTTCTGCTTGACTTCAGACATCTGCAAAGCTGAAAAACAGCTCTGACACAGAACAAAGGGTTTTAAGGTGCTCTGAAAGCCCACAGAGGGCCAAACCATGACAGCTGTGGATTAGCACGTGCTCACTTCATTCTGCTGGTGCTTGGAGACTGCACAGTGGTTAGAAGAGGAAAGGCTCAGGGGTCAGACGGCCTGGGTTTAGAGCCCAGCTCTGCCATTTATTAACCGTGCAACCTTGGGCAACTCACTTAACCTCTCTGTGCTGCGGCCACCTCAGCTATAAAATGGGACATTGAGAGTTAAACATGATTAGATATTCAAAAGACTTAGTGCAGTGCCTGTCATACCATAAAACTTAGTAAATATCAGCAGTATTTATTATTTTTCCATTTTTGATGCCCTCACTGACATGCCCTGAGTGTGAGTAAAATTTTGTCATTCAGCTTGACTATATTTAGCGCCTCGATTCTTGAAGGAAACAACGTCAGAACCATTAGTATAATTTCCTAAGATCTAGTCAGACATCTCTAGGGCATAAATTGTTACGTGGGACCAGCCATGAAGTACCGCACTGCAGGTGTTTTGGAAAGTCGCACTAAATCTAAGCAGAGGATGTGAACCCCGTGCACCCTGCAGCAAGAGTTTGGCGAGGTGGCTTGCTACTCACTCTCTTCCCTGACTGATGTCTGGTTCTGACATCCAGAGCATGACACATGACAGATGACAGCGACACATCTGCACATGCCCACCAGCACACCCAGGTTTTACAAAAGCCAATGTCATTTTTTCAGTAAGTAAACAAAATAGTGGCACAAGGGATGTGCAGAATTTCACTTGTTCATTTGCTTTGACATTTTTAGGGAATTTCTTGTGATAGTCCTAAAAATATTTTACAAACACATGAAAAATGAAATTAGCCATTTTTCTCAGGCTTCGACTTCTAACAAAAAAGATTATCAAATATAAGCTTTTGAAGAACAAGCATAAATAAATGTTATTTTATGGCTTAAAGTTACAATTTATAGGCTTTTACTCTTTTCTGAATATGAAGAAAGTTGCCACACATTTTGCTTTTATCACTGCTTGCCTTTGATGAAATCTTTGTAATTGTTACAGTAACAACCATACCTTGCATCTTTCTCACATGCAAAAAACACAAATGCTACTCCACTTGATCTATCTTAATTTACTCATTGTTTAAAATTTATCCATAAACAAAATTAAAAATAAAAAAACTTAAAAATTATAAAATCAGAGGACTACTCCTGGGAGCCAGCATAAAATAAAACAAAAGAGCTCAGATTTTGGACACAGGCAGACCTGGATTTGTGGGTGAGAAACTTAGTCCCTTCTCTGCTTTGATTTCCTCATCTGTAAAATAATAATAATAATAATAATAATAATAATAATAATAATAATAATACCTATACCTGTAACTTGGAAGGCTGATGGTACCAGGACAGTCCCTGGGGGAAAATGTGGCCCAGCAAATGATTTCTTAAGAAATAGAAGGAAAGTAAAAAGGAAAGGAAAGAGGCAAAAAAGGAGGGAGTAGCAGTGACTCTCCCCAGGCTATACAAATTGGGTTATAACCCAGGCCTTCTGCCAAAATTCTGCCTCTCAAATAGAACACTTGACTGTTTTTATTATGTGAATTTTCCATACATAACAAAGTAGAGGAAAGTGTAAAGAACCCCCAAAAACCTATCACCAAGCTTCAACAATTATTATATTTTACCATTCTGATTTCACGTATTTCCCTATACACATACTTTTTTTCTTTTGAAGGAGTATTTTTTAAAGAGTCTTAGGCCTCATATTAATTCATTAATAAGTGCTTCTAAATAGATAAGGACTTTTAAAACTCACAATACCACCAACTCAATAAAATTACCAGTAATTCCTTAGTAACATGTAATAAACAGAGTATGTTTTATTTTTGCCTGTTTAAAAAAAAAGGCATTTTTTTAGTTAGTCAGTTGTTCAAATCAAGTTCCAAACAAGATTCATACCTGCATTTGGTTTACAGGTCCCTTAAGTCTTTTTTTTTTTTTTTTCCTGAGACGGAGTCTCGCTGTTGCCCAGGTTGGAGTGCAGTGGCGTGATCTCAGCTCACTGCAGGCTCCATCTCCCACCCTTAAGTCTTTTTGTTTTTTTTAATTATACTTTAAGTTTTAAGGTACATGTGCACAATGTGCAGGTTTGTTACATATGTTTACATGTGCCATGTTGGTGTGCTGCACCCATTAACTCCTCATTTAGCATTAAGTGTATCTCCTAATGCTATCCCTCCCCCCTCCCCCAACCCCACAACAGTCCCCGGTGTGTGATGTTCCCCTTCCTGTGTCCATGTGTTCTCATTGTTCAATTCCCACCTATGAGTGAGAACATGCAGTGTTTGGTTTTTTGTCCTTGCGATAGTTTGCTGAGAATGCTGGTTTCCAGTTTCATCCATGTCCCTACAAAGGACATGAACTCATCATTTTTATGGCTGCATAGTATTCCATGGTGTATATGTGCCACATTTTCTTAATCCAGTCTATCATTGTTGGATATTTGGGTTGGTTCCAAGTCTTTGCTATTGTGAATAGTGCCGCTATAAACATACGTGTGCATGTGTCTTTATAGCAGCATGATTTATAATCCTTTGGGTATATACCCAGTAATGGGATGGCTGGGTCAAATGGTATTTCTAGTTCTAGATCCCTGAGGAATCGCCACACTGATTTCCACAATGGTTGAACTAGTTTACAGTACTTAACAGTTCCCCATCTCTACTTTTTTCTCGTAGCATTTATATACTGAAAACAAAAATGGGTCATTTGTTTTGTAGAACTTCCTACATTCAGGCATTGGCTGATCTGTACCCTTGTAGTGGTGTTTAGCATGTTCCTCTGTCTCCCGTATTTCCTATAACCTGGTATTAATAGTTAGATGTGCATGTTTGATGAGCTTCTGGTTCAGCCTCGTTGAGGGAGGGGATGTGGGTAAGAATACTTCACAGGTGGTGCTGTTTCTTTTCTATCAGATCACATTGGAGGAGCATAACTAACGTTCGGCTGTTCCACTTTTAGTGATATGGAGACTGATCCGTGGGTTCAAGTGTTGTCAGCCTGATTCTCTGTTAGAAAGCACCAATTTTACCTGATTTTATCATTCATTAATGGTTGTTGCTTAGCTCCATTACTTCATTAGATGCTACAAAACTGTAGGTTTTTAAAACTTTTCTAGCACCCTTCTGCATTTATTAGCTGTAATTCTCTATAAAGTAAATAGGAAAGCAGGGGTGGATGTGAGATCTCCTTTTTAAATCCATTTTCAGAACAATGACTTGGTGCCCTAACAATCTCAGAAGTGACAAATGCGGGATTTTTTTGTCTTATTGTCTTGTGTCTTTAGAATTTTGTCATAAACTCATGGACTTTTATATATTTTTATATATTTCAATCCTTTTGATGCTCAAACTGTCTCATCTTTGCCCTCTGGGGGATCCCCTCAGGTTGGCTTCTGAATCATTCTGACATGATCCCAGCAGTCTCTTTGATGGCTTTGCTCTAGATGGTTCAAAGAGAACCTTTAAAAAAAAGTAACCAAGAGGCTGGGCACGGTGGCTCACACTTGTAATCCCAGCACTTTGGGAGGCTGAGGCGGGTGGATTACTTGAAGTCAGGAGTTCGAGACCAGCCTGGCCAATATAGCAAAACCGTGTCTCTACTAAAAATACAAAAAAAAAAAAAAATAGCTGGGCATGGTGGCATGTGCCTGTAATCCCAGCTATGCAGGAGGCTGAGGCTGAGATATGAGAATCACTTGAACCTAGGAGGCAGGGGTTGCAGTGAGCCAAGATCACACCACTGCACTCCAGCCTGGGCAACAGAAGGAAGAGACTCTGTCTCAAAAAAAAAAAAAAGGTAATCAAGAACGTCTTTATGTGTTGTTTATCATTTTGATATTCCATTTTCCTTGTTTCACAGCAATTACACACTGTGGCTCTTCAATAACATCTACTGGCATGTGTTTGTTTATGTGCCTTACAATATAATTTAAACCAAAAAAATGCAATCCTGTTGAAAACACTAGATGTGACAGGCATGGGAATCAGGGAGTCCAGTGAAAAGAGCCAGGCTTTGAAGTTAGTCAGACCTTGATCTGAATCCCAGCCCATCATTTACCGACTGTGTAACTTCAGGTTTGTCATTAAATCTTCCTGTGCCTCGGTTTTCTCATCTGTAAATGGGATTGATAACAGTAATATCTACCGCGCACGCCTGCCAGTAAGTACTTTAAAAAGCAACTAAATTCTCTTTTACAGTACTCAGTCCTGAATAGAAACTCAGGAAATTGTAGTCACAACTATTATTATCATTATCTATCGTGCATGCTTCAGTTTATCCTTAACTATGTTTATGTTACACATTCCAGTTTGAACATCATTGTCTTTAATAGAGAAAGAGAAGCCAAATAGTTGAGTAGGTCTGTTTTTCGTCATATTTTAACATTATTCCATCTGCCCCAAGCAACGAGCTTAGCCTTTACTTGTTTTTCTTGTTATGAACATAGCTTTAAAGAGAGCTTTCTTGTTGTCTTTAACATTCTCTTCAGCTTCAGCTCAGTATGAACTTGTGCTTTGCAGATATTTTCTTACCGGTTTACGCCACTCTTCTGAATTTGTCCCTGATCATGTGCTTGTCTTTCAATCTTCTATACATGTTCTCTTAATATCCAAGCCCATCAAAAATTCCTTGATCTTAAAATGGTTCCTGGGCCAGGCGCGGTGGCTCATGCCTGTAATCCCAGCACTTTGGGAGACTAAGGCGGGCAGATCACCTGAGGTCAGGAGTTCGAGACCAGCCTGGCCAACATGGTGAAACTCTCTCTACCAAAAAATACAAAAATTAGCCAGACATGGTGGTGGGCACCTGTAGTCCCAGCTACTCCAGAGGCTAAGCCAGGAGAATCGCTTGAACCCAGGAGGTGGAGGTTGCAGTGGGCCGAGATTGCACCACTGCACTCCAGCCTGGGTGACAGAGTGAGACTCTGTCTCAAAAAAAAAAAAAAAAGGTTCTTTCTTTTTCCTCATTCCCTCAAAAGATGATTTTGCTGTCAGAAACTTTCTTTTTATTTCTCTATTTCCTTTCTTCTTTTTATTTTTTTGTACTCTTTTCAAGTCTCTATATGTTGAAAAATCCCTCTATATATTGAAAAATCTATGTTTTTTTCCTTTGAAATATATTTTCCTAAAATCACCACTACTATTTGGTTATGTCCAACTTTTCTTTCTTTTGAAGTTACCAAACAATACTATCATGGTTACTCCCGCCCAAGGTTTTAGTCAATTCTACTTCAATAAAAAATTTTTCTAGATAGTTAGAACTAAGTTCAGGGTAGTATTTCCATCTCATTGCCTCCTCAATCTGTGGTTTAAAAAATAGAAAGGCTTTTCTGGATTGAAACATCTATGTTTCTATGGAATGAAACATTGATCAGACATTGGGTAGAATTAAAGTCCTCATCAATGACTACATCTTGGCTGTGGCGATTTTGATATTTAGCTGAACCTAAGTATGTGTAGTATCAGAATCCAGCAAAATAAAACTCTTTTTCACTTGTCTATACTAACCTATAATCGTTGTTCAGGCATAACGCTTTGGCTCCACTGACAAGAGAACAGGCTGTGTTTTGAAGTTAAATCATGGCAGTTCACAGTCACAATTTCTAAAGGGGCTGGCAAAGGATAAAATCTTATACCCTCAACTCAGTAAGTGGTGGAAACATCTTGCTCTTACATTGTTGAGTTCTCCTGTGAATTCATTGCTACTTCCAGAATCCTAACACAAGAACACAAAAAGAAATTCTAATACAGGCAATAACTAATTATCTTTAAAATGTATTTAGGAGAAACAAACTGAAACCAAAAAAAAAAAAAAACCAACCAAAAAAAAACACCCTGTGTGGCTATGAATAGTGAGTTAAGATTTGGCTAACAGACAAAAATAAACAGCAACTTAGATTGTCTTGCAGTTTAACCTGTCAACATTTTATTCTTCACGTACTGAATGAGAGGAAATTGCATGAGAGAAAGATTGTATTTCAAGAAATCAGCTAAGCATACCAAAGTTTTCCCAAAGGCCTTGACATTGACATAAACAAAGTAAAATCTCTAAGTCTAATAAGTATGGCTAAGCTTAGTTACTCCCTACTCAGCTCCAGGCCTTAGGCTAAGAATAGCAATAAATATAAAAATATCCACCAGTTGTCATTCAACTCGTGCGCATGTGCCAGAATCCCTTGCTTCCTTTCCCTCGCGCTCTGAATCATCAACCAAATTTTCTCTCCCTGCTAAAAGTTTTTTAACAATTCAAAATAAAATCAGTGGAAAAGTTATTTCTTGGAAAGGTTTAAAAGTGGGTGAGATTCCTGTTTATGTCCTAATCACGCACAAAGACTAGTTGTTTAATAACCATGGTATTTTCAAAAATGAAGTTTTTAGAGAATAAAGCATATCCAGGATAGTTAATCAAACACAGTGACAAAGAAAAGGACTTCTGTTTGGTCCAAATTTATTCTGCTATTAGGTCAATACTGAACCACACATGGACTGTCTTGGGCTTCTATACCAAACTGCTGGTAAACAAGCAGTAGCCACCCAAAAATCTTCAAAATGGAACCATGGAGACCTCTGTCCTTTCTGAAGCTGAAAACCTTGTACCTGAAAATAACTAAGAAGATTCGGAGGTCATGGTTTGATTTAATGTATGGAGGTCATGGTTTGATTTAATGTATGCCACGGAGCCACGATGATGGGGAATGAGAAGCAAAGAGCAAGTTCAAACAGCCGCAAGCACCAGGAAAAACGGGCTTTGGTGAAAAAGTGTGTTGATTTCCCTTTAACTTTCCGAGTATACCGTGAGATTAACCCTCATTCCGTTGAGCTAAATTTTATCCATCAGCACAACTCAGAGGTCACTTAAAATCATAACTTCCTTTTAAACATTCTTATGATATTTACTAGCAAACACATTCCAAAAGAACAGTCACTTCCACTATATAGAAAGAGCTTAATTGCTAAATTTAAAACTGACTACACTTATTCACAAATGAGGGCCTCATCTTCGTTGGTGACCCCTAGGTCTTCCTTCTCTTTTCCTTGACTCAGCAGCTGAGCTCAGCTTCCTCTCTCTGACCTTCCTTTTCCAAATGCTGGAGCACAGCAGGCATTTCTAGGTCAGCAAAGGAAACTATTACTGCCTTCCAGGAGAACAGTATCTTCTGTGTATTCGAAGGACTGAACAAGAACAACGAGTAAGAAATTCAGTGTACTAACCTCAGTTCTGACCCTGCCTAGGGCATGGCATCAACTGCCTCTTGTCTCTATTCTGTTAGGGGAAAAAACTCCACCATCCACCCCTAGAGCTGATTGTCATCAGCCACCTGAATACCTGGCTCAGCATAGCCTGGCAGAACACCTTCCCCCACCTTGCCTGGCTCGCTGGCTATGGCACTGTCTTCCTGCCCAACCCACAGGCCCGTGAGAATGACCATATCCTCATCCTTTCCATCCTATACCATGCATTCTGCCACCACTTATTTTTTAAATAGTTTTAATGACATAAAATTCACATATTGTAAAATTCACCCATTTAAAGTATGCAATTCAGTGGTTTTTAATATATTCAGAGTTGTGCAACCATCACCACAATCTAATTTTAGAACATTCCCATCATGCCAGAAAGAAACCCTTTACGTATCAGGAGTCATTTCCCAAATCATCCCCACCTCCCGCTCTAAGCAACCACTATCTTCTTTCTGTCTCTATGGATTTGCCTACATGGATATTTCACATAAGTATGCATGGTATCTTATGACTGGCTTACTTCACTTAGCAGCATGCTTTCAAAGGTTATCCACACTGTAGTCTTTATTACTGAATAATACTCCATTGTATGTATATGCCCCATTTTGTTTATCCATTCAGTACTGGATGAACAGTGGGCTGTTTCCACTGTTTGGCTGCTATAAATAATGCTGCTATGCACAAGTTTTTGTGTGAACCTGTGTTTCTGTTTCTCTTGGCCGCCACTTACTTTTAGTACCCACTCTGCTCTTTGTCTCCTCTTCTCTGGCTTCAAGTCCTCTTTAAAAAGAAAAAGCCTTAGGAAACAGGCATTCACATACCCTGCGGATACAATGAAAATGGTACTGCCTTTCTGGAGGACAATTCCCCAAT
Source organism: Homo sapiens (assembly GCF_000001405.40). Lineage (NCBI taxonomy): Eukaryota > Metazoa > Chordata > Mammalia > Primates > Hominidae > Homo > Homo sapiens. Next base: position 93,776,424 of record NC_000012.12, on the reverse strand, counting down.
ATCTATCAAAATTTTAAATACACACAGTCTTCAAAAAAATTTTAAATACACACACTCTTCAACCTAGAAATTCCATTGCAAGTCCCCTACAAATAACCCCTTTACAAGTTTGCAGATCGCTATAAGGATGTTCTCTGCAACACAGTGCATAATAAATGCAGACATTAAGAAAATAAATTTAAATACTGTTCGATAAGAATCACAGAAAAGCAGTACAGTGGACCACTATTCTGTTGATTAAAATAAAATAAAGTAGAACTATATAATTGTATGAAAGACTGTTCCATATATTAATTAAAGATATCAAATTACAGAAAATGCATATATTAAATGGGTTCTCTCAGATAAAAGAGGATATATTGTGTGTGCTTGAATGTCCATATAAAATTTCTGAAAAGATACTTTTTTAAAGATGAGGATTAAAGGTTTTAGAGAAAGAGAAAATCACTTTGCATTTTATCTCCTTTTTGTACAACTTGAATTGTTACTATAAGGATACTTTAGAATTTAAAATGTATATTTTAAAATAATACAAATACGTCCTAGAGTCCTCTGAAACCCTACTGTGAATCAGCTGGGAAGGGTGTGAGAAAATGAATGCCAAGGAGAGAAGAGACACACCAAAGAGGAGCTAATGATGCTGAAAATGAACATCACCTGTTTCATAATCGACCCCTGGCAACCCTGACTCTAACCTCCAAACGGAAAGCATCATAGGATTCTGACTCCTACCCACATTCTCAGCAAAGCACTATGGTGCTATGGGAGAAGGACAGGTGTCAGACAAGCCTGGGGTACTAAGCCAAGCTCTGCCACTTACTAACTATAAAACTTCCATTCGATCCCCCTTCTCCAAAAATCCTCTACACCAGACTATAGAGTAACCCGTGCTCTTTCACCACTATTTAGTAACTATACTTGAGATGCCAACTCCTAAGCATGTCCATCAGCCCTCCAAAACTCAGCTCTAAATAGTACATCTCACAGAAACCTTTCTGAAAACCAGGCCTCCTAATGCAAACCTATATACGTGTTTGCACATCCTCTACACGGGTGTGTGTCTTCCTCTTCATACTGGTACTTAGTTTACTGTTATTTCATGCATCTTACCCCTGCCCCTACAAATTCTAAGGGTCTGTACCTAACCAAAAATTGCTGGGCACATTGGATCTAAAACTTGCTGGCATGTGATAAAATATTGCTTATTGATGTTTGAGCTGTATCTGGAAGGTTATTTTATTAATCATTTACTGGTAAAAACTTGACAAAATTATCGATGAATGGTAAATGTGAGCACCAAATGCTCACAGGAGCATTGATCATCATTTTGGGTTTTTGTCAGTTTCTTTCTTTCATTTTTCTCAATGCACATCCACAACTGGCCAAGGTGATTTGCACCAACTACACAAACACAAGTGTGTGTATTTCAGGACAGATCAAATTCCCAAAAAACTGTGATCCATTCTTCAAGACCCTGCCTCCATAAAGCTTTCCTTATGCCCTCTCCCTCCCCACCCTAGCAGCTGGTCCCTTCCACCTTGTTGCTTCCTTGCTCCTCATTTCATTTAGTAATTATTGTGTAAATATTTGACACCTTCCTTAGGCTGTGAACATCTTGCTCATCATTGCATCCATATCACCTTGGATGATTTGTTACACATAGGAGGGGACTAAAGAAAAGCTATTTAAACACATGAGTGAGTGAGTGAAGATTAATTTTCACTCTCAGTACAAATTACTGAGAAGCTGTAGAGCCTCCAGCCCTGAGGGTATATCTACCCTAAAATACCAAACCTCTTCTTCCCCAAAGAAAACTGAAGTCTAGCTATCATGATCAGAATAACATCCTTAACCCCCCTCCCACCTCCTAACCCATCTTCACATTCCAAAAGGCAAGGGCAACCCTATGGCAGAAAACAATGATATTTTAAATAATTAAATGCAGAATAAACAGCAGCATTTGGGGAAAGTGGGTTCAAGTTCTGGTCCTGCCACTAAACAGCTGGATGATCTTGCATTGGCCACTAAATTCCTCAAGCCCTCAGGCTCCTCATCTATAAAAGAAGGGGTAAAATCTCTATCACTTCCAAGGCCCCCATCAGCTCTAATACTCTAGGAATCTATGAAGAAGAAAATTCATTTCATTTTTCTTCCTTTCATTTATTCAACAAGTATTACTATATGTTTGTGGTGAACTACATAGTGATGGACTATGTGTTTATTAAACAAATCCATTTTGGTTTTCTCTTAAGCACAAATTTCCCAGGTTCACTTGAAAGTAGCTATGGTGGCCAGAAACAGTGGCTCATGCCTGTAATCCTAGCACTTCAGGAGGCTGAGGTGGGTGGATCACTTGAGCCCAGGAGTTCAAGACCAGCCTGGGCAACAAGGTGAAACCCCATCTCTACAAAAAAAAAAAAAAAATTAGCCAGGTGGAGTGGTGCACACCTGTAGTCCCAGCTACTTGGGAGGCTGAGGAAGGAGGATCGATTGAGCCCAGGTGGTCAAGCCTGATCACACCATTGCACTAGAGCCTGGACAACCACACCACTGCACTAGAGCCTGGACAACAGAACAAGACCCTGTCTCAAAAAAAAAAAAAAAAAAAAAACTCACAAAGTAGGTATGGCTATGAGTTCTAGCCAATGTAATCTGAGTGGAAGCAATGTGCCCTACCTCCAGCCTGGCCTTCTGCACAATCCATGTTCACTCTCTCCCGTCTCCTGCCAGCCAGAGACAGATGATTCAATGAGGGTTCCAAGGCCTTAGAAAATGACAAGGCCACTAGATGAAAGATATCTGGGTCCCTGAATGTCTGCATGAAGCAAAGCCCTCCTCTTTCTTCCAGCAGGAAATAACCTGTATTAGTCTGTTTCACACTGCTGATACAGACATACCCAAGACTGGGAAGTTTACAAAAGACATTTAATGGACTTACCGTTCCATGTGGTGGGGAGGCTTCACAATCATGGCAGAAGGTGAAAGGCACACCTCACATGGCAGCAGACCAGATGAGAGCTTGTGCAGGGAAACTCCCCCTTATATAATCATCAGATCCCGTGAGACTCATTCGTCACCACCAGAACAGCACAGGAAAGGCCTGCCCCCATGATTCAACTACCTCCCACTGGGTCCCTCCCACAACATGTGGGAATTCAAGATGAGATGTGAGTGGGGACACAGTCAAACCACATCATAACCTAAGTTAAACCACTGAGATTTGGAGTTCTTTGTTACAGCAGAGAGCCTACTCTGACTTACGTAAGACATATTGCATATATACTGTCATGTTTAACCCTCTTAACAACCTGACTGGTAAATATTACTATTTATATTTTACAGATGAGGAAATTGAGTCTCAGTGAAGGGAAGTAACTTGCTCAACATCATACTGCTTCAAAGTGGCACAGGCAACATTTGAACCTATGCATCTCTAACTCCAAAGTTCATCTTCTTTATTTTTTGGGAGATGATTGCTACCAAAGCTCCTCTATACTTCCCTCCTTGCTTCTGGGTACCCTTCCCAGTTGCAAACAGTTCCTGCAGGTGCCGCTCCTACATAAATACACTTGCTACTGAGAAGCAGTGCAGGGCACGATCAGCAGGCCTAGCTAGGAAACCAGAGGCAAAGGAAGGCCAGAACCAGGCTTTGCTGTCCAGTCCAACCCTGGATCTGACTCAATCAGTCTGTGAACAGTAGAAGATAAAAGCTCCTACTAAGCCCATATCTTCAGAAATATCAATAATATGCTCTAGGAAATAATCCAGAGATGACTATACTATTTTAATTTTCCCTTAAAAGAGTCAATCTAACATCATTAAGAGTGATATTTAAATGCTAATTGAAAAAGCACTGTTCCCATATCTCTAGACAAGTATTTGCATGTTAATTAATTCTGGGGATAAGAAGACCGGCTTCCAATATGAGGTGTCAGAAGAGAGAGTTTCTTTGCAGAGGAAGATAAAAGGCTATGGCATAGACATAATTAAATTACCTGACTTCAAGAGTTCTAAAAAGAAATAAGCAATCCTTTGCAATGCAAATTCATATTGCCTCTTTTGTAAAGGGCACATTCTAATGAAAGAACCAAAATATAGATTTCCAACTTCAATACTCTTTTAATGTAGTGCCCTCATCACAGATCAAAATGGCTTTTACCAGAACAGTGGCTAACGAGCTCATAAAGACTGTCAATATGGGAGACAGAAACCTAATGCCCTAGAAGCCAATAAACCACAAACACACTCTGAACAGTCACAAAGGATGTCAACTTGATTTTTTCAAACAACAAACCATTTCTTTTTAAAAGGAGTCATGCAAATTAGTACAAACTCACAAACCACAGACTCAGAATGATGGCCATTAGGCTGAATATTTTATAAATTAGGTTACCTCAAAAGACGATAATTTAAATAAAGCATACATTCAACTTGCCACACTTACACTATATTTGTTGGCATTATAATTTCTATGGTATAACTTTCACTGTTTGCACTATTGCTTTTCATATATGATCTCATCTTAGACCTGGAAGATAAATAAGTATAAGTGCACCCACTATACAGATGAAGATATTAAGACTCAGAGAGAATATATGGTTTAATCAAGATCATGGAGGTAAAGAGCAGTGAGGTCATGTCTAGAACCCAGTTTTCTGGATCTAATTTCTATGTTCTTCCCATGCAATTATATTATCTGTCTTCTACTTCATTTAGTTGCTGATTGTCCCTACTACTAAGTTCATTATTGCTATGATATTCCTAAATGTGCAAAGGACATAAACATTCAGGGAATAATCACATTTCCAACAGGCTTAACAAGGTTTTCTTTTTGTGCTCTTCTGTAAAGTTCCACTCCAGTAACAAACGTATACTGGTTAATTCATTTATCACACAGACATATTTTGTAAATACACGTGACAAGGGGTTATATGTGGTATAGAAAGAGCAATTATTAAGTAATAGGAAAATATAAAAACACTGAGCAAAAGCCATGAAAAGGCTATTCACAAAAGAACTACAAATGGCCAGATGAAAACTAGTTCACTGTCAATAGTAATTAAAAAATTCAAATGGAAAATACAGTGAGTTATTCTCCAGGTTCACAAGAGTGGAACCTATTATAACTCTGGGAGAGAGTTTAAAATGATAGAACTCACTGGGGAATATGAAGGTGCAAGCTGTATGTTCCAGAAATTCCAGTTTCAGGAGTCAATTCCAAGGAGACAGAAAGGCACTAAAATATGTATACTTGTGAATGTTCATAATCACATTATTTACAACAATGAAACAAAACAGAAACAACCTAGGTTTACAACACAAGGAGATTAATTAATAAATTTTTATGTTAACCAAAAAATATTCTATAGCCATTGGAAAGAATTATGTTGAAGATAAATAACTAAAACATAAAACTTTCAATGAATTATAGAAAACACAAATAAATGGAAAGATACTCTATGTACAAAGAGGAAGATTCAATATTGCAAAGACATCAATTCTCTTAGAGATTTGATTGTAAAAGCAATTGATCTATAGATTTAAAACAATCTCATTAAAAATCTCTGCAAATCTGAGTGTGTCTCTGTGTGTATTTGTGGAAATTGACAAGCTGTTCTAAGCTGTTCTAATCTTTTCATTTGGAAATGTGAAGGATCAAGAATAACCAAGAATCTCCAGGAACTGGTGAAAAGAAGAAGATGTAGTCCTCAGTCTACTAAGCTACAGTAATCAAAGTATGTGTTATTAGCTCAAGGGAAATACACCAGTGGAAGAGAATAAGGAGTCCACAGCTGGACCCATTCATATATGGATATTTGATTTATGTTATGGAACAGGCTGTATGGCAGAGCAATGGGGAATGGATGGTCTTTTTGGTAAGTGCTGTTTGAGCAACTGGATATTAATGTAGCATAAAATGAAACTTAACCCTAACTTTTCAACATACACAAAAATTAATTCCATGTGGATTGTAGATCTAAATGTGAAAGGTAAAAGAATAAAGTTGATAAAAGATAACATAGGAGGGGGCCGGGCGCGGTGGCTCACGCTTGTAATCCCAGCACTTTGGGAGGCCGAGGCGGGCGGATCACGAGGTCAGGAGATCGAGACCATCCTGGCTAACACGGTGAAACCCCGTCTCTACTAAAAATACAAAAAAAATTAGCCGGGCGTGATGGCGGGCGCCTGTAGTCCCAGCTACTCGGGAGGCTGAGGCAGGAGAATGGCGTGAACCCGGGAGGCGGAGCTTGCAGTGAGCCGAGATTGCGCCACTGCACTCCCACCTGGGCCACAGAGCGAGACTCCGTCTCAAAAAAAAAAAAAAAAAGATAACATAGGAGGATATCTTCATGACCTTCGGCATAAGTGAAGATTCTTGAACAAGCCTCAAAAAGTACTAACAACAAAGAGAAAGATTGGTAAGTTGGACAACATTAAAATTGGGAAGCTCCATTAACCCTACTAAGAGAGCAATAAAGGCAAGCCACAGAGTGGAAGAAGACATTGCTGACACATATAACCAACAAAGGAACTTACATCTAGAATATATAAGTACAAATAAATGAGAAAATGTCTGACAGTTCTATGGAAAAGTAGGCAAGAGACAAATACTAAACAAATACTTCAACATGCCCACCCAAAAGACATCCAAATGGTCAATAAACATATGAAAATGTGCTCATTAGCCAACAGGAAAATGCAAATTAAAATCACAAGAGACTATAACAAGCCTACCAGTTTGGATAAAACCAGTTAAGACAGACCAAACCAAGTGTTGCCAAAGATAAGGAACAACAGTAACTCACATAAATTGATGATGGGATTGTAGATTTGTGCAACCACTTTCACAGTATTCCCTAAAGCTGAACATACACATATCCTATCACCTGCCAATTCCATTCCTAAGGCATATAAACAAATGAACAACTTTAAAACTGCACACGTATGCCAAAAGACATGTACAAGAATGTTCATAGCAACATTTTTCATAATAGCCCGCAACTGGAAACAACCCCAATGGCCATCAACAATAGAATGGTGGGCCAAGAGTGGTGGCTCATGCCTTTAATCTCAGCATTTTGGGAGGGCGGGGCGAGTGGATCACTTGAGCCCAGAAGTTCGAAACTAGCCTGGGCAACGTGGAGAAACCCCACCTCTACAAAAAATGCAAAAATAATAGCCAGGCATGGTGACGCATACCTGTAGTCCCAGCTACTCAGGCGGCTAACTTGGGGGAGGATCACTTGAACCTGGGAGGTGGGATTGCAGTGAGCTGAGATTGTGCCACTGCACTCCAGCTTTGGCAACAGAGTAAGACCCTGTCTCCAAAAAAAAAAATAAATAAAGTATATAACAAAAACAACAGAATGAGTAAATATTATGGTATCTTCTTTCACATGAAATAATAAACTGCAATGAGAATGAATAAACAAATAATACATGTGAAAAACATGGATGAATCTCACAAACAAATATTGAGTAAAGTAAGTAAAAAAATCAAAAACTACAGACATTTCATTTACGTAAAGTTCCAAAACAAACATTATAATGTTAGATTCAAAGTAGCTATTATCTCTGGTGGGGAGGAGGAGGCCATGGGAGGCTTCTGGGGGTACTGGGAATATTGTTGCTTGACCTAAGTAGAGGGCAGTAAATGGATGTGTTCACTTTGTGATCATAAACTGAGTTGTACACTTAGGATCTGTGTACTTTTCTGCATGTACGTTATATTGCCAGAAAATGTTTTAATCCATATTTATTGGCTTGAAAACATGTTCATGATATATTACATGAAAAAAGCTGCTTAGCAAATTATGTTATTCTTTTTTGAGATATATAGAGTAGAAGCATTCTTATCTAACACATTTAGGATCAGAAGTTAATTGCTTAATTTCAAAAGCTAGTGAAAGTGAGGATTCATAAAAAAAAAAAAACCACCTGCTGCCTAAAACATTTTATTTTAACTTTAACACTGAGGACTTGAGTATTTGCTGGCTAGAATTCCACATAATCTTTCCTGCATAAATCATATCCATAATCCATCTTCTTCTCTATTTTCAGTTTCAATTTCTTTAACATGAAACAAAAATTTAAATACACTTGTGAAGCAATATGAATGTTGAATCCTTTGTGACTTTTAACATTTATTTTCAAATCTTTCAGTTGTTCCACCTACTCTGAATTCTAGAGCAATTGTTTTAGAGATTTGTTTTTATCACATTTTGCTAAAGCATTCAACCTAATTTTAGTGGCAACAACTCTATTTTTATACTCATATTTCATTGGTTTACGTAATATCTAATTAGATTACAGAATTACAGTAAGTTCGATTGGCATAAACAGTACTAAGAAAAAAACAAATGGCTCTTAGTGAGCACACAACTTTGGTTCTAAGAAGGAGAAATTTATTAGCAGAATGCATTAAGCCTTAAGAGTGTTTCCAATGTATATACTTAATTCTTTGCAAAAGAAACAAGGAAAGATATACTCCAAAATGTCAATACTGGTTTATCTTAATTGAAGGAGTTTTTGGTGGTGTTGAATTGAATTTGCTTGTGTGTATTTCTTCAGAAGACTTGTATTGATTGCATTTAAAATACATCTTTTCAGGTCATAAGAAGCTTACAGCATTCTGTGGTATACTGCTGAAGAGTGGTGGTGGTTGGAGGAAGCAGATGGCATGAACCCTGCCTTCCTCTAAGAGGGTGTGAAATGTGATGATTCAGGCTTTTAAATTAAATGCATAAAGATTCAAACCCCAGCTCTGCCATTTACTAGGTGTACATCCTTGGGTGTGTCTCTCCTCTAAAACTTAGGTTTCTCATCTGTAAAATGGGGATAATGCCACCTACTGCAAACAGTTGCTGTGAAAATTAATGTGATAATTTAGGATCCAAAGCCCTAAACACAGGACCTGACACACAATAAACCTCAATGAATGTTAGCTTAAAAAACGACAAGAGTATCTAATAGAGGACACAGAATAAATGTATACATGATATAACCAAATAAATGCAAAGCATCACAGCACAGCCTACTGGCAACTGAGGAAACACAAAGTGAAACAAGGGACCTGAGAGAAACGAGGCCAACCAGGGAAGGCGTTTATCCAATAGAAGAAGTGGCTCCAATTAAGGCTTAAAGGAAGTGAAGAATAGAAATGAACAGTTTAATATTTCAACCAATCTCTGGAAGGAGGAGGATACGAACAAATCATAAATAAATTTGTTAATATCACTTGCACATGGCTGGAGCTTGGAACATGCAGAAAAACATGCAGAAACCAGATCCTTTGTGAATGTGAGATTTATTATTTTAGAAAGCACAGGCAATGGGCTTTTTCCCTAGAACCAGACAGAAAGGACAAGGCCCGAGGGTCTGGTTGGGTACATGTGAGAGGGAGAACATCCTGGAAATGTGTCCACACCCACTTGAGTATCTGTTTCTTGAAACCACGAGTCCTTGGCACACACATTTCTATTCTAAGTTAGGCCAGCTATCTCTTGAGAGTCCCTATAGGAAAGTTTCATTCCTTTAATCAACACATCTTCTTCTACAGTGTTCTGGGCACTGTTCTAGGCACTAGGAATAGAAGGTTGAATAAACAAGCTCAGTGCCCTCAAGGAGCTTACATTCCAAATAGAAAGTCTGACTCTTTATCTTCCAGCAAAGGATGGTTGATGCCATTAATACTAAAACCATCTGTCTTCTGAAATGGGTGCAGTGCTCAAGAAAGAGAAGCAATCGACCAATCACGAGGACCAGTTTCACCTTGAAGTTAATTTTAACCTCTACTGAAGGTCAAATGAAAGCTAGAGAAAAGCATTAGGAGCACTGCCAATTCAGTAAAGGGACTGCAGGGCATAGCCAGAGAAAAATCCCAGTGTGGCCAGAGGAAGCTTGAAAAGTTCAAATCAGATAACACAGCTCAAAGGGCAACTCCAAAAAAGTACACTGTGACAGGTGACAATTGGAAGTCTATTAGCTTTTGTTTCAATCAGAAAAAGCAGTATCTTTAATTACTTTAAGTATTCCATTATTACATTCTCATCACTAAAGGACTGCACATTTTTGGCTAAATAAGGTGTAGTAAAAGACATTGCAATGGGGCAGGGAGGGCCAAAGAAGACACTGCATGGTGGCACAGCCTGTCTGCTAAGCTAAATCCCAGAATCTTAAGATTCACTAAGGAACGCTTGGGGAGAAAGAGTCTCAAAAATAACCAGAGACTTAGTAACTTGACTGGTGTAAGCTGTCAGAGGATGAACGATGACAAGTAGAACAGGCAGGCGTTTTGAGTTTTCCATATTTACCAGCTATATCTCAAAAATAAGATTTCTTGTAGAATGCTTTCCCTTCAAATATGAATAATTTAAAGAGCTAAACAAATGTTCCTCAGAAGGCAATAAACTACCTTTTTAAGGAATGTCAATTTCAATCACTTTCAAAATGCTTCTGTTAGCGGTTCTTAAATTATGCCTCCCAGGATTACTGGTTGGAGTTCCTCAATCTGGATCAAGGTATTCTGCTAAAATCATACATGACAGTCTTTTACTAATTCACAGAAAAAAAAAAACTTAATAAAACATTCTCAGCTTTAGTATTTTTCCCTTAGTTTTTTTCTAAAACCTGTGGCACTAACTAATGCCTTTCCAAAGAATGCTAACAGAAGACATGAGAACAAAGAACAAATAAATTTTACTAGGAAAAAAAAATGAGAAATAGCCTATCGTGCTCAGTCTAGCATCTTGTTACCATCCACAGGTGTGACTGGAGTTGTGCTTTTAATATTGCAAACTCTAACTCAATCCTAGGAGGGCGCACCCAGGAGCCGGTTCATGCCCTCTCACCCTCAATAAAGAGGCTTACCTTCTCCCCACACAGCTGCATTGTGGATACCATTGTAATGCATGGGGAATATTACTGATTATTGGGAAAAATTACAGCTCCAGGAAACAGATGACCTCAGGTACACTTTGTGAATCTGTTTTGGCACCTATAAAATGCTTACTTCACAGAGAGCTGCGTGGATCCCGCACTCTAAAGAGCAGTGTAAACTGCCAAGTGCTATGCAAATGTACACCATCATCATTATTATTATTACTATTAATATGATTTACTAAAACTTCCTTGTAAAAACAAAAAACCAGTAACTCCCCCTTGACCTCTCTCTGAATAACTCTTCCAAAAGCCCTTTACTCTCTGAGCTGCAGGCAACTCGTGATAAAATAATGTTTCTCTGCAGGCATAACAAATGCATCAATCTATTCATTAATAATGTCAAAAATATTGAGTCTTTTTTGCTCTCTGGAATGGACCTAGACTACATGTTACGTTTCTGATGTATAACCATGCTCAAGATTTTAAATTTCCATTCAGCCATATCTCAACCACTTTCCTAATAAGAAAAAAAAAAAATTCAGAGTTTCTGAATTGGAGAAATTTAATTATCTCGAGTTCATTCCTCCATGGGATTTTTTTCCCCAAATAATTCAAAACTGGATAGATGCCTTTCATTTATATAAAGAGGATACAGAGGTATTTATCCTCTTTACCACACTCATAGAAAGTTAAGTCCTATAATTCCTCCTTACAGAAAAATGTATCACAAAAAAAAATTAGGAGAGAAAAAATGAATTTTTATATATTTCTATGAAAGTAATTCCACTCCCTGTAGACAAAAAAAAAAAACCAAAAATATGATTACTAAATACCACAAAGCGTTCCACAATTTGGAAGAAAACTGTCATAAGGATACCACCATCTCTTCCCTAGCAGGAAGGTCAATTTCCAGAGCAATTGAGACTCTTAAACCCTCCCCCACCCATGAAACATGTAAAAGAAAGAAAAACCTAGAAAGAGCATGAAGAAATGTATCTGAAACTTCGAGATGACTTTATTGTATTAAAATCTATCAATAAGAGGACTAAGAAATCATCCTCTGTATACCCTTTGTCAACCAAAAAGCGCCACCAACCAACCAGCTGCACAAACAAGAAATGTTGAAGTTACCCTAAAGTCCTCCTTCTCTCTCATCTCCCACATCAAGCCCTGTTCTCTTGTATCCCTAAACATTTCTAGAATTCTCCCCCTTCCCTCCAGCAACTCTGCCATGGCCACCTCTCACCAGGGTTAGTGCGATAGCCTCCAAACAGGTCTCCCTGCCCCTAGTCTTGTCACTTCCAATTCACTGCTCACAGAGCAGCCAGAGTGATCGTTCTTAAGCAAAAAAAAAAAAAAAAAAGTTGATCATGTCTGATCCCCTGATTAAAATAACTGCCCAGGAAAAACATCCTAAAACCATAATGTGATTTACAAGACCTTTGAAAATGTAAGCCGTGCTAATGGCTCCAGCATCATCTTGGGACCCTGGCTGGCTCTTCACATTCTGTCTGCCCACCAGACTGAATAAAATTCCCTGAACCAGTCATACCCTCTCTTTGTTTCTGGGCTGCAGGAATGATAGAACAACCAAAAGAAATCGGGTTTATTTCTCTCATTTAACAAGAAGGCCACAGGTAGGCGGCAGCAGACACTGATGAACATTTCTGTGGTTTCAGAGCCAGTGGATCATCACCATCCTGACACTATACTGACCCACATGTCATCCCTGAGATGGGGGGACCCTGGAGTCCCCTTCTGCCAGGGGCTTGGGGATTGTGAGCACAGCCTGGGGCCAAACTTACACATATGCACACTAATAAAAATGTTGCCTCTGCAAAAAGCAAGAAGACAATGTCTTCCCAATTTTCCATTTTTTGCATTTAAAAGTAGGTAATACTCTTTATTCAAAAGAAATGTTAGACAAAAAAGAAAAAAAAATGAAGAGGAATTTCTAGACTTGAATCCAAAATGCTAATAAGAATTAAAAGAAGAAAAAGAGGTATATATTTGTTATTCATTAGACTCTCATTATTTCAGATTCGAAAACTCAAAATGAGGGAGGCAGTTTATCCACATGAAAAAAAAAAAGAAGAAAATATTGACTTGACTTGCAGCCCCCTGAAACTGAGCTGTGAATTTGCCCTTCTCCTTTGAGCAGATTTTTTTTTAATAGAGAGGAAGTTAGTTTCCACTCACTTTTTTCTCTTGGGTCACCCCAAGTTCATACCAAGGACTCAGTATGTAAAGCCATAAAAGAAAACAGCAACAATGATACTAGAAATACAGAACCAAGAGCTTTAGATCCAGAGGGGTAGCATAATATGGTAGGAAAAGGTCAGGTCAGAAGTCAGCTCTACCTCCTATTTGCTGTCTGGCCTACAACAGGCTAACTTAGCCTGAGTTCCAGCCTCGTCATCTGTCAAGGGAGGGAAAGGCTCACCTTACAGAGATGTGAGAAAACAGATGTGAAGTTCTAGCATAGTATAGCACTCAACACAATATTATCACCATTCTGTAAGTGCTAGAGGGTTCAGAGTTGCTTACGTTTTAGCCACCAATACTCCAATCAATGAGAAGGCAAATATCTTAGGAAAAGCAAACCTCATTCATGTACTGCTCCCCACTAGTCAATGAGACCAGCACTGTTCTAGCCTCCCCACAGGGAAGTTGACTTGTTTTTGTTTTATTTAGCTTACCTGTTCTTTACTGTTTTAGCACTTGGAAAAGGACAAATTTTACAAATAAAAAAATAAGAAATGCTATATATGTAAAAAAAAAAAGTTTGATACTGTATCTGGAAGGGTTTGTAGGAAAGGAGTCATAGCACTGCTTCTGGAAAGGGAAACTGAGGGACTGGGGGCAGGAATAGAAAGGAGACCTTTGGCATTTTTAACTTGAGCATATGTTAGCAGTCCCAAATAAGTAAATTTTAACTATTAGCACATAACGGTAAATAAAGGTCTCTATATCATTTAAGGTCCAGCTCAACTTCCAACTTGCCTCAGCCAAATATTTGCCAGGCAAGCCCTATTGCCCATGAGGCCTTTACTGACCTCATGGCTTTTCCTGCCTGACCTCTCCTTTCTTTTAATGTCTACTGCCCTCATCTCTATAAGTTAGCTTCCAATTACATCTAATGTAACTGTTTGTTAACTGGTTCAAGAAAGCCAGACATATCTCTCCAATGGACTACAAACCCCTTAAAGACAAGGAAGCAGCCTTCTGAATTCCTTATTGCCCTCAGCCTCATCCCAGAAATGAAGACAATAAATTCTTATTGACAAATCACTTGCCTGATGTAACCCCCAGAGTAGCAGCTGCAATTACTCACAACATCGGCCCGTTTTCTTTATTTAGAAGCTATCATGATGCAGACCAGAAAAGGCAGACTATCACTTTAAACACAAGGCTTTTATTTAGCTTAAAAAAGGTTTCCAGTTATTAGCCTTTGCAAATTTATTTTAAGCTTATTGGGCTCTTCCTTCTGCTGAGTTGAATCTTTGTTTTAGTTTTTTATTGAAGTAGGGTAGTATTTCCTTTAAGGTTGGAAGGAAACAAAGCACAGAAGATGGCAGGAAAGCAAAGCTCATCCTTTGACACCACAATTTTCTGAATCTGCCGTATTCATCCTCCTTTATATTAAAGCATAGGCAGGATTCTTCTGAAAAATCGAAAGAAATCCATCAGGGCTCAAAGCATGCTGAGCAACAGAGAATTAAAGCTGGGAAAATTATTGAGAATTTTCTCTCTATTCCTATTTGTCATGAAATGAAACTAGTGCTCATAATACCAATTTGGTCACACAGTGAATTTTGCTGAAAATAAGGCAGAGAGTCCATATTAGGCAATGTGCAGCCTACTAGTGCTATAATAGAGGTATGAACTTAAAGAGTTGTAGGAAGTGTGAGCTGTGTCTTCTAGGAGCCCAGGATAATGGGAATGAGATGACATCCCAGGTCTGCAGATCCTCCTCCCACCTGTACCACCTTCCTTTCGTCGTCCCTAATTCTATAAATGGCCACTCCACCCACCCAATTGTTCTGGTCCCCAAACAACGAGTCATCCTTGATTTCTCTCTTAATCTCATTCCTCACTTCCTGAAAGTGACCACTTCTCCCAGTTGTCCTCACTGCCAGCCTTGTTTAAGCCACCATCATCATCTCTCACTCAAACCACCACTAGAGCCTCCTAACTGGTCCTCCTGAAGACACCCTTTCCCCTTCTCCCCCGTGTACCCTTCACACTACACACAGCCTCAAAGCAACCTTTTAAAGAATGAAAAGCTGAGTCTATCATTCTCTTCCAAAGCTTCCCAGTGTAATCAGACCAAATCTAAACTCACATTAGAGTCACCTGGAGAATTTTTTTAAAATGCTGATGTCTGGGTCCACAGAGATTCTGATTGAATTGGTCTGTGATATGGCCTGAGCCACCTCAATGGCTGCAAAGTGCAGCCAGAGTTGAAGACACTGCCAGCCTGCCCAGTCTCATCTCCTACCCCTTCTCACCCTGTTCGCTAGACTCCTACCTCAGCGGCTTCCTCTCCCTATCTCACATGCCCACCTTACAGCCCTGGCTTTACAGGCCCCTCTGCTTGAACCAGTCTTCCCCTTGATCATCACTTAGGTTTTGGCTCAAATGTCACTCACTTCTTCTGGGGCACCCTTCCAATATCTGCTAAAGCCACCTCTACCACTGTGCATAGTGTCAGCAAATCATCACTAAAGAAATCAGCAGAGAACTGTGGAGGCACCTGAAGAGTAAGGCGATTCTCACACTCACCCAGGATAAACATCCCTACAACAGTGCTGGTATGCAGTGGGTGCTTGTTGAATGAATGAATGAATGAATGAATGAATGGCAAACAAACCAATGAAGACAAGCGCCCTTAAATGTAAATTCCTACTGAGAAGCCACCATCACACACCTGTCTGTGCTCTGATTGGGCATACTGTGAGCAGTAGATATGAAATTGCTGACTGTGGGGTAGGACAAATTATATGTGAAGATTCTAACATCTCAGACATCTTATTTTCTAAAAACAGAAAACGGACACTGCTAACCTAGCTCATTTTTCTTACAAAACAAAAGCAAGAACTAAGAAGATCTCTCATAGTAAATAAAACATGCCTGGATAAAATAAATAATAAGCCTTCTGGATTTATTAGTCAAACTCCTAAAAACATGGCTGATGTTTAAGACCTTCCATAATTGGGCAGAAAAAGTACACTTTCTTCTCCTCACACACACTCTCCCCACAAGTCATACTAAGTAGCTTCGCTCTTTTCCAAGAGAAAACTCATTTATAATTAATTAATCACACAGAGATTAATAAGATAATGGTTTTCTCCTAATTATAACTCCTTTGGCTAACATTTCTGTATTTTTTTCTCTATCCTCTTTACTTTCTTCCTTCCATTTCAGCTGAACATCCTCCCCATACTTTTGTGCTGCTTCTACCTTGGGACCCAGGCTAACAAGTGACTGGTAGTCTCCATGTCTCTGCGGGCTGGGTTAATCCAATTATACAATTAGCAGCCTGACCTTGAAAACCAAACAATACCTTTGCCCTTGTTTGCCACACCCCACCATCAGATGGGAGTAACTGACAAGGTGGTCAGCCCCATGTCAGTTTATTTTGAAAAGAGTAGACTCCCAACAATTTCTATTCCTGGAAGTCCAATGAACAGTCCTTGTTGTTCTCCCATTTTCCTTTGGCAACTTCTGCCTATCTGTGGAATTTATTAATAGCTACATATTTTCCTGTATTTCCTGGTGCTTTTTTTTCTGGAATCAGACTGAGATAGGGTGCCTGTAAACCTGTGTACCAAAGGGATTTTTGAATTGGTTCCTAAAAGAAAAAGTCATGGTTAACAAGTTTCTTTCTTGGCTATAGAAAGAGAGGTGGGGGTAAAGGGAGCAGTAGGACAAAGGAAGAAGAGTGAGCTGGGGAAACGATCCCAGAGGGCAAAGTGCAACAAAGTGGAGAAGAGAAATGATTTCAAAATAGTCAAACAGTATTCTCTGGGGACCAAAATGAAAGATGAAGAGAACCGGTGAGAAAAATAAAGGAATTAGTTTTTTATGCAAAGAATCTAAGAGAAGATTTTTTTTTTCCTTTCTCGAGCTAGTTCTAAGCAAAGAAAGGAAGTTTGTAAACTTTCAAGAAAGCTGGGTGAAGGTTTTATTATTATTCATATATGCAACTCTTTTTAACTGTAATAATTTTACCATAAATTGGTAACAGATTTTTTTCTCCTCTCATGCTATGTTCCCACTCCCCATTCCCCCACCCATCGCTACCTCCAAGGCAAGATTATATCAACAATTACTATTTCTGTGTTTTTTTCCATTCTAGTTACATCATGTCCACTAAAAGTAAACATTTATAACATAGCAAATTGTGTAACACAATACACTTCTCTATTTTGCTGGTCCTCAAAACTTCAAAAGTAATAAAACATTCTACACTTCCAAAAATTAAATGCCTTGGTATTTCAAGTTCTTAGTAGAATGTTTCTTAGGCCTTGAATTCCTGGAAACCTGTGAGGATAGCTCAAAAGAGACAAAATACCACAAAAGCACAACAAATAATGGCTGCAAAATGATTACAAGAACTTATTTCATTTCATAAGATTTAGCTCTGAACAGTCCCAGCCTCAAGTTTCCATACTTCTGTTTCTTATAATAAAATAATATAATAAGACTATATGCTTGAGGTTAAACTGTGTATACCCAGGATCTTAATGAAGCATTCAGATATAAACCAATATAAAATGGTATCAGATTAAAATCTACCAAATCTAAAATTAAATCTAAATTTTCACGTAAATCAAGCTAATAACAAAGCAATTTGCCTTACCAATTGAATAACACCAAACATAAAACCTTCCACTGCATTTAAAACATGAAAACAATTTTGTTTTATTCAAAGCTGTGGTGAACTATAAAGAACCACAAATATTTTAATTAAAAGAATTAAAAGTCATAATTATATTAATAACCATTAATATAAGTCATGGTTACATTAATATTAATATCAGTTAATATTAATATTAATTTAAAAGTCATGGTTATATTAATAACCATTAATAAAATAAGTTATATTTCTTAGTATACCATCAGAAACATTTAGTTATTGACTCAGAGATTTGTGTTTATTTTCTTAAATATTGTGGAGTTTCTACACAAGCCCCCAAATTATCTTTGTTTGATAAACAACATAGTAAGAATAGCAATGGGGAAAACTCTCATGCTCATTGTTAAACATGTGTTCTGGCAGATCTTTGGAATAGATTCTAAACTCTAATCTCAAAACATCTGCATTACTTCCCCACAGGGTAGAGACTGGTTTTAATTCTATATATGGTAACATACCTTTTGGAGCAAATCCAACCATGATAACAGCAGCAATGAGGATTAACTGACATTTCCTTAACGGATAGACTTCATTTCTTAGAAGAAACAAATGTGGGGTGTGAATACACATGACTAAACTCTAATGATAGGAGGAATATACCAAAATATCTGACACAGGGTCCTGTGCCCTCTTCTTCCAATGTATGCTGAGTCCAACCACCCTTTTCTATCTGCACCACTGCCACCCTTGTCCAAGCCATTGTCCCTCACATGGACAGCTACCATAGCCTCTTCAACAGCCTCTCTGATTCCTCCTGGATCCTCTACAATCAATTTTCCTACTCCAAAGCCAGAGGAATTTTTTTAAACTATCTACCAGATGATGACACTCCCCTGCACTTTTTTTTCCCTACCCTTCCTCCTCCTAACAATTCTTTTCCTACAGAAATGGAGAGGCTGAGCAAACAATGTCCTATTGCTATTGTCTCCTTCTTAAGCTCTAATGAGAACCAGGCTAAGAAAAGTTATCTCAAAAATTAGCACATTTTAAGCAGTGATATACTGCTACTCTCAAAATTTGGAACAGAAAAACGACAAGTTATTAAAACCTCATTTCTCCAGAAGCCACATGTCTGATGAGCCCAATTTTCCAGAGCACTGCTGAGAAGAACTAGAGATGGGAGAGATGAAACAGGAGGCTTGTGGGTATCACAAAGTCCATACATTAAACTTCCTTTGTATTTTAGATGAATCTAATAAACTTGGCCATCTATTTTTCTACAGATAACCAGGGACAGTATGTTTTGGGAGATTGGAGACTCTTGGGGCAGCCACATAGGCAGCACTAGAAAATGAACACATAACCTACCAGAGAGAGAAGACAGTAAAACCAAGAAAAACAGGCATGAGAATTCAAAAAATACAATATATGGTCTTCGGCATAATGAAAACTCTACCTGGAGTAGACTCTAAGTGTACTACTATATAACAGCACAATGTTTCCCAAATGATCTTGAGATAATACGAAAATCTTCTAATGCTTTATTAAGAAGATGGGGAAATATACGTATGTTTTAGTAAATTTTCCAACAAAAGTGGTTGGATAGTTTTAAGTGATGGTGCTTAAAAGGTTACAATTCATTCATCCCTTAAATGAAAATTTCACTCAGCCATGACAATGGTAATCAAGTGAACAAATAGACTGGCAAATAAATTAACTGATTTTCTGTTAAACTGAATCATTTCTGTCAGTGGCGGGTTCAGCCTCAAGACAGTGCTCAAGACTTCCCACCTGTAGGTGTGCCAGGAGAATGAGAGATACCTTCCAGTGTGGATGAAGGCTAGGAGGTTGTGTGTCCTGCACTGCCTGGAAGTTCCCTGATACCTGATGTGCCAAGAAGTTAAGGTTTTGTGCCTACATGGCATGTTCTTGTAAGCTCTTATCACTGGACCCATTTCCTCTTTGGATTGTTCCTCCTTCTTCTACTCCTATACAGAAAGGCTTCCTACTGCTTAGAAGGACTTTGCCTTTCTTCATTCAAAAAATATTTATTGAGCATCTACTACACAGCAGGCCCAGTTCTGGATGCTGAGGATGCAGCAGTGAACAAGGAAGGCCCTGGAATAAAACAGCTTAAACCAGCTCCGCTCTAGACCTTAGAGATCCAGGCTCTGTCTTATCTCCTCTCTCTTTGTGGCAGGTCCCTGTGTGGCTTACAAGTGGTCTGGTCCAGTTCACCAGGGCCAGAGTAATGGGCCTAAGTCTTACAACAAAATTTTATTCCTTTTAGTGAGGGTGCTTTCCTAAAAATGGACATATTCACTGGATCATGGCTTAACTAATCTTAATATCGCTGAACTTATGGTGAGTCATTCCCAACATTCACTAACAAGTATTTATTGAACATTTATTATTTGCACTGTAACACACATTTCAGATATATTGGTGAACAAAAAAGAGAAAGATGCCTGACCTGTGCCACTCACTTGGAGGATGAAGGGGCAAATACTCAGTAAGTAATGAACATAAATAAATTTTTTAGTGTTTTAGATAATTATTAGTGCTTTTTTAAAAAGTGCAACAAAGTAAGGGGAATCAAGGATGCCAGGGCTGATTGTAGGCTGATTAAAATTTTAAACCATGCTCAATAAACAAGTATACATTTATGACTTGATATCTTTATCTTTTCTGCTTTCTTTAGAATTGTTCTAAAGATGGATTTAGTTGGGCTTAGAACATGGCCCACACCCACCTAACAGTTCATCTGCCTAAAAAGCAGCAAATTTTCCAAAAATATCCAATCTGTACCTTAATCTTTAAAATAATCATATGCTACTTTTTCTTTTATTGAAACAAAGTTATTTACTTTCTATCAAAATATTACCATCAGAAAGTAAGTTACCTGGGGCAGAGAGGGGCTCTGCGGAGCAAACTAACAGATCAATAAGCATCACTCAACCTGAAGAAACTACAGTATGTGGCTACAGTGCACTGGCCATGAGCTAATGCACTTAGGCTCCTAAATCGGCTGACTGGGATTCCAATGAATTACACCTAAAGGAGGTACGCCTGTGGGGCAGACAAACACCAGATGTTCTGCTCTGAAATGCCTGTCTTATTTGTAAGTTTGTGTATTCATATGTTGGGAGCCCTAGGTTTTGTGATGCTGTTAAACAACCAACACCTGGAACCTGAAGACTAAGCCTGGCTGAGGTGAAAATCATAGGGTAGTTAGTTCCACTGTCATGTAGGGCATATGACAAAGCTAGAACAGAGATTTAAAAAATTTTCCAAATTAGAAGGTGATATAAACCTATGCAGAGGAGATGCAGGACTCTGCTGACATGTGGCCTTCTAAGCCCACCACTCCTTTGTGAGGGATAAGGCAATATTTGGGAACTGTATCTGATATGGTTTGGCTGTGTCCCCACCCAAATATCATCTTGAATTGTAGCTCCCATAATACCCACATGTCATGGGAGGGACCTGGTGGGAGGTAATGAAATCATAGGGAAGGGTTTTTCCCATGCTGTTCTCATGGTAGTGAATAAGTCTCAAGAGATCTGATGGTTTTATAAAGGGCCATTCCCCTTCACATGCTCTCTTGCCTGCCACCCTGTAAGATGTGCCTTTGCTCCTCCTTCACCTTCTGCCATGATTGTAAGGCCTCCCCAGCCATGTGGAACTGTGAATCCACTAAACCCTTTTTTTTTTTTAATGAATTACCCAGTCTCAAGTATTTCTTCATAGCAGTATGAAAATGGACTGATACAGTAAACTGGTACTGGGAATGAGGTGCTGCTATAAAGATACCCAAAAATGTGGAAGCGACTTTGGAACTGGGTAACAGGCAGAGGTTGGAACAGTTTGGAGGGCTAAGAAGAAGATAGGAAAATGTCTTCCTCAGAAGACAGGAAGATGTGAGAAAGTTTGGAACTTTCTAGAGATTTTTTGAATGGCTTTGACAAAAATGCTGATAGTGACATAGACAATAAAGTCCAGGCTGAGGTGGTCTCAGATGGAGATAAGGAACTTGTTGGGAACTGCAGCAAAGGTGACTCTTGCTATGCTTTAGCAAAGAGACTGGTGGCATTTGCCCCTGCCCTAAAGATCTATGGAACTTTGAACTTGAGAGAGATGATTTAGGATATCTGGAGGAAGAAATTTCTAAACAGCAAAGCATTCAAGAGGAAGCAGAGCATAAAAGTGTGAAAAATTTGCAGGCTGATGATACAACAGAAAAGAAAACCCCTATTCTTGGGAGAAATTCAAGTCAGCTGCAGAAACTTGCATAAGTAACAAGGAGCCAAATGTTAATTGCCAAGACAATGGGGAAAATGTCTCCAGGGCATGTCAGGCATCTTTGAGGTAGTCTCTCCCATCACAGGCCCAGAGGCCTAGCAGGAAAAAATGGTTTCATGGACCAGGTCCAGGGACTCCTGCTGTGTGAACCTAGGACTTGGTGCCCTGTGTCCCAGCCATGGCTAAAAAGGGCCAAGGTAGAGCTTGGGTCATGGCCTCAATGGGTGTAAGCCCCAAGCCTTGGCAGTTTCCACATGGTGTTGGTCCTGCAGGTGCACAGAAAACAAGAATTGAGGTTTGGGAACCTCCACTTAGATTTCAGAGAATGTATGGCAATGCCTGGATGTCCAGGCAGAGGTATGCTGCAGGGGCGGAGCGCTCATGGAGAACCTATGCTAGGACAGTGCAGAAGGAAAATGTGGGGTTGGAGCCCCTCACAGAGTTCCCACTGGGGCACTTCCTAGTAGAGCTGTGAGAAGAGGGCCACGCCCTCCAGACCCCAGAATGGTAGATCCACTGATAGCTTGAACCATGCACCTGGAAAAGCCATAGACACTCAACTCCAGCAGTGAAAGCAGCTGGGAGGGGGGCTATACCCTGCAAAGCCACAGAGGCAGAGCTGCCCAAAGTTGTGGGAGACCACCTCTTACATCCAGCAGGACCTGGATGTGAGACATGGAGTCAAAGGAGATTATTTCAGAGCTTTAAGATTTAATTACTGCCCTACTGGATTTCAAACTTGCATGGAGCCTGTAGCCCCTTTGTTTGGGCCAATTTCTCCCATTTGGGATGAGTGTATTTACTGAATGCCTGTACCCCATTGTATGTAGGAAGTAACTAACTTACTTTTGATTTTACAGGCTCATAAGCGGAAGGGACTTGCCTTGTCTCAGATGAGACTTTGGACTGTGGACTTTTGGGTTAACACTGAAATGAGCTAAGACCTTGGGGGACTGTTGGGAAGGCAGGATTGGTTTTGAAATGTGAAGACGTGAGATTTGGAGGGGCCAGGGGTGGAATGATATGGTTTGGCTGTGTCCGCACACAAGTCTCATCTTGAATTTTAGCTCCTATAATCCTCACATGTAATGGGAGGGACCCAGTGGGAGGTAATTGAATCATGGAGGTGGGTTTTTCCTGTGCTATTCTCTTGATAGTGTGAATAAGTCTCACAAGATCTGATGGTTTCATAAAGGGTAGTTCACCTACACACACTCTCTCGCCTGCCACCATGTAAGACGTGACTTTGCTCCTTGATATGGTTTGGCTGTGTCCCCACCCAAATGTCATCTTGAATTGTAACTCCCACAATTCCCACATGTCGTGGGAAGAACCCAGTGGGAGGTGGTTGAATTACGGGGGCGGGTCTTTCCTGCGCTGTTCTCATGATAGTGGATCAGTCTCACAAGATCTGATGGTTTTACAAAGGGGAGTTTCCCTGCACAAGCTCTCTTCTCTTGTCTGCCACCATGTGAGATGTGCCTTTCACCTTCGACTGTGATTGTGAGGCCTCCCCAGCCATGTAAAACTGTAAGTCCAATAAACCTCTTCCTTTTGTAAATTGCCCAGTTTCAGGTATATCTTTATCAGCAGCATGAAAACAGACTAATACACTCTTCCTTCACCTTCTGCCATGATTATGAGGCCCCCCCTGCCATGTGGAACTGTGAGTCCATTAAATCTCTTTTTCTTTATAAATTACCCAATCTGGAGTATTTCTTCATAGCACTATGAAAATGGACTAATACATTATCCATTTTACCATCAGATATATTTTTTTGTTCTAACTGTTTGGAGTATTTCTTTTACCCAAGATAAGTAAAAGCTACAACTCTTAGTATAAATATGTGTCCAAGTGCCTCATAACTGCTAACCACAGGGATCCTGAGCTCTCATAGCTTAAACACACAGTGTTTATTTTACTGGTCTACTTCTCCTGAAGACCTAAAAGGGCCTATAGCCTCAGTAGTTGACAAAACAACATATTAAAATTCCTCACTGATCACTAACATAACCTAAAATCCCTGCTTTTGACATTAGCATGGCAGACATCCTTAGCAGGCCTAAATAGAATGGCCTTATAAGTGGATCCAAAGGGCTTCTGAATCATGAGTTAGCCAGATGGTCAGCATCTCCAGTCCTTTATGCTAACATACTTTGGAAGGCTACCTGGAAACCGTCAGCAAAAGCCATGCTTTACCCTCCACTGGGGAATGAGGTCCCAGCGGGAATGAAGTCCCAGGAATGGGAATGGTCATAGCGCCCTTAGCAAGTAAAGACGCTTTAAAGGGCTCTCAAGCATACATGCCCCACCCTTGGCAAGTACAGATGCTTTCAAAGGTTCTCAAGTACACTGCAGGTAGTTACTTGCCGGCCCGACTACCTCCACCCTTAAGTAACTACAGTATGAAAAATGAGGCTGGCAGTTGAGAATAAAGCTCTGGAAAGCAGATTCAAATTCCAGAGCTATCCTGAAAGGAGCAAAGTAAAGATAAAGGATTTTTTGTTTGTGTTTTTGAAACAGAGTCTTGCTCTGTCTCCCAGGCTGGAATGCAGTGGCACGATCCTGGCTCACTACAGCGCCTTCTCCTGGGTTCAAGTGATTCCCTGGCCTCAGTCTCCCGAGTAGCTGGGACTACAGGCACACACCACCACCCTGGCTAATTTTTGTATTTTTAGTAGAGACGGGGTTTTGCCATGTTGGCCAGGCAGGTTTCGAACTTCTGACCTCAAGTGATCCGCCTGCCTCCGCCTTCCAAAGTGCTGGGATTACAGGCATGAGCCACCACGCCTGGCCCAAGATAAAGGATTTAGAGTCAAGTATTTAAAACCCTGATTGAGGTCAGTACTAGGATTTGTTTAAGCAGTGATTGGGAAGTTTTTACCAACAGGTACTATGTTTTGCTTCCTTAGTTTTTGTCTTTATGTGTCATCTGTTCAAAATACAGCATGTATTAATCTTCATTTTCTTAACAGTGTTTAATGAGGAATAATACATATTAATGTAGGTTTCAGTTAATAGTGATTGACTGAACCTCCTGTTTAGATCAAGAGGCTCTCAACAGGGCATCAGCTGGTGACAGACTGCCCTCACTGTAGGTAAACAAACACCATCCAGGGCTGAACTTCCTGACGTGATTGGAGAGATTTTTGTGATCTGTGCTTTGTAACTTCCTTTGCTATTGGTCTAGTAGTAATTCTTTATGGTAAACAACCAGAATCTACTTTTTTCTATAATTATGTTCATAATTTTTTTAAGCAAAAGAAGCAAGATTTGTATTTGTGGAATGTCTCTCAAGTTTACAGTTTTTATTTTTTCCACAATACAAGAAAGAGTATAGTAGACACAGGCAAGTTACCAGGTCAGTTCAGTGAGAGCATTCCCTGAGGCTGGCCTAAAATTAACTAAGATTGTTTCTATCGAACTTCTACAAAGACAGAGTCCCTCTGAGAACCTCTTAAAATTAAAGTTCAGGTTTTCTGTAAGTAAAATGTTTACCTCTCTATCATACTATAATTTCCCTTATTGTGACATCTGCGATGTGTCCATTTAAAAGTTACATGGTATGATATAATTAGGTAACTTGGATAATGACATGTACATTCATGTCTAAAGACTTTACTGAATATGAATGTCAAAATATAATTTTCAAAATGTTAAAAGTATAATCCACATGCAAATATATAGTGAGCATGGCAAAGACACATATACCTCATTAATGAAAACAGTAAATTGGCTAAGAAATTGATACATATAGTCGGTTTTAGAAAAAAAAATACTGGAATAAGATTCTAAATTACATACAAAATGTAGGTTTTTTTGTATGTAATTTAGAATTTTTTGTATGTATTTTTTGTTATTTTTTTATGTAGTATGTGAATATTCTATAGGACAATAAAACAAAACCTTTAGAGTTATCTTTTCTACCTGCCAGAAATTATTTGCATCATATCAGTTTTCTCTAAGTTAACATCTAAAATGAAGTCACATCCTCTACAGAATCAGATGAGCCTTAGGTCTTGTTAGACAACGCTCTACTACGACTCTGAAAGATCATTCTTTCATCTTATTACCAAGTTCCGGGTCATTTCTCCTAGTGTGAATAAAGCCCCGATTCAGTTGTCCATGATAACCACACTTCCCTCTCCCTTGAAGAACTCGCCTACTAAAAAGCCAGAATAGAGGCTGGATCTGAGGTTCTGGAGTCAGATTTATATGCCCGAAGTTCCTTTCTACATTGCACACTTCTACATTCTTCCTTTATTAGGCTTCTATTGCAAACATTGGCTTTAGGTTCTGAAGTAGCCCTGCTAAAACAGTAGTCTGCTTAAGGGCAGGAACATAATGTATTAGTCTGCATGTTCTTCACAAAAGCCCAGGAGATCTTGCCCCTAAAGGTTTATTCATTCATGTAACAAACATGTCCTGAGTACCTACTATGTACAAGGAGCTGTTTTAGGTTTGTTGTACTGAACCAAGTTCTATAAAGCAAATCAGCACAGACAAGAGAAAATGCCCCTAACGGACTTGAAATAAATGGACAAACACAAAAAGAGTCTATCACAAATCTGAAACAGGGAGGAAAAGAGAAAAGCTTAAAAGAGAAAGCATGCCAGTGCTGGCAGCAAATGATGGGCGTGTTGGGAGATAAATAGATAAAACCCATAATAGAAAGCAAAAAACAGATAACAGGAGAATTGCTCAATACTACAGACATGACTGCTCACATATTCTTTAATTAATGATGATAGTTAATTGGATTTGAAGAGAAAACCTAAAAAATAAAGAGGAAAAGTGACTTAAAATTATTTATAAGTGAGTTAAAAACAAGGGAAAGGCTGGAGTATCACTGAAGAAGCCCAGCACTCTGCCAGTTTTTAATATAGCATGACATCCACTAGAGAGGCAAAGTGGACTCTTCTGTGCAAACTATGTCCCTGTCCTAAAAACCTTCAGGGGCTTCTTGTTTGAATAAAATCCATTCTCCTGTCCAGGACTTATAAGGCTCAGCAAGGTCTGGCTCAATCCTGGATCCTCTCCCCTTTGCTCATGAAGCTCCAACAATATGACTTTCTGGCAGGTCCCAGAACACACCAAGCTCCTCCCCATCTTGGCCCTTTGAACTTGCTGGCCTCTCTAGCTAGGAGGCTACTGGCATGGCTAATTCTTGCTCATCCTTTAGGTGCCAGCTTCAGTGTCACTTCCTCTGACAGCCCTCACTCACCCATCCACCCTCATCTTGCTATTCTCCAACATAGTTCCCTCATTTGTTTCCATGACAGCAGGGATCTTGTCTAGGTCATTAACCATCATGTCCCCAGAATAGTGCCTGGCAGATGTTACGCACTTAATATTATTGAAAGGTTGCATGCAGTTAATATGAAGAGCTATAGTACCACCAGCCAGGGCCCATGTCAATCCTAGAATAGCTGTGCAATTTCTAGTGGCTTCTTGGAGGGCTTACTGCTACTCCTGCTAGGCCCTGGCCATGGGATAAGGCAAGGCACTATCAGCCCTCACATCTGTGAACAGCTCTGGGTAAGCCCCAAAGATACCTGTTTCCAATCAACTCCCAGAAGAGACTGCAGATTAGTCTTTCTTCCAGAAACCTCTAAGTCTTAGGATTTACCAAAGCCAAAAGCAGGTCCCGAAGGGGGACTGGATCCCTCAGTCAGACCAGATACAAACACCCACACTTTGGGGCTTTCATGCTTTTGCAGATCACTTCCCCAGTATGCCTTGCCATACTCAACGCTTAAGAATCTTGTTCCTGGCTGGGCGCAGTGGGTCATGCCTGTAATCCCAACACTTAGGGAGGCCGAGGCGGGAGGATCATCCGAGGTTGGGAGTTCGAGACCAGCCTGACCAACACAGAGAAACCCCGTCTCTACTAAAAATACAAAATTAGCCTGGTGTGGTGGTGCATGCCTGTAATCCCAGTTACTCAGGAGGCTGAAGCAGGGGGGAATCGCCTGAACCCAGGAGGCGGAGGTTGCCGTGAGCTGAGATTGCACCATTGCGCTCCAGCCTGGGCAACAAGAGTGAAACTCCATCTCAAATAAAATAAAACAAAACCAAAAAAAGAAGAAGCCTGTTTCCTCCCCTTCACAGCTGCACTGTGGCTCCCTGCTTCTCAGCCAGAGTTCAGGGAGACAAGGAAAGGATTTCTGGAAGGTGCGAGAGGGGACAACAAACAATGATGAAGGATATTACCATCTACTGAACTCGCATTCTGTGGTAGGGACTATCACCTAACACTGCACTGAATCTTCTCTACCATTCTGGGATGCCACTCAAAGATATATGCATAGCTCCAATTTATATAAACGTATACTTACCATATGATATATAATATTACATAAAGTATTTCATATATATATATATTTTTTTCTCCACTTTACAAGCTGAGCAAACCACTTAAGGTCCCACAGCCAGAGGGCAGAGCCAAGACTGAGACTGTGGTCTAACTACCTTTAAAAGCGGTGTTATTTCAGCACCCTCCAGTGTCTTTACAGGTAGTCTGAAGGAAAGAGTGGGAGAAGAGGGAAGTGTAAGGCCACCTGACACCACTGCCATGCTCCTTGCCCTAGCATTAAAAGGGAAGGAAAAATTAGGCCAGGAGTGGTGGCTCACGCCTGTAATCCTAGCACCTTGGAAGGCCAAGGCAGGCAGATCACGAGGTCAGGAGTTCGAGACCAGCCTGGCCAACATAGTGAAACCCTGTCTCTACTAAAAATACAAAAATTAGCCAGCACTGTGGCGCATGCCTGTAGGCCCAGCTACTTGGGAGGCTGAGGCAGGAGAATCACTTGAACCTGGGAGGCGGGGAGGTGGAGGTTGTGGTGAGCTGAGATCGCACCACTGCACTCCAGCCTGGGCAACAGAGCAAGACTACATCTGAAAAAAAAAAAAGAAGAAGAAAAATTAAGAGGAAGGAAAAAAAGAGAAAAAGTAGGGAAATGAATAAGGGAGAAGGAAAAGAATAATACTCACCCTTGCTTTCCCGTCTCCCTGTCTCATGCCCCTCCCCAGTTCCCAGCCCTAGGTCTCCCAATACTATCACCAGTACCTGCCTGACAAGAGCCCTCTCTCTCCTGGGTTACAGAGGAGGTCCTTTTCTGCTCTGACTCCAGCCTGATGGAAACACTCCATTTTTGCTACAGGGCCGCAATACAGCAATGACTTATTGGCTTCCTTAATAGGAATTCAATACGTTTTTCCATAAAATAACATTACATTGTGGTTAAAGTTTATAATACTAGTGCCTTTTTATTTTAAAAAAAGTGTAATAAAGATCCACTAATCTGAAACCCCAAAAGTGGTGAAAACCATTCTTTTTTTTTTATAATTCATTTGGCAGCAAAACCTGACCTGACCTGAACTCATTTGGCCTGAATTCATTTGGTGACAAACCTGACCTGAACTGACATGAGGCTATTTATAGTTTTTATTTATCCACTGCGTGTGAATATTCATCAGTTTCACTGCAGAAATATTAATGTGCTTGATTATAGGATCCTGCTCC
The DNA here is from genome assembly GCF_000001405.40 of Homo sapiens. Lineage (NCBI taxonomy): Eukaryota > Metazoa > Chordata > Mammalia > Primates > Hominidae > Homo > Homo sapiens. Next base: position 93,746,853 of record NC_000012.12, on the reverse strand, counting down.
AGACCACACTGCTATATGACTGGTACATGCACAATATTATCCTTCTTTCCTTCTTCAAAAAAAAAAAAAAATCCAAATTCAGCAAAATCTGGTCTCAATGGCTTTGAATACAGAATTGTAGAACTGTATTTATTCAGATTTAACCTCTTTGAACCTTGGGTTCATCGCAAGTCTGAAATTAGATTGTAGCCAACATCATTTTTGGAGGGAAATACATTCTTAATTTCAAACAAGCAACTTAAAAAGGAACTTTTGGAATACCACTAATTCCCGGGTTGGGGCCTAACTGTATAAAAGTATGCAATAAAGAAAAATTCTTCATGATAAAAGTTTTCATTCTGCAAAAAAAATTATCAGGTTCCACGTCCCATTCCCACATAATCTTCAGGGAAGTCCAACTTCCGGAAAGAATGGCCAATCTTCTTGGACCACTCTGTGTGCTGAGGAGCATATTGGAATATTAGAATGTGGACCGAGGAAAAGAGAGGTAATATTAGAAATCCTGTGAACTGCTTCCATTCTGTCATACTGTTCATTTATGTTTCTGCCAAAGTTGTGTTTTTATGATTTTTATTGCAACTCAGAGTTAACCTTTCTAGCAGAAAGAAAGCATCAAATGCCCCCACTTCAAACAAGATGGGTTCAAGGGAAAATCCCAATCTTCTTTAATCATTTTATGAATATGGTGAATCCTGTAGCTCATTAATTTTCTCTCTTTTTGTTTTGGCTGCTAGAAAATCCAGAGCCAAATTTACAGCCTAGCTCTAGCCCCATATAGAATTTTATATTACATGTTCTTTGCCCTAACCCTATTCATCCTAGCATGGTTATTTTTCTCCTAGCCTTATTTTCCCTTTACCTTAATTTCATCTATTCATTTTAGGTGGTGGTGGTAATAGTGTGTGTATGTGTGTAAGTTTCCTCAATATCTTTTTGTAATAAGGTGGAGAAGGGATAAATAGGCAAATAAGTAATTGTATACTTAATAATGTACTGGCATGGATCCATTGACTTCCAGCTGTAAAGACTTCAGTAATATCAGAACTCTAAATCATTCCACTTGGTTAATTACACAAATACTGAGCCATAATTAAAACCTTCTATACCAAAATGCCCACGACCATCATTCATTATATGAAAATAGTCACAAATTAGGAGAAACAACAGAAGTACCTTACCTACATTGCACGTTTCAGATATAGAGTCACCTGAGATATATGGCTAAGATTGGATTATCACATTTCCCGCAAGGGCTGAGGAGGTACTGGTTTCAAGTGTCAACATACCTGCTGCCTATGCCTCTACCTCACATCTCCAGACCACCAGTCACTTCCCCATAGCACAGCTTCCTAGTATGAGACTGTGAGATCCCCATTTCTCTCCCTGGGCCTCCTCCTTGCTAGAGTTACTGGAAGACATTGGAGTTACTAAAAGGAAGTGGGGAAGTCCAAAAGAGTATTCATAAAACTCCCCTAAAAGCCAAACATTTTCTGTTCCTTGCATCTGTTGATCATCCATTTATTTTTTTTCCAGTAATTTCAAAGCACTAGAATTTGCCCATATGTAATTCATACTTCTGAATAGTTGTCCAGTTAAAATTAATGAATGAGAAAAATTAGAATTTAAGTAGAAAACAGTAATCGAGATCCATAAACAGTAAATTTGGACGTATAAGCAAGTGTGCCCTCCCGTCACCACAAGCTTTAAGAATTATGCAGCTCTATAAGAAGTGAAGAGGGGGTTTACATGTGCCCAACTTGGAAGCTGCAAATTCAAGTACATTTTAGATATGAGTAAGTGGCAGCTAGGTCAGGGAACCCAGTTTCTTATTCAAAATTGGAATCTAATAGAATTATATTTGAATATACCAAAAACTTTCCATGGTTAAAATCAGAGTGCAGAGGAAAACCATTCTTTTTAAAATGCAATTATTATTTTTATTTTATATAGTGGTGGTACTAGAAACTGATCTATTGTGATACCAAAACAAAACAAGAAAATCAAGGAAGATTTTGCAAGGTAGAAAAACTTTGGGTTTTAAAAGCAACAACTACTTATGGTGAATGTTTATTGTTTTTATTAAACCTCTAGAATTATGTATAAGTAATATTTGATGTTACTTGGATTTATTTTAATTTTACCTTGCAAAATTTTCAAAATTAAGATGCTTAAAATCTCTTTTAAATGGCTGCTTATGAGGTTACCATCACAACAAAGTGGTACCCAGAGGGGTATGGTAAGCAGAATGTCAAAGATCTCTCCCGAGAAGTCCCATTACCCAGTTATTCAATCATGCACTTAACTAGGTACTGCTATGAAGGGACACTGCAAGTGTGATTAAGGTTACTAATAAGTTGACTAGCGAGATTAGCCTGGATTATCCAGTTGGGCCACTGTAATCACATGCCCTTTAAAAGTAGAAGAGAAACACATTAGGGGAAGGCAGGGAAATCTAAAGCAAATTCTGCACACTGTGGCTGCCTTTGAAGATGTAGATGGGCAACCTCTAGAAGACCCTTGGTAACAGCCAGCAGTTAGTGCTCTCCAAGAAAGGCAACTGGGCCCCCAGTACAACTACCACATGGAACTAAATTCTGCCAGTGAGCCTGGAAGTGGATTCTCCCCTGGAAGGCCTACAGGTACAAGTCCAGGCCTGCTGCTCCCTTTACTTCAGCCTTGTGAAGGCCCTGGGCACAGAAGCCAGGAGAGCCATCCTGTGCCAAGCTTCTGACCCACAGAAATGATGAGAAAATAAATGGATATGGTAAGCCACTACATTTGTGGTAATCTGTTATGCCCGTAATAGAAAACGAATACAAGGGGTAAAGCAAAAAAGAACCAAAAATGAGCACATAAGAGTCTGTTAAACTCATTTATCTTTATTTAGTGATTTCAGCTAAAGCACAATAAATTACATAGAAACTAAAAATAAAATAGAAAACAAAACTACCATAACAGAGAACAGGATATAAGTGTGAAATAATCAAAGGAATTTTTAAAATAAAAAAAAATGTTGCTAACATAACATTTTATTGCATAATTTCAAGCACTACCTTGAAATTGGAAATTTTGCCATTGTTTCTAAACAATTCAAAAGAAGATGCATAAAGCAAGGATCTGGAGCCCAATATGTGATCATAGTTGCCCTGAATATAAGAAGAGAACACTCATCACGGTCTTCAAGCATGCACCACCCTCACTAAAATATATGAGTAAGAATAATTTTAGGCTTTTATTATTGAAGGGACAGTAAGAATAATTACACAGGGAATTCAGCTTACTATAAGGAATAATGTTCTATTCGAGACCAGCCTGGGCAACATGGCGAAACCAAATCTTTACTAAAAAATACAAAACTTAACCAGACGGTGACGAGGGCCTGTGGTCCCAGGTGCTGGGGAGGCTGAAGTGGGAGGATCGCTTAAGCCTAGGAGGTGGTGGTTGCAGTGAACTGAGTTGGACCCACTGCACTCCGGCCTGGATGACAGAGCAAGACCCTGTCTCAAACAAACAAACAAAAAGAAATAGCATCCTAGTAATTACGGCTCTCCAGCAATGGTATAGACTGCTTCGAAAAGCAGAAATGTTATAAAAAGATCCCTAGAATCCCATAGAAAAATTGGCCTAAAAAACCTCTATATTGTAACTCCAAAATTCTGATTCCATTAACTTAGTAACACAGGGAATACTGGCATTATCGGAGTACTAGTTAAGTTACTATTACTCTATACGCCACATTAATTCATTAAATTTAATATTAGGTATGCAGGACAATTGTCATAGCAACATAAATTATTAGCATTACAAGTTCCTAAACAGAAATATGCATAATACTAAAACGAAACTATTTTAAAGGGCAGACATTTATTTTTAATTCTGCAGGATTTCTTTTCAAAAGTGAACTTTGGTGTAGCCTCTGGTCTGGGGCGGAAGATGAGAATGGGAGGGCAGCCTGACCCCCCTCCTGATAAGGAAGGACCCAGCGCATAACCTGTTCAGGATCTGGAGCCGCACAAACACCTGACTCGCCCCTTCAAAACAAGATCCGCGGAATGGCTCGGGACACAACAAGAAATTGCCGGCAACCTGTGACGGCTCATTTTTACCGACAGTGGGAGGCGGGCAGTCGGAAGGAATGCCCATTTCTCCGGTGTTCCTTCCCAGAAGCAAAAGAACGTGTTTGTTTATGCAAGATTTACGTTTCACTCAGGTTTGGGTTGGGTTTGTTTCCTGGAGATGGAGCTGAGTTTCCCTGGTTTTGCTGGAGTGAGGACAAGCTGATCGCTCCGTATTTACCTTTCACTTGAGCCAAATTGGACAAATGCAAATAAACAGGTCTTGCAGGCGCCCCCCGGCAGTCGGCGCCGCCTCCCCGCGCTGGGCTGGGCAGCCGGGGCCCGCAGAGGCAGCCGGCGCCCTAGGGCGGCTGGGGCCGCGCGCCTCCCTGCCCCGCTGCGCGGCCCGCGGGTGCCCGGCCAAGCGCTGGCTTATCTGCAGCTCCCACAGCGCCCCCGCACTCACCAGTTCCTAGAGCAGGGATTCCGAGAAAAAAGAAAGAGCCGGGTTCCCTAGAAACATTAAATTAACACAAGGGATCTGGAAACAAAACAGCAGATGCCTCAAAGCCTTCTCCTTGACGGCTTCCTGCCTTCTTGGAAAATCTTTGCATTAAAATAGATTGAATTACCCTGCTCTGCCAGATGCTGCTCGGGAACTTCATTTTGGGCTAACATGAAAGGAGAGTTTGACATCTTTTAAAGGATTTTTCTTTTCGAGGTGGTTTGAGGGGCGCCTTTGGGTTGCTGACATTAGCAAGGACCCAAGGCTGAGCTTTTTGCATTACAGTCGAGAACTTTCCATAACAATGGCTAGCAAATCAGATAACAAAGATCATGGCGTGTAGAGGAGACGCGGTGGAGCATAGAATGAGCACTAAGGGTTCAGAAGCCGAGGTTGCTGTCTCTGGGAAGAGCCTAGAAAGAGCACAGGCCAGCCGCCTCCTTTTACAGGGGAGAAAATGTCTTTTATTTCTAAGCCTACTTATTTTGACCATAGCTATGAGAACTATCTAATGGCATTTCCAGAGAGTCACAAACAAGCAGAAAGGCTTGTGAGTAGTATTTTATCAGCCTCTTTGTTCTAAAGCCCATCGTCTAACCTCCACCGACCCCTATCTACAAATTAATCAGACCATATAATTTGTAAATTCAAACCCAGATTAATAACCACACACCTTGAACAGTGGGTCTTCAGCACAGAGTGTATTCCACTTTCCTGTCATGTTAACTTTCATATTTAAAGAATTTTGGTAGCTGAGAACAAGATCCAAAGCTTCCTATGAGGTATCAGGATTTTACAGAGTAAATTGTTTTTACTGGAGTAGGATCTTCTTTGACATTTTAACTTTTTTTCATGATAACCTTTAGGAAAGGACGCTATAATCCTTAGTCGCTAATTTATATGTGTCATGCTTTCTAGTAAACTGGAAAATAACCTACATTCTTAAAAGGATTCTATGCTTATCCCAAATTTAGGAGCACAAGATGGGGGAGAAGTATATTACAACAAGATACTCTAAACACAAATAAAATTAAATATCCTTGCCTAAGCATGAAAGCAATAAAACTCATCTTAAAGCAATGCAGTCAGACAAAATCATTGCATCTGTAATAAGGGTAAGTACACAACTCCGGGAGTTAGCAGCCCTAAATATTTCTGTTCTAATGACACACAAGAGATACACAAAATCTATCATTCCTCCCTGATGTACGAAAAAATAAAGGGCAATTTCATAACACCTTTGGTGCTTTCTAACTTAATAGCTGGCCTTCAGGAAAAGCAAGTATAATTTTTGAGTGTTTATAAGAAAGCAAAGGAAAATGTTGCAAAAAATTACTTGGCTCAAAGGCCACAGAGAAAGCCGGAATCTGCAGGACTCACCAAGCTACACAGCTGTTTTAAAACCGAAAGTCAAACAGCTTTTAAAAGGTATTAAGTATTTTCTACAACAAAATCATCAAATATACATACTTCTTTTTATCCTGCAAATAGACATTTTATTTCTATTAGAAAAAAACTATAGTTACACAAACAATAACTAGACTGCTGTAATAAATATAACTAGCCACATAATACTAGTCAACGCTGGCTTTTTAAAAGATTACCAGAGAATTTCAAAATGATTCTGAATGATCAAGTGTGACTCGTATATTTTTTAGGTAGGCATTGATGTTAAGAATATGGCTTTCACAGAAATAGAATCCAATTTATCTTATTTCCATATATTAATCATGGCAACAAATAAAAATGATGACAAAAATCACTAAGATAGTTTCTTTAAATTTTTTTAAATTAAAAACCAAAACCTTAGGTAAATCTGACAATCCTCCCCCAAAATTGGTTTTCGAAAAAAAGTCTTCAGGTCATAGAAAAAATGTAGATGGCTTATAACCCTTAGAATTCCTTTTAGTTAATGAGAATCTCATTTTTGGAATTTCTTCAAACTTAACTGAAATGTTAATGAAAAAGAGAAATATTTAGATGTTGAGAAAAAAAGTTGTTCTAATTATTCTGCTTCACTATCTCATTTCAGCTCATCAAAGTTAAATAGCTAATAAACAACTGGTCTGTTTTGGCAGATTTTTTTTCTATTTTAAAATTCATTACTAAACAGATGAGGTTACTGCTAGTTAAAATTCTGAATCCAAATGCCATACATGCTGTTGTAAAAACTGTGCAGTTTTAAATATATTTTTACTTCTATATATTTTTGAATCTTTAGCCAAACTCCTCCAATAAAGTTTTAGTTTATGATGTTTTCTAAAATAAAAACATTTGTATTTTATGCTATAAAAATCAATAAATGTCTTCTAAAGTTAGGTGCTCCAAAATAAATGATTCAAAAGTTTTAATGAAAGCCCTCTTATAATTAAAGAAGGTGATTGGTAATGAGGAGGAAAATGGGAGGCATATTTACAATAAATCAAAAGCAGAATTGTGATTAATGGGCTCCACAATGATTATTAATGTTCTCCCTATAAAATATTGATGTTTGCATTAATTTAAAAGTACAGACTGGGTTTTTTGCTTTGTTAAATGAAAAATAATTTTTTTCCTATTTTAAAATGAGAATGACTATTTTAAAAACAGAAGACTATGTCCAAGATCTTTCCCTTTCCCCATTTCAAAATTATGAGTTTTCTTTTTGTCTTTCTGAATTCTTGAAATCCAGTGACATTGTCATAGCTCTGAGAACCAAAATAATAGAAACCACTAACTGTAGGAGACAGCCTTGATGCTTTTGATTATATTTTCCTAGAAAGATTTTTATGATATTTAATCTTAATAGCTTTTTTTTTTTAGGAACTCCTCTAATGCCAATAAATGAGAATCTAAATCTCAGGAGTTTAGGCAAATTTAGCCCATCAGCATAGCCTAAAAACAGGATAATTTAATAAAACCTAAATAATACATTAGTTTTTAAATAATATGTTATATACTTTAGATATATATATATATATCCTGTTAAGATTAGTGGGTACCAACCTCATATCTGTATTGGAAATAAGCAGGGTGCAGATTTTTAAAAGGAAAAGAGGCTACACTACTACTCAAAGTCTCCTCAACATTTGGATGCAGGAGAGAAATGGAAAGAAAGTCGAGTTCATCAGGGCTGGTGCCCATCCCATGGCACTACACTTCCTCCTATCCCCTGACCACTGCCAAGTTTGGTCAGGATAGGTGGCTTCGTGTCTCTACATAGTCAGATACCTGTGTATTTTGCTGGGAGAAGGGGAAAAAAAATAAACAAATAAAAATAAAACTCTCTATTCCCAAACTCCCTGCATCCTTTCAAAGTCACATTTTATTAATGGAAATTAAAATGATGAAGAAAGAAACCATTAGTAACCTAAATGATAAGTTTCCCCTTAAAGACACATTTTAACACCAACAAGAGGACTTTCTTCTTTCACTTTCTTCCTTCCTTCCTTTCCTCGTTTCTCTCTCTCCCTCTCTTTCCTTCTTTCTTTCTCCTTCCCTCTCTCTCTTCTCTTTTTCTTTCTAGTCAGAGTTTGTGACTTACTAATTATTTTTATTCTGTTTGAATAGGGTCCCTGTTATCTTTTGTGATTTTCTGAAATGAAGTTAAGATTTCCATTATTTATGAGAATAAAACAGGAGGTTGACACTTTACGCACAAAAAAGAATAACCAAAGGTTACAATGACATCAGTTTTAGTTTTTATTAAGGGCTGGCGTGTGGTGCAGGGGGTGGCGGTGGGAGCGGGGTGAGGCAGGTGTGAGGAATGAGTTTGTTTCTTCCAAGAGAAGGATTTGCTTTGGTCAGTGTTGCTGCAGTCCCAGTGAAGGGGCCTACTCTGCCAGCTCTTCTGGGTAGACTTCATAACAGAGTGGGCAGGCTCAATTCTCTAGGAAGCCTGATGATGGCAACTGCATCTCATGGAAGAATTCCACAAAGGGTTAAATTAGGGTGAGATTGTCAACAGGCTTCAAAAAGGCAGAGTTCCAGGGCCCATGCCTGAGGTCTCATGGGCCTCCTTCAGGTCCTCATCCCCACAGTCTGACACTTTTGGCCCTTCTCTTCTCCAGCTCCCCACCCCATTCTTCGGCCAGTCCTTCCTTTTTCCTCTAACCCTGCAAAAAATGAGCAGCGCTGTTGTTTTGTTCCAACTGACAAAACAGCTAAGAAACAGCAGAACATGACTGCCCTTTGCAAAATGGGCCATGTGATCCTCCTAGCTCAATTCAACACTTACAGTAAAAACGAATAGAAAGGGACCTGTTTATGAAACTCTCCTGCTTGCCTTTGGAATACTCTCATCCTCTCCCTTCTCAGCCTCCTAAATACCCAAGTGAATTTATATAATGAGCTTTATTTTATCACCCTGAAATTCTTCCTCAGTCCAAATTGCTAATGTGGCAGGTTCCAGCTGCCCAAATTCCCTAAACAACATTGCCTGTTCCATAAAAAGCATGCAATTACAAGCACAGCAGTCCTGCTCTGGTTCTTAGAACTATAAACTGACTACACAGCTCCCTGGCCCGGGAAGGCTATGAAACAGGCAACATGGACAATTTAAAGGTGTACAACATCCGAGGTTCCATTTCACCCTCAGGCAGCACGGAGTGGACAAGGTAAGGCCACCCTCCACTTTTCTTCTGGCTACTATATTGATTCTCTGGAAACTCTCTCTGCTCCAAAAGAAACCACCCAATCCCATGGAGAAAAGGTGACACTGAATTTGCACTGCTTTTTATGGTTGCATTTGTTTGACTAAGAGGGAGCAGAGTTCCATACAACAGACTGCTTTAGTTGGGTGACTTGAAAATAACACATACCAGATTAGTTCTCCAGATGCAGATTAGTACTAAGTTTGAATCCTTTCTTTTAAATTAATTAATGTAATCTCAATGTTTACATAATAGACATTGACTTTTATCTGGCACATACAGTATATGACTCTGCCTTTAGCAAAAATACCATTCAAGCTATCTTTAGCAGATGTGAATGTTTTATTTTTATTTTGGGGACTCCAAAGAGAGTCCATAACCTACCTTGGCATTGTCAGATCTCAAAAAAAGCTTTCTTCATACTTGCAATATAGTAATATCTAAGTACTTGGACATCTCTGCACAAAATATATGGGTCCACATCTCCCTGTTTTTCCATATACTATTCCCTCTGCAACCTTGTTCACATAGCAAACTCTAATTTATTCTTCAATAGGCAGCCTATGCCACCTTCCCTCAACTATCCCAGACCAGTAGTCATCACTGCCTCCTCTACCCCTTGTACATTTCTCTATGTGGTCTCACCAGAGAAGTACTATGTTTGCTCATATGTCTGGTCTCACCAGACAGTACCATGTTTGCTCAACTCAAAGTTCCTTGAGGAAATAATTGTATTTGTATCTCCAGTGCCTTGCATATTTTGTATCACATAATGAGTTCTATAAAAGAGAACTAAACTGATGTGGCTATGAAATGATTTACAGCTTTTAACTGGAATGAGCCTAGTACAAGACTCACTTAGATGCTGGTGGTTGATCCTAAGTTTCTCATGCTGTTATCTGCAATCATTTGCTCTTGCTCTACATTCAGAAGAGAAAGAAAAACTGGTGACACTAATCTGGCCTCTATATCATAATTAGACCAGGGGTAGGATCTGAGAAACTAGAAAATATTTAGCCTACCCCTAGTCACATCCTAAAAGACATCAATGTGGAACTCAAGGAACTCAGTGGATTTACCAACATTTATCATACCCTATATCCACCCATTATAACTACTTGAATTGTCATGGATGGGAACAGAAGATAGATTTTATTGTGGAGAACAGAATAAATCTAATAAAAGAAATAACTAGAGGAAAAGTTGGGGCTAGTTGACGTTTTTAAGTAGAGATGGGAAAAACATAAATGATGGTGGTCAGCACAGAAAGTTTTGAATATAAGGACTTTAGAAATCAATGTGGTCACTCTTTTCTAGTAATAGGCTGACCATGGACAAAAATAATAGGAACATTATTCCCTAGTTCCTTTGCAATGTACTGTACTGTTATTTAAGCATCCCAGCATCATGCTTGCTTTGATAAATACAAATCTAGCTCAATTGCCATGATTCTGCTTTGAGGCTCTCTCTTTTTTAATGATTTATATGTCATGCTCCCCAAAAGTCTTTCTAAAATTATACCAAAGGGAAAGAAGCAAAAAAAGGGGAGCTTAAATGTTCTGAGGAGCTGTTAGATGTGCCTGGTGCTTGCTATGCACTTCTTTTTGAGACAGAGTCTCCCTCTATTGCCCAGGCTGGAGTGCAGTGGCGTGATCTCAGCTCACTGCAACCTCCGCCTCCAGGGTTCAAGGGATCATCCCACCTCGGCCTCCTACTAGATGGAAATACAGGCCTGAGCCACCACAACCAGCTTGCTATGCACTTTATATACACCATCTATATGTATACCACCCTCCCAACAACTCCACTTGGTAGGAATAATTATTCTCATTTTAAATCAGTTTTAACCTAGGTGTCTCTGGTTCTAGATCTAGTATTTTTTCTACAAATAATACGGTTCCAATTTCTTTCTTTTCTTTCTTTTTGTAGAGATGGGGTCTCACTTTGTCACCCAGGCTGGGCTCAAACTCTTGGCTTCAAGCGATCTTCTCGCCTTGGTCTCCCAAAGTGCTGGGATTACAGGCTTGAACTACTGTACTCGACTGACTTTTCCTATTTCTAATGTCAGCATGAAGAACACAAGAAGTCAGCTTCAAAGGTAAGAGGTGTATCATTCATTCATTCAACATTTATTCCACAGCTACGATGAACCAGGCACTATAGTCTCTTTGAGGATATAAACATAAATAAGTTCTGGGACTCGACTTCAGCTTGCTCACAGTCTAATGGAAAAGAGACATAAAAACAACTTGGTTTATTCTATTTTCCCTAGGCTCTGTATTTGGATCCCCACACCTTGTCACTTTTTGCTGCCACTTTACAAACTTTCCATATCTTAAGAGTTACTCTATCTTTATTTACACATTAGTAAAACACAAGAAACCTGCCCCATTTCGTAAGCTGCCTACACTGCTAAAATCACATCCTAGAGGGAAGTGAGATGGAACAAACCATAAGCATTTGAACTCGCTTGTGCCGCTCTGGGTTTCCATGCTGCCAGGGTGTTTGTTCATTCATTTATTTGCATATTTTGGAGGGCCTACAGGAGGCCCAGTGCTAGCCAGGGAAACAGCGGTGAAAATGACATAACTAGTGTTCTGCCCCCATGGAGCTTACCCTCTAACCTTTACAGGAAGGGGAGGCAGACAGTCAACAAAATCCTGGATTGTGATAGGTGAGTCATTAAGGAAAATCACAGGGTGCTATGAGAAAGCACATATGGTACAGGGACCTAACCTTGGCAGGGGGATGAGGAAGGCCTCCCCTAGGAAGTGGCATGAAAGCTGAGATCTGTGAGTTGAGTGGGATTAGCTTGGTGAAGATAGGGGGAAGACGGACAAGGAGGGAAACAGAGAAGAGGATTCCAAGCTGAGGGAACAGTGCATACAAAGGGCTGAAGCTGGAAAGAACACAATACCTCTGAGGTCAGGAAAGAAGGCTAGCATTTGCAGAAGACAGGCAATACGAGGGACGGGGTCCGGAGACAGAGCTGGGAAGGAAGCACTGGCCTGATGATGCAGTGGTGTTCTGGATTTCAAATCTCATTCTAAGAGCAGCGGGAACATATTGAAAGGTTAAAGCAGCTCAGTTGAGTGCACTTAATGTTCTTTAAAATTCCCTTGGCTACCTATGATTGAAGTATTGAGAAAAACACAGTGTGAAAACATGTTTCATTAATGAAAAACTTGTTTAGAATACAAAAGTGGTATAGATAAAAGAGTTCTAAATAAAAAATAATGGGTTTTATTCATAGCATTATTATCCCAAGTAAGTCATTTAATCTCAAAATATTTTTGTTTCCTCATCTAGCAAATGAAAATACTAAAAAATTCAAAATTCACATACTTGTTTTAAAAAGCAAATGAAATAATACATTTGAAAATGCTTTGAATCTCTAAAATGTAAGCTCCTTGAGGGAAGGGACTTTGACTATTTTACTACTATACCTAGGACCTAGAAGATGGATGGACGGATGGATGGATGGATGGACGGATGGATGGGATGGATGGACAGATGGATGGACTGATGAACAGACGGATGGCTGGATAAAAGAAAGTGAGGGAGGAAGACAAGAAGGGAAAAAAAGAAAGGAAGGGAAGGAGGGAGGAAGGGAAAAAAGGATGGACAGGCCAGGCAGGTGGCTCACGCCTGTAATCCGAGCACCTTGGGAGGCTGAGGTAGACAGATGGCCTGAGCCCAGGAGTTTGAGACCAGCCTGGGCAACATGGCAAAACCCTGTCTCCTCAAAAAATATAAAAATTTAGCAGGGTGTGGTAGCGCATGCCTGTAGTAACAGCTTCTCAGAAGGCTGTGGTGTAGGATCGATTGAGCCTAGGAGATTGAGGCTGCAGTGGGCCTTGATCACCACTGCAGTCTAGCCTGGGTGACAGAGTGAGATGCTGCCTCAAAAAAAAAAAAAAACAAAGGATGGATGAATGGATGAATGAATCACATCAAGCACCATATTGTGCAAATATGAAGCAAGACATACAGCATGTGGCAGTCCACCTGAGCAGGCAGCCTCCCCAGGAACTCAATGTCACAGCATCACCAATGCTTGCCAAGCAGCCAGGCCTTCCTTCAGTGCTGGCACACTGGGCACCTCCAGCAGCTATTCCAGACGGCTGGGTGATGGGGGCAAGCACAGCATCAGAGGCCCATGACATCACCTCTTCAGTGTGGCTGGTGAGAGGGGCGATTGTGAGAAATGAAACACTGCCTTTTCCTGCTTCTTCTTCCTCATACACTAGTCTCTGACACGCACCCCAAAGCCAAGCCCTAAGTACACATCCTTCTCCACTCATATAATCCCTACCTACAGATTCTTATTCTTTGTTTACCAAATGTAGTATTAGAATACATTTTTATATAACTTATTAACACTTTTCTTATACTGCACAGTCTTAGCTATGTGTACCCAATTTCTTAAAGAATTACAACTAAAGATAAAAAAGAGAAGAGGAAAAATATTAAAAGCCTTAACATGTTCTTTGATATTTATTAGCTTTATAACAATAATGATAGTAACCATTCATTGAATACTGACTTTCCTCCAGGCATAGAGTTTGACACTTAGCCTATATCACTTCAAATCCTTACAACCCCTAAAAAGGTCAGCATTATGACTCCATTTCTTGGGGAAGAAAATTGAGGCACAGAGCAGAATGATTTGCCCAAGGTTAGGAGGTTGTTAAGGGCAGAACCAGTGTTCAAATCTGGGTCTATTAGACAAGACAGTGTGCATTCTTTCCATTACACTACATATTATTATGAAAATCTTCTAAAAGAAATTGGACTACTTATGAAAAAAGAGCAACCACTTACTGAACATTTAATCTGCCAGGCAGTTATGCTCTTTACAAAAATTATGTCATTTAATCCTCTCAACAACTCTGTCAGGTCTGTACTTTTGAAATGAAGAAACTAAAGCTTAGAGAGACTAGAGTGACTTGCCAAAGCTCAAAAAACGACTAAGTGGTAGAGCCTGGATTTTAACCCAGGTCTGTCTGACTCTAAAATGCACCCTCTTAACTGCTACACAAGAGTTCCACTATTCAAATATCATCAGTATAACTTGTATGCCTTCAAAGGAGAATGTCAAAACAGAAGAACAGGGTCAAAAAACCATTTTAAAGATAATTCAAAATAACTACTGCATTAAGACACCATCTCTAAGAGCCCATTACTAACCATTTTCTCTGAGATGTTGCCTTGTTCTGTTGTCCCAAATGGCCTTTAGAACGATCTGCAACCAGTGTTTTCAATACAAGTGTTTTCCTTTTACATTTGGTAAGTAATTTAAAAATCTGTTTCTAAAACTACCAGTTCAACCAAATGGAGCTCATAACTCTGCGCCCAAATCTTTAGAGACACTGAAAATGCACACTAAAGTTACTTAGTCCACAATTCTTATTAAATAATGTTCTTTGATGGTCAGGATAATGTTCAAAGTCACTGTGCAAATTGCTCATGTCATATAAAATACTAGATTTCACTGTTTCTTTCTTTCTTTTTTTTTTTTTTCTTGAGACGGAATTTCACTCTTGTCGCCCAGGCTGGAGTGCAATGGTGCCATCTCGGCTCACCGCAACCTCCACCTCCTGCGTTCAAGCGATTCTCCTGCCTCAGCCTCCCAAGTAGCTGGGATTACAGGCACCCATCACCATGCCTGGCTAATTTTATATTTTTAGTAGAGATGGAGTTTCTCCATGTTGGTCAATCTGGTCTCGAACTCCCGACCTCAGGTGATCTGCCTGCCTCAGCCTCCCAAAGTGCTGGGATTACAGGCGTGAGCCACCACACTCGGCCAGATTTCACTGTTTCATAATAAATTTTGAAGATTATATCAAGCATTTTAAAATACACCCAACATGATTGTCTCCCTATCAGAAATAATTCTTTTCTAAACCAGAAGAATCCTCAGGTAGGTCTCCTTAGCTATACTCGTTAAGCTATATGGCTATATTTGTTAAGCAAACATAGCTATATTTGTTAAGCCAACTTTTTAAAACCTCATTTGTAATTAAGAAGGTGTTCGCCTTCTTGATCTACTGATTGGGCAAAGAGGACTTCCTTGTATCTATGGAGAAGGATACATAACTTTCACACTGATTGGATATGTAAACCAAGTCGCTGGCAAACTATTACTTTAAACACAGTCATTGAAATAGAAGCCTGGCAATTCTTGGACTAACATGTGGGAAATAATGTATGTGTGAGCACATGCCTGTGCCAACTTTCAAAAAGTAAAATATAAGTACAGGAAGTACCTACATACTCCCTAACAAAAGCAAAGTAAATATACAGATCTGGATGAACATCCCCAAATTCTGTGCTTAATCTTCAAGTTGAGATGTTCTATCAGTCTGAGAAAATTATAGTATATATTTTTAAATACTTTTTTCAACTGGAGTCTATGTATAGAGCAAAAATAAACCAATAAATACTGCAGAAAAATATGAAGAAAAAAATAAAACACTAATAATTATACCACTGTCAATACTGTGTTTCACAGCCTCCCCAGACTTTTTTCTTGGCATATGTGTATATGACTTGGAGTTTTTCAAATATAAAGTTGCACCACAAAACTGTTTTGCAACATGCTTTGTTTTATTTTATTTTTCCATCCAATAGCAAATGAGGGTCAGCCGGGTGCAGTGGCTCACACCTATAATCCCAGCACTTTGGGAGGCCAAGGCAGGCAGATCAGTTGAGAGGTCAGGAGTTGGAGACCAGCCTGGCCAACATGGTGAAACCCCGTCTCTACTAAAAATATAAAAATTAGCCAGATGTGGTGGCATGTGCCTGTAATTCCAGCTACTTGGGAGGCTGAGGTGGGAGAATAGCTTGAACCCGGGAGGTGGAGGTTGCAGTGAGCCGAGATTGTGCCACTGCACTCCAGCCAGAGTGACAGGGCAAAGCTCCATTAAAAAAAAAAAAAAAAAAGTAAATGAAGGTCAATGTTTAAATAATAAATATAGCTCTACATCTTCAATTCTCTCATAACTCATTTAACCCATCTTTCACTGATGGACAAGTTTCTTTCAACATTTTGCTTTTATAAACAATACTGAAATGAACACTGTTTACATATAAGCACTTATCAAATTAGTCCTTTCAGACAAATTCTTAGAAGTAGAAAGACTGTATCAAAGAATGTAGCTTTCAATACATATTGCCAAAGTGCCTTCCAGAAAAATCATGCCAGTTGACACTACCAGCAGCAATATATGAGAGTGCAGGCTTCACACTCTGATCTTCCCTGGCTATGAATATTCCTTTTCAATTGTTGCCAATCTAATAGGCAAAACAAATGGTAACTTCTGGTTGCTTTCACTGAATTTTCTTTTTATACAAATACTGATATATAGGAGCAGTAGGTCCGTGTTATACTGAAGAGCAAGAATTTCAGAGGCAGACAGCCCTGGGCTGCAACAGTTTTGCTAAATGTGTGATCTAGGACAAGCTGCTTTAGCTCCCTAAATTGGACTGTCCTCATTGCACAATGTAAATAATTGCACCTGTCTCATAGTATTTTCTTAAGCAAGATATGATACTAGCCCAGTGCTTGGCAGACAATAAACAGTAAATGGTACCTGCTAGTAGTAGTGATAGTGATATAGTAGTAGTAAAGAATTCAGCGGCCATTTGTATTTCTTCTCTTGCAAATTACCTTTTCATATCTTTGGTCTGATTTTGTCGTGGAGAATGCATCTCTTATTTATTAACCTGTAAGAGCTCTTTATAAACTATGGGCAATAACCCTTTGGCCACTATATATATAGCCAACATTTTCTCCACATTGACATTAGTTTTTAATATTATGGTGTTCTTTGTAATTTTTGCTTAGTAATCTAAGATTTTTTTTTTTTTTTTTTGAGACGGAGTCTCTCTCTTGTTGCCCAGGCTGAAGTGCACTGGCGCAATCTCGGCTCACTGCAATCTCTGCCTCCCAGGTTCAAGCAATTCTCCTGCCTCAGCCTCCCGAGTAGCTGGGATTTCAGACATGCACCACCACGCCAGGGTAATTCTGTATTTTTAGTAGAGATGGGGTTTCTCCATGTTGGTCAGGCTGGTCTCAAACTCCAACCTCAGGTGATCTGCCCGCCTTGGCCTCCCAAAGTGCTGCAATTACAGGCATGAGCCACCGTGGCTGGCTGTAAGATCTCTTTTTAAAATTTATTTAGTTTCTGCTATTGGTATCATGCTTACAAAGATCTCTGCTACCACAAGATTATAAATAAAGATTAAGTATATATTTTGTGCTTTTATAGATTCTTTAGTTTTTTAACATAAAATCTTTAAACATAAACAATATTGCTATTAAGTAGGAATTTAACTTTATCCTTTTCTTCCTCTAAATGACTAGTATGTAATCCCAATGCCTTTTACAAATCTCATCACTGACTTGATGTGCCACCCTGGCATTAAAGAGTTGATAATTCCTAACCTGAAATTCTGAAATCATAAAGCTCTGAAAACAGAGTCTTTTGTTTTTTGCGGTTTGGTGCTTAAATTCATTTGGTGGCAAAACTTGACCTGAGCTAATGTGAGGCTATTTCTGGTCTTTATCATCCCATTTAGTGTCCGTATTAATCTGTTCTGCTGTGGAAATTTACATGAATTTGATTATGAGATACTGCTAAAAACCCTAAATTTTGAAATATAACTGGCCCCAAACATTTCAGATAAAGGACTGTGAACCTGTACTAGGTTTCCATGTATACTCAAGCCTGCTTCTAGACTTCCTGTTGTAGCTATGCTCTTATTTTCTCTTTTATTTCAATAAATGCAATAAATTACATTGATTTTCAAATGCTAAACCCTTGTATTTCCAGGATAAATCCCATTTGGTAATGATATATTATCCTTTTTCTGTTTTGCTGGATTCCATTTGTTAATATATTGTTGATGATTTTTGCATCTATGCTTAAGGCTATAACTTTTTCTTGTAGTGCCTTTGTCAAGTTTTGGTATCCAGATTATACTGGCTTCCAATTTCTTAGTTTGTCTACCATTTTGTTTATATTTACTATATTTTATGTTTTAATACTTGATGAGATAAAATTTTCCCCTCTTTTTCATTCTTCACTAGTCTCAGGCAATGTTTTTCTGAACTTTACCGTATTTTATCAAATTTCATAGAATAAAAATAACATTACAGCTTATGCTGGAACTGTATTAAATTTTAGGTTAATATGGACAAAAAGTGATATTGACGTATTTACTACATTGACTCGTTTCACCAATGAACATGTTTCTCTATTTATTCAAGTGTTCTTTTATGTGCCTTAGTTAAGTTTGGAAGAGTTCTTCATAAAGGTCTTGCCCAATTTCTGTTAAGTTTATTCCTATGTATTTTATAATCACTCTGATAATTTCAACTCTATTCATGCCTGTGCTACCATATTTCATTAGTTCTGATTATCAATTATAGATAGCTGCTGTAATTGTTTCCATGCTGCTATAATTGTTTCCGTGGAAGGGTAGAATGCCTTGTGGAAGAAAGGAGCCAAACGTGACTGTTTCATTTATTTAACAAACATGTATTGAACACGTAATATGTACCCAGCACTGAGAATTCAAAGAGTGATAAGACAATATCCCTGTCCTCAAGGGTTCACAGTCCAGGGGGCAGATAAACAAGTTGCATATAGTAACACGCAAGTTCTGTGT
This sequence comes from Homo sapiens, assembly GCF_000001405.40. Classification (NCBI taxonomy): domain Eukaryota; kingdom Metazoa; phylum Chordata; class Mammalia; order Primates; family Hominidae; genus Homo; species Homo sapiens. The sequence continues at coordinate 93,727,987 of NC_000012.12, read as the reverse complement.
TAGAGGAGAGTACAGGAGAAAAACACAGTCTACCTCCAGGAGTAGAGAGTATTGTCAGGAAAAACTTCTATAGAGCTGACTCTTGGGGTGGGTCCCAGTTTCCCCCTTGAACAGGTGTGGTGATGAGGAGGCACATCCAGAAACTGCATTAAGTCCTTCAGACTTAAGAACGTCATCAATACAGTGCTGAGTGCACCCTGCCTTCCATGTCACAGCATGGCAGCAAATCCCTTTGGCTTGCTGGCCTCTCCATGGCTCAGCTCTCCTGGCTGCCTGTCACTGAACTGGGCACTGAGCACTGTGGGTCACCGAGCCACATTTCCCTTACATGCCTCTGCTCATATAACTTCAGGAAAAGGACATCAGTGTCCAGCTGAGTTACTACAGCTTCAGTTGCTAACTGGCCTGGCTCTAGATTCCTTAAAGCCCATAAAGTGCTATCACTTATTACTTCACAGGGACATCATGTTCTGGGAGAAAATCGTTCTATTTCATGCCTAAAATGGTAACAAAGCAAGTGAAAGCTGATCTGCTGTGTGTCTCCTGGATAGTGACAGGTTCTGGTACCCAAATAAGCAGACCTAATGAAGCTCAGAGATTCCCAGCTTGGATGAACTATTTACTCCTCATGAGCTCAATATTAACTGTGGAGTCATCTTGCAACTACAGAGCCCTTTGCAGAGTGACCACAGGAAGCCAGGCATGGAGGAAGAAGGCGACAATAAGCAGTCACTTGTGTTATTACTGAAGAGACCACAGGGATCTGTCCAATTATTCAAATGCACATCTGGAAAAAATTCACCTGTCTTGAACTCTTGTTTGTTCAACAGCAAAACAAGCAAAAGCACCACAAAATGCTCAATCAGGGCGATCTTTTCAATTGTGGAGTCTGAACGTTTTCCCACCTGAGCATCATAAATAAGGCAAATTGCATAATAGGATAATAATAGTTGTTGCTGAAAGATGCAATCATAAAATAAAAGGACCTTTCGAAATCTGAGTATAGATGGTAATTATCCAGGAATGGAATACAAAGAGGAGCAATTTCAAGGTTCCTGCTTCGTCTTGTTATCGTGAAACTGAGACGGCCAAATGCCAAAGAGGGCTCTTTCAGTTACAAGAGACCTTCCAATGTCTTTGACAACAGTGCTATTCCCTTCTGTTAGAGTGCTGTAGTACACCATCTTGTATATCCGTCTAATCTCAAATGCCACAATTCACAAAGTTGCCACTTGTTCTTTCCTGCTACCAAAACCAGAATTCTAGCTGGTAAGCTCCACAGCAGAAAAAAAAAATGAGGAAAAAAGTAATAAATTGTGGTTCTTTATACTTCAGTGTTATTATTGTATTTATAAATAAATACAATGTATGTATGTATATATCTGAATAAGATCCTTTCCTGATAAAGAGATGTACCCCTCCAAGTAGAGTACTAGTAAAGCTTCCTTCTCTAATGTAAAAAGCAAGACCTGAGATAAATAAAATAGGTAAATGTAAAAATACATTTATGGCCCCAAATAAATACATGCTCTCAAATAAACAGACCTAACAAAGTTGAGGGAGTCATTAAAAAACTAAACTATTGGCCAGGTGCTGGGGCTTATGCCTATAATCCCAGCACTTTGGGAGGCCAAGGCAGGTGGATCACCTGAGGTCAGGAGTTCGAGGCCAGCCTGGCCCATATGGTGAAACTCCATCTCTAATCAAAATACAAAAATTAGCTGGGCATGGTGGTGGGTGCCTGTAATCCCAGCTACTTGGCAGGCTGAGACAGGAGAATCGCTTGAACCTGGGAGGCGAAGGTTGCAGAAAGTCGAGATTGCACCATTGCACTCAGCCAGGGTGACAAAAGTGAAACTCCATCTCAAGAAAAAAAAAAAAAAAAAAAAAAAACTAAACTATTTACTCTTCACCAGTTCATGAACATTAATTAGCCACAGAAACAATTAGAGCCACAGACTTTGCAAGCATTCAGGTTAATTCAGTAGAAGAATAATAGGTCTTGAAGTCAGCCCTGGGTTTGAATACAGCCCCACGATGTACTAGCTTTGAGACCTTGGAAAAGTTCATGTGTCTGAGCTTCCTTATCTGCAAAATGGGGAAAATACCTACATTACAGGCAGGGAGTTTTGAGGATTAAGAGAGAAAGGTATATATAAACCCCAACAATGAATGGGACAAACAGGCACTCTATACACACCTACTTTCCTATTCAAATTCTCTACATGCTAAATGGTAAAATAAATCTCCCCAGCTTCTCAACCTACAATAGACCCTTACTGTTTAATATAGCAAATGCTTTCCATTAACAGTGCACCAAATTTTGCATTACAATACTCCACAAGTCAAATTCTCTGCTTCAGCAAAATCTGAATCTCTTATATATTCCCAGCTTTTTATTTTCATGCTCTTACAAATATCATCACACACCACCACCAGCAGCATTTCCCAAAGTAGTTCACAAAGGAATTGGGGTAAGAGGAGTAGGGCAGGATTGGGTGGAATGAGGGCCTTTCAAGTCAATAAAGACAGTAATGGCATTTGGTTCAATTTCTACTTTTTAAAAACATTTTTTTCTTCAAAACAGGACAGTGTGAGAACATGCAACTGTATATCTAGGGAGTATATGCAGTAGTTGGTGACAACTGGGCAACAGAACTCAGCTAAACACTGCTACTAGTCATGGTGGTTTAAAATTGCTTTATTCTTAAGACATATATTGTTCCACTGATACCCATACTGGACCACTGGTAAAAAGGAAAAGCAAAGGGAATATTGTGAGTGAAAGATAATTAACAGGGGGATGAACATAAAAAATAATAAGTCTGGGCCGGGCGTGGTGGCTCACGCCTGTAATCCCAGCACTTTGGGAGGCCAAGGCAGGCGAATCACGAGGTCAGGAGATCGAGACCATCCTGGCTAACACGATGAAACCCCGCCTCTACTAAAAATACAAAAAATTAGCCAAGCGTGGTGGCGGGTGCCTGAAGTCCCAGCTACTTGCGAGGCTGAGGCAGGAGAATGGCGTGAACCCGGGAGGCGGAGCTTGCAGTGAGCCGAGATCGCGCCACTGCACTCCAGCCTGGGCAACAGAGCGAGACTCCATCTCAAAATAATAATAATAATGATAATAATAATAATAATAAGTCTGTTCTTTACAGATATATGTCACAATCTTCTGCTCAAAATTCCTTTGTAGCAAAATAAAACATCTAAAACTATGCTAAAAAATACAAAACAGTAACAATTATATCCAATGTGCCTTATCATTTATTGGGAATACAAATTATCTACATTATGTTTTTGCATAACAGAATTTTCAAACAGCACCCTGAAAGAGAAGTATTAACTACCTGACTTTTTTCAAAGGCAAAAAATGAAAAGTCAAGAGGCTTCTGGTTTCCAGCTCTGTATTTAAGGAGCTGAAAAGTCGCCACTCCATCCTAACAAGTAAAAAGGCTGAACAAACTGAAAAATCAACAAGTCTTCTTAGTTCTGTAAGAAAAGTGAGATCACAAGGTAAACTGATGCCTCTGAAATTGAAGCAACAGACAGGCAGATACAGAGAATCACAACATACTGGAGCAGAAATTTTTTTTTTTTTTTTTTGAGACAGGGTCTGGCTCTGTCACCCAGGCTGGAGTGCAGTGGCACGATCAGGGCTCTCTGCAGCCTTGACCTCCTAGGTTCAAGGGATCCTCTCGCCTCAGCCTCCCAAGTAGCTGGGACTACAGGCATGCACCACACACCCAGCTAGTTTTTGTATTTTTAGGAGAGACTGGGTTTCTCTATGTTATCCAGGCTGGCCTCGAATTCCTGGGCTCAAATAATCTACCCACCTCGGCCTCCCAAAGTAAGTGCTGGGATTACAGGTGTGAGCCACTGCACCCGGCCTGGAGCAGAAACTTCCCCAAGAAAAATCCCTTTCCAGCAGGAGGAGAAGGAAAAGGAACCATTTTGAAATATGCCAGAGCACTGGGGTCTTCCTAACAAGGCCTGTCCTCAGGAGAAGCTACCTAACCAGAGCCTCATCTGACAGTGGATTTTCCCACAGCCTAACGGGCCTGGAGGGAAGAGAAATTCTCAGCTCTAGCCCACTCAAGCCTTCCATGTGATGAACAGAAACATATAATTCCAGCCGAGTCTAGCGACCCTGTCCCACCTAAGAGGAAATAAAACCTGAGAAACACTGTGAAGTTCACAGTCCAGAGGCACAGGCTTACTCAAAGACTGAGACCTACTCATAGGACAAGAGAACACTTCTGTATTCACCAGGCAGTTTCATCATTCCCACTGCCCAGCAAAGCCGATGCACTGAACAGCAGGTTTTTGCAATAGAGAAAGAGTTTAATAAACCCAGAGGCAGCTAAGCAAGAGGACAGGAGCTTATTATTACTCAAATATGCCTTTCCAAAAATCCAGAGGCTATGGTTCTTCAAGGATAATTTGGAGGCAGCAGGGTCGGGAATAGGGAATGCTGATTGGTTGGGTTGAAATCATAGGGAGTCGAAGTTTGTCTTCTTGTACTGAGTCAGTTCCTGGGTGCGGGCCAAAAGACCAGATGAGCCAGTTTACCAGTCTGGGTGGCACCAGCTGGTTGGTTCATCAGAATGCAGGGTCAGAAAAATACCTCAAACACCAATCTTAGGTTTTACAATAGTGATGTTATCTATAGGAGCAATTGGGAAGTTTAGGAATCTTGTGGCCTCTGGCTACATGACTCCTGAGCCAGAATTTCTAATCTTGTGGCTAACGTTTCAGTTTTACAAAGATGGTCTAATCCCTAAGCAAAGAGGGGGTTTGTCTCAGGAAGGGGCTGTTATCATCTTTGCTTCAAAATTAAACTATAAAGTAAATTCCTCCTATATTTTGTTTGGCCTATGCCCAGGAATGAATAGGAACAGCTTGGAGGTGAGAAGCAACATGGAGTCAGTTAGGTTAGATTTCTTTCACTGCCATAACTTTCCTATGCCAAAATTTTTCTCATGGTCATAATTTTTGCAAAGATGGTTTCACTTCCTCTCCTCCCACACTTCTATCACTACATTACTAAAGGCCTACTTAAGAGTGATCCCTTTACCCCATATTCATGCCCAGCTATCAAGAAAAAATTACAAGGCATACTAAAAGGCAAAACAACACAGTTTGAAGAGACAGACCAAGCATCAGAAACAGACATGACAAGGATGTTGGAATTATCAGATAGGGAATTTAAAACAACTATGGTTAATTTGTTAAGGGCTCTAATAGATAGTCAGCATGCAAGGACACATAGGCAATGTAACCAAAGAAATAGAAATCTTAAGAAAAAAAAATGTTAAGGATCAAAAACACTGTAACAGAAATGAAGAACGTCTTTGGTAGGCTTATTAGTAGACTGGACATAGCTAAGGAGAGAATATCTGAGCTTAAGAATGTATCAATAGAAACCTCCAAAACTGATAAGCAAAGAGAAGAAAGACTGAAAAACAGAATATCCAAGAACTGTGGGACAAGTATACAAGGTTTAACATAGGTATAGTGGAAATACTAGATGGAGAAAAAGAAAGAAACAGAAAAAATATACGAAACAATATAGGCTGAGAATTGCCCCCAAATTAATGCCAGACACCAAACCACAGATCCAGGAAGCTTAGAGAATACCAAGCAGCATAAATGCCAACAAAAACTATACCTAGGCTATCGTTTCAAACTACAAAAAGTAAAAGATAAAGAAAAATTCCTGAAAGAAATCAGAGAAAAAAAGTAAATTGGCTATAGAGAAACAAAGATAAAAATTATATCTGCCTTCTCAGAAATCACATAATCAAGAACAAAGTGGAGTGAACTATTTAGTGTGGAGAGGAAAAGAAAAAACCCACCAACTTAGAATTCTTGTACCTTGTGAAACTATCCTTCAAAACTGATGGAGAAATAACGACTTTCTCAGACTAACAAAAATTGACAGAGTTTGTTGGCAGTAGACCTGCCTTACAAGAAATGTTAAAAGAAGTTCTTTTGAGAGAAGGAAAATAATGTTAGGTCAGAAATAAGATCTACATAAAGAAAACAAGAGCATCAAGAAGGAGTAAGTGGAGGTAAAACAAAAATGTTTATTTTTTTAATTGATCTAACAGATCAAAGTTTGTTCAAAATAATAATGGCAACAATGTATTTGGTTATGTATGCTTATGTGTACAGTAGTCCCTTATTATCCATGGGAGATTGGCTTCAGGGCCCCACCCCCAGTGGATACCAAAATCCATGAATGCTCAAGTCCCTTATATAAAATGATGCATTATTTGCTTTTAATCTACATACATCATCTTATGTACTTTAAATCATCTCTAGATTACTTATAATACCTAATACTATGCAAATAGTTGTTATACTGTATTGTTTAGAAAATAATGACAAGAGAAAAACATCTGTACATGTGCAGTACAGATGCAATTATCCCTTATTTTTCAAATATTCTGATCCACAGTTGGTTGACTCCATGGAGGCAAAGCCCACATATATGGAGGGCTGTGTGTGTATATATATATGTGTGTGTGTTTGTGTATGTGCATACACATATAGTTATATACACTAACGTATAAGTGAAATGAATGACAGCATAAGACAGGAGGGAGAAATTAGGAATATTTCATTATTATAATGAAATACACTGCCCATGTATTAGTACAGAGTTATTTGAAATTGGTCTTGGATGAGTTGTAAATATATACAGCAAACTTCTAGGGAAACCACTTTAAAAAAGTTTAAAAAAACAAAAAAAGGAGCATGGTGGCTCACATCTGTTAATCCCAGCACTTTGGGAGGCCAAGATGGGAAGACTGTTTGAGCCCATGAGTTTGAGACCTGCCTGGGCAACACAGTTGAGACTTCATTTCTACAAATAATTTTTAAAAACAAGTATACTTTATATGTTACAAAAGAGAAAATGGAATAATGTAAAATGATTTAATACTAAATAATAAACCATAAAAGGCAAAAAAGTGTGGAAGATAAAAATAGAAACAAAAAACAAGGGCAACAAATAAAACACAATAACAAATATGGTAGGTATCCAACTATATACCCAACTAACAATCACCTCAAATGCCAATGGTCTAAACACACTAATTGAAAAACAGGAATTGTCAAGGTAGATCAAAAAACAAAACCCAATCATATGTGGTCTACAAAAAGTCCACTTTAAATATAAAGACATATGTAGATTTAAATGGTTGGAGAAAGCTATACCACACTAACAATAATCAAAAGCAAGTGGGAGTAGCTACAGTAATTTCAGACATAGCAAACTACAGAGCAAGAAAGGTTATCAGAGATAGAGAGAGGCGTTACAAAATGATAAAGGGGTCAATATTCCAAGAATACGTAACAATCATTAGTGTGTATGTGCCTAACAACAGAGCATTAAAATACATGAGGTAAAACTGATAGAACTGTAAGAAAAAAGAGGTGAATCCACTATTACATTTGGAGGCTTAGCATCCCTCAGAAATAGGCATATCTAGCAGGCAAAAAATCAGGAAGGACATAAACTCAACATCAATCAATTGTATGTAAATGACATCTATAGACTATTCCATCAAACAACAGCAGATTACACATTTTTCTCAAGCTCATGTGGACTATTCACCATGATAGACCACATTTTAGGCCATAAAACACACTCTAATAAATTTAAAAATATAGAAACCATATAAAATCTGCTGTCAGATCACAATGGACTTAAATAAAAAATTAATAACAAAAACATAGCTGGAAAATTCCAAAGTACTTGGAGATAAAACAATACACTTCTAAGTAACATAGGGGTAAGAGAATTCTCAAGATAATTTAAAAAAATATTTTGAACTAAATAAAAATGGAAACAACTTATCAAAATTTGTAGTTTCTAGCTAAAGCAAAGGGAAATGCATAGGATTTGGATGCAAAAATTAGGAAAGAAGAAAGACCTAAGATCAACAACCCAAGTTTTCCCCTTTAGAAACTAGAAAAAGAAAAGCAAATTAAATCCAAAGTAAGCAAAAGCAAAAAAAAGTATAAAAATTAGAGCAGAAATTAACGAAAGAGAACACAAGAAATCAATGGAAAAAATCAATAAAGCAATGTTTGCTCTTTGAAAAGATAGATGAAATCAGTAAGCATCTAGACAGGCTAAGAAAAAAGGAGACAGAATACAAATTACTAATATCAGAAATGAAAAAGAGAACATCATTACAGATCCCATGAACATTAAAAGGATAAAGAAGTTTTATAAACAACTTTATGCCCACAAATTTGATAACATACCTGAAAAGGAACAATTCATTGAAAAACACAATCTGCCAATACTCACACACAAAAATAAACAATCTAAGTTGGCCTGCATCTATTAAACATTTGAATCAATATTTAATAACCTTTAAAATAGAAAGTACCAAGCCCAGGTGAGTTCACTGATAAATTCTATCAAACATTTAAGGAAGAAATTGTAACAATTCTCTGCAATATCTTTCAGAAACTAGAAGCAGTGGAAATACTTCCTAACTCATTCTATGAAGTCAGCATCACCCTAATACCAACACCAAAGACATTACAAGAAAAGAAAACTATGGACCAATGTCTCTCTTGAACATAAACGCAAAAATCCTCAAAAAAGTATTAGCAAATCAAATCTAAAAATGTATAAAAAGAATTATACACCATGACCAAGTGGGATTTATCCCAATTATGCAAGGCTGGTTCAACATACAAAATCAATAAATGTAATCTAATCCATCACATCAACAGACTTAATTAGAAAAATCACATGATCATATCATTTGACAAAACTCACCACCTATTCATAATAAAAACTTTCATCAAACTAGGAATAGAAGGGAATCTCCTCAACTTGATAAAAAACATATTTTTAAAAACCCTGCAGCTAACATCATACTTAACAGTGAGAAAGTCAGCCAGGCACAGTGACCCACACCTGTAATCCCAGCACTTTGGGAGGCTGAGGCAAGAAGATTGCTAGAGCCTAGGAGTTCAAGACCAGCCTGGGCAACATGACAAAACCCCATCTCTACAAAAAATACAAAAATTAGTCAGGCATGGTGGTGCACATCTGTATTTCAAGCTACTTGGAAGACTGAAGTGGCAGGATTACTTCAGCCCATGAGATCAAGGCTGCAGTGAGCCATGTTCACACCACTGCACTCCAGCCTGGGTGACAGAGCCAGACCGTGTCTCAAAAAAAAAAAAAGAGAGAAAATTGAGACTTTCCCACTAAGACCAGGAACCAGGCAAGGATGTCCGTTATTACCACTGCTTTTCAAGATCAAATTGGAAGTCATAACTGGTGCAATAAGACAAGAAAAAGAAACAAAAGGTATGTAGATTAAGAAGGAAGACACAAAACTGTCTTCTTCACAGATGACATGATTGTCTATGTAGAAAATTCCAAAAGAATAAACAAGAAATTCCTGGAACTAATAAGCAATTATAAGAAGATTCAGAATAAAAGTTTAATATACAAAAGTCAATTACCTCCCCATATACCAGCAATGACCAAGTGAAATTAAAAATTAAAAACACATTACCATTTACATTAGCACCCCCCCAAAGATCAAAATGCTTAGGTATAAATCTAATAAAATACGTACAAGATCTATATGAGGAAAACCACAAAACTGGTGAAAGAAACCAAAGAAGAATTGAATAAACAGATATCCCATGTTCATGGACTCAACACTGTCAAAATGTCAGCTATTCTCAACTTCATAGATTCAATGCAATCCCAACAAAAATCCCAGCACACTATTTTGTGGATACTGGCAAACTGATTCTAAAGTTTATATATAGAGGCAAAAGACCCAGAACAGCCAACTCAATGTTAAAGGACAAAGTTTAAGGACTGCCACTACCTGACTTTACGGCTTAATGTACAGCTACAGTCATCAAGAGAGTGTGATATCGGTAGAAGAACAGACAAATAGATGAATGGAATAGAACAGAGAACCCAAAACTAAACTCACATAAACAAAGTTAAGTGATCTTTGACAATGGAGCAAAAGCAATACAATGGGGCAAAGACAGTCCGTTCAACAAATGGTGCTGGAACAACTGAACATCCACGTGCAAAAAAACAAAAAGAATCCAGGCACAGATGTTAGACCCTTCATAAAAGTTAACTCAAAATAGATCACAGGAAGGGTGCGGCGGCTCATACCTGTAATCCTAACACTTGGGGAGCCCAAGGTGGGTGGATCACTTGAGGTCAGGAGTTTGAGACCTGCCTGGCCAACATGGTGAAATCCCATCTCTACTAAAAATACAAAAATTACCCAGATGTGGTGGTGCATGCCTGTAGTCCCAGCTACTTGAGAGGCTGAGGCAGGAGAATTGCTTAAACCCCAGGAGGCGGAGGTTGTAGTAAGCCAAGATCATGCCACTGCACTCCAGCCTAGGCAACAGAGCGAAACTCTAAAAAAATTAAAAATAGATCACAGACCTAAATGTAAAACACAAAACTTTAAAATTCCTGGAAGATAACATAGGAGAAAATCTAGGTTATTATGGGTATGGTGATGACTTTTTAGGTATAACACCAAAGGCAGAAATCCATGAAAGAAATAATTGATAAGCTAGATTTCATTAAAATTAAAAAGTGTGCTCTGTGAAAGGCACTGTCAAGAGAATGAGAAGATGAGTTAGACTAGAAAAAATATTTGCAGAGGACACATATGATAAAGGGCTGTTACCAAAAATAGACAAAGAACTCTTAAAATTCAACAAGAAAATGAACAACTTGATTTAAAAAATGGCCAAAGACCTGTACAGATATCTCACCAAAGAAGATATACAGATGGCAAGTAAGTATGTGAAAAGATGTTCAACATCATATATCATTAAGGAAACACAAATTAAAACACAATGAGATACCACTATACACCCATTAGACGGTCACAATCCAAAACTCTGACAACACCAAATGCTGGTATAGTGTGATGCAACAGGAACTCTCATTTATTGCTGGTAGGAACACAAAATGGTATAGCCACTTTGGAAGACAGTTTGGTAATTCTTCACAAAACTAAACATATTCTTAAAATATGATCCAGCAGTCATGCTTCTTGATATTTACCTAAATGAACTGAAAATGCATGTCCACACAGGAACCTGCACATAGATGTTTATAAGCAGCTTTATTCATAATTGCCAAAACTTGGAGCATTCAAGATATCCTTCAGTAGGTGAATGGATAAATAAACGGTGATATCCAGACAATGGGATATTATTCAGCACTAAAAGGAAACGAGCTATTAAGTCATGAAAAAACATGGGGGGAACTTCAATGCATATTGCCAAGTAAAAGAAGCCAATCTGCAAAGGCCACACACTACATGATTCCAACGATATAGTAGTCTAGAAACGCAAAACTATGGCGATAGTAAAACAATCAGTGGTTTCTAGGGGTTGTGTGGAAGGAGGGATGAACAATCAAGAGCACAGAGAATTTTTAGGGCAGTGAAAATACTCTGTATGATTCCATAAATGTGGATACATGTCGTTATATATTTGTCCCAACCCATAGGATGTACAATATCAAGAATGAACCCTAAGGTAAACTATGGACTTTGGGTAATAACGATGTGTCAATATAAGTTCATCAATGATAACAAATGTCACACCTCTCCTGGGAACTGTAGACAGTGGGAGGAGCTGTGCATCTGCAGGGGAAGGGAGTATATAGCAATTCTTCATACTTTCCACCCAATATTGCTGGGAATCTAAAACTGCTCTAAAAAATAAAGTGTATTAATAAAAAATAAACTTTATAAGACCATCTTCAAAAATTAGCTCATCTAAGTAATTTTTTTCCTTTTTTTTTTTTTTGAGGTGGAGTCTTGCTCTGTCACACAGGCTAGAGTGCAGTGGCACAATCTCAGCTCACTGCAACCTCCGCCTCCTGGATTCAAGCGATTCTCATGCCTCAGCCTCCCGAGTAGCTTGGATTACAGGCATCTGCCACTACGCCTGGCTAATTTTTGTATTTTTGTATTTCACCATGTTGGCCAAGCTAATCTCGAACTCCTGACCTCAAGCGATCCCCCCGCCTCAGCCTCTCAAAGTGCTGGGATTACAGGCATGAGCCACTGTGCCCAGCCTAAATAATTTTTTTCTACTTCAGATTACTTCTTTATCATAGACCAAAGAAAATGGGGAAAAAGGATTTAAGAAACTCCTAAGAGGCTAGTAAAAGTTGTTACAGCCACAGAAATTACAAGTAAAAAGAGTTTGGAAAAATCTGTTTATACCACCAATTCACATATACTTCCATTAAATATAGCTCTAAATATTTGCCATTAATGCTAAAGATGAAAAAAATTTTTTTAAATTTCTATTTATTTATTTTTGTAGATATGGAATCTTGCCATGTTGTCCAGGCTGGTCTGGAACTCCTGGGCTCAAACCATCCTCCTGCCTCAGCCTCCCAAAAATAGTTTTTTGACAAAACATCCTAACACTAAATTTCACCCAACTAGTTTCTTCCCTCCTCTATGGTAGAGGCCCACTGTCTCAATTCTTTCATATTTCTCATCATAAACAGGTTCCTCTACAATAAATGCCTGTTCAGAACTGCTAACATTTGTATGTGTTTACCAATGTTCTTGTGAAGTATTTTTGTGACAAATAACTACTGTTATGGACATATCATTTGCAGATAATGAAAAATAAAACCAAGATTCTCTTCTTTGCTGATGAAGTCAGGAAGGTGGAAAGGGCAAAGCAAGAACTCTCACTCTTACCCTATGAGTAATTTCAATAGAAATCAAAGGCGTTAACTTCTCGGGTCCTCAATTTTTTCTTCTCTAAAAAGAAAGAATTGTTTAATAAAACTCATCCAAGGCTACAATCATCAATGGCAGCTAAAACCACTTAGTGAAAGAATTTTTTTTTTAATAAAAAAAGGACATTGGATGATGTCTCAACTCCCAAGCACTTGATGTTTGACTTGGGAGTGGTGCCCTCAGTCACACCTAAAACTATCTGCGGCAGACCCTGTTCTTTTTGGCTGACACAAATGCCATTCCCAACCTCCTTCTCCTCCTGTCTTGTCTCAATCGTAGAGTCTAGAAGAGCAAACATTCACTTTGCAGCCTCCCTTGTACCAAGGAGTGGCCATGAGACAATTCTGCCCAATGAATCAGAAGAGGAATTGTGTTGAGGATTTCTGGAAAGACTACTTCTTTTCCCAAGAAAAAGTGACAGACGCAGTAGGGGCTGAGCAACTTCCGTGCCTCTTCCAGCCTTACGGATGTGCTGTTGGTAGCTGTGACTGCCTTGCTACTACGAGGAAAAGGAAGGCCAAGAGAATAGCAGAGACACTCGCTCTGATGCCTTTGAGCCAATGAATCAATGCCAGAAGCAGCTGACCTCCAGAGTTCTTGTTACAGGATTAAAATAAATCTCTACTTATTTGCCATTGTCACTTTGGTTTGTTTGTTTGTTTACTTGTTGCCAAGCACATTCCTAACTGATACACTGTTCACCAGATTCCCTGGGATTAGACAATCAAACATCTTTCTGTAACCAAGAATGCAAAAGCTCCTCAACTGGAAAATACTCATGTGAAAGTTTAAAGGAAAAGCACAGGGAGTGAAATAAAATGCTTTCTTCTCCTGCCCACGGAATCCATTTATTTCATGTAGCTGTAAAATCAGCCCTTTGCCCAATTTCATCAAGTCACAAATTCTCAGGATTGGAAAGGCATTACTTTTAACCACCTGATCTCCCTCTAAACAACCTCATTAAGCAGCTATTTAGCCTCTTCTTGAATTATGTATAGTGACAAGGAATTCATTATCTCTAGAAGGAGCCTATATTTTCTTTGGACAACTATTTTAGAAGGGTCTATCTTACATTAACTTGCTTTTTCTATGTCTTCGTTCGACCTTTTGAGAAACACAGAACAGAAAGAATCTCTTTTACGAATGAGAGCCATCCAAAGAGCTGAAGGCAGCTGTCATATCACCTCATCTGCACAGTGATATCCACCAGTTCCTTCCACCTTTCCTCCTGAGAGAGGTGTCAAGTTCTAATGAATGCCAGTCACATATATAATTTTAAATTGTCTAGTAGCCACGTTTTAAAAAGGAAAAGCCAGATGAAATTAATTTTAATATATTTTATGTAACCCAATATATCAAAAATATCATTTCAACAGATATTCAAAATAAATCATGAGATATTTACATTATTTTTTCATACTAAGTCTTTGAAATCTAATGTGTATGATATAGTCAGCCCTCTGTATCCCCAGGTTCTGTATATGCAGATTCAGCCAACCTTGAATTGAAAATATTTTTTAAATAAACAATAACAATACAACCATTAAAAAAAACGTTAAGAAAACAAACAAACAATATAACAACTATTTACAAAGCATTTATATTGTATTAGGTATTATAAATTATCCAGAGATGATTTAAAGTATACAGGAGGCTGTATGTAGATCACATAAAAATACGATGCCATTTTTATATGAGGAACTTGAGCATCTGTGGATTTTGGTATGTGCAGGGGGTCCTGGAACCAATACCCCTCGGACACTGAGGGGTGACTATATTACATGGTAGTCTATAATCAACTTACAGGAGTCACATTTTCACGCTCAATGGCCACACATAGCTACGTGCAACCATATTGAACAGCACAAGTCTGACAGAAGAACATAACACTGTTTTCTGCAGAGTCACTACAGACAGCATTCAGTTAATAAGATAAACTGGCAAAATATCATGGTGCCAAGTTTCTGAACCTAGAGTACCGCACAGACCTCTTTTGAAGTGGTGGGAAGGAGAACTAAATCTCATGGGCTCCTGAGACTGTGTCCTAGAACTTTCAGAGGTCAATGTACCCCAACTGAAAAACTGTTTTTGAAAATGGCTTTAAAAAAAAACGATCTTCAAAATAAAGACACACACAAAAAAGATTCTATTTTGCTTGAATTTGAGCAGCTCTATGGTCCCAGATTGAAAACACTACTGGAACAGAGAGAACACTGGTCTGAAGTCAGGGAGTCTTTATTCTCAATTCTGCCACCAAGCTCAGTAGTCACCTGAAAAAAAAAATCAATTCATTTCTCCAGGCCTCTTTTCTCTAAGGGTGCTCCACTTTCCCACTAAACAACACTGTCCTAAGCATTCACAAATCATCCTTTTAATAACCCATTCTAGAATTCTGCCCACAAGTAGCATAAAGCTCCTAGTCTACAGTTTTTAAGCCCACATTCCTCACTCTCGAAAATCAGAATGTCATTTACCTGTCTTCATAATTCCAACAATTTCTCACTCTTCAAAATTCCATAAAAATAAAAATTAACAATGAATTATCCCTGGGTTCTTTCAGTGTCCTGGAACAGAATGCTTCTGGATCAAAAATCCAAAACCCATTTTGAACAACTAAACAATCTTTTACAATCCATTCAACTTTCGCAAGCTTTAATTTAATGTTACTAATGTTTTTTCTGGCCTGTTCAAAATAAATATTCCTGCCTTTCATTTATTGACTTTACGAGTACTTGTCAAGGACCTACTGTGTATGACAACACACTAGGAATACGGATGAGCTGTAAAAAAGATATGTAAATGCTGTCCTTGCTTGCAAAAGGCTGACACTAGCAATAAGTGAAAGACAATAAACTAGCATATAACTAAGCAGGACAATTTCAGGTAGTAAAGAATGATATAACAATAAAGCTATATTTGAGAGCAATATCATGCTCCAGATACTCTTCTAAATAGTAACTAGTTTAATCCTCTTAACAACTCTACGAAGTATGTACCTCTTTCATTAACCCCACCTTTATACATGAGAAAATAGAGAAAAAGAACAGTCAGTGCTAGAAAAAAACAGAACATAGGAACTGTGAGAGGGCGAGTGTCTAGTGCACTGTTAAGAGTCTAGGAGACCAGGTGTGGTGGCTCATGCCTGTAATCCCAGCACTTTGGGAGACCGAGGTGGGCAGATCACCTGAGGTCAGGAGTTCAAGAGCAGCTTGGCCAACATGGTGAAACCCCAATTCTACTAAAAATACAAAAATTAGCCAGGAGTGGTGGCTCACGCCTGTAATCCCAACTACTCAGGAGGCTGAGGCACAAGAATCACTTGAACTGGGGAGGTGGAGGTTGCAGTGAGCTGAGATTGTGCCACTGCACTCCAACCTGGGGGACAGAGTGAGACTCTGTCTCCAGAAAAAAAAAAAAAAGAGTCTAGGAGGGTACAAAAGGTTTTTATGAGGTCCTCTGGGCTGAGGCTTGAATGAAGAACCAGCCACACAAAGATCTAGGGTCAGAGTGTTCCAGAGAGAGGGAACAGCAAGTACAAAACCCCTAAAATGGGATGAATTTGGCAGAATGAACCTCAAGGGCTCAAGGAACAGAAAGAAATAAAATGTGGCTGATAAAGAGGGAGGGGAGAAGAGTAAGAGAAGAGGTAAAGAGGCAAGAGTGGGAGCTAATTTATGATGAGGAGTCTGGATTTTATTACAAGTACAATGAAATCCCCCCTCGGGTTTTTAAGCTGGAGAATAACATGATCTGACTTACATTTTTAAAAGATCCCTCTGCTTGCCTATGTGGGAAATCAACTGTAGGAAGCAAGAATTGAATCAGAGAAACAAGGACAGTGAAGATGGAAGCCAAGCAGCAGTTGAGTAACTCAAGCTTCCCTCTGCCATTTAACATTATCTCAGCCCAGAGCAACTGGCTTGTTTCCTTTTTGCTTCTTTTCCTGAGTTTACTTGTCCTGCTGATGGAGTCACTTGCTCTAGGTTACAGTAAGACCCAGAGAAGAGCTGAGGACCCCCTTCAGATTCCTTTGGCTTTTGATTTCAACCTCTAATATACCCAGAGGAACATGTACAACACAATATGAATGGCAAGTAAAGCAAAAAAAAAAAAAAAAAAAGGCGGGGGTGGGAGGGTGGGGTGGAGGGGGGCAGTCAATCAATGATCATCTTCAGCTGTGGCTCAATAAAGCCCAAAATGTTCAAGCAATTCACTCTATAAACAATTCATAGCTCAAAACCAAAGGGTTCAAATAATACTCAAAGGCCTTGGACTTCACTAATAATACCTATCTTTTACTGAAAAGATAATGCTAACAAATATCTAAGCATACTGAGGAGGACTGTCAGCAAACTTCACCACTAATCATTCTTCCTATCCCTGTCTGCGCATCCCAACTATCCCATCAAGAAGGGGCATTTACTTCCCCTCCCTTTGAATTTGGGCTGGCCTTGTGACTCATTTTGACCAATAGGATGTGATGAAACTGATGTGCCAGTTCTAGATCTAGGCTTCAAGAGAAATAGAAGCTGGCCAGGCATGGTGGTTCACGCCTGTAATCCCAGCCCTTTGGGAGGCCAAGGTGGGTGGATCACCTGAGGTCAAGAGTTCGAGACCAGCCTGGCCAACATGGTGAAACCCCATCTCTACTAAAAATACAGAATTTAGCCAGTGTGGTGGTGTGCACCTGTAATCTCAGCTACTAGGGAGGCTGAGGAAGGAGAATCGCTTGAACCCAGGAGGCAGAGGTTGCAGTGAGCCAAGATTGTGCCACTGCACTCCAGCCTGGGCAACAGAGCAAGACTCCGTCTCAAAAAAAAAAAAAAAAAAGGAAAAGGAAAATGAAGTAAAAGCTTCCTTATTCTCACACTTGGAACCCAGCCACCATGCTGTAAGGTGGCTGGTCTAGATACCAGGGGAAATGAGATATTATGGAGGAAAACTAAGGAACTCTAGTGCACAGCCAACAGGAAACATGAGAGTAAAGCTTTCTTGGGCATTCTAGTCCAGCCAAGTTCTGAAACTGAAAACATCTGCTGTATTAGTG